>NC_000003.12:78760000-80010000 GCF_000001405.40 Homo sapiens | reverse complement strand
AGGATGCTTTTAGGTCTGGTATATGTATTCTGAAACTGCAGTATTTTTTTTTTTTTTTTTTTTTTTTTTTTTTGCTACAGGCTTTGCAAACAAAGGCAAAGGATTAAGCTAAATTAGAAAGAAAATAACTGCATGACTTGTGTGTCATGGATAGGTGCTTAATATTTATTACAAGAAGTTAACAAGCAAAATTAAAGTATAAATATAGGTATGCTACAATTTGCCAAATTATTTAAGAGAATAATAAACATATACGTCCTAGTATAGAAAATAATAATACTAAACAACATTTTAAGCAGTTACTATGGGACAAGCACTGTTTTACATCCTTTATTAAATACATTGAATCTCAGGAGCCACTTTTTTTTTTTTTTTTAGACAGAGTTTTGCTCTTGTTATGCAGGCTAGAGTGCAATCTGGTGTGCAATGGTGCGATCTCGGCTCACCACAACCTCCACCTCCCGGGTTCAAGCGATTCTTCTGCCTCAGCCTCCTGAGTAGCTTGGACTACAGGCATGCACCACCATGCCGACTAATTTTGTATTTTTTGTAGAGATGAGGTTTCTCCATGCTGGTCAGGCTGGTCTCTAACTCCAAATCTCAGGTGATCTGCCCACCTCGACCTCCCAAAGCGCTGGGATCACAGGCGTGAGCCACTGCGCCCGGCCAGGAGCCAGTATTTAATGTAGATAAAATTACTATCTTCATGGGGAAGATAGGGACAGAGAGCTTAAGTAATATGGCTGAGATCATGGCTTTTAGTGAACTTAAACTAGAAAAATTGACTAAATTTAGCTTTCATTTTAGCCACATTTCTAAAGTTTCCGCACTGAACCTAAGGAAGGTTAATTATGTCAAAATTATAATTAACTAAAAACAAAAAAAACCCACAGACAATAGGAGATGCTAAATTGAGATGCAGAACATGTAGAGAGGTAGGATTTTCTTCTTGTCTGCAGATCCCTGTGTCCCACGATCTCTTTTAGCTACACATATAGCTGTGGAGAGAAAAGAAAATGACTAATATTAAGAATAAACTTGGTCCATTCAGAGAAGTTTTGTGGGTACACTTATCACTTTACAATTTTGTTTTCTGTCTGCTACTGGCCTGGGCATTGATGTGTATGGGAACAATATGAGATGATTGATGGTCACGTAAGAGTAGAAGCATTTGCTAGCATCTGCAGAGGGCATTTCAATTCTGCTATAGAAAAATTTCCAAGGATTGTTTTATAAGGAATTTTTGCAAACAATCTATATTGCCAATTTATAGTACATGCTGGGATGCATTAGTGAGTATATATTGGTTATGATTTACAGCAGGAACATATAAGCTCATATGCTCATTTCAATGACTCCTAAACTTTCCCAAAAGAAGGATCTGATTCCTGCCCACATGTTATTGGATGGGGTGAAGGAATGTTAAGTATGAGGAGACAAATTGACAACTATTAACATTATCTCTGTATGCTGATTAGATCTCTAAATGCAAGAATAATCTTTCCAGGGTTTATTTTTTTCAAGATAAATTGACATGAAGGCTTTCATACATATATCCCTTAAGTTAATTATAGCTATTCTAACGTGATCGTCCGTATTGTGTGTGATTTGCTGGTACTTGGAATCAGAATTAGCAGAAATAGTTATTATATCCAGAGCTCATGGGACACTAAGTCCTTTATGAAATGAAACTGCATATGATAGAAAGATAGCAAACTTTAGAACTACGTTTAAGTCTTCTGTTCTAATTTCGGGATGCCCCTCCTTTCTGGATAGTGTAATATTAAAACTTGTTTCTATGGAGTGAGTTACCCCAGAGCACAATCCAAAACAAAATGTGTTGATGGTTCTCAAGAACTGTGTAGTGTTTGAGCACCCCCAAGAAACCTTCAGCGGATCTATTTGCCAAAAACCATTTCATAACAATACTCAGATGTTATTTGCTTTTCTCATGTTGCCTTTGGCAATAATGATGCACTAATAATGCAAATGCAATGAAGGTAAAACATGTGCACCACAGCAGAAATCAAAACACCACCAATATACTAAGAGTCATTGAATTCACACACACAGACACACAGCCACACACACACACACACACACCTCTAAAAATAAAATAAAAAATGAACACAGTGAGTCAACTTCCACTTTAAGGAAAACAGTCAAGGGTATTGATTTTTAGCATTTAGAATTTTGAAAAATTTGTATTGGCCACCATGACATCGACAACTTGTCATTATTCAAAACTGTTTTATCTGATATTGATGATGTAATCAATATTAATATTTTATAATGAAATGGGTAAACACATAACTTAGTGAATCAATATTTTTCAAATGACCAACACATAATGTTAAAGGTCATATATGTATAAAATAGTCATTCAAAGTACAAAAAATACCAATGAATTTTAATGGAATAAAGTGAGTATGAAATGTTTTTTGATGTGGTTTCTGATTCCACATTGAAATAAACTTTTAAGAAATTACTTGTCAAGTTTTGATGCAATAACCACCAGGAGGAATATCCAATATTATCTGAAATGATATTAAAAACTGTCCTCCTTTCCAATTAAATATATCCATGACACCATATTTTCATCACATACTTCAACTTAAACAACACATTGCACAGTATTATTACAGAAACAAATTTGAAAATCCAGTTAACTTCTATTTAGCCTGAAATTACAGAAAATTGTCAAAACGCAAAACAGTCTTCTCATTACATTATTGGGTTTTTGGAAAATATAGTTATTTTAATAAAATATGTTATTTAGGCTCCCGTGATATAGATTTTATTGTTATTTGAAATTGAATTAATAAACATTTTAGGATATCATTTTAATTCATAGTAAGACATATAAAGATTATATATACATAGATTCAGATATATGCATTATACAGATAGACATAAATAAATATGTAGACATAGATATGACTTGCATTAACAAAAATTCTTTGTAGTCCTCAGTAATTTTAAGATTGTAAAGGATTCCTTAGGTTGATAATGTTTCAGTAACCTGTCTTGTGATACATGCATATTTCTCCATATGTTGGCATATCTCTCCCACAGTAGATTTGCACTTCTGTTCCAAATATAACTACTAAGAAATGCTTTTCAAAATAACACCACCTTCATATTACATCTTCATGATCTTGTTTGTTTTTGATTATAGCATTTTCTACTCAGAATTATATATTTATATTTACATATTATAATTATGTATTTACATCATATGTATACATTAACAATTATATATTTACTTTTATACGCTTACACGTATTTGCTCATCTGTTTACTTTCTGTGTCTCTCCCTGGTATGTAAGTTTCATAAGGATTAGAATTTTGTTTTTTTCACTGCTTTATCCCCAGTGTCTAAAAGAGTGCTCAATAAATAACTGTTGAATAAAAAAGCAAAGACATAACAATCAGTAATATGGTAACATGTTCTCAAATCTCTCATATTACTATGCTCAGCATATTTTTCCCCATTTATACATTTGATGATGTTAGTCCATACCAATAATTGAAACCCTTAATTACTTTCCTGTTGCCCAAGGATCAGAGTCAATCTTTTTAACAAGTCATTCAAAGCCTTCTGTGATCCATGTAAATTGACTTACCTCTCCAGATCTCCATCTCCATATTCATTGCCTTGTTATGTGTGCCTTCATAACTTGGAAGCACCTATAAGTCATTCACAAATGATATGATTACTGACTACTTATTTTTGTTTATATAGTTCCTTTAATTATCCCCAAACCAAAAGTGAATAAAACATATGGAAATAGATAAACAAACAAATACCTCACTAGGTTTTATTATTATTTTTGAATCGCAGCTCAAGCAGTTAAATAAAGGGTACTGTTAGATAGTGACAAGTGCTATGAAAAGAATACAGTGCGGTGAGGGAAAGTAACTATGGTGGGAGCAAGTGTGTGCCTAACTAGTGAGGAAGCGATGTCAAGTAATATAGCCAGGAAAGTTCTTCCCTGAGGCAATACGTGAGTTGAAATCTGAATTACAAGAAAGAATCAAACATTTAAAGATCTAAGGGAGAATAAAGAGTAAGTGCAGTCTCTGAGGTGGATACAGGCTTGGTGTATCCTTACAGCTAAATGTAGTTCAGAATGGCTGGAGTCAGTGAGCCGGGAGGAGCATGGTATGAATTACAATCAAAAAGCCAGTTGCTGACCAGAAAAAGGGTTTTAATTATACTCTAAGCACAAGTGGAAAATCACTGGAGACGTTTAAACAGAGAAAAAATATGACGTTATTTACATATTAAAAAGTTAAAGGACTGAGTTGAGAGACATGTTAACTATGTTACTCTGTAGAATGCGATTATTTGAATTAAGCAGAAAAGATGTGGCAAGAATGGTCAATTTCTCTTTTGCATATTAAAGAATAACAGAACGTGTATTGTAAGTGTTCAGGTTTGGGGTGTCTGCTGTGAATAATGCTCATTTAGGAGAAGAGAGATTCATGAATAAGTCTGTTACATACCTTATGCGACCATCCTAATCAGGTATGTGCTAAGTACTACTACATTCAAACATGTGTGCTTGTGCGTGTGTGTATTAGTGAAAATGTATGAGAGGGGGGATAAATTGCTTACTGGATAAATAAGCAAGTTAGATAGCTTCTACTTTGCTTTCTAAGTGACACATACTACACCTACTTTTTAGTTTTATGTAAAGGAAGTTTTAAAAATTATTCTTACAATTTAATTCCTACAAATATTTATAGTTAGGGATTTTAATAAAAATATTTTCCCCAAACTCATGTGGATTTAAATGAGAAATATATTATATGAAGAGACATCACTGGCCTCCCCTGAGGTGCACACGTTCATCTCACCTTTGTTATCATTTACTGATGTTCACTATTACATCCTTGAACCAAAAGCTCCTTTCAGTCATCAAGGGAAGCACATGTGCTAGCTAGATATTTTCTAACAACAGCCCCAAGTTCCCTTTTAATCCGCTGCCATTCCAAACCCTTCACACTTGGGACTAGATGCGGGCATTCGGAGCTGCTATAACCACCATTCAATCACATCCAGAAGTGAAGGTTTCCTAAGAGATTTACTTTCCTCTGGATTCTACCACAAGAAGTCAGATAATGGTCACATGTATTCTGGAATCTCCATCTGTGAGCTTTCTCTCTCATTTCCCCACACTTGCTTGGGGCAGCTTTTAGGTATTTATTTTGTCTAAACTCTGGAAATGTTCCCATCAGAAACTTCATCCTTGCTTTTCATTTTGTCTTTTTCTGCATTTGGGGAGGGAAAACTGTAGTTAACTCCTTATACATCCATCTGCTTGGTTCATTATGAAAACTTTATATACTTCGATTCAGCCAGAATCTAGCTTTTGATCATAAAACCACATTTTTAAAATCAACTTCAAATATTTGTCTCTCAAGGGTCTGGATCAAATACTTTTATTTTTAAAGTATTGTCTTGCTTGCAAATATAAAATCAAACAAATAAAAAACCTCTACTATGAAACTTAATGACAATGATTTATTATCTTGGTAAATAAATAAAGACCAACAATTCAATGGGTGGAGTGCCTTAGGCAACTAGGAATAATGAGTAATTACTGAGAATAAAATATATTTATCAGTATGTACAAATAAAACATGCATTTCAAGGGAATACACCAAATCTGGAATTAAAGATAGAACATACAAAAATATTGTCCCAATCTTTTAAAGAACACCTATTGATATTTGAAAATATTTTGGAAACGTAATGAAGAAAGATATTAAATTTAATGTTAATTGCCACCAAATTAGCAATTTTCTATCCAAACCAAATAATAAGATATTGGGCCAATTTATACTTTTGGGATATTCAAATTTCAAACATTTTATATTAGAAATATAATGACAAAAATAAACCTTCAGTAAAACTGATAGAAATCATGTTTTGAGATTTACTTTTTGTTAAAAGGAGGAAAAACCTCAGGACTAATTGTTTAATGAATATTTTAAATATAGGAATTAATTCTATATAGAATAAAAATACAAAGATGGAAAATATATGAATAAAAATAATTATGGGCACTGTAGCTTTCTAGAATGCAATAAAGTGTGATGAATCTTTTTAGCATTAAAATTTTATATATTGCTAACTGCTTTATAGCTAGTAAGAGATCACCATTATGGACAGTTATAAAGCTTGTCACTTTTAAATGCAGACAATTCATTTTTACAGAAGCATCTATCAAAATTCTGTTCTTCATAAAAGTTTTTCTTAGCCTTATGAATATTTCAGTTTTTATGAACATTTATATTCCAATTATAAATGTAAATGCTTTGGATAGAAGACATTATATAAAATGGCACTCTATTAAAAACTCATATTCCTTTGACAGGTTTTGACACAATACCAATGGCACAAAAGTTTTTATATTTAATGTCACTAATAAGTCATGTATCATTAAGACAATGAATATTTATGTGTATACTTGGGCATAGATTTAATATATTTTCTCAGCAGTGTACTATGAATACAATATTTCCATACTTAAACACAATTTTTAATAAAAATTAATGTAACAACTCTTATACATACACATGCTGAAATACATTAATCCTAGCCTTAAAGGCCAATAGATAAATCTAATTTCATACCCTAATTTTTAAAACATTAAGTATTAACTACTCATGGCCATGAGTAGTGTTTTTCAAAGCAAACTTTATTATCAGGATCACCTGAAAACAATTGATTCCTCACCTTTATCTCAGATTTACTGAATAACAATCTCAAAGGAAGAATCAGGATCTGAGAATGTCTTTTTTCTAAATAAATTTTAGTTTATACTTAGGTAGAGCAAAGTTTGAGTACCATCAGCCTACAGGATAAAATATCCCAGTCCTTGGTTTAGCATGTAATTCAGCCTTCGGCCCCCCTTTTAGCAAATCAACCCGATACTCCCATGTAACCATCTTTGTCTGTTCTGTGCTGCTGTAACAAAATACTGAGTAATTTATAACAAGCAGAAATTTACGGCTCCCAGCTCTGGAGGCCGGGAAGTTCAACAGCAAAGTGCTAGCCTCTGGAGAGTGCATTCTTTGCTACATCATGACATGGTGGAATGTGAGAGACAGCAAAAGGGGGACAAACTCAATTTGTCCTTTTGTGACAGCACCAATTCCACCCTTAATGTTGGAGCCCTCATGATCTAATCACTTTTTCTTTCTTTTTTTTTTCCTTTGAGACTGAGCCTCGCTCTTGTCACCTAGGCTGGAGTGCATGGAGTGCAGTGGCGCAATCTTGACATTACAGGCGCCCACCACCATACCCGGCTAATTTTTGTATTTTTAGTAGAGACAGGGTTTCACCCTGTTGTCCAGGCTTGTCTCTAACTCCTGACCTCAGGTGATCCACCTGCCTCAGCCTCCCAAACTGCTGGGATTACAGGTGTGAGCCACCATGCTCACAGTGGCATCACCTCAGCAGTTTCTACCTCCAGGGTTCAAGTGATTCTCCTGCCTCAGCCTTCCCAGTAGCTGGGATTACAGGTGCCTGCCACCATGCCTGACTACTTTTTTATTTTTAGTAGAGACAGGGTTTCAACAGGTTGGCCAGGCTAGTCTCGAACTCCTGATCTCTAGCATTCTGCCTGCCTCAGACTACCAAAGTGCCGGGATTACAGGTGTGAGCCACCCCCACACCCAGCCTAGGTCTAATCACCTTTTAAAGAGTCTTTCTTTTGATAGTGTTAAAATAGTAATTAAATTTCAACATGAGTTTGGGAGGGGGCAAATATCCAAACCATAGTGCCAACTTTATACAAGCGATAACATTCTGAAGCTTTCAATTCTCACAGATGTTCCTGTTCTTCCTAAACACCTCATCTTTCCTTGGAAGAAGTTAAGTGAGTAAAAGAAATTATTAGTGATAAAATGAAGACTAGAATGTTGATGTCCTAATTTTAGGCTCTGATATATATCCACCCTTCAATTTATTTTTTTTAAAGGCCAATGATGTACACAGCACTGGAGGGAATCCGGAAAAAACCTTCTGTGTTCATCATTCTGTGAAATCTTCTTTCTGACTTGATGAAAAACTGAAAAGAATTCATTCATTGCCTTTTGGGAAGAGTTTTCTAAAATTTATTAAAACTAGAAGTCTATTTACTTATGCATATATTAGTTTTATGAACATAAAACCATAACCCTGCATTCGTTTATAAAACTTTATTCTGATTTTTTTATTTTTAAGTTGATTTATATGTATTATATCTGGAATAGGATCATCTCATTTTTATCGGATAGTCAGTAAAATTTTTAAAATTAATGTTATAAATTAAAATGTCAACATAAAGAAGACTGCTATTAAGTTTATAAATAGGAAAATGAAATTGAATTTAATTTTCAACTGAGTGATATTCAGTGTTTATTTTTAAAATATTTTTTGACATCAAATATTTGAATTTTTGACAAGAATTTTGGTCTATAATCTTTTGCTGCTATTGAGTGTGTCATCATGTCAAAACATATTTTTTATGCATTTGCTGTACTATTTAAATATAAGAAACTTCATATGACAGTAGACAATTGCAAACATTTCAAGTGTTCCTGTTTACACAGATAATCTCATAAACCCAACAAATCTTTATCACTGGTATGTGCCAGAATGTGTAATTCTAAAATAAGAATTTGTCATTTTTACCTAAGTAATGCCATTGCCCTATAGACACTTTTGAAAATACACATAGTACGTGAAAATCAAAATATTATTATTAATTTTTTGACATTTCAAATTTGACCAAAGAGTTGAAAGAGAAAGCTTGAACAAAATGGAGTGTTTTCTAATAAATGCTTTGAAAAATAAAAATAAAAATGGGTGGGGCATGAAAATCAGAGGCACCAGAGGTTTAACCTGGGAAGGGAGGAAATACAAAAAAAAGAACTGCAACATCTTCAAAACTTTGCTAGCATGGATTGTGGACATGGAGGCCCTTGTCTGCCATATTATGGAGCCCATTTTTATATTCATAGTAATAGAAATGTATTGATAATATTTAAGTAGATGGGTAATACTATCAAGTTTGTATTTTTTAAAAATCTAGTTTCAATGAGAAATACTTTTTGAGCGTGTTTTCGAGATTTTTTGTTTAGCCCATTTAGAAAAACATAGAAGTGATTTTGATAAGAGATGATTCAATTTTGAACTGATATAGGTGATATTGATAAAGAGATGAGTTATGAAATTCAAAGAGCTAGATGATATTCCTAAAGTGAAACAAAGAGGATTTGACATGCTGCATGAGTCTATCCCAACATGGTGAAACCCCGTCTCTACTAAAAATACAAAAATTAGCCGGCAGTAGCGGTGCACGCCTGCAATCCCAGCTATTCGGGAGGCTGAGGCAGGAGAATCACTTGAACCTGGGAGGCGGATGTTGCAGTGAGCTGAGATGGGGCCATTGCACCCCAGTCTAGGCGAGAGAGTGAGATCCTGTCTCAAAAAAACCAACAAACAAAAAAAAAAGAGTCTATCCCCCATAGCCATTCTGCCAGAGGAAAACTGAAACTATTAATTAAATAATTCACATAAAAGCTATATTTTTCTTACGTACATTATGCATTTATGAAAAAGTTATTTTTTGAAACAGAATAGTCACATTGATTTTTCGTCTGAAGGTCTAAAGCCTCTTGAGTGACAAAATTATTCTAAAAGTCATTTGTCAAATTACCACAAGCTATCCGGAAAAAAAAAAATGACTCATAAAACTAATAGTACAACTTACCGAGGGCTATTTACTTCCTGATAGTGATCTAACTATTTGTTAATAAAAGACTTTTGACCAAGTCTCTCAGCATTTCCTTTTCTCCAAGTATAACCAAAACTGTGAACCACTGGCTTATAAAACATAAAACCACCTATATTAAATTTAAAAATCATACGCTAGAAAAATATATGTGTTTGGATATTAGAAGATTAAGAAGAGGCTGATAAAATACAACATCATAAAAAGTAAAGACATAGACTCCAAGAAGATATATGTATCTTTATTTCTTTTTATATCCAATGTTATTGGGGTGATAAGCTCTTTAAAATTAATATAGACATAGACTGGGGAAGATGAAACACACATACATTTTAAAATTACTTGGGTTGTAATGCATAATTAGAAAAACCAACTGTGCAAAAAACCTAAGAGTTAAACAAGTTAGAAATTTTTCAATAATAGGAAAATGTATTTATTAAAATACATACAACTTACAGTTTTCTGTGAGTTTAAAAATGCCATAGCAAATGTGACTTGTAGGTAAAGAGAACAACTTGATTTAATTTTCTATTTGAATTTTGGAGCTGCCAATGTAGCTGTAGTTTTGAATAATCCCTATTTATCTGTTGTGAATTGAATTGTGTCCTCCTAAAAAGAAATGTTGCAGTCCTAAATCCCAGTCCCTCAAAATGTGACCTTATTTGGAAATAGGATTTTTACAGAGGTAATCAAGTATAGGGTGGGCCCTAAGCCAATATAACTGATATCCTTATAAAAGAGAAAATTTGCACAGAATTAGAAAAGCAGAGAGGGAACAGTATGTGAAGAGGCACAGAGAGAATGTTATGTGAAAATGATAGCAGGCATTGGAGTGATGCCTCTACAAGAGAAGGGATGCCAAAGATTGCCCGCCAATGATAAGAAGCTACAAGGGAGGAATAATACAGCCCTAAGAAGGAACAAATCCTGCTGATAACCTGACTCTGGACTGCTAGCCTCCAGAACTGTGAAACAATAAATTTATGCACTTTAATCCACCCAGTTTATGATTCTTCATTACAGCAGTTTTAGGAAATGAATGCATCACCTGAATAAATAAATTTTCTGCAAAATATTTACAGACTGAAGAAATGCTTCTCCAACAACTGTGTAACAGTTGATTCTAATTGAACATTATTACTTAGAATACCATTAATTATAGAAAATATAAACTATAGCCATTTGGGCCACCATTCAAAGCTTTGAACATATACTTAGCATCATAGAGAAGTTATTATTATAATTTGAATTTACTCTGACTCTTTTAGTACTAAAGAATTAAGTTACAAACTTAATCGTGTTCAAGCTAGCATATAAACATCAAGCCCTTTGAATCCATGCTCTATGTCGAAGTCATTTTGGAATTCTTCTCCAGAATTAGCACAGTATCCTCTCTGTCATGGTCTTTAACAATTGTTGTTCAATGAATCAGTCAAATCAGAGATGCAAACAAACTAAAAAGATATCATTCTTAACTTTAAAAAGCAATATATAAAGCCAGTTCAATCTTTCTGTACTTTGAATTATATAACAAATAGACACAGCAGACCTAGTAAACTACTGTTTCCATAACTTGTAGTTCTAGTCTTAGAATACAGGTATAAGAGGTTGTTGTAAAAATCAGATACTTTCTCTCTGTCTTGAAAGACTTTGATTATCGCCTTCTGTACAATGGAAAGATTTTGTAGTTAATACTTTATCTTATTTTATATTTGAATGAAAAATATCATTTCCTTTAAATATGTTCTTATGTGGAAAACATACTTATTAGTCATAAATAAGCATGCATAAAAGATGTAAATAATGTATTAGAAGACAAAATCCAAACCCTCTAAGAATTATAATCTTTTTCAGCTTATTAGACAGAGACAATATCATCTCAAAAGGTATATATAACTTTAAAGTTCATTAAACTTTAAACTCATATTTAGAAATTTTATTTTTACTTCCATAACAATAAAACAATATGTATTTCTCAAGCAATTTGCAAGTTCCATGGAACTTTCATGGATTTTAAAATTAATACTGTCAGTTTAGTTGACAATAATCAACATCTAGGTCCTTTACTGACCCCTCATTTAAAGAACACCACAGCCTACAATTCATAATTCATTGAAATATATACACCCAAATTAAATTTGATTTAATTTTTAAAATTAAAATCAACCTCCCCAAATTGTTTCATTTTTCAATTTTTGCCTAATGTCAGCACTCGAAACAAATCCTGAAATTCCAGTGAAGCAAGTTTTCTCAGACACAATATTAATAACACACTAACTCTTAACTAAGAATAATATTGAGTGATAAGATGAAAAGTCTTTGCCTAATTATGTTTTTAATCTCCTCAACTTGGTTTATCGTCACAGGATACCAAAGCACTATAAATAAATGTCTCTTCCTCCAGTAATTTTTCTTTCATTATTTGTTAAAATTATATTATTCAGGCTAAGAGATTTCTCCTTAATTTTGTGTTAGTTTAAGTGCATTCTTATATTGAAGATTCCAATATTCACTGAAAAGCAGAAAAAGCAAGGAATGCACTATAAATGTAACAATAATGACGAGTGACTGCACTGACACAGACAAATTATAGAAGAATCAAATAATTAACAAACTTCACTTTTTCACTTTTAATAATTTATAAACATCACTGTCCGACAGGAATAGCAATTCTTTAAATGTGCGAGAAATGCTACACTACGCAATGCCTACAGAAAAAAGCAAGGATTTGATATGTTGAAACCCAGGACATTATGACATTCTTTTATTTTGTAGATAAAGTTAGATTTGTTTCTTAGCTAAATTTGTTTTCTAGCTTTTCTACACTAGAATGATGTTTCTATGTTCAGAAAAAAACTAAGCATTTTTTAAGGAAATCTCAAAGGAATTCTAAAAGAAATGGTGTGTGAGAAATGCAACTAACCCCAAAAGATATTTGTAAACAGTGAGAATTTGAAGAAAAAAGTAATATGAATCCTAGATTTCCATCTCAGCTCAATCAAGAATCTAGAAACATTTACTTTTGCAAAACTCTACTAAATTCATTAATGATCAGATACATTGTAAATGATTTTTATTAGAAACTCCAGATTACAAATAAGTCATTTTTCTCAAGAAATCAGCCAGAGAGTCTAAGAGACACTGTATTTCAACAGCAAGTTTACTGTGGTTATAAATATATTAAAAGTGCATTCATATAGATTTTGCTTTTATAACTTAATATTTAAAGGTAGAAATAAAATATTTTCAATAATTTGATTAGATTTTTAAATAGCATAGGCATTTTTTTCTGTTGATTAAAATATATCTATATTCTCTGAGGAGAAAACAATGGAAGGAAAGCTATTGTGTCCTTTTTGGAATAATAATATATTGTCATTTTAAGGACCACAGCAATAACAAAAACAAATCAAAAACATTCACTTTTATAGTTTTAAAATTTCTGACATAATTCTAACCAAGAGTTTAAATGAAAAAGAGAACTCCCACCTTTCTGCTTTGGTTAAAAAAGAAAAAAAAAAGGACCAGCATTTGTCTGTGGTGCTAACTAAAATTTAAATTCAACATAATTTTTTCACCCTTACTGTAGAAAAACATCCAGATTCTTGTGAAAACAGTATAAAAAATGATGACCCAAGTTTTTTTTTTCCCCCTCTTCAATATATTTGCTCTGAGGGTGCTAGAATTCTTTTGAAAATTAGTGGTCCCAAACATGTTGTCATATATCACTTAGTTAATAAAAAACAAAAACCAAACAAGAAAAACAAACACAAAACAAGTTTAGTGCTGCCAAAGTATAAACAAAAGGAAGTCAAAGCAAATGTGCATTACTATGAACCGTGAGGATAATAATCAAATAGTTCATGTAAAACAATTACTGAAAGTAAATATTAATGAGAAAACCAATATTTGCATCAATTTAAAATCAAGATCAATTGAAGACCTTTCTGAACTGGCTTCAATAAACTTCTAAAATTATGAGACTTCCTACTGTAAGCATTGGGAGATTTCAAAGGGATAGAATTTTTAATTAGAGTTTTTGATTGGAGTAGATATGACTGAGGCATATGTGGTACATATGTAACAGACATTCTGATGTGCTGCTCATATTACTCTTCACGGTTAGATCTGTTGCCTCAACTGATGAAAGTGCTGTCAGTCTCCGGAAAGATTGTCTCAAAGGCAACAGCTCCTTGTCCTATGATTCATCCCTTCACTAGGCAGTTCACACCCAAAGTCTGATCAATGCAGGAGTTTAAGAGCCTGATCATTTCAATTCAGTGAGAAACAACTATGGGAGTCCATTGTTGCTTTAGAACTTCCTTCATGCTTGACTAAATTGGTCAGTGAATCTTCAGTCCTTCTCCTCAAGTCAGTTTCCTTTACCACCCTTTTATAGGTATTGATCTCAGAGATACTGTAATAAATATCATGCATGCTAAACTCTACTTCAGGTTCTGCTCTCTAGGGAATCCAACCTGACAATTAGTACAAGCAATGGTCTGAGAAAGCAGGCACTCAAGCAGGTTCTGGCTGGCTCTCTTGCAGTCTGGCTGATACAAGTTTCCATCACTGGTGGTCGGTGAAACAAAGAATTCCTGACATAAATGGCAGACCAATTGTTAAATTTTGCTAGTAGTGAATTGGGGCAGTATCTGAAAGAAAGGAATAGATTATCTGGTGCAACGTATAAGACATTTGAATAACATGAGAAAAACAGTAATTTTAAGGGCAAGGAAATTTAGTAGCTACTATTAAACTTATTAAACTCCACTGGCACTCTAGAAAAATAGCAAGATGTCGAGAAAGATTGATCACGAGTTGAAAGCAAGGATGAAAGTCAGAGGGTCTTCTTAGCAGCACTTCTATAAAATAGGAGATTAGGCTTAACAGTACAGCCAAGTTCCAAATAAGACTAAACTCCCAACACAGGTCCTTCATGCCAAATTCAAGACTCTCATTGGAAAAGAATGTGGCACTGACATGGAATGGAGACATGGAATGGAGACATGTGTGTTGATGTCCCCGAAAATCTTGAATCCTAGGATTTTCTAAATTCCTTGAACTGGTAGAAGTAACCTAAACTTTCATATTAAGAGCTAGCATTTTCCCTTTGCTTGAAAATCATTGAGAAGATTCTACCTTACAAAATACCAATGACCTTCTCAGAATCTGTTCTAAATTCTCTCATGGTTGGTAAGCCTGTATATAGGGTGAACTCAACAAACCTTAGCCAGGGATGTACTTGGCCTAATAAAAGAGGCCGAGAAAAGAGGGCGTACCTAATAAAAGAGGGACTATATCTTAAAGGAACAATAAAACCTGGACAGAAATATCAGAAGGAGCATGGAAAGGAAAAGCATGGGATTGCTTTCTGAGAGTCTTTGATCAAGAGAAGAATTCAAA
Organism: Homo sapiens; assembly: GCF_000001405.40. Lineage (NCBI taxonomy): Eukaryota > Metazoa > Chordata > Mammalia > Primates > Hominidae > Homo > Homo sapiens. The sequence continues at coordinate 79,994,803 of NC_000003.12, read as the reverse complement.
AATAAAAGTAGAATAAAAAGCATTTATTTAGGAGCACTTTCCCTAGATGTGAGATGTAAAATTCTGGCAAGAACTCCAGGAGATAATTAACTTGTTGCTAGGAAGTGTCCTAGAAGTGTGAAAGTGTAATGATCCACGCTACTTTAAAATGCAAGAGTTGCCATAACAGAAAGAGGAAGTAGGTACTAAAAGTATCAGAGAAGCGGGAAGGCTAGAGTAGATATACCAAGCAAGGCTGAAAAGCCACCAAATGGTTATGTTTTCAGGTTGGTCTGGAGGATAGGTGATATATCAAGCCTATACAGAATGTTCCATTAAAAAGGACAACAGTATTCAGTGGTGCTCTACACTGCATACCTGGGATCATGTTATGAAAGGTGGTTACAAAATTTGTCTCACTGACAGTAATGGGAAAGAATGATAGGACCCCAGTGAGGCCATGTGGCAGCACTTAGAAGCCAAGTGAATAAAATCCTCCCAATGAGGTAACAGGGGTAGTCGAGAGGCCTGAATCAGCAAAGTACTATTAAAATAGTAACGGAAAATAGTGTCCAGAGGGATAAAATGATGGGTATCCACAAAAAGTGAACAATCCAAAAGACTGAAAGCATTTGCATTAGTAAAAAGTAACAGTCGCTTCCCCACATTTCAGACCTAGCTGGGTTTTGACCCAGAACACACTAGCTGAAAATAATCCATGTCAATAGGAAGAAGAAGCCCATATTAGATGATAAATGTACATGGCAGCAATTACCATGATTATTCTCCAGATGGAAGGATTTCCATTTATACATTATACACTGGAGAAGGGAACTACCCAAACATATTGGATCTGAGCTGACATTGATATCCAGAGTATCAGGACAGCACTCTGTCTGAAGTAGCCAGCAATTAATTCTGAGACGAACAGGCATATATTTCATGTATGGGTCTGCCTTTTCTGCTCACAAGTTTTCAGCCAACACCACTGCCATGATCATCAGCATGAGATCTTACACAATGTAAGATCTTACGTAATGTAACCTCAGAGAAGAGGACCAACTTTATGGAAAAGGAGGTGTGCATGGAGCTCATGATTATGGTATCCACTGTTTTGGGGGCAGGGGAAATGCGAAATAAGTGAATTCTAACAACCTACTAATATTAGTTGTCAGATACCCAAATTTCCTGATATTTAATAATATATTTAGTAAATTATTAGGAAATATCCTGTTGTTGTACATAAACAATGAAAGCATAGAATTTAATGGTGCTCAATTTCTCATTGAACGCCATAAAAAGGACTTGCTCTTTTTGTTTAAGACTCTAAGTGGACTACAGACCATTCTTTGGAGTGAATTGCTTTACATTTTTTCAAGCCTGGACTGACCCTGTAAACTTTGCTTAATCCTAAGGAATTCCTGATTAGGCTTCAACAGTCTTGCTTTCTGAGCTCCCCAGTCCTATGTGATGTAAGCACTGAAAAGCTTAAAGTCTAAGATCAAGCTTGAGCCCTACTTGACAGGTGTAGACAGTAGTCATTCACATCTTAGTCCGATATTCCTTTACTTGGTTTCACTACTTGAATTCGTACAGTCAATGGAAGAGCTGTATTATAAAATTGAGAAAGTCTCTTAAATCATGAGAAATAAAAGTGTAAGAGACTTTTAGAATGAATCCAGAATATTAATATTTACCTAAAAGTTAGTTCAAGGAAAAAGAAAAGAAAAACAAGGTGCTTTTAAATATAAAGGGAAAGTTTTCTGAAGGGTAAACAAAGACTGAAAAGATAATTAAAGGTACATGCCTAGACATAGTTCTGTAATATTTCAAAATACTAAAAGAAGAAAAAAAAAATAGCAACAACAAATAAAACCCCTTAAGATTTTTAAAGATAGGAGATGAAAGGAAAAGAAAGGACATTACTTAGCCATAAATAAGGAAAAAGGCGAAAGGCAAACTATGATACATGTCAAAATTTTTACTATTAATTCTAAATGCTAAGATCTAATAGAACAATGCTGAGAAATTATTAGTGAAAATAATTTTGTGCCTAGAATGTAATAGTAAGTTAAGTAAATACTCTAGTAGGGGAACAGAATGTAAATATTCAAAAATTTAAAATATTTCTAAAATATCATTTGATAAACAATGGTAGAAAACCTAAAGCAAACTAAAAGAGAAAGATATGAAGTAGGAAATAGTGAAAGTAATTCAAGAGGACAAAAATAAAAAATATACAGAATGACAGCTGTATAATTGTCTAAGATGTAATCAATCTAATGTGGACTAGGAAGTCAAAGGATTCTGAGAAGAACGTCTCCAGCAGTGAAGTAGGTTTCATTATCCAGATTGTATGATTAATGTAGTAAAGGCAGTGCTTACTTAGTGAACGGAAAGAGAGAAAAAAATGATCTAGAAAGAGACAAGAAAAAAGCTGTACACTAAAGTCATGACTCAAATACAAAATAAATCAAAACATGAGGTGATTTTTGAGTAACTGATGAAGAGAAAAAAAATCTAGTTTTAAAACTGTTTCAGGCACCCTAAATTTACTGATATTTGTCTTTCTGAGTCTTGTCACAACACTTTGTCCCTTATATATGATATTTATATAAGATAATATTTGAAATGTTCTCTAATCTGCATCTATAAAGTTAACTTATGGATAAAAGCCAAACAAACAAATGAAAAAGCCTCAAATGTACTTAAGGACAAGAAACATAAGCCCTGATTGAATAAAAAGTGTGACTCACTCTAAGTTTCCTATGGTTGTTTGTAACAAATTAATTACCTCACTAATTGGTGTTTCAAGCGACAAATTTGGTGGCTTAAAGCAAGACATGTGTTCTGTCACAGATATGGGAGTTAGGAGTTTAATATCAAGGTGTTGACGGAGCCACACTCTGTTTGGGGCCTCTCGGGGAGAATTCTTTCTTGCCTCCTCCAGCTCCCTTGGCTTACGCCTCTTTCACCCAAATCTCCACTTCCATCATCATGTAAACTCCTCCTCTGTGTGTGTCTGCCTAATCTCTCTCTGCCTCTCTTTTACGGAATAGATAATTGCATTTAAGCCCAAATGGATAATCCAGCATAATATCTACCTTTCAAGGCCCTTATTTTAGTCGCTTTGCCACACAATATTCACTTTTTGTTATACAAAGTATAAATATATATAAATATATCTCTCATATATATATGAGGTGTATATATATAAATATATGAGATAGGAGAGTAGGGTCTGGAGGCAGGGAACCCAAGGCTGATTCATACTGACTTCCTAGAACTAAATCAAAAGGAAACCCCAACTGTCCACACCTAAGTAACAAAAGGAGAGGAGGCTACTTTCTTTGCAACCCCTCCCATTTTTTGCGTGGCAGATGGAAAATTGAAATTCTCTCTGATGGGTTGCAGAAAGCAATCAATCAGACGTTTGCATAGGAGAGTAACCTTGTAACTTCACTTCAGCCTCTGATTGGTTGCTTTCCACAACCTATCACATGCTTGCATAGGGTGTAACCTTTGTAACTTCATTTCAGCCTCTGATTGGTAAGCAACCAATCAGACAAATTACGAACCACTACTTTATTTACGTAGGGTATACACCAAGTAACCAATGGGAAACCTCTAGAGGGTAGTTAAACCCCAGAAAATTCTATAACACGGCTCTTGAGCTGCTGTGCTCCACCGCTCCCACCCTGTGGAGTGTACTTTCATTTTCAAAGAATCTCTAGTTGCTTCATTCTTTCCTTCCTTTGTGCGTTTTGTCAATTCTTTGTTCAAGATGCCAAGAACCTGCACACCTTCAACCAGTCACATATACACAGGATTCAAAAATTTAGAAGTTAGTTCATCTGAAATGGAGGCATTTTTCTGCCTACCACACTTACAAAAAGTAATGGATGAATAGTCAAAGATAAAAACAAATTCTTCATTCTAGTTGATTTACCCTTTATTAGTAGTTCTATTTAAAGTTACTGGATCAGAAAATGGAGGTTTAATTATACTAAAAGTCATAATCTGAGCAATAGAGAAGAAAAATATAATTAGTGAAAATTATAAAAAAGACTTGATGAGTAGGTGAGAATAATGTAACAGGCTAAATTTCCAATACTTTATACTATTAATATTATATATAAACATTTATATTAATCTTTGAAATAATATTAACACCCAATTTAAAAAAGAGAAATAGTCTCTTTACATTTTTTCCAGTGCCACTTCTCATTTGGCTGTTAGCTTTTGCTCCCCAGGCATAAATTTAAATGTATGAAATTATGTTTCCCTTTCCAAGAAAAAAATAAACCTATACAAAGTTAGTGTTTCTCTTTTCATCCCAAGAAAGCTAAATAGAAAAGAGATTAAAAGCACATTTACTAAATTATCTTTCTGCTGACTGAGTTTCTCTACCTTCAACCAGGATTCTGATCTTATGTTCTTAACTTTTAGAGGAATGTGGGCTTCTCAACATAAAAATCTAACAGAACTGATGCAATTCCTACCATTATTCTTATGCATGTGGGTCAACAATCATTTTGTCCAATAACTTACACAAGAGTGTTAATCAGTGACTGCACTGATAATCTCAACTCTGAAATATTAGTAACAGTGGCATTGTTCTCATATTCATTATTAAGAAAATACATTTGGAATCCTTGCCTTTCTAAAATGTATTATACAAGAGAGAATGAAAAAATACATTGGTGGTTTTCACAAGTTACCATTTTTAATGTTTCATCTCACTTGCTGATCTTTTAGAGCATAGCTAATAAGTAATCCAGAAGCTTTGAGAAATAAAATATTTGACTCTTATTTATTAAGTTATGTAATTTTTATAACAGAAGTTGGCCAACATCTTAAACTTAGGCTTAACCGCTTGCTTTTGCTGATTTAGACACCTTTAGCTTTACAAAATTTATATTGTATCCAAAATGTTTTGGTTTAGTTAATCCAACCTATTAAAACTTTCAAAATATTACAAATGTCTAAGATTGCAAATCATTCTAGTAGAATGAATGCCCATCAAGTATTATATTCTGTTCTTCAGTCAAAAGGTAAACAAAGGCTGGGCATGGTGGTGCATGTCTGTAAATCCAACAATTTGGGAAGCAGCGGCAGGTGGATTGCTTGAACCCAGGAGTTTGAGACTAGCCTGGGCAACATAGCAAGACCCCATCTCTAAAAAAAATACAAAAATGAGTCAGGCATGATGGTGCTCACCTGTAGTCTCAGGTAATCAGGAGGCTGAAGTGGGAGGATCACCTGAGCCCGGGGAGGTTGAGGCTGCAGTGAGCACCACTGCACTCCAGTCCAGGTGACAGAGCGAGACTCTGTCTCAAAAAGAAAAAAAAAAGGCAAACAAAATATGGTGCTCAGCAGAAAGGCCCATGGTGGCAGCATCTTTGTGTGTGCATGTAGGTAGGTGGGTGCAATATTTTGAAAAGATAAATGCTATCCCTAGCAGAATAACAGGGGATTTTACCAGAATCAGAATAAATAGAATACTGCACAATGCTGACCAGCAACAAAAACTTTCAGATATTACATTCACCTTTGGAAACTTTAAGTTTTTACCACTGCAAATTCTTTAAAGACATACTACCAATTTCATTACCTAGCTCATGAAAAGTTTGAATAAAAGGAGAAGGCAAACTATAGCTTTAAAATATAAAATACACAATTCTGTGTTCTTGATGATAGACAATAGTTCTAATAGGCCTCTCATTTCTCTAATTGTTATTATTCTATGTTCTCTTCCTGGCATTTAAAGGTTTGGTATCCATGTAAAATTTGACACACATAACAATGACATACAGTGCTTGCACTAATTAAAAAAAACCCTGGCCCTGGCCTGTGAGATTGAGATTTAATATGTGGATAATTGAACCAAATGACCTGCAGCTAGGCCTCTCTCATGCCTTAAAATATATATAATACTAAGTCTGCAGGGATAGCAGGTTTGAGAGACAATGTGATAAATTTGGCTTTGGAAATGCTTCATTATGCAATGCTTATGGAAATTAAGGGGTAGTTTGGAATAGAAATTGAACACAGAGATGTATATAGGACAATCACACATTTAGATTGGACTGTTAATAACTCTACAAACTCTATGGAATGAGTGACCAAAGATGGCTGTGTTACATGGAAGAGAGGAGGATATTTAGAATTTGGTGAGATATTTGCATTTAGAAGAGGAGCAGAAGAAAAAGATCCAAGAATTAGTGACCACAGAAGTAGAAGGAAAACGCAACATGAGATAATATAGAAGACAAGGAAAGAAAGTACCAAAGGTGATCCAAGCAATATAAACAAATATGACAAAGACATTGGAGGATGAAGACAATCAAAGGGCCACTGGATTCACCAACGTGACAGTCATTAGTTGTCCTACTTGAAAACGTATACAACGAAGTGTTAAGAGGAAAAGTCAAGTTCCAAGGTATTCAGAAGTGTCTGTTGAAACAAAAAATAGAGGCAAGCATTTTAAAATAAGTGTATACATATTTTAAAATGCATGGACTAAAGAGTGGTATAATGGTAGCTCAAGAATACAGTGGTAATTGGGCCAAGCGCGATGGCTCAAGCCTGCAATCCCGGCACTTTGGGAGGCCGAGGTAGGTGGATCACTTGAAGTCAGGAGACCAGCCTGGCCAGTTTGGTGAAACCCCGTCAGTACTAAAAATACGAAAATTAGCCAGGCATGGTGTCATGCACCTGTAGTTCCAGCTACTTGAGAGGCTGAGACAGGAGAATTGTTTGAACCCAGGAGGTGAAGGTTGTAGTGAGTTAAGATCGCACCACTGCCCTCCAGGCTGGGCGACAGAGCAAGACTCCATCTCAAAAATAAAATAAAATAAAAAAATAAAATAAAATATAGTAATAATTACGGTGCTATAAGATGGATGTGAACTATCAGAAAAAAATGTAGCCACTAGAGAATGAGAATTTTAAAATGCAATTATAAGTTACAAATTTAGTTTATGTGGCATTTATATTATCCAGAATGTGATTTAGTCAGAATAACCAAATCAAGTAATAATATGTAGTCCAACAACTGTCATTATACTCTAATTAACACATATTTTTAAAATGATAGTTGACTAGGTCACATAGCTAGGCCATCAAGATGGGTTTAATCTACTTTTAAAAATCCAGATTGCTGTGTCCAAGTGTTCTCATTGTTCAATTCCCACCTATGAGTGAGAACATGCAGTGTTTGGTTTTTTGTCCTTGAGATAGTTTGCTGAGAATGATGGTTTCCAGCTTCATCCATGTCCCTACAAAGGACATGAACTCATCCTTTTTTATGGCTGCATAGTATTCCATGGTGTGTAAGTGCCACATTTTCTTAATCCAGTCTATCATTGATGGACATTTGGGTTGGTTCCAAGGCTTTCTATTGTGAATAGTGCCACAATAAACATACGTGTGCATGTGTCTTTATAGCAGCATGATTTATAATCCTTTGGGTATATACCCAGTAATGGGATGGCTGGGTCAAATGGTATTTCTAGTTCTAGATCCTTGAGGAATCGCCACACTGTCTTCCACAATGGTTGAACCAGTTTACAGAGGAGGAACATCACACACCAGGGCCTGTTTTTGGGTGGGGGTAGGGGGTAGGATGTAGGGATAGCATTAGGAGATATACCTAATGTAAATGACAAGTTAATGGGTGCAGCACACCAACATGGCACATGTATACATATGTAACAAACCTGCACATTGTGCACATGTACCCTAGAACTTAAAGTATAATAATAATAATAATAATAATAATAATAATAATAAATCCAGATTGCAATAGTAATTCTACTCAGTTACATAAATTTGATAGTAAGAAAAGCCATGGAATGTTGGTGATTTTCATAGCACAGGACTTCTTCATTTATAACTTATTTCACATAAAGAATGGTCATGTCCAGGGTACATTAGTTATTTTTGCTTATTTGCTTCAGAGATCACTTAACATTCTTTTTGTCTACCCAGCATCTTAATCTACATATTGTGTTTGTAAAATTCCCAACCACTTAGGTATATCCAGTTTCTTGTTTAGAAGCCAAGTATACCAGAGTCTTACTTTCCCAGTCCCTCACAGAAAAATTACAAACACCTAACTAAGGTTGTGCTGATTCCACATTGACTTTGAAACGGTTGCTAGTTGCCTGAAGAAGAAGGGACACAACGACATGCTTTCTGGTGATAGGTAGCTGCAGTGAGTGCAGCTAAACCCAGAGGACAGTCTCAGCAGAGCTGCATTAGGAGAGACTGTTTCTATGACTCTGACTCAGCGGTTCCCATGACATAAACAGGTATCATCTCATTTCCAGAGACAGAGTTATGTCTTTGGTGGACTAGATGTGCAGCATGATTTGAGCATTGCTTTTGGCTGCTTGGTCTCCAAAGCTGGTTCTCTACATCTCTGGAGATCTTATGAGCTATCCAATGTCTTTCTTATGAATTCTTTTTCTAGAGTCAGTTATCTAGAATCAGTTCCTCCTTTGTGCTGGTATAAACTCATGCAGTTAAATCTACCTGAGTCATCATTGAGGCTTCCGCATTTTATATTATTTTGTTCGTTTATAGGGTAAATGCATGCCATCTGGGTATCTAGTCAAACTAAAATGCATTAAGGATTTTGTTTGTTTTGTGTGACTTCCTTTTCATTCACCAATTTTTATGCCATAATATGCCATAGTTGGGGGGGAAATAAAAAAAACAGCTATAATTACATACTGCCTTTTATTCTCTCTTACGGTAGTCACTCTGCAGGCATTGTTTGCTACTCTAATTCTCATCTCATCTTGGTTAGTCGTCATTATTGACTGAGCACAGTGCTGTGCTGTGTGATGTATCTCTGCCGCAAAAATCATTCTTCTTCGTTAAATCCTCTGCACTTGCAGCTGTCTGCTGAGCTTCACTCTCCACCAAGATGCAGACGCTGCATTTTCTTTGATTGCGTTTGTGGCACATTCATGAATGCTTCTTGGGAAAAAAAAATCATTCCAAACCAATAAATCAAATCAATAAATAAGTCAATAAATCCCTTTTGCTTTACAAACATCATCAATCTTTAGCAGAATGAGTCACTAGTTCTTGTCCCTACTTTTTGGACTCTTTGAAACTATTTCATCTACTATTAGATGCTCTTTGGGTCTGGTGTTAATACTTGCATTAGCTAATACACTTGACCTTACACAAGACCCAAAGACATTTGACCTTAGAAGTCAATTTCAATGAACTCTGTTTTCCTTAAGAGACTTACATGGGGAATGGAATATGTCAAAGACAGTATTCACTAGTAATGAATTCAGTAGTGTAGTTTAAACAAAAACCTTATATATATGTAATAAAATTTACTTGTTGGTATATTATATTATATATATGTAATTTATAGATACATATATGTATTATGTCCCAAGAATCAAACTGGGATATTATATATGTATATTAAGTATATTATACATATTTAAATATAGTATGAATAATATATTTAATTCTTCAGAAATAAACATATATATTATATACACATGTTATAAACACGCATATTGTGTATATATTTATAATCTTTTATTAACTTCTCTTTAAAGTCCTAGCCTAGTGAGCATTCTGCATTCTGCCTAGACTTCCACTGATGCAGACTGTACGCAGGTTAAGAACCAGAAACAAGGATTACAAATAATTTGTCAGTGGTTTAAAATTTGGTCACGCTCTCAAGGTCTCAATGACCATTAATTCAGCTCCCAGCAATTCCTGACTGACTGAATAATTTACCTCTGCTACTATGACTGCATGTGATCTACCTCTTATTTCTTAGAATCCCCTACTCTTCTGCTCTTAGTTTAGAGTTCGCGGTATTTCCTTCCTTCCTGCTCTGTGACCTGCTTCTGATTTCCCAGACGTCTATGAATGGCAAGAGCACTCAAAATTTCTTCTTGCTAAGAGGTATTGATTGACTCCTGCCTCCACAAAATATAATTTCTCTTGCAATCAATATTTTTTCACCTATCTTTGAAGCGCCAAAAGATACTATCCACCAATCTATGATTTTTTCTTTTTCTATAGCTTCCCGTTGTCTCAGCTGGGTCATATAATTTTAGTTCATCTACCTCTTCATAGTTTATCATAAAAATTATCTGCCTCAAACATTGCTGTAGGCCTCAAATAACCCTTGACAATAATGGTTACAGAAAGAAAAGTAGCCTTGTAGATTAAACTCTGAAAGGCAAGATGTGACTACAGTCGTATTCCTAATACCAAAAATAATTTGCTTATTTAGGTAGGAGACATACCGTTTATGAATCACCCCATAAAGAACTGAGACCTAGGAAAGCAAATCGGTTTGCTACTCCATCAGGTAGACAGAAGGTTAAGACTAGATTTTACGTCTCCCATATTTTTATTTCAAAAAACTCCGTATTTTTAAAAATATTTTAATTAAAAGTAAAATAGCATGTGTTACTTTGAAGTTCATAATAATTTAAGACTTACAAATTGTTTTTGTCAAAGAAGCCTTTCCAGATGTTTCGTTTGAATATTTTATAAATTTATGCGTGTAAATTTTATGTAATTCAATAAAATAGGTAGTTTTTATATAAGATTTTCCCTATATGCTTATTTCAAATATAATATACCAAATATCATGCATTAAAGAATCAACATGCATGCTTACACTGTACTTACTAAGTATTCTATATTGTGTTTCTAATTTTATGAGGTACAAAGAAAGTTTGTTTAATGCTTAGAAGAAATATAGTTCTTAAACCTTTTAATATAGTTGTTAACAAGACTATTCCTTTAATATCCCATTATATTATACATTCTAGTATAAATAAATGATATTTAAAATAGGAATACATGAAATGATATTAGTCAAATTATCTGTAATTTTTAATTCTTCAAATAAAAAAAGTTAATGGAAGTTTTTGAATTCATATAAAAAAGAGATCCATATTCTATTTTCTAGTCTTATTCTTGGCATAGTTAAAATTCTTTAGCAGTTCAGCTTGTGCAAACATTAAAGGTTTTTATTCTGGTGTTGTTGCTGTGGGTTTATCAAGTATTCACAATATTCACAGGTATGGTAGACTGTCTTTGTGTTCAGGGACTGGGCATAACCTTTGTGAACAGCTAGCAGTTCAGGTGAGTAATTTTTGTTACATGTTTAATTGTAGTTTTCTGTCTCGCTTGCTGTCTTGTTATCTCCCTCTCTATCTTTACAGTATGTTGCCATTTTCACAGCTGAGATATCCTGAAGAAATAATATTTTAATTAGTTTTATAATTTTTCCCATTTGATAATAACTTCTGCAGCTACGTGTAAGAAACTCTGTAAAAAGTAAAGCAATAGTAAAAGAAAAAAATAGAGATTTACAAGAAGATGTAAAATATCAAGCACTGTGTCTTCAAAATGTTCCTTTTGAATGACACTTGGAGTCTGGGACTCATGCCAGAAAGTAAAAGCATTTTGGCTGTGTAGCTTCATGAGACCAAAAGATCAAATATTTTTTCATAATCTATCAAGCAAAAGTTATTTGCTTGATTTATAGTCTGTTTCCTCCATACTCAGAGGGGAAAAGTAGATGATATAAAGACACAAAAAATATTAAAGGAAGTGATTTGTTTGCATTATTGAAATGTCAGGATTTTATGCTCATTTGGATAACTAAATATCACTGTAATGATGAAGTGTGCATTGTGCTTTGTCTTTAGTCTACACTCTCAATACATGCCTATATTTATAATATTTAAGTAAGGTAACCAAAGAAGCAATATTTATTCTTAACATTTTTTAATATATTCTAGAGTATTTAAAGTTAACATTTAGTGGGCATTAACTATTTTTTATAAATTTATATGTTAAAAATAGAATTGAAGTTTTAGGGCATTATTTTTAAGATTTTTAACATTTTTTAACTTTTTTCAAAATTGTGGATAAAGCTATTACAAAGGCAAACATAATTTAAATATTAAATATTACCAAGAGAAATCATTTACATTTCACTGCTATTTGTTTCCAGGCTTTTCTTGTTTCCACACCTTATTAATTAATAGAAATCCTAAACTCGGGTGTAGTTGCTTATGCCAGTAATCCCAGCACTTTGGAAAGCCGAGGTGGGAGGATCACTTGATGCTAGGAGTTCAAGACCAGCCCAGGTAACATGGCGAGATCCTATCTCTATAAAAATAAAAACAAACAAATTAACCAGGCACAGTGGTATGTTCCCCTAGTCCTCCCTACTTGGGAGGCTGAGGGAGGAGGATCGCTTGAGCCCAGGGGTTCAAGGCTGCAGTGAACTGTATTTACAACACTGTATTCCAGCCTGTGTGACAGAGGGAGACTTGAAAGAAAGAAAGAGAAAGAGAGAGAGAAAGGAAGGAAGGGAGGGAAGGAAGGGAAGGGAAGGGAAGGGAAAGGAAGGGAAGGAGGGAAGTCAGGGAAGGGAGGGAAGGGAGAAAGGAAGGAAGGAAGGAAGGAAGGAAGGAAGGGAGGGAGGGAGGGAGGGAGGGAGGGAGGGAGGGAGGGAGGGAAGGGAAGGAAGGGAAGGGAGAAAGACGGTAGGAAGGAAGGACAGGACGGCAGGAAGGAAGGAAGGCAGGAAGGAAGGCAGGCGGGCAGGAAGGGAGGGAGGGAGGGAGGGAAGGAAGGAAGGGATAAAAATCCTAAAATAGAAACAAAAACAATGTCCCTTTACACCTGGTGTGTGGGTAAAGATTTGACAGTTTTCTACAATTAAAGTAATTTTGTATATTTACCAGTACACTATCAAGAACAAATAGTTCTTGATCTTTTATATATTTTACTCACATGGCGCATTCTTATTTATATGACTGAGTAAAAGAAGCATTTCAGCAAGAAAGTAATAAAACCAGTATGTCCTTCACTGATGTCCCTATTTACCTTGCATGATTGTATAACTGTCTATGTTTAGAATAACAATAATTTGCCCACAGTATAACTGCGCACTGACATCCTCCAGAAAGATGATATATTCTTCTGTCAACTTAACCTCAGTCCCATTTTCCCAGAATAATTTGCAGTTGGTGGTGTAGCTGTATAGTTTGAATTGTTATCCTGAAGTAAATACTGAAATGATGTGACTGTATATGGTTCAATGAAGTTAAAGAGGTATAGAAGCAAATTATTTTATTTTATCCTAATTAGAAAAAATACTAGTACAATTTTAGAAGTCCATTTTGCTGTTCAATGCACGACAGAACTGGCTACACGCAATTTTTTAGATAAAAACAATTGACATGAAAATGTTACATGAGACCCATTGTTTAATAACAAACAGGGTGGGTGAAGGATGGGTACAGTATTTAGTAACAAACGGGGTTCAGATTCAAGCTGCTACCTTGAATCTACTTAAGTATAATACAAGTTATTACATTATTTAATCACTATAAATAAAAACTTAAGAAGTATATGTATCATCAGTATATTAGATTCTGATTGCACCAGTTTTTATTGAAACTCTTCCAAGTCTTAAGAAAATCATCCCCAACATTTTCACTGAAGGACTTTTAGATTCAAACTGAGTGATTATTCTGCTGGGCACTGTTATAAGCATTGTACATGCCTTAGCTCTTTTCACTGCATGGCAGCCCTCTAAGGTGAATATTATTATTAAATCCGTATCACTGATGGGAAAATTGAGGAGGCAAGATTTCCAAAGTCATGTATCTAGTGAGTAACCATTTTCAAAACAATTCTGTTGGAACACTCGGCAGTTTAGAATATTGTAAAAATAATTTCATTAAAAAAATCCCTGCTGGCCATGCTATTCTCAAACCTAACCCCCTTACTATTTGGCTTTTAAAGCTCATACAGGTTAACTTATAGATTAAAATTGTACATGCAAAGCAACATGCCATCATACAATAGAAGTGATATACACCTGGTCGAATCCAAGCAGATGCTGAAGACTTAAGTAAGTTATATAAAGAAGAGGTCTAAATGTCAATGGTCCCCACTCCTGCTACACTAATTTCTCACTCTGTCCTCACCTGTGGGCTTGTGGCTACTTCCCTATGATCAGTTGACAGAGGACGAGAAGACCCAGGCCTGGTTTATAGCTGGTTCTCCATAGTATGCAGGTACCACCCAAAAATGGAAAGCTGCAGCACTACCTCTCTTCTCTGGGACATCCCTGAAGGACTGTGGTAAGGAAAATCTTCCCAGTTGTCAGAACTTAAGGCAGTGTACCTGGCTGTGCATTTTACTATGAGATAGAAATGACCAGATGTGAGATCATATACAGATGCATGGTTGTGGCCAATGATGAGAAGCTTGGAATAAACATGATTGGAAAATTGGTTACAAATAAAGTTGGAGAAGTAGTATGTAGATGGATCACCCTGATTGAGCAAAAAAAAAAAAAAAAAAGAAAAGAAAAAAGTGAAAATATTTCTTTCTTGTTTGAATGCTTACTAAAATATGACCTCAGCAGAAAGAGATTTTAATTATCAATTGGAAAGGGTGACCCAGTCTGCGAATACCAGTTAGCCTCTTTCCCCAGCCAAATTTGTCATCACCCAATGGATTCATGGACAATTGGCACAGTGGCAGGGATGTAGGTTATGAATGGGCTAAGCAACATGGACTTCCACTCAATGCGGGGAACCTGGCAACGGTCACCACTAGTGCCTAAGTTGCTAGCAGCAGATACCAGCACCAAGCCCCTAATATGTCCCATCCCCCTGGCTGATCAGCCAGTTACCTGGTGGTAGGTTGATTACATTAGACTGATTCCATCATGGAAGGAGTAACATTTTAGTCTTACTGGAACACTAATTCTGGATATGGATTTGCCTTCCCTACACACATTGCTTTTGCTAAAACTAACACCTGTAGGCTTATTCAATGCCTTATCAATCATCGTGCTATTCCACATTCTATTACTTCTGACCAAGAAGCTCACATCACAGCAAAAAGTGTATGACAATGAGCGAATGGTCATGGAATTCACTGATCTTAGCAGGTTTCACATATATAGACTTACAGAATTCCTCATCAATCACCATGGTATTCCACTTTCCATTACTTCTGATCAAAAAGCTCACATCACAGCAAAAAGTGTATGACAATGAACCAATGGTCATGGAACTCACTGGTCTTACCATGCACCATCCTAAAGCAGTTGGCTTGATAGAATAGTGAAATTGATTTTGAAGACTCAGTTGCAGTTTCAGCTTGGTGGCAATACCTTGCAGGGCTGGAGTAAGGATTTCCCAAAGGATGTATATACTCTGAATCAGCATCCAATAGATGGTGAAGTTTCTTCAGGAGCCAGGATTCATAGGGCCAGGAATCACTATTGCCTGTAGTGACCCACTACCAAATTTTTGCTCCCTGTCCCCATGACTTTATGCTTTGCTTCCCTAGTAGTCTTAGCTCCAGAGGGAAGAATGCTTCCACCAGGAGACACAATGACTCCATTTAACTGGAAGGTAAGACTGCAACCTTGCCACTTTGGACTCATGCCTCTTAGTCAACTGGCAAAGAAGGGAGTTAAGGTTTTGACTAGAGTGATTGATCCAGGATGACCAATGGGAAATTTGACTACTACTGCACACTGGAGATAAGGAAGACAGAAGATTCCTTAGAGCATTTCTTAGGATTACCCAGCCCTGTGATTGGGTAAATGGAAAACTGTAACAACCCAATCCAGGGAGGACTAAAATGGCCCACACCCTTCAGTAATGAAAGTTAGGGTCACTCCACCAGGTAAAGAACCACAAGCAGCCGAGGTTGTTGCTGAAGGCAAGGGAATAGAGATGGGTAGTATAAGAAGATAGTTACAAATATCAGGTATGACGACATGACCACTTACAGAAACAATGACAGTAATTGTCATGAGTATTATCTCTATTTTCTTTTAAATACATTTTTGCATATATATACATATATTAAGCAAGTATGTTTGTTTTATTTCCTTTCTTATGTCCTTATATAACATAATATGTGTTGACTTTATATCAGTGATTAGGTAGTATTAATTTTATGTAATAATATTTGAGTTACAGAATATCAGAAGAGGAACACACATCACCCAAGGACTTTACCTACTCTTCTGGGGAAGGGATTAGTGCATTTTTGGTTGAATATTGATTAGTCATATAATGTTAGCTGAAATTATAGCCTTGATATTGTGTTTATTTAGAGATTAAACATGGCTTAAGGTAATATGTATGGATGATACAGTGACAAGGAGATGAAAAGAAACATCTGACTGGGCCCCTTAGATAGCTGGTGAAACGTTATTTCTGGGTTGGATTGTGAGGGTGATTCTGAAGGATAGCAGCGTATGAATTAGTGAACCGATTAAGGCAGATGGGCCTCTCCAATATGGCTTGGCATCATCCAATCTGCTGAGAGTTTAAATAGAACAAAAAGAGAGAGTATGGAGAATTCTCTTTCTCTACTTGAGCCAAAATTTCCATCTTCTTCTGCCTTTCTGCCCTTCAATGCCATGTAGAATATGGTAGCAAAGATGCACCTGGTTCAGATGCAGATTAGGACTTAGACCATCAGCCCCCAGTTATCAGGCTTTTGGACTTGGACTGAATTACAGCACATTATATCCTGTTTCTTCAGCTTACAGAGGATAGATCATGAGATTTTTTATTTCTATAATTATGTGAGCCAATTTTTTTTTTTTTTTTGAGATTGAGTCTTGCTTTGTCGCCAGGCTGAAGTGCAGTAGCACGATCTTGGCATGTGAGCCAATTTCTATAATAAATTTCTGTATACTAATTTATAGAAATTCATTGCATTAAATTATTTTCATCATTTTAAGGTAATATTTTTAATGTATTAGATTTATTTTTTGCATTAATCCTATCCAAAAAGTGATATGTCCTAAGAATATTTCAATACCATACAGAATATGGTAGCAAAGATGCAGCTGGGTCTCACTGACTGAAACCAAAGACTGGAAAGTCATAGGCCCCAAGAGAGACATGTCTTTTCATTTACTATTGCTTCCTGTTTCTATATGTCTGCTTCCTTTTATATCTCTGGATAATTGTCTTTTACTTCCTTCGTCTTCAGTTAAGAAGATAATAGCCAGATGTGTCGGTGAGGAACTCCATAGATCACTTCCATGTTAACAACCATAACAGGTGAAAATTATAAACACAACAATTATTTAAAAGCTCTTGAGGTTGTTTTAAAGGAAAACAGCACATTTTTAAAAGGCATCCATTCAAGACAATTTACTAAATCTCAGTAAGAAAAGTGAGAGTCTATGGCATTTGAGACCCAACCCATCTTCTTCCTCCCCACACTCAAGCTCAACATGACAGGACTTCTACATTAAGTTGATGTTGTCAGAATGGATTTCCTTCTCCCATTAGTCCCAGTTCTCAACCAAAGAGTATGCTATTTCACTGGGTAGGCCTCCAGCATTTACAGGCCTTCCAAGACCTGAGTTGCAGAGGGTACATTTCTGGTGAGTGCAAACAAAACCCAAGTGCTTCCTTCCTCTACCAGCTTCTACCCCAGGCGTGGCAGGCCAAGAATAATGAAGAAATAAATAGGGTGACAGCAGCTCACTGACAGGATGAAGTTTCCACATTGGTAGAGGCAACCGGAGAAGATCAGTGGCTTTACACTTCAGTACTAGGAGGAATGACTAAGAGATTATGCCCATGGTGAGAGGAATTCATAAGAACAGAGAGCTCTATAAAGTTTTTCCCAAAAACACTATCATGAAACAGAAGGAGAGGAGCTTCAAGCCTAAGGACATTCCGGAAAACAATAGAGATTTGGGGGTGGGGGTAAACAAAAAAGAGAAGGCTGGTAGTTCTATGGGAGCAACCAGCTAAATCATAAACCAACTAGTTTATCAAAGAAAACAATGAAAAAGGGCAACCAAGAAGAGCTCTTCTGAGATCAAAATAAACTCCCAAGAGTAGGTCAAAAATTACTCCTGCTCATATTTCACTGGATTAGACTGTGAAGTATTTTATTTCCCCAAGCATTATTTAAAATGACAGAGCAATCAGCTAGCAATTCATGAATCCTAACAGTTGAGGATGATACAAAAGGAGGCAGACAGGCAGACTGTGCAATGGAGATAGACAGAAAGAAGCAATCAAAGAAAGCTGTGGTAAAACCAGTGTTATCCTAGGGTGACTGTGTGCATTCTCAAGGCTGCATTATCTGAGTAATAATATCAGAGGCTTCACATTGCAGGGGAAGTAGACTTCACTTACATAGTGCAACTAAGTCATTAAACAAATAAACCAGCAAACAGTAACAAAAGAAGCCTCAGAGACGGGGAAAAACAATTATTGTCCAGAATTGTTATATCACTCCAAATATCCAACTAAAAAACTGAGACATGGAAATAAACAACAAAGATTGAGCCAAAGCAGGTAATATAAACTTCTGAGAGACTAAAAATTTAAAAAATTTTAATTTTTTTAGAATTAAAAACAGCCATTATTAGAGAGCCTAAAGGAAGTTATGTTTAAAGAAGTAAAAGAAGCTATAATGACAGTGCCTCATCAAACAGGGAATATTAATAAAGAGAAATTATAGAAAACAACCAAATGGTGATTCTAGGATTGAAAAGTGCAGTAAATGAAATAAAAATTTCACTGAAGGAATTTAAGAATAGATTTAAACTAGCCCAAGAAATAACCAGTGAACTTGAAATAGATTACTTGAAATTATGCAATTCAAAGACAGAGGGAAAAAATAATTTATAAATAAAGAGACTCTATAGAAATGTGGAACACCATTAATCACACCATCATGTAGGTAATGAATATTAACAACATATAGGTAGCAAATATCAGAAAGTGAGGAGAAAGAGATAGGAATGAAAAAAACTAAAGAAATAATGGGTAAAAACTTCTAAAATTTTATGAAATATATTAACCTACACAATCAAGAAACACAACAGTCTCCAGTAGGATAAATAAAAATATATCCACATTTAGATGAATTATATTAAAGACGTGGAACACCAAAGAAAAATGGAAACATGAAAGTAGCAAGAAGCAAGAGAGATATAACTCGTCATGTGAAAAGAATCCCCAGTAAGATAAAAGCTGATTTCTTATCAAAAACAATAGAGGCAAGAAAGCAGTGGACTAATATGCTTAAAGTGCTGGGGGGAAAAACTGTCAACCAAGAATTCTCTATCAAAGCTACCTTTCAAGATAAAAAAAAAAGCTGAGAGAATTCAATGCTGGCTGTCCTACTTTACAAGAAACAGTGAAGAACATTTTTTTTTTTTTTTTTTTTTTTTTGAGACAGAGTCTCGCTCTTTCGCCCAGGCTGGAGTGCAGTGGCGCGATCTCTGCTCACTGCAAGCTCCGCCTCCCGGGTTCACACCATTCTCCTGCCTCAGCCTCCCAAGTAGCTGGCATTACAGGTGCCCGCCACCACGCCCGGCTAATTTTTTGTATTTTCAGTAGAGACGGGGTTTCACCGTGTTAGCCAGGATGGTCTCGCTCTCCTGACCTCGTGATCCGCCTGCCTCGGCCTCCCAAAGTGCTGGGATTACAGGCGTGAGCCACCGCGCCCGGCCAGTGAAGAACATTTTTAAAGCTGAAACCAAGTTACCTCAGGAAAATCCACATTCACACACAAACAGTACCAGTAAAAATAACCGTGTACATATTAAAAACAGTATAACGGCATATTTTCTCTTTTTTTCTAAATTTATTTTAAAACAACACATAGGTAGTTGCATTGTTGTGTCAATTACATATTGCAATGTAATATATTTGACAATAATAACACAACACAGTCAGGTGGGATCGACACTGTACTGAGATAAGTAAATAACACCAAATAGTAACTTGAATCAATAGTAAAAATAAAAAGAACCAGACATGGTTAAATAAAGTTGATATAAAAATTTCCATAAATATATACTTGGTCTACAAAAACCAAAACCTCCTAAGTTCATAAGTCAAGAGACCAGAGGGAAACCAAAATTTTAAAAAATGAAAAAAAAAATTGGTGATAATTTTTTTGTGTCTCATTTTCCAATTCATGAAGGGACTCACTGGCTTGACCATCTCCAGATTCAATTCCACCTCTTCCACCAACCACAGTGACAACAGACATTGGCTCATGTTTTCTATAGGGAATGCAGATTGAAGCACAGCCACTGAAACCAGTCAAGAGACAACTTACCCTTGAGAAAAAATTGTTCCTCTAGGGCTATTCTGAGGAACTGAGATGCCTAGAAAATACCAAGACAGCCTTGACCCATATGAATATTTTCTCAAAAGTAAGATTTATTCTGGCACACAGTTTTCTCACCTCCAGCCCCACTGGGTGTTTCTGTGAACAGAGGGCAGGGGCAACTAACTCTGTCTGGAGGAGAATTGGAAAGCTTCCCAGAAAAAAATAACACACAACTCAAGTGTTGAAGGGTGCACAGGAGCCAAGCAGGATAGAAATACATTTTCCAGGCACAGGGTGCATAATAAAATATAACAGACGTGAGCAAACATGTGGCAAGAGGCAGGGTATGATACTGGCAGTCTAGTTTGTCTTTGTATGATTCGCAAATGTGAAATGTTAACCTTAAATTAACCATGGAGTGATTTTTAGAAACGAACATGATCAAATTTAAGTTATAAAAGACTATGCAAACAGCACTATGGGCATAAAGTAGACAGCGGCAGAGGAATCATTCAAGAGGTTGTGTCTGTGACCCCAGTGACTTGATACCATGCTCCCAAATCTCCATATTGTGTGCAAGAATCAGCCTGCAAGTGTTTATTAAGAGGCCATTGTCTGTAATAACTAGGAATCACAGTGGGCTGAATAACTCGAGAAATGCAAATAAATCTTAATTTTATTAAATTTATATATTTACTATACATTATCTATTACTCTTTGCT
The DNA here is from genome assembly GCF_000001405.40 of Homo sapiens. Lineage (NCBI taxonomy): Eukaryota > Metazoa > Chordata > Mammalia > Primates > Hominidae > Homo > Homo sapiens. The sequence goes on along the minus strand of NC_000003.12, from coordinate 79,973,945 downwards.
GAATGTTTAGATTGCAAGAAAATTAAATATTATTTTATTTTAAAGTTACTAATTATTAACAGAGTTCAATATTTTTATAATTAAACTAAACTTATTAATGAAGTATGAGTGACTAAGTAGAGAAACACAACGTAAGAAGAAAAAAATTACCTTGAAAATATTTTTTGGTTGTTTTTGCTTTGTTTCCTCAACTTTTGAAGGGTATTTTTTGTACTCTATATAAGAAGTAGTTTCAGGCTTGACTGAAAAGTTTTACATATTTGAGTCATCTATGTGATTCATCTTCCAGCTTAGCTACTGAGAATTAAATGAATGATTCTTAGTAATTGATGGAGTGATTTTACCCAAAATTAATACAGATATAGTAATACAGTATTCTAACAATTTTTCTCTTATTTCCAACACACAAAGCAAAAAGGATGGCTTCTAATATAGAAATATTCAAATATTTGCTTAAACATGTTTGTAGAGCTAAGCAGAAATTTCTTTCAAATCGTGGTGGAGATACAATTCTTATTTGTAACACTGTGAGATCAGCTGTTGTACTTCAAGATTATTTTTTATTTAAAAGATGTCTGCTTGATGTTTATTCACAGCCTTTTTGTTTGTTTCTTTTAAACTAAAAAGCCAGAAGTAATATTAAGCTATAACGTTTAGCTATTGTAACAAACACATTTCATAAATTGTATTCTTTAATTTTGAGAAAACAATGTACAAATTGTAAAATGTATCACAACTGAAGAAAGTCCAAGACACTTTAATTTTTAAAATGTTCATTGAAATCTCTTGCAATTTAAGTTGTTATGAATTGACTATTGTGTCAATAAATTAATATTTACATGCTGACATTAAGATACCACTAAAATGTTAATACTTGTCTAAATTTTAGAGTCCTAGGAGGAATGACTCAGACTCAGACTCTATTAAATTCTTTGTTGAAGCTTGCTATGAAAATACATTAAGTTAGAACTTATACAGTAGATTGTAAAACAGAGTAAGTTATAAAATTTGAGTATGAGCAGACAGCAAAAAGCTGTACAAATCACACTTAGAAAGCCAGGTTCAATTTGCCCATTGCATAAAAAAAGGAACAATAATTCAGGCTAAGCAGACTTTCAAGAACACACAAAAAAAGTAAGAATTTTTTCAAGTGTAAGCAAAACATGTGGATTTTGAAAACTAGATTCAAGAATATATTGTAAACAATGGCTTAAATGTTAACATATTTAGTTAGCAGTTTTTAAAATTATAGAAATATGAAAGGAAATCTGTTTTATTTACAAGAGTTAACTGTGCAAGTTTTAAGTAACATTTGGTTAAATAGACTAATTGTGTGTATTGACTCTAGCTGGCTTGTACCTGACATTCCATTTTCACTTCCTTTTTCGTATCTTTTTTTGAGGGAGAAAAAATTTCATTAATTAAAAATAATAATTTAAAGTCTTTAAATCACCCACAAATAATATGCACAATTGTATATATAAACACTTGAAAATCATGTGAAATATAAATGTTTATATATATATATGCTTTTGGACATATACAATAAAGTATATATATAAAAATTCAACTTTACTATATATAATTCATTTTCATGGGCTCACATATTTGGATTTTTGTAACGTAAATTTTTACCTGATGCCATTCCCAAGTTCAAGGTAGTTGAAAGGCCTCATGCAAAAGAATATGTCCTAACCATACTTCATTCGCAATGTCCTGTCATTACCAAGGAAGAAAATATTCAGAAGGGTCTGATAAATTTAAACTCTAAGGAAACAAAGAAAACAGCATTTTAAAATTATTTTAATTGACACATAATAATTGTGCATAACAATTTATGAGGTACAGATAATTTGATACATGTATACAATGTTAAAATTAGTGTAATTAGCATATCCATCACCTCAAATATTTATCTTTTTTTTATGTTGGAATCATTCAAAATTCTCTCTTCTAGCTATTTGAAAAAATATGATGAATTATTTTTAACTATAGTGATCCTAAAGCGCTATGGAAAAATATAAATTATATTATACATTATTCCTTCTGTCTGGATGTATTTTGTATCTATCTAGCAACCTCTCACTAACCGCCCCTTACCCTCCCCTTCTCAGCTTCTAGTAAACCACGAATCTACTCTCTACATGTATGAGACAAATGTTTTTAGCTTCCACATATGAATGACAACATGCGGTATTTCTTTTCCTATGCCTGGCTTGTTTCATTTAACAAAATGTCCTGCTCATTTGTGTTGCCATGAGTGACAGGATTTAATTCTTTTCTATGGCTGAAAAGTATTTCATTGTGATGTTGAGCATTTTTTCATATACCTGATTGCTAAGTATATATCTTGTTTTCAGAAATGTCTATTCAGTTAAATTACAGAGTTTTAATTGGATTGGTTGTTATTTGGCTATTAAGTTTTTTGTGTATTCTGGATATTAATCTTTTGTCACATTAATCATTTGCAAATATTTTCTCCCATTCTGCAGGTTGTTGCTTTACTGTGTTGATGCTTTTCTTTGCTATGCAGAACTTTTTAGTTTGATATAATCTTATTTGTCTACTTTTGGTTTTGTTTCACATGGTTTTGAGGCCTCACCCATAAATCTTCACTCAGAGAAATGTCCCAAACCATTTCTCCTACTCTTTTTTCTGGTAGTTTTATAGTTACGGGTCTCACATTTAAGTTTTTCATCCACTTTGAGTGGATTTTTGTGCAGTGAGAGTAAAAGTCTGGTTCCTTCTTCTGCATATGCATATCTAGTTTTCCCAGCACCATTTTTATGGACTTTTATTTTACTATTATTTTAAATGTGTTGTTTTATGTATTTTTTGAAAATAATAGCTGCATATACGTATAAGCTACATGAGATATTTTGATACAGGCATACAATGTGTAAAAATCACATCAAGGTAAATCAGGTATCCATCACCTCAAGCATTTATCATTTCTTTGTTCTACAAATATTCCAGTTCTACTCTTTTAGTTATTTTAAAATGTAGTATATATTATTGTTGACTATAGTCACCCTCTGTGCTATCAAATACTATATTTTATTCATTCTTTCTAATTATATTTTTCTATCCATTATTTCCTCTTACCTACTACTCACCAGTACCCATCTCAGCCTCTGGTAATCATCATTCTAATCTCCATTTTCATAAGCTCAATTCTTTTAATTTTTAGCTACTGCAAATGAGTGAGAACATGTGAAGTTTGTCTTTCTGTGCCTGGCTTTTTTCATGTAATATAATGTCCTTTATATTGTTGCAAACGAGCAGATACAATTCATTTTTGTGGAAGAGGAGTACTCCTTTGTGTGTGTGTGTGTGTGTGTCTGTGTGTGTGTGTGTGTATAACATTTTCTTTATCCATTTATCTGTTGATGGACACTTAAGCTGTTTGCAAATCTTGGCTGTTGTGAACACTGCTGCAATAAACTAGGGAGTGTGGATCTCTTCGATACATTGATTTCCTTTCTTCCTTTCTTTTGGGTAAATTCCTAGCAGTGGGATTGCTGGATTATATAAGAGTTCTATCTTTACTTTTTAGAGGAACCTTCCTACTGTTCTCCGTAGTGGCTGTACTAATTTACATTCCCACCAACAGTGTATGAGAGTTCTCTGTTTTTCACATCTTTGCCAGCATTTGTTACTGCCTGTCTTTTGGATAAAAGCCATTTTAACGGGGGTAATGTAAAATCTCAGTATAGTTTTAATTTGCATTTCTCTAATAATCAGTGATGTTAAGCACATTTTCATATGCCTGATTGCCATTTGTATGTGTTCTTTTGAGGAATGTCTATTTATATATTTTGTCTATTCTTTAATTATATTATTACATTTTTTCCTATTGAGTTGTTTCAGTTCCTTTATGTATTCTGGTTGCTAAACACTTGTCAGATGGAGAGTTTGCAAGTATTTTCTCCCATTCTGGGGGTTATCACTTCACTTTTTTATTGTTTCCTTTGCTGTACAGAAGCTTTCTAGCTTCTAGCTTTCTAGCTGTACATTTCTCCATTTTTGCTTTGGTTGTCTGTGCTTTTGGGCTATTACACAAGAAAAATCTTTGCCAAGATCAATGTCCCAGAGAGTTTCTCCAGTATTTTTACTTAGTAGTTTCATAGTTTGAGGTCTTAGATTGAAGTCTTTAACTCATTTTTTTTTTTTTTTTTTGAGACAGGGTGCATTCTGTTGCCCAGGCTGCAGTGCAGTGGCACAATCATGGATCTCTACAGCCTCTACCTCCTTGGGCTCAAGCAGTCCTCTCACCCCAACCTCACGAGTACCTGGGACTGCAGGCGTGCACCACCATATATAGCTAATTTTTATATTTTTTTGTAGAGAGGGAGTTTTGCCATGTTGACCAGGCTGTTCTTGAACTCCTGAGCTCAAGAAATCTACCCCTACTTGGCCTCCCAAAGTGCAGGGATTATAAGTTTAACCAACCACACCTGGCCTTTAATTCATTTTAATTTTTTTATGTGATGAGCAAGAGGGGTCTAGTTTCATTCTTCTGCATATGGATATGCAATTTTACCAGCACAAGTTATTGAAGAGTGTCTTTCCTCAATATATTTTCTTGGCAATTTTGTCAAAAATCAATTGGATGTAAATATGTGGAATTATTTTGGGGTTCTCTACTCTGTTCTACTGGTGTCTGTTTCTATGCCACTACTGTGATATTTTTGTTTCTATGACTATAGTATTTCATAAGTCAGGTAGCGTGATGCCTTCAGCTTTGTTCTTTTTGCTCGGAATTTCTTTTTTAATAAGCATTTTTTAAATTTTAATTTTGTGTTTAAACAAATTGTGGGTACATGGTTAGGTGTATATATTTATGGGGAACATGGGATGTTTCCTTGGCTATCCAATGTCTTTTGTGGCTTTATATAGATCTCCAGATTTTTTATTTCTTTGAAGAATGACATTTGTAATTTGATATGCATTGCATTTTATCTGTAGATTGGTTTGAATAGTATGGACAATTTAACAACATTCATTCTTCAAACCATGAATACGGGATGTCTTTTCAATTTTGTGTGTTCCCTTCAATTTCTTTCATCAATGTTTTGTAATTTTAATTGTAGAAATGTTTACCTCCTTGGTTATATTTACTCCTAGGTATTTTGTTTTATTTATTTTTTGTAGCTATTATAAATGAGATTTTCAGCTAGTTCATTGTTGATGTATAATAATGTTACTAATGTGTATATGTTGATTTTGTATTATGCAGCTTTACTGAATTTGTTGATCAGTTCTAAGGGGTTTCTGTTGTCGCTGGAGTTGTTAGGTTTTTCTCTATATAAGATTATGTCATGGAAACACAGGCATTTTGACTTCCTCTTTTTCAAATTTGAATGTCCTTTATTTCTTTCTCTTGCCTAATTAATCTAACTAGTACTTACAGTACTATGTTGAGTAAGAGTGATCAAAGTGAGCATCCTTTTCTCATTCCAGTTCTTAGGAAAAAAGCTTTAAACATTTCCCTGTTTAGTATAATATTAACAGTGGGTTTGTCATATATGATCTTTATTGTGTTGACATACATTCATTTTATACCTACATTGTTGCAAGTTTTTATTATGCAGGGATGTTGAATTTTATCAAATGTGTTTTCTACATCTATTGAGATCATATGGTTTTTGTCTTTCATTCTGCTAATGTGGTGTTTCACCTTTATTGATTTGTACGTTTAACCATTCGTCATTGTTTGTAACTTGATGTATCAAAGTAATTAGAAAGTTTACAACTAAGATCCTACTATCCATTGCAATTAGAGTACTGGACGTGAATTATTTGGATGGTCAAATTCAGAAAGAGCTCATCTGCTTGCTGCTATTGCTGCTAGCATCAAAATTCAAAGCGATGTTCTTGTGGAGGCCAGGCTCAAGATTCCAGGGCAATCACCAGCTTTTGGCTGCCAGTGGCAGTGGCAGTGGGAGCAGGTAGAAGCAGCATATGGTTCGCAGTTGTATTAGTTTCTTATTTCTGCTTTGACAACTTGCCCCATAATTAGTGTCTTAAAAACAACATGGGCCAGGTGCAGTGGCTCACGTCTGTAATCCCAGCATTTTTGGAGGCCAAGGTGGGTGGATCATGAGGTCAAGAGTTCGAGACCAGCCTGGCCAAGATGGTGAAACACCGTCTCTATTAAAAATACAAAAATTAGTTGTGCGTGGTGGCGGACACCTGTAATCCCAGCTATTCGGGAGGCTGAGGCAGGAGAATTGCTTGAACCCGGGATGTGGAGGTTGCAGTGAGCCAAGATTGCAGCACTGCACTCTAGCCTGGATGACTCCAGCTCAAAAAAAAAATCATAAATTTATTATCTCATAGTTTTGTAGGTAAGAAATCCAGAATGGATCAGCAGTACTACATTCATGCTGGAGGCTCTAGGGGAGAATCTATTTCCTTGCCTTTTCTACCTCCTAAGGAGACTGCCCACATTCCTTTTAGTTTTACATTGCATTGTCACCATGCAATGAATGTAGAACTAAAATGTCCTATCACTGCAATACCTTTTCTAATTCTGACCTTCCTTCTTTTCGTTTATAAGGACTCTTGTGATAATATTGGATCAATTCTGATAATCCAGGATAGTCTACCTTAACTTAATCAAATTAGCAAAGTCCCTTTTAACATATAAAATAACTTACTAACAAGTTCCAGGTATTAGGATGTCGACAACTTTGATAGGCTGTCATTTAGACTACAACACCAGCTATGCTTGAGTGCCCTTGAAATGGATAGTTCAGTGGTAGACTTGAATTTTGTGTCTACAGCATTCTCAATAATTTTGAAAGTACTTAATTTTCTATATTAAATCTTTGGTTGAAAGTCCTACAGTTTTTAACTTTCTAATTAAATCCAAATAGATATATTTTATCTTCCTAATTGATTTTGCAAGTGTTCGTTTCATGGTTTGTGTATTTTAATTATATGATCAGTGAAAGACAGGCACTTTCAAATCAAAATATCTTGTCAAATATCATGATATCATGTCATGAGATAAAATTCCTGACTTTACAACTGAAAATATTTGGTTAACCCTGGTTTTTCTAATCTCTGAACCTCAGTTTCTCTATGTATAAAATGAGGCTACTAGCATCTACTGTAGGGTTGTTATAAAAATAAAATAAGATAACTTGGTTTCCACGCTGAATATATTACAAAACACATTAAACAAACCAAATAAATTAGAGCTATTATTTTGAATTTTCATTTGCTTCTCTTTTTTTATTTTGGTGAAAAAAACAAATCAAGTTAAACATTGTTTATTTTTTTCTTTTGATTAGAGTAAAATAAGAATACCTACAATTTTATTATAATTCTGCATTGTTATTTCATAGACAATCTGTATTATGGCAATATCTTTTCTTTTTTTTTTCTGCTTTGTGAGGGAATATTTCAAACTTATAAAACTATACATAATATATTAGGGAGCTTCTATGAACTCATTACCTACCTTCAAAAATTATCAACTCATAATCAATATTATCTGATATCCTCCTTCCATATTATTTTGAAACGAATCCCAAACTATAATTTTTCAGTATTTCTTGTTTATCTCTAAAATATAAGGGCTCTATTTTTATGATGTGTTCACAATATCATTATCAGATCTAAATATTTTTTTTATTATATTTTAAGTTTTAGGGTACATGTGCACAACGTGCAGGTTTGTTACATATGTATACATGTGCCATGTTGGTGTGCTGCACCCATTAACTCATCATTTACATTAGGTATATCTCCTAATGCTATCCCTCCCCCCTCCCCCCACCCCACAACAGGCCCCAGTGTGTGATGTTCCTCTTCCTGTGTCCATGTGTTCTCATTGTTCAATTCCCACCTATGAGGGAGAACATGCGGTGTTTGGTTTTTTGTCCTTGAGATAGTTTGCTGAGAATGATGGTTTCCAGCTTCATCCATGTCCCTATAAAGGACATGAACTCATCATTTTTTATGGCTGCATAGTATTCCATGGTGTATATGTGCCACATTTTCTTAATCCAGTCTATCATTGTTGGACATTTGGGTTGGTTCCAAGTCTGTGTTATTGTGAATAGTGCCACAATAAACAAACGTGTGCATGTGTCTTTATAGCAGCGTGATTTATAATCCTTTGGGTATATACCCAGTAATGGGATGGCTGGGTCAAATGGTATTTCTAGTTCTAGATCCCTGAAGAATTGCCACACTGACTTCCACAGTGGTTGAACTAGTTTACAGTCCCACCAACAGTGTAAAAGTGTTCCTATTTCTCCACATCCTCTCCAGCACCTGTTGTTCCCTGACAAATTTGAATAGTATTGACTATCAGGTTTAGTATTAAAATTTCTGATTGCAGTTGACCCTCCATATCCATGGGTCCCATATCTGTGGATTCAACCAACCATGAATTGAAATACTTTTTTAAATGATGGTTGCCTCTTTACTAAACATATACAAACTTCTTTTTTATTATTACTACCTAAGCAATGAATTTACAATTTACATAGTATTTACATTGTATTAGATATCATAAGCAATCTGGAAGTGACTTAAATTATGCAGGAGGCTATGTATAGGTTATATTAAAATACTATGTAACATTACATAAAGGACTTGAGCATCTGTGCATTTTAGTATCCATGTTGGGTCTTAGAACCAATCTCTCATGTATACTGAGGCATGACTATATTTAATAAATTTCATAATGTTTTAAAGATTATTTGTATTTGTTTTCTTTTGTCTCTTTTTCCAGTTTTATTGAGAAAAATAATTGACAAAAATTATTTATATTCAAGGTTTATACAATTATTTGATATAGGTATACACAATATAATGATTACTAAATTAACACATTTATGACCATTAATTGTGTGTGTGTGTGTGTGTGTGTGTGTGTGTGTGTGTGTATGGTGTGGTGAGGACACTTAACATTCATTACTCTCTTAGGAAAATTCAATTAAACAATACTGTATTATTAACTAGGGTCATCATGTTGTACATAAGATCCCCCAAATCTACTCATTTTATAACTGAATGTGTGTATTCTTTTACTGACATCTCCTTAATTCCACCACCTCCATCCCTTGCCCCTGGCAAACTTGCTTCTACAACTTAGTGTTTCTATGAGTGTGACATTTTTAGAGTCCACATATAAGGAAGGCTATACAATATTTGTCTTTCCACATCTGGCTTGTTTCACTTAGCCTGATATCCTCCAGGTTCAACCATCTTGTAAAAAATGGTAGGGTTTCCTTCTTTTTATAGTTGAATAATATTCCACACATGTACACACACACATATACAAACATACCACATTTTTTTCAATCCATTTATATGTCAATGGACAGACTGCATATTTTGGATATTTCGAAAAAACTGTGGTACGCATTCGGGTGCAGCTATCTCTTTGAGATACTGATGTCATTTATTTTGGATGTATACTCAGAAGTGAAATTAAAGAATTACGTGGTGGTTATAATTTTAATTTCTTGAGGAATCTTTCTACTGTTTTCTATAATGGGTGTACCAGTTTACATTCCCACTAATGGTGTGCAAGGATCTATTGTTCTCCATATCCTTGCCAACACTTGTTATCTTTTGTCTGTTTATTTATAGCCATTCTGACCCATTTGAGGTGATATCTCATTATGCTTTTGATTTACATTTCCCTGATGAATAGTGATATTCATATATATTCATACATATTACATATTCCTCTTGGCTATTTGAGAGTCTTCTTTTGAAAAATGTCCATTCAAGGTTTGTGCCCATTTTTTTAAATTAGGTGGATTTTTCTTCGTTTTTATCTTTTTTCTGCTATTATGTTGTACAATCTCCTTATAGATTCCGAATATTAATCCTTTATCAGATATGTTTTTTGCAAATAGTTTCTCACATTTTTAAAATTGCCTTTTCATTTTGTTGATCATTTCTTTTGCTGTGCAGAAGTTTTTAGTTTAATGTAGTCCCACTGATTTTTGCTTTTCTTGCCTGTACTTATGGTGTCATACCAAAAAATTCATTGTCAAAGTCAGTATCAAAGAATACTTTCCCTATGTTTTCTTCTAGGAGTTTTCTGTTTCAGGTCTTACAATTAAGACTTAATCCACGTCAAGTTAATTTTTGAGCAATATAATGTTGTTAATGTTTTCTAATATAATTTTATTCTTTTCCATGTGGATATCCAGTTTTCCCAACACTACCCTTTCTCCATAATGCATTTCTGGCATTCTCGTCAATGATTTGTTGACTGAATATGCATGGGTTTATTTCTGGGCTCTCTATCTTTTTCTTACTGGTCTGTGTGTCTACTTTAATGCCAGTACCACACTGTTTTGACTACAAGAGCTTTGTAACATAGTTTGAAATTAGAAATATGGTGCCTCCAGGTTTGTTGTTGCTCAAAATTGCATTAGCTACTCATGACTTCATTAAAATTTGAAGACTTTGAAGACTTCTTTCTATTTCTGTGAAAAATGCCACTGGAATTTTCATAGATATTAAATTGAATTAGTAGATAACTTTTAGATAGTATGGATATTTTAACAATATTAACTATTGCAATCTATGAACATGGAATGTTTTATTTATTTGTGTTTTCCTCAATTTCTTTTATCAACGTCTTTTAGTTGTAAGTCTACAGATTTTTTATCTGCTTGGTTAAATTTATTCCTAAGTATTTATTCTTTTTGATATATTGTGAATGGGATTGTTTCTTAATTTATTTTTTGGATAATTCATTGTTAGCATATAAAAACAATGAATTTTTGTATTTTTATTTTGTATCCTGCAACTCTACTAAATTTTTTTATTATTTCTAACAGATTTTAGACAGATTCTTCAGGGTTTTCTATATTTACAATCATGTCTGCAAACAGAGAAAGTTTAATTTCATCCTCTATGATTTATATGCGGTTTATTCCTTTTTTCTTAACTAATTGTTCTGGATAGTGCTTCCAGAACTATGTTTAATAGAAGTGGTAAGATGGGCAATCTTGTCTTGTTGCTGATCTTAGAAGAAAAACTCTGAGTTTTTCATTGTTTTTCTGCATAATGTTAGCTGTGAGCTTGTCATATTAGTCCTTCATGAGGTATATTTCTAATATACCTAATTTGTTGAGTTTTTACTTTGAAAAGATGTTGAATTTCGTTGTAAACTATTTGTTTAAATTAAGATTCATATAAAGTCACATTTGTGACTGCTTGATGCATCTTATAAATCTTTTATATTATAGCATGTTGTTCCATCTCTCTCCTTCTATTAATTGCAGTATATTTATTGAAGAATACAAATGTATAATTCAGTGTCCAGTTTATTATGTACTCAAGCTGTGTAGTTTTCTGCTATAAAGTTTATTATTGTTAAGATTTTTGGTGGGGGTCAGCTTATACATCTAACGATAAAGGGAACATTGTAACAATTCAGTATATATTTTTCAAAACTTATACACATGTACTCTTTTATTTGACCAGATACACCAAATATACTTTATGTTCAATGTGAATAATATTTAACAAAATATCAAAAATAATTTTAATAATATTTTCAAATAAATGTAAGATTAATTCTTCAACCACATGTATTCAGAAAGGTTCATTAAATAGATTGAAAACTGTTTTTTTATTTTGTCAACCATCTTTAGTAAATTATATTAACAAAATGTTTGAGTTAAGTGTATTCTGTGGCCTGAAGTACCATGGTCTAAGCTGACTTGTTAAATCTAGTATATTCAGGTATGATCCACTAGTAAAACTACTTTTAAGATTGCTTTGGGAAATGTCATTACTGAAATCAGCAGTGGTCATGTAGACAAAGTCTTATTCTCGTGGTATGATTTGTTATAGATCAAATTATATTTGTTCAAGGATGTGCCAGAGGCTATTTTATAAATTTCCAAATTGTGATTTGCTTGGAAAGGAAGGAGACCATGTTAGGTGTTACACATATAAACTGGAATAGCCATATTTTTTGCTTCTTTCAGTAAAAGGTTGTATTTACTCATTTTCTTACTCTTAAAAAACACTGACTGCGTACGTTTGTTAGTTTTTACAGGTAAATATCCACCTGTTAACAATAGCTGATTTTTAAATTGAGACATTATATTATAAACTTAATCAATAAAGAGTAGAGAAAACCTGAACCCATCATACAGAATTTTAAATAGTCCTATTCAGTTATTATAAATCTGTGTATATTACATTTACATTAATTTTAATTACAATAATTGTAATTACTGTCTTTTTACATTATTTTTTCTAGCATCATTTTTCATCCCATTCCAGAGACAAGGATGAACTGCCATTCCTGTGAACCAAAAATTAAAGTCTTTACCTTCTTTAAACTAAAATAGGCTGTGAATTGTATAATATATGTATGATATAGATATGTAGAATGCTGAGATAAATGGTCTATATGTTTTCTCAATCAGCTATTTTGGCTCTCCTGACCATGCTTTCTCAGCCTAGAGTGGCTGGAACGTGGCTTTGTCCTAATTCTGATCAGTATTTCTTTCATCCTTCTGGTTCTACCGTGTTTGCTTTTATAACTTCTGCTGCCCATGGGAGAACACAGCAGATTTGTCTTGTTCTTGGATGAATGTAAATGCAGTGATTACAAAGGGTGTGTTATTTGCATGTTATTTACCAAGCATGGTATGTACCAAGCATGTGTCTATCAGACATTCATCCTACACAGGTCTCAGCCTAGACCCCTTTCTGCAGGATGCCTCCTCCCCTGGGGGAAAAAAATAGGTAGACTTTCTTTGAGCTGCTATGACAATCTGTATGTAACTCCATCTAAGCCCACATCACTCACAGTGCCTAGAGACTGTAAGCATGTTTTACTGTTGCATTCTCAGTGACAAGGCCTGTGTATTTTCTCACTAAATAGCTCATGATTTGCACAGTATATGGATTAGAGCAGAGCTGAACAAATGTTTGTACAATGATTTCACAAATAAAGTAAAACGGCACAGCCACTAATCTTAAATTGCTTATATTCTATGATTGACAGAAAAAAAAATCGGTAACAACAGTAAGCAATGATGGAAATATGCATGGGTGGGAGCACAAAGAAGGAGCACCTAACTCTGTCTGAGGGACACAGAAAAAACTTCACAGAGGAGATGAAGCATGAGTTGAATCTTGAAGGGTGAGTCAGCATTATTCAAGCTGAGAAAATAGGAAACAGTTTCCAGATAGAAGGAGCAATACTTGCAAAGATACAGAAGTCAAGAGACCATAGATAATGGGCAAATATGAGACTTTGAAGTATGTCTTTTTGTGCCACATTAAACATTTCGAAGGCAATCCTATAATCAAGAGGGAATCATACTGTTGTTTTTAGTTACAGAATGCTATTATGAAAATTTATGTTAATTAATTTTAATTAAACGTATTTAGCCAGCAAGGTAAGAGGCCTGAGGTTGGAGGATGAGATAAGGATTGGGTGATCTCAGTCTAACCAGGTGCCATAGGACAATTGGGAAATAATCATGGTCTTGTAACAAGACAGAGGCATAGGGAATTAATAATAGCACTTCCATCAAAATGGAAGAATTGACATTAACCTGTAATTAGATGTATAATAACTACAAGCCTGCAGAGCTAGCTATACCTGATATTCATGGAGCCTGGGTTAATAATATAAAGGGAGGGCTGTATACCTCATGTCCAAATATTTAAAAGTTTTAAATCAAGGTAAAAAAAATGATTCAATGCAATATATCTAGCCTTTTACCTTGAAAATATACCTTCATAATGACCTGGAAGACAGATTGAAGAGAGAAAGCCTCGTAGTTTTTTCAGTTTCATGCTGAAACCTGACAACTCAAAGAGGTTCTTTTATACCTTTGATTCCCTTCTACATGGTGAAAACCCTCAAGCAGTCACATGTGAACATCCTAGTTTATCCAATACCCCTCTCCAGATAAAAGGACATCTTCTGAGCATCCTTTGGGTCTTAGAGGTCTACCCTCTGGAGGATGATCCTGGGAAAGAGGCACAAGTCCTGAAAGCAGATCAATGAACAGGGCCCGTTGAGTGGAGGCTTAAGGATTCCAGATACTCAGAACATAGTCTATAAGATGGCCGTCATCTCCATGGGACCACATATCTTGACCCTGCAGATCACTTGTCCTGACCCTGATAAACCCTTGTATTGTGGAAAAGTTTTTGGATTAGTCTAAATGCTGTGTTTTAACATAGATAACTTATCTGTTGTATTACACAGATTTCAGATACTACATTTTTTTTTTCTGGTTAGTTGTTCATAGTCTTGTTCTCCATCCTGTTGAACTCTGCAGGTGAGACTCTCAAAATGTTTTCTTTGAATATGAGTGTTTTCTGCTAATTTCTACAATATGAGAAATTTCTTTGAATATGAGTGTTTTCTGCTAATTTCTAAATTTCTACAAAATTTCTTAAACAAAAAGACTACATCTCCTGAGAATATTTGCCACTGCTGCAATAAAAAGAGTGAGAAATCAGCCTGTTTTATACAGGTATATATGGTCTTACAGTCTGCTTTCGTCCTTTTGGTTCATTATTGAGATTCACAATCAAATGTGCCTGCTGCATAAACTGGGGTTAAAAGCTCTCTGCTTGCTTTTTCATAGTTTTCTTGCATAACTATCGTCTAACCATTTATATGTATGTTACGTTATTTCAATTATTTTTGTTCTATACTTGTCTCTGTCATTAATTTTCTGGATGACCTTGGACAAAAGTTACTAAATCATTCTTTATCTGCTATATTCTCTTATTATCTGTCTTATCTATTTAAAGGATTATGAATGGAAGAAAAGTGAGTCAAATATGTGCAAATACAGTGAAAATTATACACATTATGCAAAAAAATACCTTTTAAAAGAATAGTTATTCTCTATTATGATTATTATTTATTTGCTGGTTTTTAGTAAGTTATTTTTGGTGGAGATTCATATATATTATGGGTTAAAAACAAATAATATTCTATTCTTCCTAACAGGAATTGCTATAATAATTTAATATATTATTTCAAAAAGATTATTGACATTGTTGATAATGTAAATATGGGCTTATTAATTTGTGTTTTTACTAAAATTAAACTAATATAAAATTATTTGTTTCACATTAATTTATGTGTTTAAGCAGATACAAAAACTTTATTTTCCTGACATAATTTTAAAAATTATGTTCAATTAATAAAATATTCTAAAACAGAAGCATTTAAGGCTTGTAGAGACTGTAAAATCAAAATTGATATTCCATACTTTATATTGGTTTTAATAACATATTCTAGGGAAACTTATATAATACCAGATTATTCCATCAATATTGAGTCAAATGATCTAAGAGCTAAGTATGGACAATTAGATGAGACTTTAATTGTCTTAGTTGATGTAAAAATATAAAACACCTTAGGTAAATGACACTCATGGTGTCATAAATATTACGTTGTCTCCCCTTCCTTTCATAAAGAGAAGAGTTTCTGATATTATTGGTGATTCAGTATTCAGTTTGAAAGTAAAGTGAGAAATCACAAAACAGATTTAGGTCAACTTGTTTGATAGAAGTCAGGGCAAGGGTGAAGCAATAGATCCGAAATATGATTATCAAATATTTCTGGAATCAAGATCACTGTATCAAAATAAAAAGGGCAAAACCCAAAAAACTTTGAAATGATATGACTCATGATAGGATTTTTACTTTCCATTGATTCAGCCATTGCAGTACATTGAGCTCCATAGAGACAGCACTGGGGCAAGTGAGAGCTGGATGGGCACTCTGCGACTCTGTGCCTCACAGAGGGAGAATAACTAAACATGGGCAAAAGAGATCCTGAGAAGCCGAGAGACAAAATGTCATCATATGTATTCTCTGTGCAAACTTGGGAGGAGCAAAAAGGGAAGCACCCACATGTTTCAATCAACTTCAGAGAGGTGGAAGACCATGTTTTCCAGCAAGAAAGAAAAACTAGAAGACATGGCAAAGGCGTACAAAGCCCATTATAAAGGAGAATCCCAGTGGAGAGACAAAAAAGAAGGTCAAGTATCCCATCACACCCAAGAGGGCTTCTTCAGCCTTTTTCTTGTTCTGTTCTGAGAATCACCCAAGAATCACAGGAGAATATCCTGGCCTATCCATTGGTGATGTTGTGACGAACCTGGGAGAAGAGGAATAACACTATAGCAGATGACAAGCAGCCCTATGAAAAGAAGGCTGCAAAGCTGAAGGAAAAATACAAAAGGATATCCCTTCATACTGAGCTAAAGGAAAACCTGGTGCAGCAAAAAGGGAGTCGTCAAGGCTGAAAAACCCAAGAAAAAGAAGGAAGAAGAGGAAAATGAGGAAAATGAAGAGGATGAGGAGAAGAAAGATGAAGAAGAAGATGATGATGATGGATAAGTTGGTTCTAGCACAGTTTTTTTTCTTGTCTATAAAGCAATTAACCCCCCTGTACACAACTCATTCCCTTTAAAGAAGAAAATTGAAATGTAAGGCTGTGTAAGTTTTGTTTTTAAACGGTAAAATGTCTTTTTTTGTATAGTTAGCACACTACCAAATATGTCTTTATATAGCCCTGTCCTGATGGTATTTTCAATAGCCACTAACCTTGCCTAGTGTAGTATGGGGGTTGTAAATTGGCGTGGAAATTCAAAGCAGGTTCTTGTTAACGTGCAGCACAAATTAGTTACATATGGACATGGTGGTTTTTTCATCTTTCATCAGTTGTCTTTGATGTGGCATATATGAAATAATTGTTGTTCTGTTAACTAAATACCACCCGGTGATTCCAAAAAAAAAAAAAAAAAAAAACGCAGCTGTTTTGTTGACGTTCTAAATGCTTCTAAGTAAATACAATTTTTTTAGTATTGTTGTCCTTTTCATAAGTCTGAAATTTTTTTTCCTGAGGGGAAGCTAGTCTTTTGCTTTTGCTCATTTAGGAGCAAATGAATTATTACTGTGTTTATCCTTTCATATAGTTAGCTGATAAAAAGCTTTTGTGTACATACTCTGCATATCATGATGAGGGGTAAATAGTTACATTGAGGCAGTTTACATCCATAACTAAATGGGTGGATCAAATCCTTATCAGTTGATAACAAATTTTACATGGCCCACTTATATTTACAAACTGAAGAGTAACCAATCTACTCACGGCATGGGAATATTAGAATCAAACATTTAAAATCTGTCCTTGAAGGACTAATAGAAAAGTATGTACTAATATTTATATGTAATAGCAGTTATATTTTGCAATTCCAGTGTTAAAGAAGACCTGAGATTGTATCACCAAAAGTGTGAGCTTAAAATAGAAGACTGCCATATTAAATATTTTGTTGACATTAGTCTCAGTGAAGACTATGAATATACTGGCTGTAGTTGTCTTTTCCCATTTATCTAAATATGGACTGCTCAGGAAGCTGGGACTCTCCATTATAAGTATTTTTAATTAATTGGGGCAGCTTTAAAATGAAGATACTGCATTTGAAATAGAGTATATTTTCCTATATTATGGTTTGCCCCCTTATAAATCAAATAGGAGAAAAGAAGACAAACTTTGCATCTCAGTATTAATTACTCAATGTATTTGAATAATTTTTTTTACAAAACCCAAACTTATTCATTAGTCATGTTTATCTACTTTGCAGTTTAGAAAACAATTTGGCAATTTTGTGTTTTTTGAGATTATTGTTTTCTTAAAGTGTCCGTATTTTAAAATAGCGTTCTTGTAATTTTATACGCTTTTGTGAGGAAGTGCTGTTTTGTTATATTATTTTGACTTGGATTCTTTCCATTTGCATTTGTTTATGTAATTTCAGGAGGATTAGTGAACATCTGAGTCCTGGATGATACTAATAAACTAGTAATTGCAGACGTTTCAAAGAAATATATCCACTGATTTTTTAAAATTCCAAGATAAAAAGCTGTTCTTCTGGAGTGTGAATTTAACACATTGACTAAAATGTACTATATATAATTGAAAGAAAGTATAAATTAATTTTTTAAAGTTTTAAAATAATCTCATTTCGTGTTTTGTTCACAAATGCCCTCGGTAGAGTAAAAAAAAGGTGTGAAAACTTGTTTTTATTATTTTTTTAAAATAAATGCTCTCATTCTTTAATGATTTATTTCAAACAGGTTTCTGTCCTACCTCCCTTGAGTGAAATCACATTGTAGTGAAAAGTTTAAACAAAATCATAGTGACATTGAAGGGTATCTGGCCTATACATTGTTACCTGCTGTCTCCCCTTCATAATCAGTGGTGAGGAAATGTCATCCCACCTTGCTTTGGGCATTGGCCTCTGTCCTGTAAGCATCCACTGAGAAAGAGCCTGTGGCTACTGTAATTGAGCGTCTGTTCTGTTGGAAGTAGCAACACACCATGATTACTTACAGGGAGCTGAGCCATTAACCCCTTCTGACTTTACTTATTTAGCAAGCTCACATA
This sequence comes from Homo sapiens, assembly GCF_000001405.40. Classification (NCBI taxonomy): domain Eukaryota; kingdom Metazoa; phylum Chordata; class Mammalia; order Primates; family Hominidae; genus Homo; species Homo sapiens. The sequence goes on along the minus strand of NC_000003.12, from coordinate 79,955,512 downwards.
TAGTGCTTACTAGGTACTGTACTAAGTACATTATAGTTACAATCCATTTAGTTTAATAACAGTCCTAAAAAAGACACCCTTAATAACCTCATATAGATGATGGAATGGAAGCCTAGTGAGGTTGACAAGCTTGCTCAAAGTCACACAGCTAATACCAAGGATGCTGTATCTTCACTCAAGCAGTCACTCTCTTGAGTCCACTCGGGTGACACTCTGCCTCGGTGACTACATGCTCCTATTCGCACCCCTCAGGTGCTGCTAAAACCAGAGACTCCAGTGTGTTCTTTCCCTGACTATGGCTTAGATCTCCCCAGCCCTCAAAGGGGTGCCTTTGCTGCAGGGACACCTCTCCTCAGCCCTCAGCTGAACTCTAGCAGGACCACTCATTCAATTCTTAGCTACTTCATGGTGACACAAGAATCTGTGGGTCTATTTCATGCCATGTGCAATCCATTTGGATGCAGACCCTTGTCTCTGATGTTATTCCTGCCTAAGCACGTCCTATCATCACTTCTGTCCTAATGCAGCTGCTTTGTTATGCGTCATGGACTCCAAAGAGGAAATGGGACATACTTTCTGTACTTTAGGTTTCACTTTCAATCTATATGAAATGCTACAGGTATCGGGGTTGGAATGTTGGCTTGTGCTAAGACCCTTTATATCAATTCAGGCAGAGTCGTCACCTGGTATTTTCCCTGCAAACCTGTCATTTGGGCTTATCTTTCAGGACGTACAAGGACTTCACACTCCTTTCTGTGGGGAAGAAATAGTCCTTGTATTCAAATTCTTTAAATAATTACTTATGGCAAACTTTGTTCTTGAAGACTTTGAAATTTAAAAAGACCATTTTTCTCTCCAAATGACACATTTCGGAAAAATTATTATTATCCAGTTGGCTCAAAAACCTTAATTACGATTCAAAGATGAGCAACTCTCTGCTTATAGTTCTAGCCTTCTCTAGGCTTACAATGGTATTTATCTAACGGGTGGAGAAAAGGTAGGATTGTGAGATAAACGTGTTGGTTTTATATCTCAAATATGTCTATAAACCTATACTACATTAGGAATCTAAATACACTTATAAGTATATTTGTGTATTATTGGACACTAAATCTACTTGTAGTTGAAAAGGTTTGGTACAAAGTAAATGGAATCTTATTAATTCAGCCTATGGTCAATATTTAATGAGCACAGATATTGAATGACTCCTAATAAGCCATGGCCACCTTATTTGCTTGGAGTATGGTTTACAGGTGGGGATAATTGGTAATTCATGGGCATGGGTGGTACAAGGCAGTTTCACACTGCAAGGAATTCGGCCTTCTGTGACAAACAAAAGAAGAAAGGAAAGCAAATGATTGCATCCTTAAAGAAAAGATAGAAGGATAATGGATTAAAGTTTACCTTTTTCTACAGTTAAGAAGACACATTTTTAGATTAAGTGTTCTAAAACTGGCCTATACAAATCATGAGAAAAGAAATCTATTTGACTAAGAAAGAATATAAAAATAATAGATTCTACATTGTCAGGACAACCCTGGTAAGCGACAGTAGAGACAATAGCAGCAACAATTTGATGGCAATTCTCCAAGTGTTTTCCTGTTTAGAGCTCCCCAAAGGCCCCAAAGGGTATGAATGCTTTATTAACATTTAGACCTCACGAGGTGGCTTCTTTCTATGGATAAAAACAAAGGCACTCAGGGATTCCAGCTCCACTCACATCTGTAGCTTCTGCTTTTGTCTAAATTTGATATTTTTGACAATACACCCTTCAGCAAAAAGCCTCAACAGCTTGTGTAATTATTAGCATGAATGCTGCAAACCTTTTGTACTGTACTTAAGAGTTGCCAACCTTCACTGTCAGGAAAATCATGGAAAATTAAATTAGGACAATAGATGGAATAATGGATGTGAGGGAGTGAAATCCCTAAGTGCTTTGGTCATGCTGCTAATGAAGAAAGACTTCTCCCCTACCTTTCTCTCAGTTGTGAATGTCAGATCTCAGCCATAAAAGTGTACCTTATATGGCATTTTCTTTTTATGTAATCTGTTCACGATTTCTTGAGTGGCTCCTTTAAACTGGTCTCTTTTAATACAGTGTTTCAAAACCACTGTTGCATTAACAGAACTGCTTTAAAATAGGCCAACTTTCAAATTACAATAAAGAGAGAGAGAGAGAGAAAGAGAATGATGAAAAGGAAGCTATCAGCTCTGTCCTGTTTTTACGTCTTTAAAGCATTTTTATATGACCCTCTATTAAAAACTGCACAAAGTGACCCAAACACAACTATGGTCCTACAAGAACTTATTGTATGAAGCAACATATTGTTGATTCAGTCAAGAATAAAAAGAGAGCTTTCCAAAGAAACACTGAAGGAAATAATTCATGTAATACTAAATACAATAATCAAGGTTTTCTATATCTCTTCTAGAGCCTGCTTTATTTTCTAATTTTATATAAATTTTATCAATTTCAAATTAATTGTGAAACAGTGTTAACAGAAGGGGAAATTTTATAATTTGCTGATTAAGTATGATCATCAATGAAAGACAAATGCATTCAATTGGTTGCTGATATTAATTTTTTAAAAAACTGGAATACTATTAGAGAGTTCAAAGAAAAGTATGTGCAGAAATGGTTGAGGAAAGGAATGATATTCCTGCTCGAGGAAAACAGAGAACCATCCAACCCATCACCAGCATAAACAGAGTTAACATGGTATCCTACTGAGTGTCCTTGCAATCATTTCCAGAAGGTTTGGAAGTACAAGCCCAGCTAGCACTCAGCTATGTGAGTCACTTGGTGGGCAGCACAGTGACAGGGGAGAGCACTGAAGGTGGCAGCATATTTGATCATATTGCCCCATCAAATGCATGCATAGTCTAGAAAAATAGTTCTCAAGTATCGCAGAATTGAAGCCTTAGTATGAAATATTTTGTAACACCTCTTTTATTGCACACAGAATTTCAAAATATACAAACTAACAGAAAGAAGAAAAAAGATTATGTGATTTATAACAAAATAGTTTTATTTTAAACCCTCAAGCATATTCACACTAAAATAACCTAATGAATGATGACTACTCACATATCTACACACGCACGTGCACACACAGACACATACATATAATCACAATAAAACCTAGTTACAAATTCATAGTGTGTCAGGAATGTTGTGCTGATAACTGAAGTACCTTGATTATTATTGACATCAATTATGCAGTTTCTTTAAATTAACCCTAATCCTTGGTCATTTAAAAAAAAAAAGCTTATGCTCTTCTTTCAATACATATTATAATATCTTACCACGACAATTTTAGTACATATTAAATCCATAAAAATATTTTATGTTTGAATACAAAACATTTTTTGTTGTTATAGGATTTAAACGGGCTTTTCTCATAATTGATTAGCTGGGGGGGGTGTTTTACATTGTATGAAATACAGAGAAATTCTTCACTATGAAAGTTTATCCCAGACATTCCGGAATGTCTTACATTCCTAGCTCTGCCCATTAAAAGCTTTTAGCACCTGACATCTCTCCCCACCAGTACTGTGACAAGCAAAACAATCCCCATGAGAGGTGACCGCGTGCTGGCAGTCCTCACAGCCCTCGCTTGCTCTCGGCGCCTCCTCTGCCTGGGCTCCCACTTTGGCGGCACTTGAGGAGCCCTTCAGCCCACTGCTGCACTGTGGGAGCCCCTTTCTGGGCTGACCAAGGCCAGAGCCAGCTCGCTCAGCTTGCAGGGAGGTGTGGAGGGAGAGGCGGGAGCGGGAACCGGGGCTGCGTGTGGCGCTTCTGGGCCAGCTGGAGTTCCGGGTGGGCGTGGGCTTGGCGGGCCCCACACTCGGAGCAGCCGGCCGGCACTGCCGGCCCCGGGCAATGAGGGGCTTAGAACCCTGGCCAGCGGCTGCGGAGGGTGTACTAGGTCCCCCAGCAGTGCTGGCCCACCAGCGCTGCACTCGATTTCTCACCGGGCCTTAGCTGCCTTCCCGGGGGGCAGGGCTGGGGACCTGCAGCCTGCCATGCCTGAGCCTCCCACCCCCTCCGTGGGCTCCTGTGTGGCCCGAGCCTCCCGGATGAGCACCACCCCCTGCTCCACGGTGCCCAGTCCCATCGACCACCCAAGGGCTGAGGGGTGCGGGCACACGGCACGGGACTGGCAGGCAGCTCCACCTGCAGCCCCCATGCGGGATCCACTGGGTGAAGCCAGCTGGGCTCCTGAGTCTGGTGGGGAAGTAGAGAACCTTTATGTCTAGCTAAGGGATTGTAAATACACCAATCAGCAGCCTGTGTCTAGCTCAGGGTTTGTGAATGCACCAATCAGCACTCTGTACCTAGCTACTCTGGTGGGGCCTTGGAGAACCTTTATGTCTAGCTCAGGGATTGTACATACACCAAGGGGCACTCTGTATCTAGCTCAAGGTTTGTAAACACACCAATCAGCACCCTGTGTCTAGCTCAGGGTTTGTGAATGCACCAATCGACACTCTGTATCTAGCTACTCTGGTGGGGCCTTGGAGAATCTTTGTGTCACACTCTGTATCTAGCTAATCTGGTGGGGAGGTGGAGAACCTTTGTGTCTAGCTCAGGGATTGTGAACACACCAACCAGCGCCCTGTCAAAACAGACCACTCGGCTCTACCAATCAGCAGGATGTGGGTGGGGCCAGATAAGAGAATAAAAGCAGGCTGCGGGAGCCAGCAGTGGCAACCCGCTTGGGTCCCCTTCCACACTGTGGAAGCTTTGTTCTTTTGCTATTTGCAATAAGTCTTGCTACTGCCCACACTTTGGGTCCACACTGCTTTTATGAGCTGTAACACTCACTGTGAAGGTCCGCAGCTTCACTCCTGAGCCAGCGAGACCACGAATCCACCAGAAGGAAGAAACTCCGCAAACATCCGAACATCAGAAGGAATAAACACCAGACGCTCCACCTTAAGAGCTGTAGCACTCACTGCCAGGGTCCGCGGCTTCATTCTTGAAGTCAGTGAGACCAAGAACCCACCAATTCCGGACACACACACAAATCTCCATGATTTTTGTAGGAAATGCCTTCTTTCTTCTCAAGAATCAATGCTCTAGAAAAATCTACAAAATACTTATCTGGAGTTACATTCTGTAGTTTAAACAATATGAAATCTACAGTGAGTGGAGATTCTGAGCTGCTGAGCAGTTTCTCCAGGTAGCAGGTGGTTGCAGCAGACTACATCTGTAGCTCCAGTGAGTCTCCGATTACCCTCCATAGATTGGTAAGTATTGTAGTGGGTATCCAATGCATACGCTGACTGGGATGATCAAATTAAGCAGGAAGATATGCCTGCTGTTAACAGTGCCAGAACTGGAACCCTAGCTCTTTTTCGTTGCTATGCTGACCTCCTGCGTGGCACATCTAATGTGCTCTTTGTCCTTGTTCTTTAGCTCAAGTGTATGCTACTGTTCTAAAACACATCAATGTTCCCCCCGCCCCAGTAAGGGAGAGTGATTCCATTTGCTCAGTGTCTTTGTTTTGCTTTTCCCTTGGTCCTGTCTTTGATTGCTGGGCATCAGTGAATCAAAACTATCTAAACTCAGAAACATGCCAGCTGTGGTCCACCAGATTCAGCTCTCTTCTCTTCCCACTTTCTGTTTGATACAACAACACATGAATGAGAAGCATAGCTGGACAATAGGCCCCAGGCTATTAGTAAAGCAACAAATTCAAAATGAAAATAGTTACAGATGTTTCCCCGAGGCTGGACACCTAACACATGTAACCATTTTTCCTGACAACACCACAAATTTCTCTGGAAATTTCAGGGTCATCATAAGGACACAAGTAGAAGTGTAACCACATTTAATCCATCTGAAGCAAAGGATGTTTTCCACAGAATGACTGAATAAGAGGAGTTGTATGTGGTCTCAACACCCACCAGGGACCAGTGAAGTCAAAGAGGGGAGCAGGAGAAATTTCACTTTCTATACCTCCTATACTCCACGTACATAGACTTGCATCTTTTTCCAACACTTAGGAAAAGTTTCCTTAGGAAGATGCAGTTCATCCTTCTTTTCTACTACCATATCCCATATTAAAATACAGGATGTTCTTTCAGAGAAGCTCCGTATTCCCCTAAAATAGGGTGTGGATTTCATTTCCTTATTAGCTTTTTCAAGACGGACTTGCTCTCCCAATCTACTTCTCTTCATTCACAAAAGTGTTAGTTGGTGTCCCTATCCTGGTTGCTTTTCTGCATTTTTTTAAAATTTTCAGATAGCTTCAGCTTTTTCCTCTTTTGATAAAATGATTTCTGTCAATAGGGACGTGAATGAATTTTAAGCTGGTCTGACACAGGGGCTGATGCAATCTTGAATTCCACGCCATTACTAACTCAAGTTCGTTCAAATTTAACATCATCCCTGTGCTGCTCAAGATCCAATATATTCCTTTTTTGCTACATTTCTATTTATTCTGCAAAGAATTCAAACTTCTCTTCCTGTGGCTCTGGCCAGAGCAACCCACAATCATACATATTACTAATATTTCAACAAAGACTATATTGTTTGTCTTACTTCCTGTCCAGGGCAATTTGGATGAAGAAACTGCTGTCAGATTTAACACTGTTTCCTACCACCTCTACTCTCTTGCTCAGTTGTCCACCTTCTATTTCTACAGTCATTTACCTATTTGCCAAATTGTTGAGCACACAATATTGGCATACCTACCATTTCTCATTGACCATGAACTCATCTGTATAACTTGCCATGTTTCACTTCCAGATCGCTGGTTAAAATGCACAGTTAATCATGGTTTGACCATGTTAAAAGAAAAAAACATGGTTAAAACCCATGTGTCAAATGCTGAATGATTTATATTTTATGGCAGAACATCTTTGAATTAGGTCTATGGCATCACTATTCGGTTCAAGCACAGTCAGAATGACATCAATAATTTTATTTAACATGACCAGACAGAATGCCCATTTTCTTCCTTAAACCAATGTCATTCTTAGGAGAAGGGAAAGAAAATGGTACAGGCAATCTCCAAATTACTTGATGAAGCATCAACACCAAATTTTGATGGATTGCAAAGGATTATTGTATATGGTAGGCATGCTGTATATTTCACCCATATATTTCAAGCTGTATATTTCACCCATATATTTCACCCATTTCAGCCCTCACATGATAAAGAATTGGAGGTAGTGGTTAAACCCACTTCTACCAGAGCCCTTAACCCCTCCATGGTTTGAAACTTTAGACAGCCTGCATTAAGTGTCACTCTTCAATGCGAGTAAACTCTCCTGTTTGAGTCAAATAGAGATCTCACTTTAGTTGTCAGCTGACATGTTAGTGTGCCACAGTTGATGTATGCTGGCAGAAGACATAAGATTTCTGGATCAGAGACATAGGACTTATTATTCATGGCACAACAAGCTTCATGTTTGTTTTTTTTGTTTTTTGTTTTGTTTTGTTTTTCCCATTGAGCCCCATGTTTCACGGGGCAATGTGGAGGGACTTATGTGGATGCTGTACACACAGTGAGTGTTGGAGAACTTCCATCTCTGAAAACATACATCTTTTCTGATAGGCTTTAAGCCTGCTTGTTCTATGCCCTGGAAGGAGATATCATGTCTTTATTATACTGGAAAATAAATATATTTAGTGGGTGTTCCAGATGTAGGCACTACAAACATCCCTGAAAAGATGGTTAATAACAAAGGCCATCAGTGCCTTTTCTAGATAGACATGCAGACATTGAGAGATGTAAGGAAACTTGTCTCCCAAGAGATCCTTATTGCCCCGGCTCTTCAATACTTCTTGCCTGAAGGCAAAGCACCAAGGATTCTGTAAGTAACAGATATCACTCTGCCCAAATTCCATGCCTCTGAGTATGTTCTCATGTGAGGTTACTTCAGAAAAGTTTCTCTTTATCACAACCTTAAGTAATGACAAATAACTTCAGAAATGTTTTATACCTGCTAAATGAAATACTATAATTCTACTCCTGCACACAATCTTTTTTCTTTTTAATTCCCCACCCTTTTTTTGTGTGTTTTCCTGGTAAATTCCCCCAAATACAATATTTTTTCTGCTTTTATCTCATGCTATATTTTCTATCTATATCTTTTTCAACATACTGCCTCATTTTTGTTAGCTATTTCTTTATTGTTAGTTATTATATAGTGTCAATATATAGTCATATTATATATATAATATATAACATAACATATAATATAGTCATTATATTCTCTCTAATCATATATACAAGTATCTAGAAAACAGGTATATAATCCACTTATTACTGCACCAACTTTTACATTTAAAGATGCAATTTGATGAACAAATGCATAAATGATTAAGAATAAAAGATATAAATGAATCTAAGCTGCTAGAAGGCAAGGGCTGTATGTGTTTTGATCAAAATGAATATCTAGTTTCTAACAAAGAACCTGAATACTGGAAAAAAAGAACCTGGATGGGATAAGCATGGAATACTATAAAATTCCATCTAACAACTCTTATTTGCACTTAACAAGTTCTAAAATGTAGTAGTTTCAGTGTTACGTATTATAAAAAGAGTTTAAATTTTTATTACAGTTCATTTTTCTAGGTTATAACAGTATTTCAGTTTGTTTGTATATTTCTATTTAAATTTTCATTGCTCTGTAACTTAGTTATATTGTGGTCAACAACTGTGTTTTATATACCACTTTTTCTTTGATATTTATTGAGACTGTATTAAATAAAGACCACCAGCGAAAGACCAACAAGAATACATTTATGTTAAAGCTAAGTTAGATGTTTCAGTTTCATACAGCAAAGGATAACCCAACAAATTTTTATATTTTTGCAAATATAATTTGAGGAAAAATGATAACTCACTGCACATGTTAAAAAATATAAAAAAATTGATCTAAAACTTTAAATTACAGGCAATTAATCGCACAATTGTGCTAACACATAAATTTCGTTAGCATAATTTTCAAGTGGTGATAAAATGGGGAGAAGATATAGAGTTGTTTTTAAGCTGAACCTGATTTGTCAAGATGATCTCCTCTTTATCAGGAATACTATATAAGCCCTTTTTAAAAACAAGTTGAAATTTTACAGATACTTTAAATCAAACAAAAAGCTGATGGTCTTGCTTATCTTATTACCTAGTTTAAAAAAGCTATTAATTAATATCTCAGTTATAGTTTTGTCAGGAAAAGTATTAGCCAACATATACAAACAATTAGTATGTATGTTTCTTTTAATTAAAACAGAACAATTGTTCCATTTTCCTGTAAGTCTAAGAAGTCACAAAGGAAATTAGAAAGCATTTTGAACTGAATGATAAAGAAAAATTAAATTAAAAATATGTTGATACAGCTAAAGCACTGCTTACGGAAACATTTATAGGTTTACATTTGTATGTAAGTGACCAGGAAAGACAATATCGCGATTTTAAAGTTCCACTTTGGAAAGAAAAAAAAAAAAAAAGAAAGGCAAATTAACTGCAACACATGTAGAAGAAAAGCTTAATCATAGGAGATAAAATTTGTTTTATAAAAGACAGAGAAAAACAATAGAGAAAAGCAACAGAGTAAAACATTGTTTCTTCAATATGATTAATAAGATTGATATGCCCAGAGAAAGACTGACCCAGAACAAAATAACACAAATTCCCAATACCAGGAGCAAATCATTATTGCTCCTATTGATAATAAAAGGATAATAAAGGAATATTAGGAACAACTTAATTTCAATAAATTTTACAATTTTGTTTTAATTTCCATAGGTTTGGGAGAACAGGTGGTGTTTGGTTATATGAATAAGTTCTTTAGTGGTGATTTGTGAGATTTTGGTGCACACATCACCCGAGAAATATACACTGAACCCAATTTGTGGTTATTTATACCTCACCTCCTTCCCGTCCTTTCCTCCAAGTCCCCAAAGTCCATTGCATGTTTTTCTGTTTGTTTGTTTTTTGAGACAGAGTCTTGCTCTGTCATCCAGGCTGGAGCATAGTGTTGCAATCTTGGCTCACGGCAACCTCCACCTCCAGGGTTCAAGCAATTCTCCTGCCTCAGCCTCCAGAGTAGCTGGGATTACAGGTGTGCACCACGATGCCCAGCTAATTTTTGTATTTTTAATACAGACGGAGTTTCAGCCTGTTAGTCAAGCTGGTCTCGAACTCCTGACCTCATGATCCGCCCGCCTCAGCCTCCCAAAGTGCTGGGATTACAGGCGTGAGCCACTGTGCCCAGCTGTCCATTGTATCATTCTTATGCCTTTGCATCCTCATGGCTTAGCTCCCACTTGTGAGTGAGAACATACAATGTTTAGTTTTCCATTCCTGAGTTACTTCACTTAGAATAATGGTCTCCAATTCCATCCAGGTTGTGAAGAATGCCATTATTTCATTCCCTTGTTATGTCTGAATAGTATTCCATGGCGTGTGTGTGTGTGTGTGTGTGCATATATACATACATACATACATACATATATATATATATATATATATCACAATTTCTTTATTCACTCATTGATTTATGGACATGTGGGCTGGTTTCATATTTTTGCAATTGTGAATTGTGCTGCTCTAAACATGTGTGTGCAAATATCTTTTTTATATAGTGACATTTTTTCCTCTGGGTAGATAACCAGGAGTGGGATTGCTAGATCAAAGGGTAGTTCTACTTTTAGTTATTTGAGGGATCCCCACACTGTTTTCCACAGTGGTTGTACTATTTTGCATTCCTACTTACAGTGTAAAATTGTTCCCTTTTCACAGCATTCCCATTGACCTCTATTATTTTTTAATTTTTTGATTGTGTCCATTCTTGCAAAAGTAAGGTGGTATCACATTGTGATTTTGATTTGCATTTCCCTGGTAATTACTGATGCTGAGCATTTTTTCATGTTTGTTGGCCATTCGTATATCTTCTTTCAAAAATTGTCTATTCATGTCCTTAGCCCTTGTTGATGGAAATGTTTATTTGTTTGTTTGTTTTTCTTGCTAATTTGAGTTCCTTGTAGATTCTGGATATTAGTCCTTTGTCAGTTATATAGATTGTGAAGATTTTCTCCCACTCTGTGGGTTGTCTGTTTACTCTGCTGATTGCTTCTTTCCTTGTGCAGAAATTGTTTAATTTAATTGAGCCCCACCTGTTTATCATTGTTTTTGTTGCATTTGCTTTTGAGTTCTTGGTCGTAAAGTCTTTGCCTAAGCCTCTTTGCTAAGCCAATGTCTAGAAGGGTTTTTCGAATGTTACCTTCTAGAATTCCTATGGTTTCAGGTCTTAGATTTAAGTTCTTGATCCATCTTGGGTTGATTTTTGTATAAGGTGAAAAATGAGGATCCAGTTTCATTCTTCTATGTGTGGCTTGCCAATTATTCCAGCACCATTTGTTGAAACGGTGTCTTTTCCCCACTTACGTTTTTGTTTGATTTGTCAAAGATCATTTGGCTGTAAGTATTTGGGTTTATTTCAGTGTTTTCTATTCTGTGTTCCATTGGTCTATGTGCCTATTTTTATACCAGTACCATGTTGTTTTGATGACTCTGGCTTTTAGTACAGTTTGAAGTCGGGTAATATGATGCTTCCAGATTTGTTCTTTTTGCTTAGTCTTGTTTTGTCTATACAGACTTATTTTTTTTCATTCAATATGAATTCTAAGATTGTCTTTTCTAGTTCTGTGAAGAATGGTAGTGGTGTTTTAATGGGGATTGCACTGAATTTGTAGATTACTCTTGGCAGTATGGTCATTTTCACAATAATGATTCTACCCATCCATGAGCACGGGATGTGTTTCCATTTGTTTGTGTCATCTATGATCTCTTTCAGCAGTGTTTTGTAGTTTTTCATGTAGAGGTCTCTCACCTCCTTGGTTAGGTATATTCCTAAGTATTTTAATTTATTTTTTTGCATCTATTGTAAAAGAGGTTGAATTCTTGATTTGATTCTCAGCGTGGTCACTGCTGGTGGATAGCAGAGCTACTGATTTGTGTACATTAATTTTGTATCTTGAAACTTTGCTGAATTCGATTATCAGTTCTTGGAGCTTTTTGGAGGAGCCATTAGGGTTTTCTAGGTATACTATCATATCATCAGCAAACAGCTACAGTTTGACTTCTTCTTCACTGATTTGGATGCCCTTTATTTCTTTCTCTTGTCTGATTGCGCTGGCTAGGACGTTCAGTACTATGTTGAACAGAAGTGGTGAGAGAGGGCATCCTTATCTTTTTCCAGTTCTCAAAGAGAATGAAGGGATGGTTTAACATATGCAAGTCAATAAATGTTGTATACCACACAAACAGAATTAAAAACAAAAATCACGTGATAATCTCAATAGACTCAGAAAAGGTGTTTGACAAAATCCAGCATCACTTTAAGATTAAAACCCTTAGAAAAATTGAAATAGAAAGGACATACCTTAATGTAATAAAAGTCATCTATGACAAACCCACAGGCAACAGAATACTGAATGCGGACAAATTTAACTACTTTTTTTCCTTTGAGAAAAGACTTGAAAAATACAAGTTACCAAAATTAAAACAATAAAAAATAGATTATCATAATATACCTGTATCTATTGAAAAATGTAATTCCTAATTAAAGTTATTCCAACCATACAATTCAACACCCGGATGGAGTCACCAGTGGCACCAGTGAAATTTCTCAACCATTTAAAAAAGATACTATACAAATTCTATAAAAACACTTTCAGAAAATACTGAAGGAGGTAGGAAGGCCAGCTGAACCCTTATACTAAAGAAGAATGAAAGAAATGAGATATCTCCTCAGGGAGGAGAGAAGGGTAGGAGAGAGAATGAATCGTGACTAAGCGGGTTTATCTCAGAAATAAAAGATTGCCTCATTAATTGAAATCAATCAGTGAAATTCAATGCATTAAGAGGATAAAGGATAAAATACTTTTAATGATATAGAAAAAGTCATTGACAAAATTCCACACCTTTCATGACAAAAATTCTCAGTAAACTGGGAATATAAAAGAACTTATTTAATTAGTTAAAAACTATCTACAAAAAAACCTATAGCAAATATCCTGCTTAATGGTACAATATCATCATAAAGTAAAAATGTTTGCTCTCACTAATCATGTTCAACATGGTACTCAAAAGTAGTAACTAGTGCAATAATGCACAAACATAAAGTTAATTACATGAATATTGGAATGTAAAAAATAAAATAGTCTTTATTCTTATGTGGAATGATTGTCTACTTAGATAATCTGAAGAAATCTACTAAGAAAATTACCGTAATAAGTTAATTTAAAAAGATGACGAAGGCCGGGCGCGGTGGCTCATGCCTGTAATCCCAGCACTTTGGGAGGCCGAGGCGGGCGGATCACGAGGTCAGGAGATCGAGACCATCCTGGCTAACACGGTGAAACCCCGTCTCTACTAAAAATACAAAAAATTAGCCGGGCGTGGTGGCGGGCGCCTGTAGTCCCAGCTACTCGGGAGGCTGAGGCAGGAGAATGGCGTGAACCCAGGAGGCGGAGCTTGCAGTGAGCCGAGATCGCGCCACTGCACTCCAGCCTGGGCGACAGAGCGAGACTCTGTCTCAAAAAAAAAAAAAAAAAAAAAAAAAAGACGAAAATAATATACAATTTTTTCTATAGTTTTAAATATTAACATAGAAGATTTACTCAAGATCTAGTAAACATACCCATTTTACTCAAGAGAAGTTAAAACATAGATTAATAATAGCAACAACTTTTTAACAACCCAAATATCCAAGAACAGGGAAAGAAAGCAAATTGTATTTTATTCATAACAATGGATCAACATCCAGCACAAACAACAAATGATTATAAATACTTGCAGCAACATGGATGAATCTCAAAGATAATCATCTTAAATAAAAGAAGACAGGCACAAAATAATACATTCTGGGTCCTTCCATTCCTATGAAGTCAGAGTCAGGCAAATCGTCTATGGTCATAGAAATTAGAGAGTGGTTGCCCCAGATGGTGGGTTGGTGGTAGGAACTGAAAAGGGGCATGAGGGAACGCTGGGTGATACAAATGTTTGAGTTATGGTCATAAAGGTGTGTAAAATTTCCAGAACTCTTTGAACTGAATATTTAATATTAATGCATTTTATTGCAGGTAAATTATAGCTCAATTTTTAAAAGTGAATAAATCCCTGAGTTAGAGAGACTTTAACTGACTCATTCAATACCAGAACTAGAATTTATCATTCTTACTGTGTTTTTCACAACAGTTTGAACAAACTACAAATTTATTATGCTCATTGCTATAGGGTTTAAAATATGAAATATTAACACATATGTTAAATGGAAATATATAAATTTAAAAGATGCCAAGTGACTGTACTTGATTAATTGTTAGATAAAAGGATAAGTGCTGTGAATTCAAAACAAAGAGAAGTCACTGCAGGGGAAAAAGTCTGGAACACTTTTCACTTTTCTGCTAGAATAGGAGCTGAAGTTGAGCTTCGAAAGTTGAATATGTATTTGAATTGTAATCAACTTTTTAATTTTGTTTCAGGTATACCTTATATAAATAAGCATATAACAAGAAATATACATATGAATATATAGAGAGAAATAAATGTATTATTGAAATATAATCTATAATATGTGACATATGTTATATATACATATTTATATTATATATTCTATATATAATTTTAATTATATATTTATGTTATATATTATATATACAATTATAATTATTTATATATTTCTATATAGTAGAAATATGTAATATATATTTGTATGTATATACATATATAGGTATTTTATAGGCTTATTTCTGCCATTTAAATTGGCCAAAAATAAATTTGGTCTATTCAACATTAAAGAAATTTATAGAAATTCAATTAACAACAATAGATATTGTTGGGAAAGACTTGATTTGAAAATTTTAGTCCTTTGTGCTTGATATATAGTCAAATGATGGCCAATATGGTGTCTACTGAAGTAAATGAAAGTAACCATAATTAAAAATGTAGAACCCTGTGAGTTCCCCACAATAACTTGAGTTTCTTGACAGCTCAATGAAGAATTTATAAAATACAAACAATAATACAGATATGAACACCTTCAGTTTGTTCAGATTCAAATCACTGCACTGAGATTCCAGTATTTCTCTTTTTCTCATATCAGAATGTTATTGCAGTATTAAATTTAACAACTGACTAACCACAATACTCACAAGCTGACAGATGATAAGTAGTAATTGTTGAAGCAAAGCTTCAGAACAACATGTTTTACAGGGTATACAGTATTCAATTTCCTGAAGTGACAGTTTTCAGTATCTTAATAGCTAAAGGATAGTAAATTGTTCACCTCATGAGCATTTTTGGCACAAACTTTTAGAAGCAATTTTCAAGGGAGTCATTTAGGATGAATGGTATGGTACTTAGTGCAACACCGGAGTGCAACGTTAAACAATCACCGTGTGCAGAATATGGCATGACATGACCCTAATGGCAGCTTGTGGGCAAGTAGAGAAAGAAAGGCTCATGTGGCATGACACACGTTTTATCACTGGGAACTTCCAGCCACGGAGCCCTTTTAAATGGTAAGGCTGTCATTTACTTAAAAATTTAACTTCCTGTGACAGAGTTTTTAAATTATGTTTTTATCACTAAATGAATCTTTGTATCATGGAAAAGTATGAGTGTGGTGTGTTTCTACTGAGGCGAGTTCTCCGTCTGCACTTACGCCTTAAACTCACTTAGCAGTGGGGGAGCAGTGCTAAAGGAGTCACTGCCTATATTCTCTCCAGAAACTGTTCCCTCTAAGAGCTGCAGCCACCAAGGACAATTAGTTTAAAGAGTGTAAAATAGCCAGTAAAATATGCAATTCCGAGTGAAAAGACTCCCCTTTTTTTTTGAGCGAAAGAAAACAGTATGTTAATATCATACTTGGTCACAGATTAACCCCCCTTTTTTCTTGATTTCCAGTTTATCTGTTACACAAAAGTAACCCTCTTACAACATTGCTTTCTATGCAACATAAAATTCTTTGAGACATGCAAGCATTTGAAACTCTTTAGAAAGAAATCCTATAGCTAGTTAAGAATTGTAGATCTAGTCAGACGTCTTAAGTTTAAATTCTAGGTCTGCATATTATATTAAGTCTGCAATTTGGGGCAAGATTATTTCACCTTTTTTTTGCCTCCACTCCATTATTTGTAAAATTAAACTTGTATATATGTCATGGAACACTAAAAAAGATTAAATACATTAGCACATGTAAACCACTTTCAAAAGAGGCTTTCATATAATAAGAACTCAATAAATAGCTGCTAGTACTGACTAACGTTTCAACATTTTGTCAGGTGTCATTTAACAGACCAATTGTTGTAGAAATCAAAATTTAAGAAATAGTGTAGATGATAGTACTTACTTTTATTAAGTGTTGATAATATAGGCAGGTATGGCTATTTTTATAGTATTTAAATTGAAAAATTTAAACTGCAATGCCCTTGATAGCCAATACTAAAATTCTAAAATTAGTTTTAAAACAAATTAAGTTATGAATTAAGACAATTAAGTTCTGATTAAGATGTTGCTCAAGAAAAGTATTTGTGAAATGACCATTGTAATAAAACAATATAGTACCTTGAACAGAAGGTTTAAAAATATACTGGGGAGAAAGGGAGTACTACTAGAAACTAAAACGTATTTCTTGTCACTTAGAACCACTCGCTCAGAGTCCAAAAAGGGTCACAAGAATTTATGTGGAAATGTCTTGAGGGAGGGCTAATGTTTTGTACCTTCTTTCAGAAGGGAGATGAAGTGCTAGTAGAAGAAACTTTAAGGAAATGGCTTTGGATAACTCATGAGTTCCTACCAAGGCATACTGAATGGCTACATAGGAGTTATCCAGAGAAATCTTAATATGAGGATATGGTTATTAGCCTGAGCAGCTGGGCAGAGACAAAACAGGGACTTACATCTGAGAAGTACCCGCCCTTCCAACAATGGCAAAGTAAAGTTTGTAGCAATGTGTTCCTCATGTGTGGGCCAAACATGCAGTCAGTCTAGAGTCATTTAAAATTGAATTTGAATCAAGAGAATTTCTATCAGTGGATGTGAGGAGAACACTTGACAATCAAGAGCTAAGGGAAGCCCCTTACCCGTGGGTGTTGCTTTCTGATCCAGCAAGAGCCCTCTGAAGATTTCATGACATCATCAAAGGTTCCAAGACTGAATTTCAAGCATCTGCCATTACCAAAGGGCCTGAGAAATCTTAAAAGGGTTTCAGTTAGGGGAGAATATTTCCTTCCCTTCTCTCGCTCTCTCCAGATACTCCAATCTCAGAGGGATCAGTAACTGCACTGAGTAAATGGATGAGTACAGGGTAAATGAGCTATATTCTCTTCTAAGAAGCCAGGAACCCACCAGCAACCAAGACCTAGGTGGAATGGGGTGGAGGGAAAGACATGTTCTTAAATTATATATATTAATGCATTTTGATTATGTATCATTAGCTGCACTTACTCAAATCCACCAGTTCCACTTAAAGTATTACTTATCATAGACAAGTGCTCCTTGGCTCTCCTTTTCTCTCTTCTCTCATCCACAGGACTTTTCTTTGAGAAATTTGCTCCTCCCCCTTTCTTATCTATGTTATTCATGTGAGAATTATTGTGTTTTCAGCTCCAAGAATGTGTCATAATTTGTTTAAGCCAATCAACAGATCATATTTCCTGGTCATTGAGAAACAGTGAGATCTTGGTTGGAGATGTCAGGAGACACACCCACATTCCACAGGTAATTCAGTGAGAGAGACCAAGCTCTTTCATGGAAGAATGTGTAGTACGAAACTGCTGCAGCCACTTAGCTAACACATTGGAGAGGCCTTATCCTCAGCTGGGTAACTGGAGATTAGGGCCTACCAGCAGAGAGCCATTGTTTGAGCCATTGTATAGAAGTTAAGTGAAGTTAGCTCTCCTAGCTATATAGTTGATTGAACCAGTAAATATTACTTCCCCTTTAACCCAATTGGAGTTATTTTTGTGTCATTTATAACATGAAATGTCCTGAAAAATAATTTGAAATGTTTGGTGCCTTCATATGAACACAATTTTACAAATATGCTTCTTGACAGCAAGTTCAAAAAAAAGTTTTAGTCAAATTTACACCATTAAAAAAGGACCTAATATCTCAAACTTCAAGATGCAATTTATGTTTGGAATTATCTATTTCACTGCAAATAACTCCTGCTATTTTAGATTAGTACCTTTTATAAATGTTTAAGGATGACGAACATTATGATTTAGCTTAATAATCTAGCATGAAATCAATTCTCTGAGGATAAATGAGAAGAGTCATATTTACAGTAAATTAAAATTTGTCATATGTTAAACTAATTTAAAAGACATTAAAAAGGCAAAACCAAATTTATCTAGGCGAAATATACTCATAAAACTATTGAGATTTGAAGGGAGAACATACTTTAATTCTACCTCCCCTCAGTATCCGTATATTACACAATTATTTGGTTTATCACATTTGGCCTCTAGTCATTTCTTTACTCTTCATTACAAATTAGCATAATTACTAAATGTTTATTAATTTCAGTTATATTACTTTATCTGTAAAGTTATTTTCTTAATCATACTCAGTAACAAATTAATATTAATCCTTGGAAATAATAGCATTGCATTTCTTTCTGCTTTGTTTTCAGATTTATTCCTGACCCTCAGCTCCAACAGCATTAAAAAAAGAAAAAAATAACATACATTTTCTATTGTGCTTTGATAATTATTTCATTCTGCTCTGCTATCTGGAGTAAATATTAGGCCACAGGGTATGGTCCTTAAGGGGTAACTTCTTCCAATTTCATGTATGAATAAATAATGTTGTATGGAGAATTCTAGCTTTAGTAACATTAGTTTTTACACAGACTATATTTCAATAGAAAGATATGAACAATATAGCAGCCACCTATTGGTTTAATGAATTCATAAAAATGGTAATATCCATTTTCTTATTCTAGCAATGTGTAAATTACAGTATTTGAGAGAGCATATTCATAGTTTATTTACAAGTATTCTCATTTATCAGAAAACTAAAATTTATTTGAACTTGTAAAACAAAATGACCTATATATACCAATATCATTAGTCTAAAAAAAAAATAATTATTTACCTCTCAGAGCCCATGAGCTAGGCAAAGATGAGATGGAGATGATCTGATTAAGACGTTGTTCAAGAAAAGTATTTGTGAAATCGCCATTGTAATAAAACAATATAGTGCTTTAAACAGAAGGTTGTAATATATAGTTTAGAGTTTCATCACTCTACGTATTTCAGATGTGGGGATAAATATAAACCTAAGACATAGTTAAGGTAAACATTGGGAAACAATTTGTTTTCTTTCCTTGAAATCAAAGTTACCAATCTCTGATTAAAACATAGTCCAGTTTCATGACTGAAGTATTGGCTGGTGGGAACCAGAATTCAGCTGATCTGATATTTAGGAGGTGATTATTGATCCTGACATCAATACGGCTTTTAGGGTCACCCAGATTGCTCCATCACTGACAGGGGGCAGTCAGATTATTCTCACTATTCCTGGATTTTTTGTGATTTACATAAAGAGACTCTATAGGTGATGCTACACATTTTAATTTTGTTACTTCTAACCAAGAATAATTTAACCAACAGTCATACGCAATGTTCCTCATAAAAATGAATAGAAAGCTTATCAAATAACTGACTATAATAGGTTTATTAATTGATATGGTTTGGCTGTGTCCCCACCCAAATCTCACCTTGAGTTGTAATAATCCCCATGTGTCAAGGGCAGGAGCAGGTGGAGGTAACTGAATCATGGGGGAGGTGTTCCCCCATGCTATTCTCATGATAGTGAGTGAGTTCTCATGAGATTGGATGGTTTTATAAGCATCTGGCATTTCCCCTGCCGAAACTCATTCTCTCTCCTGCTGCCCTGTAAAGAGGTGGCTTCCTCCATGATTGTAAGTTTCCTGAGGCCTCCCAAGCCATGTGGAACTGTGAGTCAATTAAATCTCTTTTCTTTATAAATTGCCAAGTCTCAGGCAGTTCTCTATAGCAGCATGAGAAAAGACTAATACATTAATCAAATCATATTTGTCATTTCTTCTATTATACCATTAAAATTAAAATCCCAATAATACTAAAAATAAATCAAGGTACATGAGGACAGCAATGAAAATTATTTATTTACCCGTATAATAGTTACTCGCAATCACCTGATACTTGATAATACAGTTTAATTTAAATACACAATAATAGGGTTGCCATTTTATTTCCATATGAGAAAGAAAATGATATATAGTGCTTTATCTTTCTAGAAATACAAGGTGTAACAATGTTTAGTTCTTTAAGTTATGAGGTGAAACCATTCAAAAATAATATTTCAGTCAAATTAGTGTTAAAAAAACTATAAATTATAAGAGGAAATATAAGGGAATATTTAATCTTTGGATAAAGTTTTTTTTTTTTTTTTTTTTTTTTTTTTTTGAGACAGGGTCTCACTCGGCCACATTGGCTGAAGTGCCGTGGCAAATCTCGGCTCACTACAACAACCATCTCCTGGGTTCAAGCAATTCTGTCATCTCAGCCTCCCAAGTAGCTGGGATTACAAGCACCTGCCATCATGCCTGGCTAATTTTTGTATTTTAGTAGAGACTGGGTTTCACCATGTTGGCCAGGCTGGTCTTGAACTCCTGACCTCAGGTGATCCACCCACCTTGGCCTCACAAAATGCTAGAATTATAAGCGTGATACACCACGCCTGGCTGGATGAAGTATCTTTATACAGTCTTGCATCACTTAATGACAGGATGGGGATATATTCTGAGAAATGTGTTATCAGGCAATTTCATCTTTATCCTGTCATCGTAGAGTGTACTTATGTGCATAAAACTAGGTGGTATACTGTATTTATCTGTTTTCCACACTGCTATAAAGAAATACCTGAGACTGGGTAATTTATAAAGAGAAGAGGTTTAATTGACTCACAGTTCTCCATGGCTGGGGAGGCCTCAGGAAACTTACAATCATGGCAGAAGGGGAGGCAGGTGCATCTTACATAGAAGAAGGAGAGAGAGAAGTGAGAGTGCAGGAAAACACTGCCTCTTTTAAAACCATCAGATCCCATGAGAATTCACTCACCATCAGTAGAACAGTGTGGTGAAAATGGCCCATAATTCAATCATCACTTCCCACTCTATACATGTGAGGATTACAGGCCCCTCCTTCAACATGTGGGGATTATAATTAAATGAGATTTGGGTGGGAACACAGAGCCAAACCACATAATAAACCCTACTACAGGTCTAGGCTATATGGTGTAGCCTACTACTCCTAGACTACAAACCTGTACAGTATGTTACTTTACTGAATACTGTTGGCAGTTGTAATATAATGGTGTTTGTGTATCTAAGCATACTTAAACATAGAAAAGGTACAGTAAAAATAAGGTATAAAAGATAGAAAATGACATATTGGGCAGTGATAAAGTTTTTTAAATTGTGATTAGAGGTTTCACAAATAAAAATTAGTCAAGAATAAGTACAAAATACAAATGTTAAAACTTATCAACAATTCATTTTATTGTTTCTGAAGTAATACTGTGGTGATACAATGAAATAATATATGAATGTCAAGTCTTCAGAACAGTGACTGTCCAATTAAAGCTACCCGTCAATGTTAGATAGTGCTGTTAGGAACAGGACTTAGAACTGGAATCGGAGTGGGAGGAGAATGAAAAAATAAATATATAGATATTGTCATATTTAAATAAGTAATATTCAAAATTATGGCACTTAGTGAAGAGACATGCAAGTTCTATACTTTTTAGAAAAGTGAAAATTTGCTTAACCTTTCTAGAAATTAATTTGATCTGTCCCCAAAGCCTTAAATGGGTTTCTTGCTATTGATCCAGTAATTTTATTACAAATACTCAATTGAAAAAAATATGAAATATATGAGAAAGTTCATTACTATTGTATTTATAAATTAATAAAAAGTTTAGACAGGAGAATTCTATCTTGTTAGGAATAAGAATCTTACATTTCATTTATTAGATACAAGATTTGTGCACATTCTTAATGCCATCTAATTGTCATCTGGAAATAATAATCCCAACGGTGAGTTACTGGAATAAACACAAAAAAATACTGCATGTAAAAATCTTAGTATTTTGCCTAGGGCAGAATATGATGTTAGAGATTATTATTATTGACAGTGTTACTATAATTGCATGTGCATATTAGTTAGGGTTTGCTGAGTTGCATTAACAAACAGATTGTCAAAATTCTGTGGTTTAGAAAACTGATTTTATTTTTTTCTCTCATGTAATACAGGTGGAGGTTCTACTGCAGTAGCAGTTCTTTTTTGTTGTTGTTGTTGCTGCTGTTGTTGTTGTTGTTTAGATAGAGTCTGGCACGATCTTGGCTCCCTATAACCTCCACCTGCTGAGCTCAAGTGATTCTCCTGCCTCAGCCTCCCAAGTAGCTGGGACTACAGGCGTGTGCCACCACGCCCTGCTAATTTTTGTGTTTTTAGTAGAGATGGGGCTTCACCATGTTGGCCAGATGGTCTCGATCTCTTGACCTCATGATCTGCCCGCCTTGGCCTCCCAAAGTGCTGGGATTACAGGCGTGAGCCACCGCGCCTGGCCAGTAGCAGTTCTTTCTATGCAGTTACTGCTGGTTCAGGCTGACAGAAGCTCTGCCATCTTTAACATACAGCTTTCAAGATTGTTGTCATTGCTTTCATCCTAATCACCTGAAAGCGTGAAAAACCATGGAGGATCATGATTCAGAAAGTTTACATTATATTCTACCCACAATTCATAGACACTCAGCAGTATACCTCATTCACCCTAGCTCTTTGTCCAGGGGGAAAAATCGAGTGAATTAATTTAGTGACTGAATAATGGTCTTTGCCATATACTTATATATAATGATTTTGTATACTTGTTGTTTTTAATAAGATTATTTCTTAGTCAAAACAACCTATTGAAATTATATTAATGTGTTTTAAAAATGAAAATACATAGAAAATAACAAAATGAAATATGACTGTTAAATGTGGGTGACAATTGTGAAAGATTTATTTTCTAAAGGGTATAGCTTTAATAATTTTGACAAGGATTATGATTTTGTTACACTGATAGTAAAAAGAGAAAAAAATTATGTAGACGTTCACAAGATATTCCTGGTTAATTAATTACCTCTTATGAACTCCAAAAATTAAAAAAGCTTGAGGCTATGTGTAATATCTTTTTATTTTAATCCAAGTAATTATTTAATGAAGTTTTGACTCTGATTTTAATTATTTAAAGGGTAAGTACAGTGCTGCACTATTTCTTAAAAGAAATTAAAAGGAAAATCCATGACTCACTGATTTCTGTTCTTTTTCGTAAAATCATTTATCATTCTGTAAATCAGGTTTTTTAGAGAATAATTAAATATTTTCATATTCATTTATTCAACATTTATCAAATACTTTACGAGAAACTCCCCAAAGTGTCAATGATCATCTAAGACCTCAGTTGAGTCAGGGAAATGCATAAATAAATTGATAAATATGTTGAAAGTGTTATAGGTGTAAAGCACTTTGGGAATCCGAAGTAATTACTACTTAGCCTAGATTGAATGAGAGAGGTTGTGATTATTTAATAGCACCTGGTAATATGTGAGGCTTAATTTAATATCTTAGCTGAACATTTCAGGAAAAGCAGCTGGAAGAACAATTCAGGGAGAGATAAGAACATGAAATTATATACATATATAAATAAGTATATATTATATATAATATATATTATATATAAATAAATTACATATGTCTGTATATATACGTGTAATACAATAAAATATAATGCCATTTCCAATGAACAGGGCAGTCAGTTTGGATGGAATATAAAGTTTGTGTTTAGAAAAGGTGATGGACAAATGTTCCAGTGACATAAATTTAGGCAAAATAGTTAGAAATGAGAAGATCAATTTTCTTGTATGGTATGCTTAGAAGTCTATACATTGTCCTGTATGCAAATGTTATCTAACATTGGCTTTGTTTTTTAAGAAGATTTGGTTGGTGATTAAAAATTACAAACTAATGAGGAGATGAGAAGCAACTAGAAGCACAAGTAGCATTTGGTAGCATTCACTACAAGTAGCTGTGACAAATATATATGTAATGGCCTAAACCAAATTATTTTGTCAAACAGAGAATGAAGAGGTTATTTCTAAGGTATGCAGGATTCACTCTCTGGCTATATGTAGGTTGTAAGGGAGATTAAAAAAATAATGATTCTGAGAGTATTAGAACATATCAGAGTCAGTTGTGTAGATGGTTGTGTCTGCAATCCAGAAATTAAATACTAGGAAAATATTATGTTTCTATTGGTACACTAGCAACCATAAGTGATAGAAATATAGATAAATAGATAAACAAACTATCAAGTTTGCTCTTCCACAGATACTGAATATAATTATTGCTAAGGCTGAAAATATTCATGTATTCTCCTTGGTATGCTTTGTTTGCATCTGCTATGTAGAAAATTCAGCTAATATTCAAAATTAGTATTAAAGTGGAGAAATAATAAATACATTTAACATCCAAAGAATTATTTTCATTTGTGTTTGAAAAAAGAATGAACAGTTTCCACTTGTCAGATATGAGTGGACGTTTATCATGTGATGCTTGCCTGGAGATACAGGGAAAATGAAGAAAATTCTAAGACTTATGCAGTGCATTAGAATGATAAGGTCTTAAGGCTTAGTTTGACATTTTGAACGTGGAAACATATTTCCTTTGCTTTTTAAGATTTTGTTTTTGACCAAGTCAGCAACTACTTGAAGGTAGTAACTGACCAAAATTACAATTTTAACAAATATTGAATTGTAAAATGACATCTCGTCTTTATAACTAGTATTTTTTCCACATCTGGTGTGTTTGTGAATAATGAGAAATGGCTGCAAACAAAATGTCACAGGATAATTGGGGTGTCGCTTTACCAGCCAGAAACCTCTGTGGCCAGGAGTGTCTTCCGCCTGAGTATTGGTCACACCTGCTGGGCTCATTCCACCCACTTGGCTTGGCAGTCAGCACTCAGCCTGCACTACCGGCCTGGATCACACACCTGCCAAGGGCGAGCCAGGCGTGGAGCAGTGAGGGATGTGTGGGCTAGCGAGTGTGGGGTCCAGCCACAGGGCACAGCCAGGCATGCTGGCTGCTGTGGTAGGGCGGGCAGTTCCAGGTGCTGGCACAGGTGCTGGCTCTGAGTGAGGCTGTGGCTGGACCAGATGTTCTGCATGCGGCTTCTGCTGTGGGCACCTGCATCTGGATGAGGGAAACTCTTTGGCACCTGGAGGCATGGAGACACCAGGAACTGCAGAGCCCCAAAGAGGGTGTCATGGCCCTGGTATAGGGAGCCCCTAAGTATGGGCTCCCCAAAGGGCCACATCGCTTCTCTCCTTCTCCTCGCCCACAACATGGTGAGTGGGAGAGAGTGTTTCAGCCCTGTTTGTGTTACAGTTCTTTCATTCCATCCATTTGGTTGGTCCCAAGTTCTTGTCCTGCGTCCTGGAAGAATGAAGTACGCAGGCAACTGATAGGTGAGCAAGGCAAATAGGAGCTTCAGTGAGCAACAAAACAGCTCTCAGGAGACCCACAGTGGGTAGCTCCTTTCAACAGGCAGGTTGTCCCAAAAAGCTTTCCAGCTCTCAGTGGAGAGGAAACATTTAGCAGGTAGCTCCTTTCCAAAGGCAGGTCATCTCCAGTCGTGGAGACTCAAAGTGGGTAGCTCCTTCCCACAGCTGGTAGTCCCAATGTCTGTCTGAGTCTAGCTGAGTCTGGGTTTTTATGGGCTCTGAAGGGAGGAAATGCATACTGATTGGTCAAGGGGTGGCCATGAGGGGGCCTGGAAAAAGCACCATAAGCTCTCACTCTGTGCCATGGACTCCAAGGAGAACTGGCAGCCTGGCCTCTAGGCTTCAGGCCATCCCTGGCTTGAAGGTAGGGTTTCACCAGGGACCTGCCTTTTTCTGCCCAGGGGCCCGTCTACCTCCTGCTGCCATCAAAATGCCATCCACAGCACCCAGGCTGTTCATGCCTAGATGTGCTTTCAGGCCCACACTGAGCCGCTCTCAGCACCCCCTCAGCCTCCTTCCATGACACCCAGACTGTTCATGCTGAGCAGTGCTTGCACGCTCACCCTGAGCCACCCCTCAGCCTCCTTCCATGACACTCAGGCTGTTCATGCTGAAGGGTGCTTGCAGGCCCACACTGAGCCACCCTCAGCACTCCCTCAGCCTCCTTCCTGTGCTCATCAGTGCCCAAAGTGTGGAGGTGGCCAAGGTGGCACCATCCTGAGTGCACTCACACCTGGGTGTGTTGTGACAGAACCCAGGTTCAGCCACAACTTGGCTCCACCCCAAAGCAGTGGGGAGTGGGAGTGGGGAGAGGCCAGGGAACAGGAGCAGGTAGTTCCAAACCTGCAGGGGCAAGGGGCTTCCTGAGCCCCTGAGAGCACAGGGATGCTGGGGTCTGGAGCTGTGGCTGGGTGGCTGCAGCTATGCCCAAGATCACAGGCTCCTGCCCCACCAACCTGGTAGGGTGTGGGGCTCTCACTTTTTCTTGGCTCTCACTGGACCGTGAAGCACACAGCCCCAGCTGTGCCTCCTCTGCTACAGCTGACACCCTCACAGTGGCCACTCCAGACAGGTCGTCACAGGCATCAAAATGAGTTATATATTTTTTAAATTGTACAACTGGAACAATCAAATTTGGTCAGATATATACATAAATGGACATATGGCATATGTATATGTAAAATAGATTTTGAGAATCCATTGACACAATATTTTGAAAACCAGACATTTTGAAGTGTAGCAAATAAGAACTCTAAAAAATTTTTAATTTGGGATGAGAGAATAAAATCTAAGCAAATTTGACTACTTTGAAAGAATTGAGTGAATGCATTTGACCACAAAATTCAAATTACTGTTGGTAAAAAATTATGCACATTTGAAAGCGGAAGTAGGGTAGGCAGAATAAAGGAAGGAAGATAATTTTGATCTTGAAGTTGAGGGTCAATCTTTATTTTAGAGAGTTCATTGGATTACACTTTATGCATAATATAATTAATACAGTTGAGTGATATTGTTTTTATAGCCATAACATCATTAACATTAATCTAAACTCAATAATAGTGAATCATTGCTATTTTTTAATGACTTAACATTCTCAGGACAATAGGAAACAATTGAGGTACCCTAAGCAAATACTTTCTTCCTCTTTTTTTTTTACTTTATTTATTCATTTTTTTAAGACAGGATCTCACTCTATTACCCAGGCTGGAGTGCAGTGGCCTGTTTAAGGCTCACTGCACTCTCAACTTCCTGAGCTCAAGGGATCTTCCCATCTCAGCCTCCCAAGCAGCTGGGACCTCAGGCACATGTTCAATGATAGACTGGATAAAGAATATGTGGTACATATACACCATGGAATACTATGCAGCCATAAAAGGAACGAGATCATGTCCTTTGCATGGACATGGATGGAGATGGAAGCCATTATTCTCACCAAACTAAAGCAGGAACAGAAAACCGAACACTGCATGTTCTCTCTTGTAAGTAGGAGCTGCACAATGTGAACACATAGACACAGGGAGGGAACAACACACACTGGGGCCTGTGTGGGGGTGGGAGGAGAAAGAACATCAGGAAATCTATGTAATGCATGCAGGACTTACCACCTTGGTGAGGGGTTGATGGGTGCAGCAAACAACCACGGCACATGTTTACCTATGTAACAAATTTGCACATCCTGCACATGTACCCCAGAACTTAAAATAAATAAAATCTAAAAAAATAAATAAAATAAAATTCTAACAATTCTAACTCATTTTTTTCATGGACTCATTGTCACTTCCACTTTTCTAAAATACTTAACCTCCAAGTATAAGGACATGTCCATAGTCAATGTACACTTTACAAGCATTGTTGGAGAATGTGGGAAAGCATTGAGGCAATTTTACTTTTGTTTCACTAAAGAAAAACTAATGTGTAAAAATATCAGATTGTGGCCAATATTTAAGACTACATGCTGACACCATGGAACTGGGACAAAAAGAAAGATGCCAGTGAAAGAAGAAGTTTTCTATCTTAAAAGAGCTTCTAGGTTTTCTTTAAGTAACAGAATGTATAATTTTTAAAATACCTAAAAACTTGCAACACTGAAGATGTGCAAAAACAAAAAAAAGCCAATAAGTACAATTAATACATTCAAATATGCCAAAAAGTAATAATTTGAATGCACATTTTTTATTAGTCAAATGTTTAAATAATAGATTCTTGTAAAGAAAAAGTAAAGCCTTATTCTTCCCAATTATTCACAATATCTGAAAGTATGTAGCAAAGTAGAGTTGCCAAGTAGATTAGCTTAAACTACACTTATGAATAGATATTCTGTCTAATTAACATACAATCTTTTTAACTAGTTCGAAAATTTTTAAAAATGTTACTTGAAAAGATATTTTCACTTGTGTTTCCAATATCTCCCTAGCCCACCAAAATATCTTACTCAGATTCTACGTTTACCTAGCAAACTTTCTTAATATGTAAACGTAAGTATACATTATCCCAATTCTTAACAAAATTAGCAAAAATCAAATTCTATAATTCCAATATATGCTATTCTACAATTTTAACATAATTACTGGGAGAATAAAGAAAAAATGAGCAGTTATGGTAAGCTTCGTGTATTCAAGGAAAGCTTTTGCATGAAGTGAGTTTAGATCAGATTTTTAAAGGATATTGTAGCAGTCAGCAAATATAGCTCTCAAAATCTGGGGAGAATGCAAAATTAAAAGGAACCGTAGAGTTTTGAGTTTTATAGGTCAGTATCTCACAATCCTCTTAAAATGACAGTTTTGAATCTATTACAGCAGCTGAGGCAAATGTTACAGTTCTTGTTTTGAGATACTTCTGAATCCATGCTCAGAAATAAGATAGCCCATATGTACCGGAATTTTAAAGTAAATATTCTGTATCCCAATGAAAAGGGGGAAAATGTATATCTAAAGATAGATTTTTGAAATACTGAAAATTTTGCGACTTACTTGGCTTAAATATATGGAACTGAAAAAGGAAAAGGGGAGAGAGCGGCTATTCAATGAGTACCAACTAAATGCTAGGCACTGTGCATGTGCTTTGTACGTACTGCAATATTTACCCATGATAACAATTCGTGAATTTCATATGAGTGCCCCTATCCAACAGAAGACATTGAGGTTTAAAGATTAAGTAGTCTTCCTAAAATGACCAAAAAAATGCAGAATTGGGGTGCCTATCTAAATCTGTCATAACGTTTGTTTTTCTCCACTACTTGCTGCAAATATTGCATTTTACACATTGCCTGGCTGGTTAATTTCAATGTAAGTTTCTGGTTGAAAAAAGATTAGCCATTATATTGATACTATTTATGTGTAGTGATTTATACTACAACCTGTAATTTTTATTACAACTCTTATTTTGGATTTCTATGTGAAATTTCAGGAATTTTTTAACAGAAAAATTTTCTTAGAAGAGAATAGTTATAAATAAGGGTGAATTAGATACACTATTAAAAAGAAATACTATTAGTCATCCATCTCACACCTTTTAGTTCATATATTTTGAAACATTCTTTACCTCCGGTTACTTTACACTCAGCATGAAATTATTCAATTGCTTTGAAAACATCAAAGAACTAAAGAATTGCTCCCAATCTGCAACTTACAACTGTGTCCCCTGATTAGTCAGGGAAGGTCAAAGGGGCTAATACATTCACAAAGTACAGGAAAGGGCATACTGAAGAGGATATACTTAATCTTCAGAGTCAAATAATCATTAGCAGTGTTGATGGATAAAGTCGAATATGCAATTGCCACAGGGACAGTACTATATTCATTCGGATTCATAAAATGAAAGTAAGGAGGCATTAGGCTGAGTGGGTAACTCAAATGAGGGATGAAATGCCAAATTTCATAAACTCTGACTATCACGGTCAAATTAAATGTTATCATTTAATTTATACTTCAAATTTAATTTTCTTTAAAGTTATTGTTTAATATTGATATTTTATGTGAAATAACATCTAGATAAAATTAGATTTTCAACATTAGCTGAATTATATGAACTATTATATAAACTTTCATTCATATTATTATAAACTAATTATTATATAATTACTATATAAACTTTTGTTCATATTATTAAACTGATTATTATATAAAGTAATTATTATATAAACCTTTGTTCACCAAATATAGAGTACATTCTATGGATATGTGAAGTTTGAGACAACATATTTGTACTAAATTAACTTAAAAAACAGTACTATTATTGCCTTCAAAATCCAGTTTTGCCATCTCCTAGTACAATATACAAATACATTACCTGCATTTATAAAGCATGCTGATGTGTTGAAAACTATATCATCAACATTATAATTCAAGATTGTTTATAAGCTTTAATTGAAAAAAATAATAGTACTGTGACAAAATTATCTTTGAAGTTCTATGAAAGAAAAACATGCATTAGTATTCCTTTTCAATATTGAAAATTTCATATCAGTCAATATATTATTTGATAATACACTTCTAAATAAACTAAATTTCAAACTGCCATTGGATGGTAAAATAGTAACCAATTTTCTTTCATTTCAAAAATGGAAGACATTTCCATTTTTCTTTGCCGTATTTTTCCATATTCTTTTCCATCTTTTCTCTCTCTCTCTCTCTCTCTCTTTCTTTCTTTCTTTTATGGTGTTTCACTCTTGTGATCTTGGCTCACCACAACCTCCGCCTCCTGGATTCAAACAATCCTCCTGCCTCGGCCTCCTGAGTAACTGGGATTACAGGCCTGCGCCACCATGCCTGGCTAATTTTTAGTAGATATGGGGTTTCTCCATGTTGGTCAGGCTGGTCTTGAACTCCCAACCTCAGGTGATTCACCTGCCTCGGCCTTCCAAAGTGCTGGGATTACAGGCATGAGCCACCATGCCCAGCCCAAAAATACATATTTATTTAACATAACTTTTTTAAAACAAACCTAATGTATATTATATTGTAGAATAAAATGATCTCTAGTTTGAATTGTATTAATGGTCAGTAAATCTTCCCTTTCAGACAACGAATAATTATTTAATAACATAAAGATAGTCAATAATTTAAATTCAAAGAGGTTGTACATTGATCTTCCAGATAAAATGCTATTAATCCTAATGATTTCCCATAGCTTGATTTTCATTATAACACTGTATGCTACACATTTAGGTATTATATTCACAACGATAACTAAGGAACCACTCTTGTTCAGTAGGTTAAGTAAATTAACTGAAGGTTATAGACTGTTTCTAGCTCTAGATGGAAACATTACTTGAGGTCGAGCCCTGCCTTAGGCAAAATCATGACATAGTTCTCATAATCATTGTCCTTCTCGCAAGCTCCTATAAGTCTACTGACCTACCTCACTGACCCTTGTGTTCATTCCCCCAGGTGGCTTGCTCTTCCTCACTATATTTTGGATGCACGATGCCTAACCAGAGTGGCCCTCTTTGCAATGTTTCATGCTTCAAGCTTACTCTCCCTTGTATAAAAATTTACTATACTTTAGGAATTAGTTGTCACCTGGAATGCAAGTTGATAGCTAAATAATATTAATAAATTTATCAAATGGTTCTAAAATTATGGGATTATGTCTTATGAGGGTATTTATAGTCTAACTGCAAACAATTCAATGTCTCCTAAGCAGTAAAATATTAAAGAATGGTATAAAAATATCTTCAGAATGTTGAGCCTTTTCTGTATCTATAGATAATCGTTCCATTTAAAATTATCCCAATTCATATTCTCCAAAATGTAGTGTAATATTTAGTTTCTTGGTATCTTAACACTGAAATGGGACAATATAATGAGATTCAGCAATTTGTAATACCAAATATATATTTATGTAATCTCATATATTTTTCTAAAGGTTGGCTTCTAAATTAGGAATAAAATAGAAATTTCAAGTCTTGATTAATTTTTAATCATTTTTTACATTGTGATCATTAAACCAATGATTTCATGGCAGGGGATCCAGTTAGCTCAATACGTTTATAGGTGGTTTTATAAATATGAGTAAATTATAATATAATTGGGCCTGAATTTTATATTTCATGGAAACTATATAGCTAAGATAATATTTCATATTAGGAAACATGCTCCTTTTATTAGTAATTTTCAGAAAGTTACAAGGATTGAGAAATATGTTTCATAGAGATCAATATCATGATAAATTATTTACTATTTTCCTACATCTGGTGTTGGAAAAATACGCGGTTAAGTTTCTAATAATAATTATAACTTAGTTTCATCCCATGTTTATCACCCACCTTCCCTTATATTCTTGGTAAATAAATAAAATAGAGACCAAAACAAATTTTTAAAATCAATAATGTGGGACCATTTTGTTGCCTTTAAGAAAACAAATCAGTGGAAGTATAATAATTCACTATACAGATCTTAATATTATTTTTAAAATTAGAAATGGTGCATTAACAACACCTCATTTCTATAATCCTAGGCTTTAAAACCTAGTAACTAAAGTGTTAAACATCTCCCTGTTGCTGTTGAGGTTGCACACTATTCCATAGTACACACCCTCAATCTTCACTTGTCAAGATAAGGGTAATCAATCTCAATTCCCCATAAAATGTAATTTCCATTAGAGACAAGCAATAAACACTGCCAATTTCTTGGTAGCATTGGACTTCTATAAAATAATCCCCTCTAACAGAGACCAGGGAAAAATACTTTATTTTACCACTGAGATACTGATATATAGAAGCAGAAAAAGTCAATTTATCTTCTTATCTTATTGAGATGTCTATAATTAATGTGTTTAGTTTTTTTAAAAGGTTAAAATAGAAGTCAGTGTAACTGACTGCTGATTGTTGCTGAAGGGAAAGAGCAGCAGGCTCCACAAAGAAGAGGCTATTCTTTATTAAAACCATAATCCACATAATCTTGTATATGTCTTAATATCCCTAAACAAGGCAAAAGCAGTTCATCAGTTCAAAACATGATCACTGATATCATATTAAGTAAAATGCTCTGTGTGAAGTAAAAGTTATGGCCTCTATCCTTTGGAAGCTTATATTTAGTGTGTACAAAACACTACAATTCAAGGCAACACTTTTTTCTTTCTTCCCAAACATCCAAAAAGAAAGAAGTACTCCTAACAGAGGATTCATATGCTGTTAACATGTAGTCATATTGTCATATATGAATGCTTACCATGTTAATTGCTGGTGACTTTTCTAAAACATGAGTTATCATTTTTTGTTGCCATCTTTGATGTTCTGTATTTTGCTTTTGGTATAATCTCACAAGGATGTCATGAAATAGCACTTAAATCTTCACTTAAATGGGCTTCACTTAAATCTTCACATGATTTTAACACAATCCTAACTCTAGTGTAGTCTCTCATGTGTCACTTTCTCTTCATTCTTGATCTGCAGGTATGTTACTCTTCCTCATCCCTTTGTCTCCTCTTACCAGCACTGTTCTTCGATCCTATTAACTTTAATGTATCCCGCAGTACTCATCTTCGATGCTCGGTCTAACACTCAAACCTTGACTGAGAATTGATTTGTCCTACTCCAAATTTTCTCCATTGTATGTTTTATGTAGTCTCATTTAGTATTGTAGTCTCCTGTTGACAGCCCCTCTTACTATCTTGTGAATTCCTCGATGGCAAAGGTTGTATTTTACTCATCATATTACTCAATGCTATCCTGATAGTTTGCACCTTTGCGTGCAAAAACTCATGCTTTCTAAATTAAAACTCGGACAAACATTCTAAAAATGCCAAAACAGACACTAAGAACAGGTAGAATTAAAACATTGTGTTAGATATTGACATTGGTATTATTGAATAGAGATTTAAGGGTAATACTACATGTTATTTGAAGTGTTTTTGATCCCTATTTATTCCAGTGTGTTCATTTCAAATGGATTTCACTGTTGTCAAAACAGTAAGTTTTGTTTACATATGTTTAATTGTGTCATTTTAAAGTAAATTGATGCAAATATATGGATAATGTATTTTCCTTAATATAATAACTAAATGTAATACAAATGTTTTATACCACTGTTGGTTTTTTTTTGTTTATTCACCATCAATGTTACATAGAGCTTGCAAAAGGCAAGATCATTTGTCATAAATCAATTAATATTAAATGTTATAGAAATAGTGAAAACCAAAATGATCTTAAACTTATGAACTAGAATATATAACATGATGTTGAGGAAAAAAATAAATTATGGTTACCGAGTTCCCATAGAACAACATTTATAGTTTAATTAGTACGTACTATAATGTTCCACTAAACTGTATCCATTTAAATATTTCTCTTCTCCACTAAGCGCATAACACTTCAATGTCTAAAACCTTGGTGTTTTCTGTTGTTATTATTCCTAGAACAATATCTGGTAAAACAATGGGTCCTAAAATAGTATTAATAATATTAATCAAAATTCAATTGTATCAGCAGCATTACATAAAAAATGTTAGGCCAGACACGGTGGCTGACTCCTGTAATCCCAGCACTTGGGAGGGCCAGGTGGGCGGATCATCTGAGGTCAGGAGTTTGAGACCAGCCTGACCAATATGATGAAATCCCGTCTCTACTAAAAATGCAAAAATTAGCTGGGCGTTTTGGCATGTGCCTGTAATCCCAGCTACTTGGGAGGCTGAGACAGGAGAATCACTTGAACCCACAAGGCGAAGGTTGCAGTGAGCCGAGATCATGCCATTGCATTCAAGCCCGGGCAATAAGAGTGAAACTCCATCTCAAAAAAAAAAAAAAAAAATGCTTAAACTCAGATAACTATATTTCCTTCTGGGAATTTACTTATTAATTAAATATACTCTTCCCCAATGTGTAGTATCACATGATGATACCTTTTTACAAAGAAAAGCAATAACTTTTTAAATGATCATCCAAATTAAATTTCATTTTGTAAAATGTGAAACAATGTTGTTTACATACCATGTAGATAGTTTTTTCTTGTATCATTTTAACTACAGAACTGTTATTGAATAATCTTATCAGAAGTACTAATTCATGAATTTTTCCTGAGAGCACTACTCCAAAGAAAAAATATAAAAACATGCTTGCATACACATAAATGTATTAGTATAATTATACAATATTTAAGTTAATACAGTAAGGTGGTATCATATATACACGGATGTATCTGAGAGAGAGAAAAAGGGAGACATGACAGACAGTCTGTTTCCTATCACTAAAAATACAGAGCTGGACAATGGTTTTTCCTTTTATTTTCAAGTATAAAATTATATATAGAAAGCAAAAAACAAAATTCCTCCTTTTGAAGTCTCTTTAGTCCAAGATTTTCTTTAGAAATGTAAGAATTCTGTATGTCTACAAAAACAAAGATTTTACTTTAAAATCGCTTTAAAATAACAATTAAAAATACTTTCTGTCTTTTTTCCAGTCTGTAATACAGGTCTGGCTTACTTTCTACATTAGAAAATGCACCTCCTACTTTATTTAAGAGGTAGGCAAAAATTTCTCATATATCTTTGCCTGCATTCAAGAAATAAGCTGTTCAATATTATGGCATATGATCTGTGGCAATCCCTTCAGTGAAGCTTATTCTTACAGTACAAAAAAATGTATTTTATAGATAACTTTTTGTATGAGAGCTAACATTTCTTCAAAGGCCACAAAGCTTAGAAAAGGAGATAAAATGGAGATGTTCTTCTTTGAAGACACTATTGAGTATTCATGCCAAGTGGTTTAAGTGTATTTTGCAAATCATTACATATTATCAAGACTGTTCAAAGATAATTCAATTGTATATTATCAAATTATCATTATAATTTTCTATATATTTCTGTTCAGTATAATCAGATGATTAATGATAAGATTCCACAAGATAACTTTCTGTTTCATTCACTAAGAAAGGGGCTAAGCCAAAAGTAAAATGATGTCTAGGAGAATTAGCCAAATCAACTAGGAAACTGTTCTTCACTTCTTGCTTATTTATTATGCCTTCTTTTCAAAGTTACTGAGCCTCTTTCTTCTCTCTCTCTCTGCCCTTCTCAATCTCCTCATCCCACTGCTGGAATGGAATTTCTTCCTAATGAAATCCAAAAGCTAATATTATTTTTCTTTCATAATATAATTATATTGCATAAATTCTGAATTTACTCAGTGCACTTTTTTTTCTTTCTTTCTTTTTTTTTTTTTTTTTTTTTTTTTTTTTTTTTTTTTTTTGAGACGGAGCCTTGCTCTGTCACCAGGCTGGAGTGCCAATCTCGGCTCACTGCAGCCTCCACCTCCTGGGTTCAAGCGATTCTCCTGCGTCAGCCTCCCAAGTAGCTGAGACTACAGGTGCGTGCCACCACGCCCACCTAAGTTTTGTATTTTTAGTAGAGACAGGGTTTCACCATGTTGGCCAGGATCATCTCGATCTCTTGACCTCGTGATCCGCCCGCCTTGGCCTCTCAAAGTGCTGGGATTACAGGTGTGAGCCACTGTGCCCGGCCTATTCAGTACACTTTTAAAATGGATCCTAGGCTTATGAGTTCTATTTGTACCACACTGCAATCTTGCACTAAGTCAATATAGTATGTTCAAAAGAAATTATACTAATATTTATTTAATATCTTCAACGCCAAGTATCATCATCTTCATTATTGTCATCTTCTTCTTCAATATCATTATCATCATGATCATCATCCACCATTCCTTTAACAC
Source organism: Homo sapiens (assembly GCF_000001405.40). Classification (NCBI taxonomy): domain Eukaryota; kingdom Metazoa; phylum Chordata; class Mammalia; order Primates; family Hominidae; genus Homo; species Homo sapiens. The sequence continues at coordinate 79,918,731 of NC_000003.12, read as the reverse complement.
CTACCATTGTCAAGCCTTGCATTAGATGCTTCACAAATGATGTAAATTTACTTTATTCAGTTTACAAAGCAATCCTATGAAGCAAGTAATATGATGTTAATTCTTCTGATGGGGAAAATGAGGATCAAAGAGGTGAACTCATCTCTTTAATTAATTAATCCCAAAATTAAATCATGAGTTAATATTTGAATCTGTATTTGTATGGATCCAGCATTGAGCTTATTCCACTATTCCATTCCAAAACAAAGCATTTGGAAGGTTAATTTAAATATATATTTTTAAAATGTTTCAATTATGTCTGCTATTCAAGCCCTGTGCTACCAACAAGGACTAATTTATGACCAAATATTCTATGATACATCATGAGAAAGAGAGAAAATATGTATTTCCTCTCTCTGGATTCCCAAAAGCAATATCATCCATAAATATGTTCTAAAATTTGAGACCTGGTGCGGTGGCTCATGCCTGTAATCCCAGCAATCTGGGAGGCCAAGGAGGGCAGATTACTTGAGGTCAGGAGTTTGAGACCAGCCTGGCCAACATGGTGAACCTTCATCTCTACTAAAAATTCAAAAATTATCCAGATGTGGTGGTGCATGCCTATAATCCCAGCTACTCGGGAGGCTGGGGCAAGAGAATGGCTTAAACCCAGAAGGCAGATGCTGCAGTGAGCTGAGATGGCGCCACTGCACTCCAGTCTCAGCAACAGAGCAAAACTCCATCTCAAAAAAAAAAAAAAAAAGATAAAATATCAACTTATAATTTTCTTCCTGGTAACCTTAATGACAGCAACACTAGAACATCAGAATATATATCTGCAACCCAGAAGAGAATTTCCTAAAATGTTACTAGATAAGCCCTTGAGTGCTGCTGTGACTGTTCCCACATAGCAGAGTTCCTACCTCTGGGTTCCTCTGACCTTTCTCAGCTGAGAATATGTTGATCACTCACATCAATCAAGGCTCTGTGGGCAGTCTGGGCAGTACTACAGAACGGCATGCACCAGTAACTTACGCATTTTAGCACTTGCCTAGTTCTCCCTCAGTTAACTGACTAGATCTTAATTATTTGAAAGCATGAACCAGATAGTTTTCCTCATTCCCTCTCTCCCTCCCAACTCCCCTTCCCACTCCCTCCCTCTCTCCCTCCCACTACCTCCCTCTCTCCCTCCCACTCCCTCCCTCCATTCTTTCCTTTCTCCCTCCCTCCATTCTTTCCTTTCTCCCTCCCTCCCTCCCTTCCTTCCTTCCTCCCTCCTTCTCTTCCCTCTTTTCTCCTTTCTTCCTTTCCTCCCTCCTTCCTTCTCTTCCTTCCTCCCTCCCTGCTTCCCTTCCTTCCTTCCTCACTTCCTTTTTCCTTCTTTCTTCCCTTCTTTCCTTCTTTCCTTCTTTTTCCTTCTACTTATTTTCTAATACCACCCTTTTTTATCTAGTCCATCTGTCCTCCCCTCTAAACAAGCTCAACCCATGTACTACTTACAGAACTAAACACATAGCAGATATTTCTTAATGGATTAAATGAATTCAACATAAGTGACAGTAGATCTGAGCTGAAGATTACAGATTGGTCCATTTTTCAATAGACCATTTTTATATACACTCATCAATAAGCCAAATTTGGTTCCAAATTAAATGTTCAAATGAAACTCTTTCAGAACCTTAAACCATGCCCTGTACATTGTGTGGCACATAGTATGGCCTATTTGCTGAATGTGGAGAAAAGAAGGGAGAAATAAAATTTTTGAATCTTGCCCATTTAATTTTCTACTGTATATATAACATATATATCACACACAGATATATAGATATAGATATATAGATATAGTTTGTTTGTTTGTTTGTTTGTTTGTTTGTTTGTTTTTTGAGACAGAATTTTGCTCTTGTTGCCCAGGCTGGAGTGCAGTGGTCTGATCTCAGCTCACTGAAACCTTCACCTCCCGGATTCAAGCAATTCTCCTGCCTCAGCCTCCTGAGTAGCTAGGATTAGAAGTGCGCGCCGCCACCACATTCAGCTAAATTTTTGTATTTTTAGTAGAAATAAGGTTTCACCATGTGGGCCAGTCTGGTTGTGAAATCCTGACCTCAAGTGATCCGCCTGCCTTGGCCTCCCAAAGTGCTAGGATTACAGACATAAGCCACCAAGCCCAAACCATATATGATTTTGAAAATAAGAATCATTATCTATTTTCCAGCCGTCAAGATGATATATTTTGATTTAGTGACCATTTAATCCAAGAAAGGGAAAGTGTACATATTTACCTTGGAGAGAAAATTGGCCGGGTTTGGTGGCTCACACTTGTAATCCCAGCACTTTGGGAGGCCAAGGAGGGAAGATCACTTGAAGTCAGGAGTTCAAGACTAGCCTGGCCAACGTGGTGAAACCCCGTCCACACTAAAAATGCAAAAATTAGCCGGGTTGTTGGCGCATGCCTGTAGTTCCAGCTACTCAAGAGGCTGAAGCAGGAAAATCGCTTGAGCCCGGGGAGTTACATTAAGTTGAGATGGGACCACTGCACTCCAGCCTTGAGTGATGGAGTGAGACTGTGTCTCAAAGAGAGAGCAAGAGAGAGAGAGAGAGGGAGAGAGAGAGAGGGAGAGAGAGAGAGGGAGAGAGAGAGAGAGAGAAGATAAAATTGGAAAGACACTGCAGATGAAGCATAATATAAAAGAATAAGCAACACATGAGAAATAGAAAGAAATGTGGCTTCTCAAGAGAAAATATATTTGGAAGAAAATTTAAAATTTCAGGTAAGTATTGAGAGTGGATTTACCATTTGAAATATATAATTTGATAGTTAAGCACTAAATAATCTTAAGGATGAGAATAACAAAAGACAATGTATACATAAAAGTTTAGTTTCACAAAAAGAGTAGCAGTGTGATCTGTCAGTTATGGACATCCATTCACTGGTGATGACGAGATTCTGGCATAGATTAACTACATAAATTAAAGACATGAATGAACTGGAAGCTAATTTAACAGCATTGTTCAAATTATCATTATTTGTATTTTCTCCTTTTAAAATTTTTAAAAAGAATCTTCTCCATTATAATATCCTGTTTCTGTATAAAAGAATCACAAGAATAATAAATAACATGATTTCTCATAGCTTATATTCATTCAAAGGGTTTACTTATGTAGGATTTTTAATGAGTTATTTAGAGCATAGGAACTTTTATGTCATTAACTAAGATTCAAATCCTTGTGTTACAGTATAGAAAATTTTTACGAAAGATAAAAGTCTACATTCTTTGTCTATAGTTCAAATAAATACAGCACTGTGGAAATTAGAGCATCTCTGCCTCCTAAGGGTATGTTTACATGATGGATCAATAGAGCTACCTTTAGAAATCCCTATCAATGTATGAAGTCATTGTGATGAAAATTCCCTGTTGCTGATAATATACCAACAAAACTGTCAAGTAGCCAAGGATACAAAGAAATAATAGTCATGGCCAGGATTAGCACAAAAGGACTATTATAATAATGGAATCCATAACTTATATTCAGCCTCAAGATGTATGGATTAGTGATGAAAACTGCTGATCCTACCACATGAGCACAATTTTCCTGATGAGCATCATTATTATCTGCAAATGAGAAAACGCTTTATGTCTGAAAGAGTCAAGGAATGACACTATGGTCTGAATTCTGCAGTAGGTGGGACTGGAATGTGATCAGGACTGCCTTCCTCAGATATCCTTCTTGTTTACCTTCTTAGCCCGCCTTTATTGCATTGATGCCATAGGTAGGATCGGTTCTACAAACACTGCCACTTCATTTTTAAAAAGAACTAAGTTCTTAATTCACATGGATGATCTTCAAAATTGTTTATAAGCTGAGGTGGACTATTTAGGAGGCTGTTCTCTTCAAATTAAAATGGAATGAATCAAGAAGTACCGCCATTTACATTTACTTAAGCCCCATTTATCTCTAGCATTGCCTTGCCTTTAAACAATATAGTAGACAATAGAAAAAACCATGTTACTTGATCTTGAAAACCAGAATGTAAGATGATAGCATTAAATAAAGAAGGCCAGAGGAAACTTTTGGAGGTAATAAATACATGTATATCATAGACTGTGGTTACGCCTTCATGGGTGTATACTGTCTCCAAACTCATCTAGTTGTGTCCATTAAATATGTACAGCTTTGTGTGTGTCAATCATAGCTTAATACCTTTTTTTTTAAGGAAATAGCATGAGGCCAGGTGTGGTGGCTCATGTCTGTAATCCCAGCACTTTGGGAGGCCGAGGTGGGTGGATTGCCTGAGGTCAGGAGTTCGAGACGAGCCTGGCCAACACAGTGAAACCCCGTCTCTACTAAAAATACAAAAACTAGCCAAGCATGGTGGCAGGTGCCTATAATCTTAGCTACTGGGGAGGCTGAGGCAGGAGAATTGCTTGAACCTGGGAGGGGGAGGTTGCGGTGAACTGAGATCATGCCACTTCACTCCAGCCTGAGCAAGAGCGAACTCCACCTCAAAAAAAAAAAAAAAAAAAAAAAAAAGGAAAAGAAAATATCATGGATAAGAAGACTAGCCATATCTGCATATCTGTGTGAATGGAGGGGAGATTCAAAGTTCCATTTTTAAGCAATACACAGTCTATTGGCTTGTCTCCTTGTCATCCTTCTGCCATACTGACTCCATCTCCTACCTTTATCTCCAAATAGGTAGAAAGATGATGGACACATGATAGATAGATAGATAGATAGATAGATAGATAGATAGATAGATAGATGATAGATAGGTAGATAGATAGACAGATAATAGGGTGAGGATAAGGCAGGAGGGAAAGTTTCTTCTTTCTGCTTTACATATGGGTATAGAAAAGGTGGTCAGCTTCGCTGAATCTTTTTTAAAGGAACAGATATTTTACAGCTCAGGGCAAACAATGCTTCCTTGGTAGGGAGAAGGAAATGGGACCTTAAAAGTTCAATAAAAGGGTCAGGCGCAGTGGTTGACACCTATAATCCTAGCACTTTGGGAAGCTGAGGAGGGCAAATTGCCTGAGCTCAGGAGTTCGAGACCAGACTGGGCAACATAGCATAGACCCTGTCCCTACACAAAACACAAAAAGTCAGCTGGGCATGGTGGCGCTTGCCTGTAATCCCAGCTATTTGGGATACCGAGGCACGAGAATTGCTGGAACCCCTGAAATGGAGGTTGCAGTGAGCTGAGATCGCACCACTGCACTTCAGCCTGGGCAACAGAGTCAGATTCCGTCTCAAAAAAAAAAAAAAAAAAAGTTCAATAAGGGAAAACAAACACATGCTGGAAAAAGAGGAACAAGGTGGCTATATTCTAGAGTTCTCTTTTGTGATTTTTACCTTGGACTTGTTTCCTTGCTTAGAAGATAACTAAACTGGTCGTGCACAGATGTCACAGTTTTTTTATATATGGTTAACTTTAGGTTTTGATGGAAACACAGAACAATCCTATCTAAATATAGACTATTAATATAATAATATAGACCCTGTTATTTAAGGATGATACCTAATAGCAGGTGAGTTGTGGAAGGTAAGGTCCTACAAGAGTCAGTCTAAATGTTTGCTTCACTGAGAGATCTTTTATGATCCCTACATTATATTATATCCTCACTTTTACTTCCTGTAACACCATGTATGTTTCCTGTTAGACCATTCATCACAAGTTAATGCAATCATTTTTAAATGTATGTCTTTAATGAAAAAGTCTAAAATTTGTTAGAACAGAATATTTATTTTTATTTTACGGCTGTATTGCATAGTAAAAATCTTAGTATATAGTAGGTGCTCGACCAATAGTCAATGACACACAACACAATGATACAATTCAATTCATCCTTAATCCAAAATTAAAATGTCAGGTATCACCTAAAAACAAGATATCTAGATATTGATTATTTTCCTTCTCCTCAATAACTATTACAATGTTCTTATTTCTATATTTTCCTCATAAATATTAATGACTTCTCCATTGCATCAATGCTTTTTATAATTTCTCTGTTGTTTCTATAAAGAGAATTCATCATTTCAACGTTGCTTCTTACTATAAACTAGAGGCATACTTACTTCTTTTAATTAATTTTGAGACTTTCATAGTCTCTTGGAAGTTACAGTTCTGCCTATTTTTAGAATCACTTGGTTGTTACTTGCATTTTTACCTTTTCTAATGTTTTTCAGTCACCTATCTCGTTAAACCTAATTATCAAAGATGGGGTTTTACAGGGGTTGTTTTACCAGTTTAAAATATTATTGGAGAACATCAAAATCACATATCAATCTGTAATTAAAAATTATAGGCCTGGATATTGTAGCTTGCAAGTCACTTTTTAGGTAGTGACTTACAATAAGTTTTTGATCTTTCTGGCTCACTTCTCTTATATGTAAAGTGAGGTTCAATAAACTTGTACATAAAACACTGGGTCTAATACCTGGAATAATGTAGAAATTCAGATCTTATGTGTGTATACGTGTGTATGTGTGCATGCAAACCCACACATATATGAATGCAAGTATGTGTTTGTAATTTCAAACCAATGCGAAGCGTGAAAGCCTTTTCAAATAATTGAATACTTTCAGGGATAATAAAAGCTGCACATTAGCTACAATGTACACTACTCGGGTGACAGTTACACTAAAATCTCAGAATTTAACACTATATAATTCATCCATGTAACTGAAAACCACTTGCACCCCCAAAAGCTATTGAAAGAAAAAAACATTGAATACATGAAATTAATTTATAAGCTAAACCTAGCTTATTCTTTCATTCATTAATTTATCCATTCATTCATTTATACATCCATTCTATGAACACATGTTGATCACCTGCTGTTTCCTTAGTTATAATACTCACATCAATAAATAGGCCACCATCTTTGCCACTGAGAAGCTCACAGTTGTGAACTTAGTCAGACACGTTAGCAAATTATGATAATATAATAATATGGTGTTAGAATAGAATAAAAACTGAGTATTGTGGGAGTGTGTATCAGGAAGAACTAGTATTGTATCAGTTCAAGTTATGAATATTGGGCAGCTTATATTTGGGGGTGAACCATAGAGAGCTAATCAAAGCGGCAGCACCAAGAAAACATTTATAGAAAACAATGATTGTGTAATCACACGTTTTCCTAGTCTATAAGCTACCTCCTAGTTGTAGGCAAACAATAAAGTTATATTAAAATTTATCTTTATTTAAGAATAAATAGCTTATGAGTGTGTAGAAGTGGACATAGGGGAGTGTGTGTTGTTGTTTAACAGTGACAATGGTCTATGTCAGGAGGAAAATATCAGCGGTGTTAGTTATGTGAAAATGTTTTCAAAAAATGCCTATTTCAATTAAAAACATCCTTATGAAATTCATTTTCCTACATGTGCGCGTGTGTGGTATTGTCTTAAGGCACCTTCAAACATGTGGGTATCATACTTGCTACATGGACTAAATCCTGCTGTACCAACCTACTTGAAATTAAATCTGTGTATCTGAGTAGTCCTAGGGAGGTCATGGGTAATTTCCAGAATATTCAGCCCTAAGCACAACCTTAAATAGTACTAAAAAAAGTAATGCTTTATTAGAGTGCTTATCAGCTATGTTATGAAACAAAAAATGATTTCAGAGATTCCTAATAAGCCTATATATAAAATTATTGTTCTGTCTTTCAGCCTCTGTGTTAAGAGAGTGAATGAGATTAGAACTCCTGAAGTACATAAACTGGAGAAGCTGACTCTGTGATTATTTTTCACAATATTGGCCATGACTATTTTCTTATTATAGATCCACACAGGAAGAACATAGCTGTATTATGCTATGTCACATATTTATAGAAAGAAAATACTCAAGATTCAGAGTTTCTTAAAAAATTCATTTTTACTGTTATGTCAAGCATGTAATTAGGACCAGCCATTATGCTAAGTGTCGTCCATAAAAAAACTGAGGAACTTCACAGAGAATTGAGGGAGACAGACAATTAGACAATGAAAATGGAGGATGCTGGACAAATTTTTGAGGGTTTTAAGCATTAGAATAATAATAACTCTGCTATGAGAATAAGTAGGTGAACTAATATTAAAATAGTAAAACAGGAAGTAAAAACTAAAATGTTGGAAGATAACACTAACCAACAAAAGGAAAATACAAAGACGCTACAGGCAGCGTACCAGGCTAACAACTCAGTCAGGGTTCCTTGGCCTGAGGCAATCAGAGATACTGTAGGGTTATGTACAACTGAATTTCCTGCAGGGAATCCCTGGATACTCAGGAACTAAGACAGACAGTGAAAGGAAGAGTAAGTAAATGCAGCTACTTGTGTTTCTTTTCTGTACACTCAGTAGGAGAAGGTGAAGAAGAGAATGCAAGACTGGGAAACAGCAAAAAAAAAAATCCCAGGAAATATTTTATTAAGTAGAGCCCTAAATATTAACAAGGCATGAAGCACTGCTCCTTCCCCCTGACATTCACATCCTCAGCACATTCTTCCTCCATCCATGGCTGGCTTTATTATTGCTGGGATAGTTAAACTCTTAAGGAAAAAAACTCCAGTTATCAACTCTTTCCAGTCTCAAAGAAGGAAGAAATGGTCAGGCTAAAAAAAAAAAGTTTTATTTTAAGCACATAAAATACAGAAGGCATAAAAGTGTCTTAGCAGCTACATAGCCAGAACTTTTCAAGAATTAGAAACCTATTCTTTGCCTTACAGAATAAAACCATATAGCCAATAATCGAATGAGAAATATTCCTAGTGCTCTGTACAAGTGTTTCCAGAAAGGGGCCCCATCCAGACCCCAAGAGAGGGTTCTTGGATCTCACACAAGAAAGAATTTGAGGCTGATCCATAGAATAAATGAAAGCAAGTTTATTTAGAAAGTAAAGGGGTAAAGAATGGCTAACCCATAGGCAGCAGCACCACCAGCCTCCTGCCCCCAGGGTGGCTGTTTGCCCATTTTTTATGATTATTTCTTGATTATATGCTAAAAAAAAGGGGTGTATTATTCATGCTTTCCCTTTTTAGGCCCCATAGGGTGACTTCCTGACATTGTCATGGCATTTGTAAACTTTCATGGCACTGGTGGGAGTGTAGCAGTGAGGATGAACAGAGGTCACCCTCATTGCCATCTTGGTTTTGGTGAATTTTAGGTGGCTTCGTAAGCTGTTTTCTCAGCCAGGTCTTTATGACCTTCATCTTGAGCTGACCTCCTGTTTCATCCTGTGACTTTTGTAAATGTCTGGGAATGCAGCCCAGTAGGTGTAAGTCTTAGTTTACTCAGCTCCTATTCAGGATGGAGTTGCTCTGGCTGAAACACCTCTGACAGAAGTGTCTGTCTGCTTCTCTCTTGGTCTTTGTACTCATTCATTGCACTCTATCAGAGGGAGTGAAGCAAGTAAGGTAGGTCAGTGCATTTATTCCCAGGCATCTTTACCAGCTTACCTAGCTACATCTGTGTCTTTTTGGGTTCCAACAACTAGTAGCTGCTGCCTCCTCTGGCTCTTCTGGCTCAGGATGAGAACAGCTCCACAGAAATAGATTTGTCTCTTTTTGTTTCCTTTATACCATGTCTATCCTTTGGTAAACAGACTTTTTGTGAAATTCTCTTCAGATGATCCTAAGCTTGTACCGGGAGCCTAGTGGAAACAAGAATATGCAATACCAAGAAACTCACCTAAGATTTTTAATAAATCCAATTTTATTCTTATTTATTGTACGTATTAGGTTTATGAGGAGATCCAAGACTAATTTCAGTAAGTGAGTATTATATTCTATAACAAGCATTTAGTTAGCAGTCACATATAAATTCTAATACTCTTTAACATACATACGTGGTATGGTACGTATGTTACCATAGGCTTTGTGCATGTGCATCGGCTTTGTGTCCCTACCCAAATCTCATCTTGAATTGTAAGCCTCATAATCGCCATATGTCAAGGGAGGGACCAGGTGGAAGTAATTGAATCGGGGGGTGGCTTCCCCCATGCTGTTCTTGTAATAGCTAGTGAGTTCTCATGAGGTCTGATGGCTTAATAAAGGGCTCTTCCCCCTTCCCTTGGCATTTGTCCTACCTGCCGCCTTGTGAAGAAGGTGCCTTGCTTCCTCTCCCCCTTCTGCCATGATTGTAAGTTTCCTGAGGCTTCCCCAGCCATTTGGAACTGTGAGTTAACTAAACCTCTTTTCTTTATAAATTACTGAGTCTCAGTCAGTTCTTATAGCAGTATGAAAATGGACTAATACAGTACGTGAGTTTCCCTAACTATGTTTTGGGCTTCTTGAGGGTAGGTACCAAATCTCACACATAGTTGGTACAGTAGAGTTCAAATATTTGTTCTATGAATGAATGAATAAATGAACCAATGAATAGATTACTTGAAAGTCAATGGTGCAAAGCAAATGACTTTTTTAAGGTAAAAGGACTGATTTTTAGGATTAATAGAATATAGACAAGAGTTATCTGTCCATTTTTATTAAAATTTCAGGTTTACATCCCAAAGATCTTGTTCTGCTTAAATAATTTTTTCGTATTTCAGTGTTCAGGTTAGAAACCATTAATTGCTTTTCTATTATTCTTTTTCTTTTTCCTACCTTACTTATAAAACCAAGACCACATTTCTATGAGAGAAGAGGGATTAACCTATTTTGGAAGTGGAATTTGCATTAACTGTTAGCAATGAATATCCTAGTCAAGGCCAAAATTAAGGTCTGAGCAAGGGCACCATATTGAGCCTTCTCTATTCTATTCCTAGATTGCATTGTTATTGATGTCTCTTATATAACAAGAAACATCAACTCTGATTAAGAAGTGCTTTAATCAGAACAACATCTTATAAAGAGAAAAAAAAAATCTCTAATACAAAAATGTCTTACCAATGTTAAAAAGAAGCAAATTCTTTTGTGTCCAGGGACTAATTCTCCTTAGTTAACATTTTTAACTCTTTATTATGAACTTAACTCTGTCCTAAAATTCTTTTTACATTTCTATCCTTATTAAATAACGTTTGAATTTTTTTTACTAAAATTCATATTCTATTTTTCTTAGACTGTTAGCCCCTTGAGGGAATTGACAAGGGACGATATAATTAGCAAAAGCACCACGTGGAGAGTTAAATTAAAAAAAAAAAATTCTTGACTTAAGATAAATTGTGGGTTGCCCATAGGAATCTGAAGAAATTGGAGAAAAACTATTACATTTAAATAACTGGCTGCCTCTAATCCACCCCAGTAGCTATTCATCAGAGGAAAAGAAATTATCAGAAGGGAGGCAAGGATTGGAAAAAGAGTCTGTTTTTGATAAGATGAAATGATTCTTGTAGGATGTAAATCTATCTTGAGGACTTTTCTCCTCATTACTTTGGTTTCTACCAAAAAAAAAAAAAAAGTGGTATCAGGCAACCCAGATGCTGGAAATTGAAGAAGCAACGCTATAATAATCTCTTTGATTGGAGATGATGGAGGCACAAAAATAGCAAAAAGACTGTGAGCACTAAATGAAGACATGTGAATAAATGCCACAGCCCTAGATCAAAGCACATATCCCAGGATGACTTATTTAAAAGTATGTTTATTAGAGCTGTAAATAAAATTAAAACCTGGAACAAGTTATTTACAATGTCATAATGATAATGGTGCTAAGAAATAATATTTTTAAAATTACTTTAAGATCAATCAACAAATATTTACTGTTAGAGGTATCAAGATGTTTTTAAATTAAAGAAAAAGTTCTGTGCATTGCTTTTGCCTGACACTTAATTAAGAAAAGCATTTAATTGGCTTAAATCTGTAAATTCAGTTCCTGCACATTAGACATATTGCCTTAACCATACTTTGGTTTTGGGCTTTAAAAATCATATTATATATTAAGTGGTAATAATTTTCTTCAAAGTTTTCCCTCTTCAACTTAAATATCTAGCCATAGCAATAATTTTATAGTTAGGAAGTGATAGCTAAATCAATTGAAATAAGTCATTAGTGAATTTCCAGACATATCAGTATGTTGAACTACTTCAAAAATGTCTTACAATTTCCTCTCAATCTTAGTGAACAAACTGCTCTTCTGTAATATGAAATATAAGGATTCCTGGTTCTGAATGATAATTAAAGAAATCTTAATTTAGAAAGGGTAATAACATTTTAATTGCAAAACGTAAATGGTGCAACATGACTTTTAGTTGTATATTCCTTGAATTTGCTACTTAATATTTGAAAACGGATTTTCTTTTCCTTTGTATTATCTTAGGATCTACGGAGTATTTTTCCATCCTTCATATTACTTTTTTATTCCTCCAACATATAATCATAATGTCTTTTCTCTCACTGAGCTCCTGAGTGGCTGCAAGGCACAAACGTGTCTAATGCAAATGCTAGGAAGGCTCTAGTGGACTTCTGAGACCTCAGTCAAGGAATAGTGTTGGAATGCAAGCTTGCCTCACATAAACCTCAAGGCTACAGATTACTCATTTTGAGCGAAAAAGATACTGCTGTTTTATTTTGAAAACAAGATTCATATTACAACTCTACACAGTGCAAATTATTTGAAAGGTATTTTTTCCTAGTCACGTTCATGTATTTATCACTTAGAGATCTACTTCTAAACAAATGCTTTAGATATATTGCCTGCGATTGGATCCACAAAAATTCATCTCCAGGAGTAAAATTTAGCATCTGCTCCAGAAAAACCCTTCTCAGGGCTGGAAATCAGGGGCCAGGGATATTTCGACAGCAACAAGAACAAAAATTGGAATGCTCCACAGATGAAGGCTGTTTTGTTTCTCAATGTTATTTTATTTTCTCTTTCCAAGTAAAAATCATTGGAAAACTATCATCTTTTTTTCTGTGTCGAGCTTTTTTTAATAAAGTAATAGCAACCTACAAATTTACAGAGAAAATAATCTTAAGTATTTTTAGAATGAATTAAGCTTTATGAAAATTTACTGCATTGGTTTTATGTTTATGTTCCATATCTTATCTCTGACAGGTAAAATCTTTGTCTTAAATCCAGCAAGCTTCATAAATTGAAAACTAGGAAAAGCACTAGATTGCAGAGAGCCCTGGGTGTCTATTGTGATACCTTTAAATCTTTAATGGAACTGAAAATTAAACAGAGAGAATAATTTTTAGTTAATGAGTATATCTATAATAATACAAGATATAACTATTTTTATCATATTTGAAGAATATGATTAAGATTCATTTGTTATATATTCAGTGTATTTGGGAAGAAACGATGAAAACTTAGAACATACACAATGGCTTAAGAATGAATATGCGTGCAAAGCAGGAGGTATCTAGGCAGTATGTGAGTGAGCAGTCAAGTGCAGCATGGCTTGGTGAAGAGCGATGGAGTGGGAGCAATGGATTTATCCCAGGAGCCTGTAAATGAGAGGGGTAGTTAATCTGGCATTGTAGAAGTGCTTCTTTGCATCTTGAAGGAAGAGGTGGTGTTAGCTACCACCAAAATGTGCAGTAAAATGAATTCCATAAAGAAGAGACATGAGCGAACACCAAAGCTAATAAAAAAGAGCAAGGTATTTTTGAGAAAAGTAAATGCGGTGTTTCCTGGTTTCACTTAGGAATTAACCGCGACAGGCCCCGGTGTGTGATGTTCCCCATGCTGTGTCCAAGTGTTCTCATTGTTCAATTCCCACCTATGAGTGAGAACATGCAGTGTTTGGTTTTCTGTCCTTGGGATACTTTGCTCAGCCTAGAACTTAAAGTATAATAATGAAAAAATAAAAATTAAAAGAAACTTCTTCTAACTGGAAGGCCTTTAAGGGAACTTGGGAGATGAAATTGAAAGCCTTTAGGTGGTGTACTCAAGCCAAAGACAGGGTTAGCCAGTAACCACGCACTTGATTAGACAAGCTGCAAAGTTGGGTGTTCTTACTTTTAATAATATACGCTTGACCATGAGTCATATTTTTCAAAAAGTAACAATCTCTCTTATTTGTAAAGGTTTTGCAAGCTTAAACATTTAAATGAAGAGAAATACACTAAATTATTTCAAAAGTTCACATTAAAATATTTGAAAGCCATTTGAAAAATATTTGAATATATCATTCTTGTTATATAGGTTTTTTATAAAGTATCTTTAAGAGCAAATAGACTTGCTATGAGTTTATGAATATGTGTGCAAACCCATTTATTATCTGCCTATATAAAATAATTCTGTTATAATAATGGATGGATATTACAAAAAGGTTTCCTTTTACATTTAATGTAAAATAGATATTCTTGCTATCTTCTTTTTCTTCTTCGTATTGATTTATTTTATGATTAAATCCTCAAAAGGGCAATGAATGACAACAAAATTGATTTTTAGTTTCAAAACTGTTAAATAAAACATCTGGCATCATGTTCAGATGCCAGTGTTTTGGGAAATTTCTCCTGTTTTAGAGGTCACTGTAAGTATCAGGTAATGTATGAAGACAAATCCACTGAACAATTTTAAGAAGATTATGTATTGTCCTCAAGATTTTTTTCTGAATATAGCTTGCTTTATATTTTGTTTTACTTACTACCTTCTCCCACACCCCCAAATGTCCTGCGCTCTAATCAAATTACTCAAGCTTTAGTCCTGAACTTCTTACTTTGCTAATTACAGAGACATAGGCAGTAATAAAGAAAGCAATTAATATGGAAAAAATAATATGGAAGAAAAATATGAAAGCAAATCATATAGAAGAATAATATACTTGCTGCTTTGCAATGTATCTCACATCTAATTACATCAGACTATTAAAACTGATGATAAGATTCATGCCCTCCATATCTATAGTCACCATTGTATCTGTAACAACATACAATGTCACAGGTGAGATTTAAGATAATGATCCCAAGTCATCAAGGACACGTTAAATTATGCTCCATTTTCTCTGTTGGAGAAGCAGGAAAACCTAAAGTGCAAATTATATTACCTGTTTTTTCTTAAGACAGACACTTTAGTAGCTAACTCTGGGCCATGCAAAGTAAATATTTTCTAGGTATTATGACCTGATAAGATTTTATTACACTATTAAGTCTTCATGCTTAAAAGTAGTAGGAAGGACATTTGATAAAGCTTTGTGGTTAACAGTGTTTTGAAATATATTTGCAGTTTAATGTAATATGTATTATTAGAGTGGAATTATTAGCATATCAGAGCTTTAAAAAATGTGAATAACCCTAGTTACTATATTGAAAAGGTTTCCTTTATAGACAAGAGCAGATAAAGCTGGATTTGCTCATGCATTCAGCAAACATTAGAGTACCTACTCTGTGTCAGGACTAAAAATAATAGATTTTTCAAGATGAATAATCACAGAATTTGTCTTACAAGAATGGTGCTCCCATCCCTGGGGAGAAGATATGAGCAGGAAATACACTGTGAAAATAAAATATGAAAAGGGCTCAGGAACATTCATAAGATATATATGAAAACTGTAACTTGGAAAGTTGCCACATTAATACTTTTTAAAAGTTTTGCTAATGAATTAATCCTGATTTAAAAAAATGATCCTAGATAGTCTCCAAGATAGTAAATATTTTAATACTTCTCAATTAAAAATCCTTTTCTACTATTGTGGACCTGTCCAATTGACATGGTTAGAGTTATCAGGAATTACATTGCAATCTACTCTGTACCACTAAGCCTAACATGCTGTTTGTCATTTTCTAATATTTCATATAATTTGCAATAACATTTTCTGTAAATATTTTATTATATAAATTTTATGACTGAAGTGGCAAAAAAAGATATTCAGGAAAACATTTAATGCTTTTTGTTTATTTGCCAATTAAAATATTTTTACATATTAACAAGTGATAATGGTTATGGCACACCATGCCACAGACAGTTTGACAATTATATGACTTTTAATACCTTAAGAATCAACATTAGTTTCTAAACTAATGTCGGTTAGGAAAATATTGTTTTCCTTTACAACTTTCTCTGGTTCCATTTATTAGAGCTTAATTTTTATATAAGAATACTCATAACTGTGTTGCATTTCCACTATTTAATTTAAATATATATTTTAGAATATTTATTACTTAAATGATAATTAGAAATACGTTATTTGTAGATATTTTTATGTAAAAAATACTTCTAAACCTATATTAAATATATAAAAACTGTAAGAATATATTGAAACTTAGTCATATAGGTCAAACAACTTGTCTTCTAATTGTTCATTAAAACTTGAGATAAAAACTAAAAAGCTTCATTTTTCCTGCTTTCTACTAATTACCATTTATGTGATTATATTCTTGTTTAAGCTTATCTACATTAGCTCATTAGCCAGAATGGTTGCTTATAAACTTCAAAGAATGAAAAAATCAATTTCATCATATTTTTATACCGATCTCAGGGACCATGGCTGGTATATTCATTACCATCTGTGTACATAGCTTTGTACAGTACAGCATGTGTGTCAAACTAATTACTATGCAAATCCCAAGATCATCCCCACATTACACTCTCCAGTGACATGAAATTCTGTCTGGCTTAAATAGTCACAAGGATACATTTTATTCTTAAAATTAATAGTACGTATTTTACGCAAGTTGAAATTCATAGGCAACTAATAGTCATTTTAAAATTGACATCATTTTAAATAACATATAATTAATTTTAACTTTATCAAAATTAACCAAAATATAAACCGAAAAGATGAAAGGTGACTTGAAATATTAAATATGCAAAAATATGGAAAATATTAATTTATGAGTAACTGCAACAGCATAGAAATGGTATTATAAAAATAGTAATTATTTTGTAATTATTCAGTGACCCAAAAGTCTACATCTTATATAATTGAGATGCTATTCAATTTTACTTACTATCAATAAGTACATTAGTTTAAAAAAATGAGCATTTTTTACTCATTTTTAATGCCAAGTAAAAACACACTTTCTCATTTACCTAATCTCATTAACTCTTTTCTGTCCTATGATCTTCTTGATTCTCTCCCATTCAATCTATTTCCCAATTTATACAATTCAATATTTCTTCATCTATTATTTTTTTCCATTTCAACTCTCCTTAAAACAAACATTTTTTCTATGCATTAAAAATAATTTTAGGCTGATTTTTGGAGTTTTCCTACAAACTCTATTTTTCCTTTAGATGTGTATAGCATGTGCCTTTCTTGGTTATGAAATTTTTTACTAAGTGCTTTTTTATGTAAGTAAGAAAGATATGATCCATTCAGTCCTGAAGACTTGTAGTCTTGTAGTAAAAACAGGCAAATACACCACTGTGTTGGAGGTTCCACTTTGTCTAGGACACTCCTCATGTCATCTTACCAAAATTGCAGTGCAGGTATATAGTGGGTGCACATATTCACTATGTGCTAGGCAGTGCAAAATGAGGAATGAATAAGAAAGACCATGTTTCTGGACTGGCAGAGGCAATATTAAATATGTCAATATGAGAAAAGTACAGCAGTGTATGAGGATAGAGTGTGACAGGACTGCTATGTTAGATATAATGACTTTGCCATCACAGAGACTTAAAAGAAATGGAAGTGGGGGTTTGGGAAGAGCTACATAAATGCATGAAAGGAAAATGTTCCAGAAAGGACAAAAAAAGCAAGTTCAAAAGTCTCGAGACAGAAAGGAGTAATGTTTTGGGGTACCTGCATCCATGCTGACAAGGGGAGAGAAGGTTAGTGGAAGGATCATGGCAAGAAAGCGGGAGGATGCACCTTATGTTGGGCCCAAGGTAATGACTTCAGAATGTATTCTAGCTGTGATATAATGGTTTAAATTGAACATACACTTTAATTTGAAACACTGTATAATTTCCAAAAAATATTGAATAGTGTGCAATTAATTAAAATATTCTGTTTTTTATTAATAATGGAGAAATTCAGAGAGGGGAAGACGAAATAATGGCTCACAATATTTTCTTCTTTTCATATAATCTTACATTTGTACATGGTGAGTGAGGCCTTCTCCAATTATTTTTTCTAAAAGAGCCTGTCCCACAGAAATTTTATCCTGCTTAACTTTTCCTCATGGCACTGTTAACCCATATAATAAATATGCATTTCTTTATTGTTCCGTTTTGTCTGTTTTTCCATTATAATGTACATTTCATGAGGAAAGAGATTTTGTCTCTTTTTTTCAGAATTATCTTCTAAATGGCTTGACTGGTGCCCATTAAATATTGAATGGCTGAATTAATAAATCTCAACTGTTTTTATTTACCCATAATAAATATCTGCTGAATGCAATAATGCATGGAGATAACATGACTTTTATAAACGCTGACAAAGATTATTCACCTGGCCAAACGTCAGCTGAGATTCTGAACCTTCTCCTAGGCACTTCTATGCACTTCCTTGTAAACTTCAGTTTTAGCAAAGAACCCAGCTAAATCAGTTTACCAGAAACCCCATCCTTGCTATTTGATCATCCTTGATATCTAATGCAGTTCCTCATTTTCCAACATCCCTTAGGTTGTTCTGATCACCCTGGCTAGTCTTAGAAAGAATCCTGTTTGAATCATTTAGCCAGAATCCCCCTTACCCTGATCCACTGACCTCCACCCCACTGTACTCTTTGGTTATAAGTTCCTAACTGCCCATGCTGTATTCAGTGTTGAGCCCAGTCTGTCTCTCCCCGACACCCACAACCCGCCAGGCAGTGGTCCTACCCTTATGATGATCCTGTGTAAAGTCTTCCTTACCATGCTTTAACAAGCAACATTAAATAATTTTTTTAACACTACTCTCCTTATTTCTTCTGTTTTCTACTGTAGTTTTAAGTTAGATCTATTTTTGATCTTCCTCCAATCTGTTTCTTAAACTGATAATATTCCATATTACAATCTTTTGTCATTCAAAGAAGTTCCTCCCACATTACAATTATAAGCTTTGTATTTAAACACACATTTTTAAAAATTTTTTTAAAAATTTACATACTATTCTTAACCAAGTTAGTGACAAATTTAACTGAATCTTGCCTACATGAATAATTTCACAATGTGCTAATTGAAGAACAGAAAAGAAAGGATGTCTACTTTTCATAAACATAAATAAAATTCAGATAACTATTTTTTGTAAATTATAGATTTTTTAGTTTTTCCACTCTAACAATAATATTTTATTTATAAATAGATCAGAAAAATGCATATTTTATGTCATGTTTTTCTCGAATAAAATATATAATATATTTTTCTCTAAAATAGTATAAGGAAATTATTTTACATATTTTACTTTCAAATACACCTAATTTTAAAATATAGAATAGATAACTAATAATATTTAACCAATAATAATTACCCTTAAATAGTTAAATAAGGCCAGACTTTTTGGAAATGCCTGACTCATATTGTTTCATTTAACATCCATCCAGTTTACCTAACGTACTTATTTTTAGCAAAATCTATAAGTAACAGTATAAAAATGAAAAAAAGAAACACTGAACATTTCCAAGGTAATGTTGCTTGCTCTTTGTGTTGGGATGTGTTTCTTTATTTCAGTAATTTTTCTCTTCCTATTCAAAAGAAGCATCCAGTTATGTTAAATTATTAATCATTTACAATCGTGAATGTTGTACATCCATATTCTTTGAACACCTGGTAATAGAACTCTGCCTTTTTGGTCAGCGTAAGTCACCCTTGCATTACCTCAGAAATGTCACTCCCTTGACACTTAATCATGTCAAAACAGTGGAATGTATGTCACTTCTTCTGTGTAGCAAAGATTCCTACAGGAACAACATGAAACCTTTATGACATTTTTCTAATTATCGATCATTTCATGTCCAAGTAGTTGAAGGTCACTTGTTAAACACACGAACATTTGGTTCATTTTGACATTTTAGATTGATTATGTTACTAGAAAAATTTGTGTTACATGTTTTTACATTTATTTTCTATTAATCTCTAAACTGTTTGATCACTGTGTCTGCTTTTAGTCTCACTAAAGACTATGTATATATTGGAAGAGAACTATACTGTAAACTCCGTAAGTTCTCTGAGCCCTGGTGTTGTGTTTATGTGCCCAAATTTCAACCCCCAGGGCAGACACACAATAGATACTTAATTAATGTTGTTGAAAAAAATGTATAAATGGATATCACTTATCCCACTCCAATCTTCAAACTTCCCTGCATGGTTCTTAACATGAGTCTTTTAAGGAAGAATCTGTTTTTATAACCATATTATTTCAGTAACATTTCAAATTTAAGTATCTATATGAATTTCGAAGGAGAAGTGGGAGAGTTCTGTGTCAAGGCTCACTGAGTCAGCAAGACTGTGGTTGGAGAAGATTTGAAGGGGATAATAAGAAGCACGGCTTTGTATTTTTCTCCACTATGAGGCTAATAAATAATGTCCTGTTTATGGAACAATATCAGATTGGAATAATTTGCTTTCAAATAACAGATACCCAATCCAAACAGGCCAGATTAGGAAGGGAACAGTTTTGACAAACTATCTGAATATTTCAAATAAGGATTGATCTTGTAACATGGTTTGGCAAATTTTGTTTATATTTTTTGCCTTTTAAGATACATAAGCTAAGTTCTTCCCCTGTTCACAGGATGACTTCCGAAGGCTTCAAAGGGTTGTTTTCTTCCTTGTTCACTCTCAGGATAAATTTACGTTTCTTTGGGTGTCTTCTGCAGCAGAATGAGGGATTTTTCTTTTTCAGAGGTCCATACTCAATATCTCCTTGGCTAAAGTGGACTGTCATGGTCATCTATGAAACATTCATATATCCAGAGGAAGAAGGTATTGCTGATTTCTTTGTGGCACACGCTTAGGGCTGTACGTAATGAAGCAAGCTTCACAGTTTGGAATGAATACTTGAATTAAAAAAAAAAAAAAGCAAAGTGCTGTGACTAAAGGAAAGGGAAAATGAATGTGAGAAGTCAAGAACAGAACAGGTTCATCAATGCAATTTGAGTAATATTGATATTATTTAGAGCATTAAGAAAGTGCAGGCTCAGGAATCAAATGACCTTGGCTCAAACGTAGAACTTCCAATCTGTAGAAGTATAAACAAATGCAAATCACTTAATGTCGTTTTGTATGCTTTTTACACCTGAAAATGACAACAACAGGACATACAGCAAAGTTTCATTGTGAATTTTAGCCAAGATAATACATGCAAACTACTTAGTAAATTGCTTAACACCAAGTAAATGCATAATAAATGCTCACCATAATAATAATAATAATGGTTATTATAATTACATTACATTTTTCTATTATGGGCATATATTACCTTTATCGTTAGAAAAATAAAGAGCTTAATAACCATGTCTGGAGCGTTATTGTCAGGAATGAACACATTAATAATCTATGTGTTTCTTTCCAGTATAGCCATTGTTTTATTGGTCTGAAATCATTTGCTTAGCTCCCACTAGGCAGTTTATTAAAGTTATTTGAAGGCGGTATCTCTCCATTTAACTTTATAACCCAAAGAGCCACTGCAATGTTTGACATATACTGGATTACAGTTAGATGCTTATTCAAAACAGTCAAAGAATGAAGATGGAAAGAAAGAAAGGACGGAGAGAGAGGGAAATGGTACTAAAAGAGAGAAAATGGTTAAAAGACATGAGTAAGAAGATGATTAGCCTGGGGGAGCCATCTCTGAAAGGTCATAAGAAGTGTCTATATTAATTTTCTATGCTGTCGTGTGATTACATGTCTTCTTTGTGTACTCAGAATACAGAACTTATATGGAACTACCGGTCAAAATTTACATGTAGATAGTTATGTCCCAATCTGAAAATGAGCAAACAACCACAAAAATCAAATTAACAAAGCACTGACTATCCAAAAATGAAATGAACAGCTTCTTGCCAGAGACACTTGGACACTCATTTTTTTTTCATTAGAAATGACTTGGAGAAAATTTTTAAGGAAATTCATTCATTAGAAAATCCTTGGTTTTAATGACAGGGTTCTCTTCAGCTCTGAGACTGTGTCAACCCTATAACTTGTTATATTTGTAAATTAAGTATTGAAATTAAATATTAAATACTGTTACTTTTCAAAAGCAATATCATCTATTTAGCAAATAGCACTAATGCTTGATTTCTGGTATTTACACTTTGCTTCTCATCATGCCATCACAGCTCAAGTGAAGAAAATTTAAAGTAGGTTTATGGATGCCAACAATGACTATTTGAATTTAACAAAATTGTATTTTAAATTTTTATTTAATAAAAATCCTTTTTTTAACTTAAAAAACCATTATATATGACACTTAAAAGCCAAAATCAAACTCACTTTCCAAAGAGAAATCATTTCTATTAGAATTTTTTAAATGCTAAAAAGATTTAGCACAAAATACAATGTAAAAATAATGAGTCCTTGTCTTCTCATATTTTTTTTTCAATAAAGGATCACTGATTCAGGAATTCTGCAACCTCTCTCTGTATTTGAGGAACAAAGACTACATCTCACATTTGCTCTACATGAGGCAATGAATAAAAGATCATAGATAAAAGAAAACCAGTAAATCATCATTTGCATTGTATTGATGTTTCCTGAGGTATAAAATCCCCTAGAATTTCCATGTGCTATCACATTGTTATGGAGAAGGTGCTCTTAAAATAACATGGGATTGAAAACACACGTGTGTGTGTGAGGAATAATCTGAGATGTATGCTATGACAAATTCCTCAGAAAAAAGAGAAAAATATCACAGTTTTATTATACCATAAGAGATGTGGATTTTATATAAAGCTTTGTTTTACCTTATTTTATCATTTTTAGAAAACACATGCCAACAAATAATGACTGATCCCTAAGAGTATTATTTAAATAGTAAAAGATAAAAAATAAAATAAGTAAATACCTGGATTTATTAAGAAATGTAATATATGTATTTATTTATTTTAATGAATTTCAAATTGAAGAAATAATTCTTCAATAATATATTTTCTAGATGTTGAAGTTGAGGCCTCAGTATAAGACCAAACATTGAATCAGAATTAATGTAACAGTTATTCAAAAGTGTACATACTAACATCAAATTATAGGATTAGTATCTTTTGATGCCCTTCTACCAATCCATTGTAGAAAATCAGCTTATAATTGGAGCATGATATTGCTACTTTGGTCTGTTTGCAATATAAATTATAAATATTTGTTTAGGGTGGGTAAGATAGTTAAGTGTAAGTTGCCCGTGATGCAGTGGAAATGTTAAAGACATAGCTGTAAGTCAAATAATTCATTTGAGTTTTAGGAAACTGCCAGGCACGGTAACAGTTCATATTGTCCGGGAAGGAGATGAAGCAAAGGATAGTAGGTAAACATAGATAAAAATAATAAGAAGAATAGAAAAGTAATTGAGAATTGTAAAGAATTACAGAATGCCATATAATAATATATTTTGTGGTTATACTGAGGTAGGGCAGGAGAGCCCTAAAACTGGTGCTTAGTCTAGAAGGGCTCTCGGCTTCACCCAGGAAAGAATTCAAGGGTGAGCCAGTGCTGTTAAACAGGAACCTTCACTGAAGCATCAGTGTACAGCATCAGCAGAGATACTCCTTCTTGCAGAGCAGGGCTAACCCATAGGCAGTGTGCCCAGAGTAGCAGCCCAAAGGCAGTTCTGTAGTCATATTTATACCCACTTTTAATTACATGCAAATGAAGGAGTATATTATGCAGAAATTTCTAGAAAAAGGTGGTAACTTCCTGGTTGCCAGGTCATAGCCATGGAAAGGAGCAGTAACTTCCAGGTGTTGCCATGGCAATGCTAAACTGACATGGCACATTGGTGGGTATGTTTTATGGAAAGCTCCTTCTCCCCATCCCTGTTTCAGCTAGTCTTCAATTTGATCTGGTGTCTGAAGCCTGCCTCCAGAGTCAAATCTCACCTCCTACCTCGATACCACTGTTTATATAGCCTTCTTTTAAGTGGACATTTTACCTGTTTGAAGGTTTTACCTATCATGTCTAGAACTTATATAAACATTCTTGTCCACCTTTTTGTTGATCATAACTGCTTATATGTTTTTGGTATATACCATGGAATAGAATTCTTGAGTCACAAGGTAAATATATCTTTATCTTTAGTAGGGGTTTTAGAATTTTTTTCATAGTTTTTGTGGCAATTTATACTTTCACCAACATTGTGAATATGTTAGTGGCTGCATATTCTTGCCAATATTTATTATTGTTCTTTTCTTATTTTGTTTTGGTAATATCTCATTTTTGTTTAAATATCCATTACCCTGATGACTAATGACATTGACAACCATTTCATATACTTATTGGCCATTTTTATATACTAAGATGAAGTACCTGTTCAAGAATTTTCTCTGCTTTTCAAAGTTTAGTCTCTCTTTTTTTTTATTGATTTGTAGAACTTATTTACACAATCTGTTTTTGTTTTGCTTTTTAAATTGGTGAGAAATTGAAGGCTGTAAATGTTAGGGAATTTGAAATCACAAATATAAAATTGGAAGAACAGAAATTGTGGCACAATTCTACTGCATTGCAGTACAACTCCTTTTCTAATAAACCACTTTAGAGAAAAAAATGAAAGTTTTATAATAACAAACATATTGTCAAATGACTTTTATTACTCCATTTCTAATAAATCACAGGCCTGAACACAATCTTAGTCAGTTTAGCTGCCTGTCCTCACCACCCCACAGGAATTCTGTTCCTAAAAATACACTGACCATTAGAATGAAAGTGAATAGGAAAATGAAGTTTTTCTTATTTTTTCATTAAATTGATCTAAAGCAATGCAAATAATGCAAAAATAAATAAAGCATTAAATATACCTTGATTTGAAAAAGACAAGGAGATGTTTCAAAAATGATTTTGAAGTCATCTGAAAAAATGTTTGCTACTCACAGGATGAGAATAAAAAGAAAAAAATACATGTTTTATTATTGTCAGTAATTTAGAAGTTTTACTGAACAGAGAATATGAGGAAGCAGAATATTAAATGCCGGTGAAGTGGAAATAAATAAATGAAACTAGAAAATTTGCGTATGCACATTGATAAAATTATGTCGGAATTCCATACTCCATATGAAATGAAAATATCACACTCTATTTTGAAGTTCTGTTGTTATTTTATTAAGAATTGCAGACTTTAAGAGAAAGTTACAGTGACTAAATATTTCCTTGTAACTGAGTAATAAAAACAAGCGGTGTAAACTGGAGTATATGAAAAGCTCTCATTTGTCTGATGACTGATAGCTTTTTCATTTCTATACTTTTATTATCCTGAATACAAGTGAGGTTTATGGAGCACAGATGAGAGTTATTGTCAGTTACTGCAGCACCGGCAGCATTGGTTTCACATGTGCCAACCTTTCCCCCTTATTAGTGCCCGTTAGCTGGTGCTATGAGAACCAGATAGACTCTGCACATGTGCAAAATGGGGACTCTTAACACCACAAGAGGTGAATCAAACAAACTTGAATTGAGATCTTACATATATTGCCTTCCTCTTTCCTCCTTCTTAAGGATAGGGAGAGAAACCCCTCTCAATGTAAATAAATTCCCCTTAGGGAGAGAAAGGGAAGTTTCCTAAATATCTTGTGTTTTGAATAAATAAATGACTCCAGGGAAATACAAGGTAAGTGTCTCCAGATTGACAACCCCTGAAGTGTCTTCATAGCTCCAGAGTCCATTCCATTTTGATATTTAAATACACACCTATGGAAAGTTTAACTCTTTTCAGAATTATATCTTTTTAGTCAGCTCTTTGAATCCCAAGCTGTCCCTTACCCCAAGTCCCATTTGTTTGGAAAGCCCTAGCCAAGCAAAGAAATGAAAATATTTTATCTACAGTCCTACAGTAATTTTCGTTTATGTTTTAACCTTTTTCACCCACCTTAAAACTGACACATATATTTTATCATTCTTTCCAAATGTTTGTGTACTCTTTTCCCAACTGCTAATTCTAACATTGAAGGGAGAAAATATTTTCAAAAATTTATAAACCAATAAGCCTAGTACTTTTATTATACATTTATAAGTTCTAATTTGAATGTCCCTCCCTTACCATAAACCTTCTTTAGACAACACAATATGCTGCCATTGTAGGGTATTTATTTTTCAACACCTATTGTATTTTATGTCATGTGTGACTCTTTGGTGGAATTGCCTACATCTACAGCATCTTTGTCCAACTATCTCTTGCACAGTTGTTATACATGAAAATAAGGCATAAGGGTAATTATATTGTTGGGCAAAATTAAAATAATTGCTAATGCTATTTTAATGTAATATTCTGCTTTCACCGTATGTAATATTTTAAACTGTTATTACAGTATTATTGAAGAAAATCATACTTTATTATTATTTTGAGCAATTAGAATGGGGAAATATATTTTTAAAGTACATTTGTAGGAAATAATTATTTTGGTGAGAAGCACATTTTAATAATATATTTTTAAAGTATATTTGTGTGAAATAATTATTTTGGTGAGAAACACATTTTAATAAGTTTATTTAAACTTAAGCAACATAAACTAAAATCTACATTTTATCTTCCAAGTATATATGACACTGTGGTTGTCCATGAGATACTGTGGGCAAACTCAACCTCCAGTAGTTATACATAATTAAAGGGCTTTACAGTTTAATAGTCTGAAAGCACTCATATTTTGCTGATGTGAAATGGGTTCTTGGAGAATTTAAGTGGTAGAGTTTAAAAAATTCTCTAAGGTAACGTTCTGAATATAACTTAATGAAATAAACTAGCATTTGCTTTAGATGTGCTTATGTGCCATAAACGTTTCTCAATAGTTTAAGGCATTTGTGCATTTAATACATATAGAAAGCAGAAAACTATTTTATGTATTTTTTTATGTTATAGTATTTCTGTGGAAATATTATAGTGAAATTTCATTAGTTTATTAGGATACAAAGTAAATTTTAGGTTGTTTAAAAATGGCTAGTATTTATATGTTAGGCCATGCTGCTGTCCATCCCCACTTGAGAATTTTCCTTACTAGCTCCAGAATGGTCAGGGGAAAGAAGCTGTAAGTCTGGCCTCAAGAGAACCCTTCACTACCAAGCAATGTTTTAATCTACTTGTCTTTAGTCCTTAGAGCAGGTCTGACCTCATAATTTTCTTCCCTAAATCACAAGGCAGATTCCTCTTTCAGTGCAACCCTTCCAATATTGTTCTCAGAAGTGTGTGTGTGTGTCAGTATGTGTTTGTGTGTCTTTCTTCCTGACTTCCAGAGGAAAGCTCCTAATTCCTGATTCAACTTTATGGCAGGGATTGGTTAAAACATTTAATGGCTGTCAGTGCACACTGTCTTCATGTAGCCCAACGCTTTATCTGTTTTGCATTCGCAGAACCTATGTGGTCAGCCTGTGGGACTGCCCAGCTCACCATTTCTCCCATTCCTGGCTGATGTTGAGTGAAGTGATCTTCTGCAAGGAAACATTATCTTAGAATTCAGAGTAACTTTAAAACTTTATAATGCCATTGTATGTTTGAAAACCTAACTTGTCAATGGCCTCGGATATAGAAAACTGCTTTCCCTAGCCTACAAAACTTATTATCCCATCTGATACCTTGATCTCATGGTTTGCTTTGGACAATAAACAAGCTGTCATTGGCTTGTCCCTCAGTGGTTATCACAGGGTCCTCTAACATGCCGCCTTTTTTCTTCTTCTTTTAATAGTATTTTTTCTATTTAAATTATTTTCAACTCATAACTGTTGATTTCATGGTCAAAGGTTATTAATGTATTTACCCACAAAACCCTTTTAAAACCATTTCAATATTTTTCTCTCAAGCAGTGTTTCCCCAATTCTCTCTACCTATCTTCTATGCTATGACTGATATAGTCATTCATTTCTTCATTCCCAAACACTTTCAAGAAAAAAAAAAAAAAACCTTAAAACTGGAAATAGTACAACAAAAGTAACAATATTACAAAAACAAATAAATAAGATGAAAAAATAAGTGGAGAGGAAAATGAGAACAAAAAGAAATATAGGATAAAGACATAAAGACAAGAATAATATTAGACTCAAATTGATTCTTTAAAAAATTACCCACGTACTATCATCTGTAGAATAGTTTCTAACGTTTTAATCCCAACTTGAAGCATATAATTAGTTGTAAAATGTATAGTCTCCCTAAGATAAAAACAAAACTGTTTGAAAACTCAAGTCTCCCAAGTAGAAATCTGAAAGCGGGCCAGGCACGTGGCTCACGCCTGTGATCCCAGCCCTCTGGAAGGCTGAGGCAGGAGGATCCCTGGAACCCAGGAAATGGAGACCAGCCTGGGCAACATGGCAAAACCCCATCTCTACAAAAAGTACGAAAAGTAGCCAGGTGTGGTGGCATGAGCCTGTAGTCTTAGCTACTCAGGAGGCTGAGATGGGAGGATCGCTTGAGCCTGGGAGGTCAATGCTGCAGCAAATTGCTCCATTACACTCCAGGCTGGACGGCAGAATGAGATCCTGTTTCAAACAAGCAAAAAGAACCAGAAAGCAGTATTTTTCCTATTATCTTCACCATATACTTAAAGTGAGCAAAACTATGACTTTTAGAGATATTTATTTTAAGGTATGTCAATATCATAACATAACTTGAAATTCAGAAAAAAAAAATGATTCTATGAGGAACCAAAACAAAACGGTTCAGGCAAGAGACTTCAAAATGCTGATCTCATGCAGAGGAAGACGATAGTATCCAGGTGTGGGATCAGAATGACATGCTATCCATATCTGTCACTCATGGAATCTCCCTCACTGATGGCAGGTATTTTTAAGTGATTGTTAAATCCTTTTGCCTAGGTTCATATGTGGCCCCAGGGAACGACTGCCAGTGAGCTGGGCATGGCATGAGAGGAGAATCCTGGATGCTATCAGTTAATTTAAGAAATAGATGTTCAGGCAGTACTCTATACATGTTATTTTTCTTGATTGACCTTGGGTATATAATGGGCAACAGTGACAAGTACCCATTGTGCAGCTATTCGAGATTGCCTTTTAAGCAAGGATTCTAAAGTTTGAACAGTAGTAATTTGTGGGTGGAAATTGTTCTCTCTTTCTAAACTGCGATAGCCTGAATGACAAGATAAATGCTTTAGTATAAAGCCACTCCAACATTGCTCCCAGGCATAATAAGGAAGTAGTTTCAATACAATACCTTAAAATCTCATAAAGTTAATTTTTTAGGGGGTGAATGGTGGGAGGAATTGACTGAAAATATTTAAAAAGTCAGATGTAAGTGGAAAATCAATCAAGAATAGCTAAGGGACTCTTGAAGAAGAAAAAGAAGAAGGCGGAAGAATTATATTTAAGATATAAAGAACTATAATAACACTACATCAATGATGTTAGTATAATATTAATGTAAGAACTGAAAAATTAATAAATGGAATAACATAGAGTCCAGTATTCATATGTATATGGTTATCTGATCTGTGATCGAGGTGATGACCTTGCAGGGTAGTGAGAAAAGGTGATATTTTACAAAATGGTGCTGGGTCAACTGACTATCCACATAGAAAAATGCAGTCTTGGCCCCTACCTCAAACCGAACATAAAAATTATTTCCACATGAATTATAGACCTAAATTAGAAAGGTAAAATGATCAAGATTTCAGAAAATGTATGGGATAACTACCAGCAATGAAATCTCATACACTGCTTAATAAAAGAAGGCCAGGACTAGGCTGAGCTGAGTGAAGTGCCTAAGACACAAAATTTAAGGTGGCACTTATTCTCTGGGTCATGCAAATACCAAGTATAAATTGGCACGATTACTCATGAAAAGTATTTGTTGCATACACCAAAGCATAAGTTCTGATCCAACAATTCTTCTAGGTATATACCCAACAAAATAAATGTCATATAGTCAACAAAAAGCAAGTAAATAAATGTTTATAGGAGCATTGATTATAGTAACCAGGATACTTCAAACTTCTATCAATGGAAGAATTAATAAAGAATTTATGGCATATTAATAAAATGGAATAGACTATACAGCAGTGAGAATTTTGAACTACTACTGTAAATAGCAAACATGAATGAATCTTATAACATAATGTAAAGTTAAAGAAACCAGACACAAAGAAATATATATTGAATAATTATATTTATATGCATGTCAAACACAGGTAAAATTAATCTGTTGTGTTAGGAGTCAGGATACTTGTCATATTGTGAAAATTCATTGATGTATACACCTACTTTTAATACACTTTTTGTATATATGTGTTCAACTAAATATGTGTATATATGTTCAATTATGTATATGTTCAATTTGTATGTATATGTTCAATATTTCAGTTTACACAAAATAAAATAATAAATCATATTAGAAACAAAGAGGAACTAGATGGAGGGAGTCTTTGAAAGTCTGAAAGTGATGAATATTTAGTATGTCTCTACACAGAATGCCATGACCAGTAAGGCCTTATATGACTGGTGACATTCACATGGTCCCAGTTTCATATTATCTCCATATTTATGGGGGTTCATCTGCATAACTCTTCCACAGGCATCCTTGTCATCAAATTTTCACACTTGGTTCTTCAAAGTTCCTATCTATGCTCAGTTGACAACAAGCAACCATGCCAATTAATAGTTTAATAAACTGGAATATTATCTATTGTTTATTCATAGTCTTTTTGCTTTGTTTCCAATTGCCTACTTTCTTTTCAAAGTGTCCAATTTAAAAATCACGGTACGATGTATAGAATGTGAGGGAGAAAAATAATGTATGTGAAATTTATTCTAAATATATAAGAAGAACAGATTTATACCAAAAATCAAACCAAAACTACAAGGACAGTGGAAAAACACACATGTCAGTTTTAAACCAACAACTTTCTATACAATATAATGGAAAATAAGCATCTGATATTTTGCATAATAGTCAATACAGTAGCACCCTGCGGTTTACTAATATTTAGATAAAATCAACTTAGAATTGCCATCAGGGGGGCATGCCTATAAATCTAACAAGGTGGCCTGGGATATAAAAATACTGTTCTTATTATTGGCATGATAATTTAAAGTAGATTAAAACAGCCAAATTCGGGCATAGCTAAGAAGGCACTAAGGGATTCTTCAGGAGTAACAAGGAGAACAAACAGATGTAGGAAGGAAAAATACAAGCACAGCCGATCAAGGAACCAAGATTGGAAAGGGTTGATGTTTTGTAGAACTCATGTAAATCAAACTATCTGCATTTGAGAAAATATGATCATTTTATTCCTTGACATAGTTTCCTGTAACCATTAATAAATCAGCAAATGAACTCAGTGTTAAGGAAATTAAGTTGTTTTATCTCCTCCACCAATCTTACACTGGTCCTAAGACTGGAAGATGGGATCGTTCAGTTTCTAAGCAACACTCTTGAGTTGAACTGGGATCGCAGCT
Source organism: Homo sapiens (assembly GCF_000001405.40). Classification (NCBI taxonomy): domain Eukaryota; kingdom Metazoa; phylum Chordata; class Mammalia; order Primates; family Hominidae; genus Homo; species Homo sapiens. The sequence goes on along the minus strand of NC_000003.12, from coordinate 79,887,432 downwards.
TTATGACAGCCTACTAGAATAAGGGAATAGTCTCCCTCCTTTTCACAGCAGTCAAGGAGAATGAATCCATTTGGTATAAAGAGTGAAGAAAGACATTGTCAAGGAAGACATCTGGGCCTGTGTAAATCAAATATACCATTAATTCCTCCTGATCTTGTTGCTGAAATACAAGGCTCCCAGGAGATAGATTACTTGAAAAAATCCAGTGCTCCAAAAATGACTCTCCAAAATTAGAGAATTATTATGCAGCCCAGGATTAAATATGGATAACTGTTTTATACTGTATTTTATAGTTTATCTTACAAAAGAAATTATCCACATATCTCTTATCCACATATCATTTCTCTTTTGTTGTCTAATAGTTTATACTACATTATAAATTGGCTGCATAAAGCTTTAAAGGCAAGGATTAATTTTTTGTCATATTCTCTTCATATAGCCTATTTCCTGGCACATAGCAAGCGCTAAATAAATGTTTGTGTAATTAATACTTTTGACTATTGAAAAAGTCTGCAGTTTGAATAATTTGTTACATATTATAATAATGATTTACCAGAATATTAGGTTTTAAAAGATTGCCATTTTTGAATTTAATATAGGATCCAGTGGAAGAACCAGCCAATATTTTTTATTGCTTCCTATGTTAGAAAGATAAAATTTATTTTTGTTTTATTCCAGAAAAGGGGAGAAGGAAATTTTTATTTGCATGTTAATTATTTATTTTTAAGTGACTTCTATTTGACTTTATCCTACCGAGAAAAATATTTTTTTCTACTAGAAAACTTTAGAGGCATTTTAGCATTTATAAGTGAACATCTTTACGCACAACTCTTATTATATCTACGACTCTTGATGCAGGTAAATTTTAAATGAAGGAGTGTTTTGAAAAATAGTGCTGATAACTAAAGTGCTGCTGCAACAAAATGAGGCTCCAAAGACCAGGGCCGAAAGCTGCTTTTGATTGCACTAGCTAAGGCTTGTGTTGGGCAGATTGCCTGCAGCAGTAAGCAGAGATAGAAGGAGGCCTCCTCTGCAGTTCATGTGTCAGTGCTGAGAGAGGTGTTCTTATCTTTCTGTCTCTATAGCTAGCTCTATTTGACTGGAATTCTCTCCAGGCTTTTGAAGCAATGTAGCCTTTTCTTGTTCCCTCTGAGAGCAGCCTGAAGGGCTTTATTTCCCCCTTCGATAAGTTAGCCATAGTTGTGAGAAAGTGGCAAAGCCGTGGCTTCTTAATACTGACCAGACACATCCCTTTGACAATTTTCTGCCTGATAAATCCTTAACATTTCCTATGGGTGAAAATCATAGGAACATGTGTGAGGGGAAGAAAATGATTTCACTGTTATTTTACTTTTTATAGACGGAAAATTCTGCTCTACCAGCCCATTTATATTCAGACCATCGCAGATCAGAATTCTCTGGACTAATTATTTTGTTCCTGAGTGAAAAATAGATATTAGATTTTTTAGGATGCAATGAATGAATGGTTCCACAGTTACAGAATGTACACTTGACCCCTACTAATTGTTTTAAATATGTGTTCCATTGTTTCCAAGGGTCTAAGTGGGGTCGAAATGGAGTTATTCTTAAGGAACTATGATAATCCTGGCTTAACACATTGATGTCTAGTCCACCCATGGGTCCAGGCACAATACGGACAAAATAAATGTTTGGGAGAGGAAAAATCATTATAAAATGATGGTGCCTGCCAGGCAGGTAAACAAACCTCACATACCAGCTGATTGGATGAAGGAAGTGTGATTATATGAGCCTCACGGTTTTTGTTTTGATTTTGTTAACACAGGCTGACAGGAGTCACAGTCTTCTCAGTGAAATGCAGTGAACTGTAGATATATATGCTTGGGGCAACTCTGGGAAGAGTCTGATATCATCAACACAAATGCGTCACTCCAGAAAACACAAATGTGTACATTGCCTTTTAAAGGTGGGTCAAAGGCACCATCCTTGGCACGTTTATACAACATTAGTTCCAGTTATATAGTTTACAGTAGTGAAAAAAGTAACACAATTAACCTGAAAAGGTTAATGGTTTTTATTTTTCCACTCATAATTTGAAACACTCATCTCCCTCGTAGAAATCATGGCAATAAAGAGTTAGTAGAAAATCTGAAGTTATAGCTCAAAAGTTCAATAAGCTTCTAAGAGCACTTAATGCTCAAACAGCCTAAAAGTGTTTTTATGGAGATCAATGGTCAATTCACTCCTCAGCCGCATTTTTTTTCTATGAAGTGCAATGGTTGTATATTTCACCATAATATTTAAGACACAAAGATATTGGCTAAAATCTGTACACTGAAAAAGTCTTTCAATGCTCAGTGTACCTTGTAGGTGAAAGTCAATGTAGGTGGTTATAAAGGGAGTTGGATCTTTGGTGTCTCTTATAGGTCCGATGCTGAGTAAAACAAATTTTAAATTAATACTGCAAATTTCAAAAAGGCACATATTTAAGAGAGAAGAGAGAGGTGGCTACCCTCCAGAGGTACTCACTTACAGGAATTCCATTTCTACACATGGCACTCAGCTGTGAAGGCTCAGAAATGGGATTATTTTTGGACCCTGAATCAGTGTCTTCAGAGGGTTAAGTTAAGCTAACCATACTCATAAGACAACCAAGTGAGACCTGATTATTATTAAATAAAACATACAGCTATCAGGAGGACAGAATACTTCTATTTACTTACTGATCAGCATATTCCTTCCCTATAGGCAAGTTAAATTATAATTATATGATTTCACAGTCAACATGGGAATAAAGCGAGAGCAGTTAATTGGATGTTTTATTGCTTAATGCTATCAAGCCCTGAGAGCGTGAAGTATTCATGTCAACACAGAGACAGCAACAGTTGCTCATGGGTGGAAGCTTGGGCTCATATGGAAAGTCCCTGACACACTTCCAAAGGTATAAAGATAAATAAATAAGTTGACAGTGTTCAGCACGCTGTGTTAAATCTGAATATGCATCTTGTTAAAGTGCTCAGTTGTATGTTGCATTCATAAATATTGCCTGTGCCTAGCATACTTCTTTGAACAGAGCTGCAGGAAGTTTCCATTTCTCTAGAGGATTTTGAGACTCCCAGGTCTTGAAATGTCAGTAACCACACAGAATAGCAATTCTCAACATGTTTGGCCTCAGAACTCCTTTATACTCCTAAATATTTTTTGAAACCCCAAAGAATTATTATTGATTTGGATTAAATCAGTCAATATCCAAAAATTATAAATTAAAACTAAAAGAAACTTCATCAATTTATTTTTTAAGATAATAGACCCCTACATGTTAACATGAATAATTACATTTTTTTAAAAACTCTCTTTAAAAAAATCATAAGTAGTATGGTATTATTTTTATTTTTATAAGCCTTGTTAATGTCTGACAATAGAAGTCAACTGTCTTTATGCTTCTGCATTTAATGTTGTGATATCACAGATAATGTAGTCTTTGAAAAAAATATTCTGTACAACATGAGAGAAAAAAATGAAAAAGGCAAATGGCCACATGCAATTATCATTTCCATCATTTTGATCTCAGGAACTCCATGGAAATGTTCCAAGTGTCCCTAAAGGTCTGCAGATCACTCTTTGGGAACTGTCACCGTAAAGAATTAAGGTTTTTCCCTCTGCCTCTTCTCTGCCTTCATCTTTAAAGCTAAGTTATTCATTGTTTGCTGCCATTCAGTAAACAAGTCATATACACAATTATGAGGCCTTTCAATTAAAATTGCTGCCTGTTAAAGCCAAATGGTTGACAATATAGATGAAATAACAAAGAAGAATTATCTGGGCATATGTTAAAGAATATAAATTGAGCTGAAGTCATGAAAACAAGAAAATTTTAAGAGACAGTTTGCAAGAACTGGAGAAATTCATTGAGATATGGAGACTTAGGGGAGACAGAAACCCATGCAAGTTGTGAACTGATTTTTGTGGGTTTTTTTGTTTGTTTGTTTTTGTTTTGCATTGTTTTGTTTTTGAAAGAGTCTCAGCTGTCACCCTGGTTGGAGTGCAGTGGCAGTGGCATGACCTTGGCTCACTGCAACCTCTGCCTCCCGGGTTCAGGTAATTCTCCTGCCTCAACCTTCCAAGTAGCTGGGATTACAGATGCCCTCCACCATGCCCTGCTAATTTTTGTATTTTTAATAGAGACGGGGTTTCACCATGTTGGCCAGGCTGGTCTCAAACTCCCGACCTCAAGTGATGCACCCGCCTAGGCCTCCCAAAGAGCTGAGATTACAGGCGTGAACCAGTGCACCCGGCCTGGTTTTTAAATACTTGGACAGTGGATTCTAGCCCTAACCCTGTGTTCTAGGGTTTACCACTATCACACTCATGCTAGCTGACATTGGTTTAACTTAGTTTCCATTTCTCAATTCTGAGTTTAACAAAAATAGCTCTGTTTTTTCCAAAGTTCATTTTTTTAATAGAAAACTTTTCTCAGGTTTTCTATTTTTGCCCACATTCTTTTTCAAAATTCTTTTTATACACTTTACATAATTCTGATTTTTCTAATATTGTGACTAAAATCTTCCCCTAAATCTCAGTAAGCTAGGTAAATGTTAAAAATCTGAAGCTAATAAGGTACCCACCTGGCCACCTGCCACTGTGCAACTCTTAGCAACACTTGTTAATACTTCCTGAGGCATCTCACTACCATGTCTCAGCTCATTGCTAACCCCAGATTTGTCATTGTCCCATTGTCCTATTGACAAAAGGTCAAGAAAGGTTAATAACTGGAGATTGAACTTTCTCAGAAGTATTCATGTACCTGTCCCTTCTCTGGTCCATTCTAAGTGATGGGGTCATATTCAACAGAGTCCCAAGGTGAACTCCAGATGGGTGAGTATACAATTAGCACACTAATTCCTTGAGAAAACATGTTTACTAATATGACTGGACAAAACAGAGCCATTTGGAACATTTTGTGTAGAATAACTTAGCTTTAGTTTTTATATTGTATTACCTTGGGGTTCAGAAACCCAAGGAAATATAATAGTAAAGTAACAAAGAGAACAATAATTCTTCTCAGGTCCCTGATATCTCAGAGGATGCTGTTCTTTAATACTTGTGTTTTTGCCTGATAAAATCCCTAAAGTAATATTCTGTGGTGACCTAAAGCCTCCCATTTTCTATCTACTAATGTGATAATTAGAGTCTCCCCAAAATGTTTTGTATTTTAATAATCAAACTTGATTAACGTTAATTCATCATCAGAAGAGGTTTTGATTGGCACATAATATAGAAAGAAATTTAAGAGTTGGTTTTTTTCACCTGGAATTCATGATGCAAATTTATTATGTCCAAAACAGTGCTTCACTGAGTGATATGAAGTAACGTTAAGCACCAGGAGTCTGTACCAGAACTCCCCAGACACTCTACACTTAAGGTTCTTCATTTTGCAGTATAGACATTTCTATCACATTTTAAAATTAAAATAATGTTTTATGCTTTAAGTCCAAATCAGGAGTAGAATCACAGTATAAACTTTCCACTGGAGATTTTGTCTGCTAAGTTACTTTTGATGTAAAAACATTTCCTAGTGAGATTTTTGTCTATATATCATGTGAGTGAAGATACTACATAAATTGATTAGGTAGGCTGAATAAAATTTAATACATTCTAATATTTAATAGAGTGTTATTGGTGCTGATTTCCTTGAAATCTCTGAACATATCAATATTTTCCCATTTGAGCTGTGCAGAAGAGTAAGACTTTCTGGGTGTGCAGCCAACTTTTGTTGTTTCTGGCTTCCTAGCTCCTCGGACTCATTTGTAACAGCATCTGATTTCCCCCTGGGACATTATATCTCCCACACTGTGCACCCTACAGATAATGGAATGATAAAACAGTGTGTTGGTTCTTTCTTCCCCTCCTAAAAGTCAAAGGAATGCCTGGAAGTTCCTTGCATCAGATTCTGTCTCCAAATATCAATCTTTACTTTAGCTTCAAGCATTCTAGCAGTGGATATCAGGTGGCTAACTTTGCCTGTGTTCCCCCTATTCTTGTCTGTTCTAAGTCTGGTTTTCAGTTTTTATTTTTATTCTTGGTTGTTGTTGTTTATCTTGCATGCAGTCTTGTTCTTTTAAAAAATTCAATTTCTGTTTGTCAGTTAGGGTCACTCTTTGTTACTTGCAACTAAATAAACCTAAATGACATAGAAGAAAAAGTAAGAACAATTTTTTTTTTACTGTAAGTATTGTTTCTTAGATATTTTTAGTCTACTCCAAAGATAAAGAACATAATTACATTGCAATGTGTCTAAACTATCTACCAAAGCATGTAATAGTTTCCTTCCCTTCCTAGTGTTTCATCAGAAGTTCAAAGATCAAAACAAAATGGTAACTGCCAAGTACTCCGTATCATAAAGAAGATGCTATATCATCCATGCGGCCAGTGTCAAACCACTGTGAAAATAATTCTGCCTGCGTTACCCAGTATGCCTGCCTCCAGACTGTATACGGGAGTTGATGAACTTGGAGTGTGGGGAATATTTCAGAGACAGTTTTCAGTGTTTTGTGAATGGAACATACACACGCACACATACATGCATACACACACAGGTGTACACACATACACACAAAAAGCGCGGTAGTTTTTTTTCTATCACCACAGGCAAAGAGAACACGCTTTAGAAGTACTTCTTAGAGAGCTTTTAAATGTTCTCTGGAATTTGGGAGACAGAAAGACTAGTATATATCTGTATTATATATGGCATATAGGATAACATATGTAGCAAAAATAGATATAGATACATAGATATACGAGAGAGCAAATAAATTAGAAAGTTATTTATCTAGAAATTGTAGATTGAGTAAATAATAACTATTCTACACTCATATAAGGACACTGTTCAGCTATTAATATTAAAATTATGGTACATTTATATTTATTAATAGATAAATACTCGTAAAATATTTGTAACTAAAAACATCAGCTATTTGTGCTTCATATTCATAATGTATGTATACAAATAATAATTATAGAAAAATAATGGAGGACAACAAACTAAAATGATAGTATAAATTATCTCTTGTTTTTTTCTCACATAATTATTCTCTTTTTGATTTTGCTTATCCAAATTTTTAAATTTTTAATTTTTCTGTATAAATATTATGTGTAAAATAAACATGGCTACTTTTCAAAGTAATCAAAGTTTTTAAAATAATCTGTATTTTTTTATACCAGCAGCACAAAAGTGTATCAACACAGAGTAAGGATTAAAGTTTTCTGAATCCTAATCTGAAACATTGCTTCTGATACATAAAATCATAGTGCATGTGAAGCTTTGGAATTAAACAGACTAGGCTTGGTTTATGGCTCTCAATTTTTTAAGGAGTTTGGGAAACACCAACCTAAGGCTTCACTTAAAAGTTTTAAAAATCTAATTAAAAAAAATTCATTCCTCACAAAGTATTTGGAACTCCTAAGGATGTCATTGACATCCTAAATAGTTAAAATATTGAGTAGTTTTAAGGTATATTTGTGGATTTAAATGTCTTATTGAATGTGCTAACTTGCAGCAGGGTCTTTTATGTGTTCAGAAAAATATAAGAGGATAGAATTTCAGTTTATACTGAAGTAATGACCACAAATGCTTTAAATGAATGCATTAATAAATCCAAAATAATCAGGACATTCATTCCATTAAAATGTCTTTTAAATACCTTTTTAAGGAAATGATTAGCCTTAACATAACAATTGTTTAATACTAGCTATTGTGAAAAGAAACATGTGGCTCTTGCTAAAATTAAATGTCATAAGTTGTTTTGAGTCTCTCAGTTTTCTGAATTGAAAATTTTAAATTACTTTTAATAAATAACCCTGAAAATGTAATGCCATTCCAAAATCACACTTGGCTTTTATATTGATTTGTTGCATATTTCCTTAGAGATACAAATCGACTTGTTGATGTTTTCTGTTTATTCTTGAGGATCAGTAACAGTGTATTCAACTTGCAGCTTTTTCATAGATACAAACAGGAAGGTTGCCAATTAGGTTGGAATTTTCTGTGAAATAGGTGAGGATTTACAAGGAACTGGAATAAAACCAGCTGTGTTCACTAGGAGACACCACTGGGTGTGGCTTTTGTCTCAGGCTATATTCAAAATTAAACTGAAATATAATAACCACAAACCCAAATTACTAGCATTTGACAAAATAAGGGGGTAATTTAAGTTTTGTAACTAAATAAAAAGGAAGCATAGTCTGAAGAACAAGAAATATTTATATGTGAAAATCCTGTACATAAAATGAAAATATTTCATATCACTTGTGTAATTCCTAAAGAATAAGATGACATGTTACTAACATACTAAAAATTATTTTCATCAAGACTGAATAGGCTTTATATGACAATTTTATAGGGACAGGAGGCAGGAAATTCTGGGCAGAAGAGGGCAGGTCCCTGGCAAGGGCGAAGAGCCTGAAACCACCCACTAAAGTGAGAACTGACATTCCTGTTTTCCTGCTCGAATGTTATCTTTTCCTAAACCATGCATGGTCTGCCCCACCCCCTATCCTGTGCCCATAAAAACCCCAGGCTCAGCCGGCAGAGACAGGAGAAGCAGCTGGACATCAGAGACTATGGCTGTACGTCAGAGAGAAGCAGCTTGACTTCAGAGAGACAGTTTGATGGCATAACTTTGGAGAAGAATCCATCCAGAGATAGCCAGACTTCAGGAGATTATCTTCCTGTCCACTCCCCTTTTTAGCTCCCCTTCCCACTGAGAGCCACCTCCATTGGCAATCAAATCCCCCCTATTTACCATCCTTGAATTCATTCATGCTACCTCATTTCTCCTGGACACTAGACAAGAGCTCAGGTGCAACGAGTGTGGAGGCAAAAGGCTGTCACACTGACCCTTTGCCCTCACTGGCAGACCCCAGCCACCTCACGCAAAAAGGAAGAGTGTCCACTGAGCTGTTAACACTTAAGCCGTCTGTGGATGGCTGAGCTACAAGAGCTCTGTAACACTTCCTTTGGAGCTTGAGGGGTCCTGAGCACCCCTCCCAGACACTGCAGCAGGGCTAGTACAGAGTTTGTTCCTGCCGGCAACCAAAAGCATTCTCCCTGGCTTCTGCCCCCACTCACCTCTATGCTCCCTCCCACAAGGGGTGGAATGCAGCAGGTTCCAGTGAGTAGAGTTCACCACTGCCTGTGCCAGAATGGCCGGCTGATTCCAGCATTTGTGTACTCCAGTTCCCGCCCACAAAGGGGTCAGGGAAATATTCTGATTCAAATTAAACATACAATCACTAAAAATCCACAATCAAGCATTCTATATACACATTTTCAAAATTAATGTGTTCTTCAAACACAAACTAAAATATTTAATTTGATTAATCATTTGTTCATTTTTTGTTGTTTGCCAATATTTTACTGAATTCAAAACATATTCTAGCTACTTACAGAGCTTTTCATTTTCTTCACTTATGGGGTATTTCAAACATATTGGGATCTATAGAAAATACTATAATGAAGACATATATTTACCACACAACTTTAACTATCTTAACATTTTGTTGTAATTGTTCCATATATATATAGATAGGTAGATAGAGAGAGAGAGAGAGAGAGAGAGATTGAGAGAGAAAGAGAGAGACAAGAGTTTCACTCTTGTTGCCCAGGCTGGAGTGCAATGGTGCAATCTCGGCTCACTGCAACCTCCGCCTCCCAGGTTCAAGCGATTCTCTTGCCTCAGCCTCCCAAGTAGCTGGGATTACAGGCATGTGCCACCATGACCAGCTAATTTTGTATTTTTAGTAGAGACAGGGTTTCTCCATGTTGGTCAGGCTGGTCTCGAACTCCCCACCTCAGGTGATCTGCCTGCCTTGGCCTCCCAAAGTGCCAGGGTTACAGGCGTAAGCCACCATGCTCAGCCTCCAAATACATATTTTAATCAAACACAAGTCATCAGTGATATAATAGTCCCCAGATACTTTGAAACACTTAACGTGCTGGGCAATATGTTAAGTGCAAAGCCTACACATCAGTGATCAATATAGCCCAAGTCCCAGATCTCCTGTGATTTGCTCAAGTTTTACTAGGAGAGACAGTTACTAAATGAATGAAAATGTAATTAAATATCATCAACAAATGAATAAAGACAATGTGGTATGTTTACATAATGGAATATTGTTGAGCCATAAAAAAGAATGAAATGTTGTCATTTTCAGCAATATAGAAGCAATTATGTTAAGTGTAATAAGCCAGAAACACAAAGACAAATATCACATGTTTTCCATCCTATGAGGGAGCTGAAAAAGTGGACCTAATGGAAGTAGAAGAGTAGAATCGTGGTAACCAGAGCCTGAGAAGAGGAAGAGAGGTAGGGAAGAAAAGAAGTTGGTTAAGGGATACAAAAATACACTTAGATAGAAGAAATAGGTTCTACTATTCAATAGTACAGTAAGGAGATTATAGCTAGTAATACTTTATTACATACATATTTCAAAGTACCTAGATGATAAGATTTGTAATGTTCCCAACACAAGAAAAGATAAGAGGCAATGAATATCCCAATTACCTTGATTGGTCATTACACATTTTAAGTATACAAGTATCAAAATATCACATGTACTCCAAAATATGTACAACTATTATATATCAATAGAGCCACATGTTTAAAAAAGTTTCAAATGCTTTTTCATGCTGTGTCAAAAGGTAAAATGGCGTAAGGAAGTAGTGTCTGAGTGATCTTTTTTTTGTTTATTTTTGAGGAGGGGTTCTTATTTATCTACTTAAACAGATTTTGACTTGAGGCCATTGGACCAAAGAAAAACTACAGGTATAATGCGCTTGTTACATCCCAAATTTTCAATTAGTTGTTTTCATATCAAATGCTGCTGGTGAAAATATAAGCTTTAGTAATTTTTTTTTAAATTACTATTTTTGGAGCAGCTTCAAGCAAGAAATACAAAATTCTTATATATCCCCTACACTGCCGCTACAGGTCTGTGCCACACATCCTTCACCAGAGTGGTACATTTTTTAACAATCAGTGAACCCACATCCACATACCAATATCACCCAAAGAGTTCACTCTCAGTGTTGTCCGTTCTTATGGATTTTGACTCATATGTACTGACATATATCTACCATTATAGCATCATACAAAATAATTTCACTGCCCCTCCTTTGTGCTCAGCCTATTTATCCTCCTTCCGTGAAACTGCTGGCAAATATCTTTTTACTGTCTCCATAGATTTGTTCTTTCCATAATGTCATATATTTGGAATCATACAGTATGTAGCTTTTTTACATTAGCCTTTTTTTTACATTAGTAATATGCATTCATGGTTCCTCCATATCTTTTCATGGATTGAGATTTTTTTTAGAAAGACTTTAGAAACTACAATGTATGTGCAAAACCCATCTTGGACTTTGGAATTTAATATGATCGTATTTTACTAAGATAGGTAAGATCCAAAATGGATAATAAGAGATTTTATCTAGGCAAGAAGGCTTACTTTATGAAAAATACCTTCAATAACATTCGTTTTATTTAACTGTCAATTCTAAGGACTCTAAATTAGATGATGCTTGGTGGTTACCAAGTCAATTTAATGGACATAAATCATTCTGAATCCTACCAGAAAATTCTTTAATTTGTAAACAGAGTTTTGGGAACAATAAACCACGGGCTCTTGTGTATGCGTATGCATGTGTGTGTTTAATATAATTAATAGGCAGATTAGTGGCCTGAAATTTGTACAGAATAGGAAGTTCTATTTTTTCTTCCAAAGGTAACTCAAACTGGACCTGGCGTAGTGTTTAAACCCTAGAAGCAGAGATGTCTTACAAGTAAACATTTTAAATTGTGTGCATACCATGCATTTCCACAGTTTATATAGCCATACTCAAGAAAATACCAGATCTGCCTACTTATGCTTCTTGGAATAATTATACATTACTCGGTATTTCAACCATATTTATATAAGAGGTTTTATTCAACTCTGTATTTGCACATTATTTTCTATATCTTTAGTCTGCATATTTGTATTTGAAAATATTCAATGAAAGTATGTAATATAGTGGTAGATAACAAATGTGTTCCATTAGGTTGCACAATAGAAATGGAAATGTGGCTTTATGAAATAGATTATTATCATTAAAATTATATCTTTGATTTTAAAAGTTATATTTAAAGTAGATAACCAAATCATGTCTTAAAATTTTCCATGGACTATATTTGAGGCTAATTTTATTATAATTCTCATTTTGCATTATTATTCCAAGGCAGTAAGACCAGATAATTAAATTAACTGTGACTTTGCAACTAATTTTCAGATTTTTTAGAACATATGCTGCCTTTCATTTTCTAATTTATTCAAACTTTGACCTGGCAAGTTATTTACCCCTCCAAATTAACCTGAGGATCAATTTCACAGAACAATAACATTTTAAGAAAACTGAGTAGCATAGTATAGATTTTCATAAATAAATTAACGTTCTTTTGATTATGAATATTCCTGAACACCTGAAGAGCCAGATTTGAAATGGCAGGATAGCAGCCAACTACTGCCCTGTTTTTAAATCGGTGAGTTCACCATTAGGTCACGTCAGTCATCTGAAGAGTCAGGGTTTCATTCCTTAAGACATAACTGTTCCATAGCAACATCATTGCAACTGGATGCTTTTCCAATTAAGGATCATGTTTGGCTGCCTATAGCAGAAACCTGTCTATAGGGGCTTAATCGCATAGGGATAAATTTTATCACATAGTGAGAAAATCCAGGGATGATAATAAAGTGACTTCTCCAAACCATCCAAGTCCAGGCTCTTTACCTATCTCTGCTCAGATATCTTTAATTTAAGGCCTTCATTTTGATGTTCAAAAGTTGGCAACTTCATGTCTAGAGATTGCATTCTTGCTCCATGCAGTTAAAAGAATCAAGGACAAAAGACAAAAGAAAAAGACTGGCAGTGTCAGTGCCTTGGTGTGTTCAGGCTGCTTTACCAGAATACAATATACCAGGAATTTATTTTTCATAATTCTGGAGGCTGGAAAGTCTGACGTCAAAGCATGGCCACATTAGTCTGGTAAGGCTCCCATTCTTGATAGGCAGCCGTCTTCTCATTGCATCCTCCCATGATGGAAGGGGCAAACTCCAAGTCTCTTTCATAGGGCACTAATTTCATTCATAAGTGTGGACCCCTTGTGGTATATTCTTCTACCAAACGCCCTACTGCCTAATACCATCACATTAGGGGGATAGGATTTTAACATATTAATTTTGGGGGAGCACACACTTAGCAGCCAGCTAAGTCAGTTCTCTTAAACAAAAACAAAAATCGTTACCGGGAATACACAACTGGCTATTTCCACTGAAATCTCACTGGTGATGACTATATCAGATGAGAACCCTTAACTCTTAGGAGAGGCCTCACTGCGAGTACATACAACTGGGAACACCGGAATACTGTCACACATTTGCACACAAATCACAGTTCTCTTAGAAAAGAAGGATGAGGAAACAAATATCAAGTAGGCAACTAGGAGCATTTGTCATGGAAGCTAAGTATGATTGAGGTAAGAATTATTCAACCTAAACTCTACCTGTTGTTAGTGTAAATTTTTCCACTTTTAATCTGCTTCCCAACATGTAGTAACTGTAATTACTGTTAGTCATAAATTTTGCTCAAAAAAATAGCTTCATAATTTTTACATTCCTTTTATTCCACTGGATTCTCAGTTGCCCAGTCCCAGTGTTCTCTGCAGTCACCATGCCTGAGCTGCTTACTAGCATGGCTGCGTTATTACCATGTAATATTCATTCACTTCCAAAACCTTTCTCTATAGGTCCCTCTCACACCATCATCTCCTGTCCTTCTACTTCCCCACTCCCTTACTCTCACTGAATCTGATCTCTGACATCTTTGTGATTTGTGGGCATTCAAACTTCTAAGTCTGGCAAACAATCAGGTCCCTTCTAAATTTCTTTGCCACCTCCTTCCCCTGTCCTCACATCTCCATGTCATGAATCTGGTAACTGATAATTTTATCAGTGCACTCATTTTAGCAGTACACTCATTTATCCTCAAGTCCCCATTGACTTTCCATAGAATATCACCAAGACCTTATGTATAAGACCACATATTTTGCTGTGTCCCAACATAGTACGAATTCCCAGAAGCCATAGATGGTTGTATACAACCTCTGCCACCCTTATCCCCCATGCAAATAGGAAAGAAAGAGTTGGGAGGCCTTTATTTTATACCACCATTCTACTAGGGAAGTGAAGCTTACCTCTTTATACTTAGTACATTATGTGTGTATGCAGGCGGGTGGGTAGGCCCTAGCTCAACAGTATTAATATTTTTGATCTCTGAAAAAATAAATACCTGATACTCACTATTCACTAAATATTGTTTATTGTAATACAATAATTCAACTATAGAAAGCAGTAGTCTCTGAAATCTCAGCAATGTATGGAATCTTTACCTTAGGACACAGATAGTATGTACTTCCTTCCCTGAACCTCCTGGATCTCAAGAATATGAAATATTACAGAAAGAAAGAAAAAATTCTGGGAATCAGGTAGTTCACCAATACATCTCACAGAAAAAAAATGAACAATTGCTCAATGAAATAAAAGAGTCAAAAATCTCATAATAAAGAATAAATCTTTGGGCAATTAAAAATTAGTATGACTTTTGGAGATAAAATCTTCTGGAACTCTTACTCAGTGCTGGGGAATTCATTTTTGCTAGATATGCAGGACTCTGTTAACATAGGCTACCAGCCAGCACTTACATGAACTTTTTGTTATGATAAACTTTTTATTGCAATGGTGCACGTAAGAGGGATTTGACCTGCATATGCCCTGAGAATTCTTTTCCAGAATGTAACTCACTTCAACAAGGCATTTAAAAACATGGGTATACTTTAAATAAAGATGTCTTCAGACTTCAGTATCCCATGCCCTTTAAAATCACAACCACTCAAAGAAATAATTGTTTGACTTCAAAATAAAATAAGTATAAAGATATACTTACTAATGATATGAATAAAATAATAATTATTATTAACAATTCATAGTCTTTATTAGATATGATGCCAAAAATCTACGTTGAAGATCTCTTTCTTGGTACAAATGTTACCTGAAAACATACATTTTTTTGTATATATCCTGTATGTTTACTTTTCAATTCTTTTGAAGTAAGGCCACAGGGATATCTAATTCTGTAATCTTATAGTTCTAAACCTGGACATAAGAGGAACAAGAATTTTCAACTAAAACTTGTTTAATATTATGCTTAAGATTTTAATAAAATGTAGTAAGAGTTGTATGTGAACTCTGAATGAGTTCTATATGAGCAGTAAGAACAAGCAAAATTTACTGATTGCCACCAATTATGTACAGGTTGCTGCTGTAGGTCTTTCTTTGGCTTGGGCTTGAAGTGAGATGCTATATGTAGGTATAAATATGACCCTAGATTCAAAAGATTCAATTATAACTCAAAATATGCAAAGCATCACAAAGCAGCATGGGAGATGCATTTGTCATATCTTAAGCTAGCTCTCATGTTACACAAATGTGCATTTTATCTATGATAACCTTAGCAACAACATTTTTATCTGGTTAAAACTCCTCCAGCATTAAAATCATTACTCAGCATTTCTCACAAAATATTGACCCTTCCCACGCCTAGCACCACCACAACATACCATTTTTGGAAATATGAGAGATGGTGATAGACTACTATATTCTGATCCTATAAACCTTTGAAAAACTTTGTTGGAATAATCATTACTGCTATTAGCCAAATATTCCCAGCTTTTCTTTTTTAGGCACATGGTAGGATTCCTCCCTTCCTTTGGAATTCTCTACTCTTGGAATTGAATTTGGCTTTTTAATTTGTTTTGGCCAGCAAAATGTGTGAAGTGCTGTTAGTAGCTGTAGAGAGAAGCTTTTAAAGCTAATTTGTAACTAATCATTCTCTCTCTCTGGCATGATAACGGGCACTATTAAAACACTGACCACACCATCAGCCTGGACCCTTTACTGACCACAATTAACAGAGACCTCTGCCAACCACGATAGAAATAAGGCATGACTGAGAAACAAACCTTCTTTATTTTAAGTCATCAAGACTTTTGCATTTGAATACTGCATCACACGTTAGCGTATCCTGATACAAGTGGGAATTTTAACTTACTGCTCTGGGACTGAACTCTCATGGAAAACCTGAACCAACAATCACAATCGAGTATTAATTTAAGATCTGTATTCCTTGTACTTATTCATTCAGGAAACATTGGAGGGTTAGGATAACATTGATAACTTTACTAGACTTGGGAGTATAAAGATGAATTAGTTGTGGTCCTCGACCTCAGTAACCTTATATTCTAATGTGAATTTCTGAGATGTAATTAAATAAAATAATAAGAAATTTATTTTGTAGTGGGTTCACATTAGTCGATTTTGCAGGTGGTCAAGCTTTCCATGGGAACCATTGCTCTAAGGACATTATTCTAAGCTGAGAAAACACCCTGTGCAAAGAATGAAATTATAAAAAAACTATTTAGATTACGTTGATAATCTTACTACAGCTGAGGCGCATGTCTATATATTAATTAGAATACATATGTCCAAAGAGATAGAATTCCAAGTTTATTTTTTATATTTTTCCCACTCTAGTTAGCAACCTAACAAAATATTTAGAGTTCGTGCTAAGCACCATCAGGGTTATTCCAATCTATATCTTACATTGAGACAGGATTCCTGCAGAAATAATTCAAAAGCATATTTTCCCTTGTTATATTTATTTTGGTTTCAGAAGAATTTGGATGTGTATGGTTGCATAACTTTACAGCTTAATTTATTGAATATTTTTGAATATTTGAAAATGTGTACATTTCCCTTTATTCAGTTGTGAGAACCAAATTTAGCATTTTATAAAAAACTTTCAGCAAAAAATTCTTTATGATCCTATGATCCTATGCCACCACTTAACAAAGTCCATGTGGGAATTCTGTGTGATACCAGGTGGCCTGTCTCTTCAGGAAGTGCATTTTCATAAAAAGGGGTTGTCAGGAAAAGGTGTCATATATCCATTGGGTAGCTTTATTGTATTTAATATTTTTCTTTATTTTTATTCAAACTGTATTTTAAGAAATTCATCAAAATATGCTAGGAATTTTGTTTTTCTTTTTTTTTTTTTTTTTTGCTGCTTCTCACTCATGTGAAATCCTCAGCCACATCACTTTCTGGTTTTCCTGCTCTTGTAAAAAATGTTGGTTGGGTTGGTTAGAGTCTTGTCGCTTCTAACAGCTAATAAAAATGTCCACACCGAAAAATCCATCCAAAGGCCAACTTTTTGTATCAATTTTGTGTTTACGTTTTAGGAAATTTAAGTTCAGTTATTTTGTGTTTTAGGAAGATGGTAGGAAATAGAACACTGTGTCATAGTACCATTTTTCTTAGTACACTATATATAAATTAGGTGGATATACAAATTGAATCACATCTAGAATAAAGCTATAGCCAACTTCCACTTCCTCAGCAATCACAGCAATATGTTATAAACTCTCCCGCATGTGGTATTAAATACTCTATTTTGAGTATCTCTGTGATTGCAACTTTTCTTTAGATCTGAAGAAGACATTTAAATTTCCAATTGCTGGCTTCACTTAAAATTGGTTTTCATTTATCCTGATCTGCATGCCTGATCCTATGCAACTACCATGCTGACATAGAACTCTTTTTCTAGTCTTGATTGCTTTTACATATGGTTCACTAGCTCTTGCCAACAAGCCTTTCTTAAAACACTCAATTTTTTCCTACTTATTCTGTTGTGTTTTGTTTTGTTTGGGTTTGTTCAGGGAGAGAGGGTCTCATTCTGTCTCCCAGGCTGGAGTTCATTGGTGCAAACATAACTCACTGCAGCCTGGAACTCTTGGACTCAAGCAGGACTCAACTCCTGCCTGAGCCTCCCTGAGTGCTGGGACTACGGATATGCCCTACCACCTAAGGCTCCTACCTACTGCATATTCATTTGGTCCATTTGCCCCTTTTCAAGAACTACTTAATATTCTTCATTTCTAAGAGCATTTTATGATTAAACATACTTGGAGAAAATATTCTTGGAGTCTCAGGTAGTACATGTTTAAACAAAAAATCTATGTATATTAATCCATGCTTCTTAAACATTAATGTGCATAAACCAACTAGGATGTTTCTAAAATTCAGGCTCTGCAAATCTAACTAGCTCCCAGGTGATGCCACTGCTGCCCATCTAGACCGTGCTTCGAGTAGCAAGGTGTTACTCTATCAATATCTGACATCCCTTGGGAATGATATAATCAATTATTGAAAATATTTACTCAACATTAACTACAACTGAAACAGCAAGCATTGCACTGCACCGGACTGTAATGATTAACTACTGAGCAAAACAATCAAGATCCTTGAATCTCGGATTCACATTCCACTGGATAATTGAGTAATAATATAAAATTTTAAAATCTTTCATAAGGTCAACAACGAAAATATCGTCCATACTATAGAATAAATGGGAAAAGTGTAGTTCACTTAATATGTTTCAGGAAGAACCAATTTTCTGAGGAAGTAGCAAATAAACAGTAAATTGAAGAAAGTTAAAGGAGTCAATCCTGCAGCATGGAAGAAAACAGCCTCCAGAGAAATTAGTACGAAGTCTAATCTAACAAGATTGAGGGAATTTAAAGTATAGAAAGAGGAGACCAGCACAGCTGAAGCACAGCAAGTGCTGGGAGACTGAAGGCCGATCTTGAAGGGCCCTTTCATCTTAGTAGGGCCTTTAGACTTTGGATGTTTTATCATTCTAAGATTAATGAAAATTTATTCAAGGAGTATTTAGTTATTTCAGTAGAAATGGGCAAAATCTTTAATTTGTGGGGAACATATTAGAGAAGAACAAAAGTATAGGCATGAAAACTATTGAGAAAGCAGGTTTAGATAACTAACTGCTAGTAGTAAGGGTGGTGGTGGGAGTGATAGTAGTAGTAGTAGTTGTTTATTATAGAATTGTAGAGATCAACAATGATTATGATTCATTGAACCCAGAGAGAGTAGGAGAGTCTAAGACTGATTTTTGAGGTAAGATGACTTGTGATGTGGAGGAGAGAGAAGGAATAATAGAGAACACTTATGTGTTTGCCTTGAGCGACTGGATGGCTAACAGCACTATTTACTGATGTGTGGAGCGTGGGCTAAAACAGGTTTGAGGAAAAAAGGCATATATACATTTCACTGTAGACATGTAGAGATGGTAAATAGCTGACTAGTCATACAAGTCTGGAGCTTAAGGGTAAGTTCAGACCATTGATAGAAACTTAGGAATCATTAGTCATAGGGCTGAATGTGTTACCTGGAGAGAAAGGACAGAATAAATAAAGAAGAACAAATTTTAGGGTATTCAAAATTGAGATGTCCAGAGATATCCAAGATATTTCTTGCAAAGAATACCTACATGGAGAAAACACAGCGGGACTGGTGGAAGAAGAAAAAATAATAATAAACAGAAAAGAGTCACCAAAGCCAAAAAAAAAAGGAAAATTTTAAGGAGTAAATTGTAGGCTAATTGGAAAAAAGTAACATATATAAAAAGATGTGTGTATTGGACTAGGAAATGTGAAGCAGCTCCATTAGCATAATGGAGAAGTAATTCTTTTAGTTTACACATAACTTGAGAATACCCAATATGTGCCAGATATTATTATGGGTGTCAGGAATATTTTGGTGGAGAAAAACAATCCATACTTTCTTGACAATTTATGTGAATAAGGCAGATTAAAAAAAATGACAAAGGTGGGAATGACGTTGCCATGTTAGGGGAACCATTATACTTGGGCCGTAGTGAACAAAATGGGAACTGTTTTAAGACAAAGTATAAGACACAATTAAGGGATAGATCACCTAGGGCCTCAAAGGGCATAGCCGCAAAGGATCCAAGATTTTTTCCATGTGCAATAGAAGATTTTAGGGAGTTATAATTATTTTTCTCCATGGGTAAAATCCTATTTGATTTTTATATTGAAGAGATGAGGAAGTGGAGACCACAAGTATTGTCAACCTTCTTAAGATATTGTTTGTGTGGGTATAGCAGTAACTAACACATATTGAGTGCTTACCAAGTGCCAGGCACTATTTTAAGTACTTTACACGTAATTGATTTAATACTCACAATAACCAAATGAGTAGGAGCCTTATTTTCTTGCAGATTAAGAAAGCACAAAGAGAAGATTCAGAATAAAACTGGCATATTTGTGTTAGTTGGTTTTAGGTTTTGTTTTTTAATAGAAATAGAGCTTGTATTTTAATAAAAGTAAAACAAAGAATTTGGACATGAAGGCAAGCAGGTTTATTTCTTTAATGGGAAACTTCTCCTCTAATGGTATCTATTTGCAAAGTATTTCATGAGCTGAGAAAGAAGGAGCAGGGAAGGGTGAGGGTTAAAAATGAGTAGGGTGGGAGAGAGGGATAGCTAGGTTCTGGTAACTGCTGGAAATGTGAGGGTAAACAGTTATCTTTTGTCAAAAGATTATCTTTTACATTTAGATATACAATCTGTCTGGATTAATTTTCTTTTCTGACATGTTGTAAAGTTGGGGTCAGCATTTATTATTTTTCATGTAGAAATGAAATTAACCCTGCACCATTTATTCCAATGATTACCCTTTCCCCACTATGCTGCAGTGTCACCTTCTCCATCATCAATTAATCTTATGTGTGCAGGCATGTTTCTGGACCCTCTACTCTGTTGGTTAGTTGAGAACCTTTGTTTTTTATCAAGATTTTTATTCTATATAATGAAGGCTCAAGTAATACCTGTAGGCATACCCTTGGGACTAGCAGGAATTCTACTAGGGTGAGTTTCAAATATCCACGTATCAAATAGAATGGCCACCCATTAGCTTCTCCAAACATAATATGAACTGGATAGTAATTATTATACTAAGATAGAATTGATCAGTACATAAAACAAATCTTGCATGCCAAAAAGCAATATGCGGAAATGTTCAATTACAGAAATCACAAGATTACTAATCCCTTCAATACCCCATTGCAAATGCACAAACACATAAGAAGTAAGGCTTTTTCAAACAAAGGGATCAACAAAGTAAATATGCATTAAATTAATCTGAGTTTAAAGCCATCAGAAAAATAAACAATACATTACAACACAAATTTTACACAAATTAATACAAAAAATGACCATCTCTTGTTGGTTTTCAAACTATAAAACTGTAAGGAAAATCTTTCATCACTCTCCCCATCTGGAACTATGTCAATAGTCTTTCTTTGATTTTATAGAACTTTATCGCTGAGATTGTAGATCAGATCTTTAATGCAAGTTCTATAAAATCAAAGAAAGACTATTGTGAACAGGTTTTTAAAAATGAGGATAAATGGAGGATCACAGTAAAAATAAACTTTTAGTTCAGCAACATGGTTTTATTAAATGAAACATTTATTTGAGATAGAGACATCAAAGCTTTTGATAAGACGACATGGTGTTTCTTTCTTGCCTAGTCAAGCTTGCTGGAGAGTGGATTTGGAGGGTAAGTGAACTTAACAAGGATCTCTCTCCTCTTCAAAGGTCCTGATCCCAAAGCAAATGTGGACAGTCTCACATATCCTCCATTTCTATTACTGCATTCACCGATGCAGCATAGTATTAGAAAACTGTCCTTTAAATCACTGATTACATAAAATTCACTGCAATTTTAAGCATGATCTTCATTTGACTCTGGGCAATCATTTTATTTAAAATAAACTCTCCTTTTAAAATGAAATTAAGCCTGACAATATGAGAAGGGGTAAAATTAACAACTTTTACTATTGGTTTCCTCTCCCTAAATACCAAATTTCAATCATCTAAAATGAGAGACTCTATGCTAAATATGCTTAAAACACATTCTAGTTCCATATTTCTCTAATATGTAAATATTTTAATAGTAATTGTGAAATGTCTTGTTCCAACGAAAGAGGATAAAGAAAGAACAGACAATGACCTCTCTCCTTATTTCTCATCAACATAGGATTTCTTTTATTTCCTATGTCTGCCTCTGCAGTGAACCCTCAGATCACTTTATCTTTTATTTTATTTTTTTTTTTAATTTTGCTTTTTTTTTTGGAGTTTGAGATAGAGTTTCGCTCTTGTTGCCCAAGCTGGAGTGCAGTGGTGCAATCTTGGCTCACTGCAACCTCTGCCTCCCGGGTTCAAGCGATTCTTCTGCCTCAGTCTCCTGAGTAGCTGGGATTACAGGCACGTGCCACCACACCCGGCTAATTTTTTGTATTTTTAGTAGAGATGGGGTTTCATTATGTTGGCCAGGCTGATCTCAAACTCTTGACCTCAGGTGATCCACCCTCCTTGACCTCCCAAAGTGCAGGGATTATAGGAGTGAGCCACCACGCCCAGCCCCAGATCACTTTAATCAGATATTCTGAATAAGACAGTTATTCAGAAACATAAAAAGCAGAGTATATTACCAGTTTTCTTAACCTCTAGAGATCACTTGACTTCTCTTTTCATAAGTGGAGACCTGAGAGTCAAGGACCATCCCTCCCAAGCCCAGCATCCCATTCTGCTCCTTCATTCTAATCACTTCAATTGAAACTCATTTGTTCATAAAACCCTGTTGTCATATTTCCTAGATGATTTGGAAAGCTTATGTCTGCAAGTATGAGATGATAGAAGAACTCCACAGTTTCTTTTTTTTTTTTTTTTTCAGAAAGAGTTTATGTGCTTCAATTTGGTCATTTAGATAAAATACCAGTATGATATGGCTGTCAACTTGTCTAGGCTATGGTGCCCAGTTGTTTGGTCAAACACCAGTGTACAAGTTGCTGTGAAGGTATATTTTAGATAGAATTAATATTTAAATCCATAGACTTTGAATAAAGCACATTGCCTTTCATAGTGTGAGTGGACCTCATCCAATAAATCGAGGGCTGTAAGAGCAAAGAATGAAAATTTCAAAGAGGGAATTCTCCTCAAGAGTTCAAAATAGACACTCTGCCTGAGTTTCCAGCCTGCTTTTGCACAGACTTCAGACTCAAAACTGCAATCACAATTCTTATCTTAATTTCCAGCTTGCCAGTTTGCCTTACAATTTACATACTTGCCTGCTCCCACAATCATGACAGCCAATTATCTACAATAAATCTATGTCTATAAATCTGTCTGTCTCCATCTCTCCCTGTGTGTTCTGTTTTTCTGGAAAACTCTGACTAATAAAACTACTACCATCAGAGTTGAAGGCACTAACAGCATTAGGTTTAGGAGGTTTAAGACATAGAGACATAAGAGAGATTTTGAGACCCTTAGAGTATGAGAGTGTCCTTGGTGTTGCCTCATAAAAGTGGCCACAAACATCAACGCTGTATGAGTCTCAGTTTAATTGTCAAAGTTCTAGAAGTGTTTTGGGGAAAAAAATACATGCAACAACAATAACAATAAAAATGTTGCTGTTATATAATTTTAGTGGTTTATTCTTATTTTTCTTAATATTCACTAAAAGCTATTTAAATTTAAAGAAAAAAATTACCAGTATCTTTGCTTCAACTAATATCCAGTTTCAAGCATTTACCATAAAGAACAAGGAAGAATTGGATAATGACTAATTTCACTCACTTTTCTCAGAAATTATATATAGAATATAGTATTAAATCATTCAACTAGATTTATTGAGTAACAAACATCTTCTAGGCATTCTCTTAGGCAATAGGGATAAAATCACCAATACTGTATACATTATTAAGATCATTTTTGTCACAAGTTTAGTTCTCTGGGAAACAAGCACTGAGAAAAGGTGGGAGTAAAACTTTTATAATGAAATAATACTCGTGAAGAAAAAGAGATGTATATTGTGAGGCTTTTCCTGATAAACAGAATCAAGAGTGCACTAGTCTGTTTTCAAACTACTATAAAGAACTACCCAAGACTAGGCAATTTATAAAGAAAAGAGGTTTAATTGGCTTATAGTTCCACATGGCTTAGGAGGTCTCAGGAAACTTACAATCATGGTGGAAGGGGAAGTAAGGCACGTTTTACTTGGTGGCAGGATAGAGAGAGAAAGAGAAAGTTCCACACCTTTAAACCATCAAATATTATGAGAACTCACTCACTATCATGAGAACAGTGTGGGGAAACCACCCCCATGATCCAATCACCTCACACCAAGTCCCTCCCTTGATACATAGGGATTATAATTTGAAATGGGATTTGGGTGGTGACAAAGAGCCAAATTATATTATCTGCCTCTGGCCCCTTTCAAATCTCATGCTCTTTTTATATTTCAAAACCAATCATGCCTTCCCAACAGTCCCCTAAAGTCTTAACTTGTTCCAGCATTAACTCAAAAGTTCAAGTCCAAAGTCTCATTTGACAAAAGGCAAGCCCCTTCTAACTAGGAGCGTGTAAAATCAAAAACACATTAGTTACTTCCAAGATACAATGGAGGTACAGGCATTGGGTAAATATTCCTGTTCCAAATGAGAGAAATTGGCCAAAACAAAGGGGCCCATGCAAGTCCAAAAACCAATGGGGCAGTCCTTAAATTTTAAAGCTCTGAAATGATTTCCTTTGACTCCATATTTCACATCCAGGGCACACTGATGCAAGGGGTGTCCTCTCAAGGCCTTGGACAGCTCCACTTCTGTGGTTCTTCAGGGTATAGCCCCTGCAGCTGCTTTCATGGGCTGGTGTGGAGTGCCTGTGGCTTTTTCAAGTGCACAGTGCAAGCTGTCAGTGGATCTACCATTCTGGGATCTGGAGGATGGTGGCCTTCTCACAGCTCCACTAGGCAGTGCCACAATGGGGACTCTGTGTGTGGGCTCTAACCCCACATTTTCCCTCTGCATTGCCCTAGTAGAGGTTCTCCACGAGGGTTCCACTCCTGCAGCAGACTTCTGCCTGGACATCTAGGTCTTTCCAAACATCCTCTGAAATCTAGGCAGAGGCTCCCAAAGCTCAACTCTTGTCTTCAGTGCACCTGCAGGCTCAACACCATGTGGAGGCCACCAAGGCTTGTTGCTTGCACCCTCTGAAGCAATGGCCCAAACTATACCTTGGCCCTTTTTAGCCATGGCTAGACCGGGGACACCATGTTCTGAGGCTGCAAAGAGCAATAGAGTCCTGGGCCTGGCTGCCCACAAAACCATTTTTCCCTTCTAGGTCTCTGGGCCAATGATTGAAGGGGCTGTTGTGAAGGTCTCTGAAATGCCCTGGAGACACTTTCCCCATTGTCTCAGCTACTAGCATTCAGTTCCTTGTTACTTACGCAAATTTCTGCAGCTGGCTTGGGCTTGAATTCCTTCCCAGAAAATGGATTTTTCTTTCCTACCACATGGTCAGGCTGCAAGTTTTTCAAGCTTTTATGCTCTGCTTCCCTTTTAAACATAAGTTCCAATTTCAAACCCTCTCTTTCTGCATGCATATGAGCATATAATTTGAGAAAAAGCCAGGTCACATCTTGAATGCTTTGCTGCTCAACAATTCTTCTGCCATATACCCTAGATCATCTCTCTCAAGTTCAAATTTCCACAGATCTATAGGGCAGGGGGAAAATGCTGCCAGTCTCCTTGCTAAAGCCTAGCAAGAGTGACCTTTAGTCAAGTTCTCAGTAAGTTTCTTATCTCTATCTGAGACCACCTCAGCCTGGATTTTATTGTCCATATCACTATAAGCATTTGGGTCACAGCCATTCAACAAGTCTCTAGGAAGCTTCAAACTTTCCCTCATCTTTCTATCTTCTTCTGAGCACTCCAAAGAGTCCCAATCTCTGACGATTACCCAGTTCCAAATTTGCTTCCTCATTTTCGGGTGTCTTTATAACAATGCCCCACTTAGTACCAATTTTCTATATTAGTCCCTTTCCACACTGCTATAAAGAACTCCCTAAGACTGGCTAATTTATAAAGAACGGGTTAAATTGACTCATAGTTCTGCATGGCTGTGGAGGCCTCAGGAAACTTACAATTATGGTGGAAGGCAAAGGTGGAACAAGACACATCTTACATTGGAGTAGGAGAGAGAGAGTGAAGTGCCACAATTTTAAACCATTAGATCTCATGAGAACTCATTCATTATCATGAAAACAGCATGGGGAAAAATGACCCTATGATCCAATCACCTCACAACAGGTTCTTCCCTTGACAAATTGAGATTAAAATTTGAGATGATATTTTGGTGGAAACACAGAACCACAACATATCATGAGGATGGATAGAGAGATAGACGAGAGAAAGAGAGAATGATAGTTGACAGATAAATATACAGGTAGATGAGAGGGGATTTACTGTGAGAATTGGTCACATAATTGTGGAGGCCGAGAAACTCTACGTTATGCTTCTGGAAGCTGAATAACTAAGAAAGACAATAGTGTGGCTCTGCAAGTCTGAAGGCTTCAGAACCAGGAAAGAGGATGGTATAACTCTCAGTGTGAGATCAAAGACCTGAAAACCTAGGGATCTACTGCTTCAAGTCCTGGAGTTAGAAGACCAAAAAACCTGTAGTTTTTATGTCCAATGGCAAGAGAAGAAGTGTGTTCTGGCTCTATAAAAGAGAGGGTGAATTCACCTTTCCTCTGCCTTTTTGTTCTATTTGGTGCTCAGCTAATTGGATGGTGCCAACCCATACTGGATGAGAGTGGATCTTCCTTATTCAGTCAACTGATTCAAAGACTAATCTCTTCTGAAAACACCCTCACAGACATACTCAGAAATAATGTTTTACCAGCTATTTGGGCATCCCTCACTCAGTCAAGCTGACATCAAAAATTATGCATCACAGAGAGGAATCAGAATTGGGCAAGTGGAGACATTAGGTCACAATTATGTCTCTGTCAGCCAAACCGAAAACGTCCAAAAAAATTTGTCTCCTTAGAGGAGTCCTTTGTGAGGTAGAGATGGTGAAGCCTTCTACTAACATCTTGCTCAGTCACTGTTGGGGGCTTTCCTGAGGGAGAGCATGCTCTCACCTAACACCACTTTGCTTGGTCTTTTGCTGGAGTCACCTCAGAAAAGCATTACCTCAGCTCGAAAACCAGGGTGGGTCCTGAAGAAGCTAACAGCTGGAGGCTTTCAGATGAACATTTCACATCTGGGTAGTCAGTACTTTCCTAAGAGGATTTCAGTAGCACAGCTCCATGTCTGCCGCAGTCTACCAATAGTACTGCATTGACCCACTTCTCTACGTAGGTTTGGGAAGAAGCTCTTCCATGGTTCCTGTGAGAGCCCCTTTCAGATGGGAAAATTAAAAGTGGGAGAAAGAGGGAAGAACCACTGGTCCAGTCCCTCCCGGTCTTCACATGTTCACAATTAGTACACATATTTTTCCTCTTTCCCTATCCAATCTAATTTCTCCTCACCCTCAGCTACCCCTTTTGTTGGTCACAGTGGTTTATCTGACAGGGTGAACTTAACTCTCACTCCTGAAGTGTCCTAATAAAAGCCGTAGTAACCGTTATCTTTCAGGCTAGAAATGTTGCCCTTGTCCATTTATTGTTGGAATTAGGTGAAGGAATACCATAAGTCACTCACGTGAGTAACCCAAGCTCCATACACATTGCTACCTGTATCCATTGTAAAACAGCAACACTACCTTCTCTTGGGATGATCAGGTTTTATTGCCTCTGAAAAGCTGGTAATTTATTTTCTCGCTGACTGATTCCTAAAGTGCCCAGGTGGCATCATTAGCTTTGCAGTAACTTGAATATCGTGCTGAGTCCTGGTAAGAGTGTACCTCAGTTGGGTACCAAAACCAGGCTCTCTAATCCTGCAGCATCCAAAATTGAAGGGATGGGAAGCACAAAATATCCAGAAGGTCACTGGGAATAATGGTAAGCAGGCCTCTTCTGCTTCTATGCCTTGGTTCCCAAATCTGTGTATTCTTCCTTTTGAGGACATTGTGCCATATAGTGGTCTCTGATTTAATGCCTACATGCATCCTGGAAAGTAGTATCTCATCCTCACAAAGCATTGCCTCTGAGTTATCACTTCAGCTTCACCTTCAGCAGACGCTCATAATGCCTGTAGTTTCTGGGTGGTACAGAATACAAGATACTCAATAAATCACTTGGTGATGATGGTGATGAGTCCATCCTGACATCTCTTCTATTGTGATGTTTTTGTTTGTTTTATATTTTATTTTTACTGATTGGATGCTGTATTGTATGGGATTCCCATGTCTTTGAATCAGGATTTCTGTAAGACCCTGGATTACGATATTGGAGGTCTTACAGACAGGGAGGAAAAACTTGAGCCTAAAATAAATCTTTATTCTTAGAGAACAAGCCAATGGCCCCTCCGGGACAGAAGAGGAAAATGTAGTCAAATTGTCATCAACTGGCCAGTGTGTTTAATTGAGGAATAGTGTCACAGAGCTACTATGTTGTTGGCCACAGTGGCAGTAATGGCTAGAGGGGCGCTGATAGGTGGGAATCTGTGCTATTGAGCCATACATGCCCCCATCTGTTCCACAGTGGTCACCTAATTCATGTGCCAATCATCTCAGCATTGGGGTAAATTCTAGCAAACTCTGGCTGACACAAATGGACTGAGTGATTTTGACTAATTGGCTCCTTAGTGCTGCTTCTGTGGTGGATATATTCTGGTGAGAATTAGCCCATAATACAAACTTCTTCACACTTTATAACCACTCTCCCGTGTCCACGTATGTGTCTCTACCAAAGGTCCCTCTTTGTCTTTGATGTTCCACTATTTTTCCTACCAGGCCCCTCACCAGCTGCCAGATCATTTTCCATCTTTGATAAGCTCACATATATTTCAAACTTGGGCCACTTCTCCTTCCACAGAAAGTGGATAATCAGGTGGGCCACCTACAGCTTTGCCCATTTGGAAGGCTTTTCCTCATGCCATATTCTAAGGCTTCTTCTGAGTGGGGCAGCATTGCAACTACCATTCATTTTTCAACTGCTTTTTTATACCGAGTTGACACATCCATAAACCAACCTATGCCTTTTGCTCTATTATATGTCAAATATACAGAACGCTTCACGGATCAATGGATGTAAGCTGAGAGAGGAATGCAGATGCAACCATGCTAGTCACATGGGAATCTAGGATAACTGTGCATGTTCCTTGTTGTACCAACTCTTCTTAGTTTTGCTTGTTATTAGATGTTTCATTTCCAACATATAACGATGGTCAGTCACTATGTTCACCTGGCTGTATGACTTGTGAGTTCAAACTAACTCAGCCTGTGATGGGCAGTTTCAAGTGCACTGTCATTTGGTATGCTATAGTCAGGTATTTTGTGAGTCAAACCCCAAAAGCTGTCTTTTAAAGTTGTTATTTCTCTGCTGCATATCAAATGACCTTATCCGGAATCTCAAGAGCCGATGTTGTACTTCCAATTGCACTTACTCCAAGTTGCATACTGCATCTTTTTCACCCCTGAAACTTCCAGGTATTGTAGGGTCTGTCGAATTGTATGACCCAAATGACAGAACTCTTTGTTCTGCAGACTGGACCTGTACTTTGCTGTTTCAGCCTTCCATGTCATCCAATATAAAGACCAAAACATGTGCCCAAGTATGGAATATATTATCTCCAGAACCTAAAGAGTCTACTAGATTGGTATTTCATTTTCTGTGATAGGGAATCCAAGGGACAGCAATTTGTCTTTTACTTTGGAGGAGCTGTTCTGGCATGTCCCTGATCACTGAACCCCTAACACTGAAGTGACAGAGCCAAATCTTTGCAGGATTTATTTCTCACCTTTCGGATCACATATGTCTCACTAAGTCCTCCAACATCTAGCCATCTCTTGCTCCTTCTGTCTGATCAGCATGATTCTACTGATGTAATGAATATATATGATGTTCTGTAGGATATCCAGATGGTCCAGGTCTCTTTAGATTATATTATGTCAAAGGATGGGAGAGTTAACTTAGCTCTGGGGGGAAAATAAAAGTGTATATTGTTGTGAATGCAAATTGTTTGTGTTTCTCTCTCCTGATTGGAAGATAAAGAAATTCATTTACTTATTAAATAAATGCACATCATATACCTGAGGCCATATTAACCTGTTTTAGCTAAGATACCACATATGGCACAGCAGCCATGGTCATGGCTAATAGAGATTGAGGCTTGCAGTAATCCAATGCCATCACCCAAGACCCACTGAGTTTCTTTGGGTATGAGAATGAGGAATTACATGAAGAAGGTATGATAGGGACTATTACTCCTGCGTCTTTCAGATTTTTAAGATTGGCATTAATCTCTGCCACTTACATCCTCCAATGCCTCCAATGTGATACTTTTGATTTTGGCCAGTTCCTTGTTTTAGAGTCTTCACTTGCTTTCATCATTATAACATAATGTGGGTGTCAAGCCATCTATTAAATATGTTCATCTCAGTTATATACTCATAACATATTCAACAGGTAAATTTGCAGACAGACTGAAAGCCAAACCTCAGTCAGGAGTCCATTGATTTCTGGCGTCCTAGATACTCTAATTGAGGAGCGATGGTGCTGCTGCAGTTCTCCAGGTATCAATGTTTACTGAAAGCTAGTGTCCAACCGTAAAATATTCATTATTCATTGTAAAAATCACTTAAGTTAATGGCCATAAATCTCTTTGGGAAAGGACTAAGGAATCCCTTTATAATATATATTGACCATGCTGTTGATCAGTCTTTTCTCATGGGAAACCAACCACCTCTTCCATCTGGGGGTTGAACTCTGAAAACTGGATCAGTTCCAAAAAACTGGTCAATGGCTTTTTAATTTTTTTTTTAAGACAACTGCTGTCAGCTTCCAGTTTATCCAATATTGCCTTTTCTTGAATAACTTCATTAAGGAATTCCCTCATTGCCTGACCACCTATTGTTTCCCTAGGAATATCAGGCTTTATCCACCATTCCCATAACTGTCTACAGGTCAGACTCCTTTGGCTGGCAGTCAGAATTATCAGTCATTATAATCATTGTCTCCTACACCTGGCTTCTGGTAGTTAAGCACTCCTAACTGGTGTCCATTGTTTCAGAGGCCCTAAAATCTCCATTATCAGTAAGCCAAATTCTGTTCAGTGGAGAGCCACCACTGAACTTAACGATGCTGCGGTGCCTTTTCACAATACGTTCCGATGATCTGGGCAAATGTGATGTCCTCTGTTCTTTCCCATGGAATAGAATTCTCTGGTGAGGGTTCTGGGTTCTTATATCTATCCCAGCGTGCCCATTTTCATGAGCTTTTCACCCCTCCCTTTCTCACTCAGGTATTTCCACCTTGTTCAGTGTGAACTACCACTTTTTTCAAAGTTTCTAGGGATCACTCTAATTTTGAGATTACATTTACACAGCTTCAAAATCCATTCCCTTAAGTCAAAGCCAAGAAGTTCAATCCCTATATCACAAAAGAATTTCCCCAAGTCCGTAAACTCTCCCTAAGTGGTTCTTTGTTTTCTGGTCTCCTTAGTGAAGTAACTTCCTAATCAATCCAGTCTCGTGAATACACTCAAGCCCCTGCCAGTTCATGTTGGGCAGATTTTGCTGCTTTGGCTTTTTAGTTGCTCCTTCCTAATCAGGCCCAGCACACCCCTGGATGGATATAACCTGGTCTTTGGCTGGGCAGCCAGGGGAGGATATAGGGACAACTGAAAACTGGAGCATCTATTTCTTTGTGGAAGAAAGGCCTCTATAGTGTCTTCCAACATGGAACGTGAATCAATTCTTGATGAGAAGGCATAGGCCACTACTGTAGACTCAGAATTTTCAGATGTCTGGAAATTTTAAATCTTCCAGAGGCTCTATTCAGATGTCCTTACTCCACATGTCAACATTGCAGGTTAATACAAATGGGATCCTGCCTTGTTGAATATTTTAAATCAAATAATGCAAAAATTTGTGACACAATTGTGTGATGAGATAGAAACTCAGCCATATATAATTCAAATGCTTATAACATTTACTTACTTAGAAATCAAAGACATTTTCTAAACTTTGAATTAGCTAATATTTGGATTGCCCTGATATAAACTAATCTTAATAAACTATAAACTAATTTGATTAATGACTCATTTATTTCCTAACATCAATATCATGAGTATCATATTTGATAATGCATTCAGACTGCAGATAGTTTATTTTTCATAGTAATTTAGAAATCTTCCAAAATAACTAATTTAAATTTAAATATATCTTAGGTAATGAATGAAGGTTTAGATAAACAACTAAGCTTTAATCCTGACACTTGACACCTAGCCTCAAGTTACACATGATTTTAAATTTTTTAAATCTATGGGATCATAGTGAACTAATTCAATTGATACAGAACAAAATACAGGCACATTAATGAAACATTTATTTTTACATTTGTCAAAAAAATTGAATTAGAATTGGCAAAGAAGCAGAGGAGTCTATGTCAACTTTGTCTCCCAGATATATGAACAGATTCAAATATATAAGCTAAACAATGTTATGGCAGGGAAGATTATGAAATTATTAAAAAAATGAAATATTTGGTAATGTATTACTATGAAAACACTTATGGAAAGAAGAAGATATATTGATTTTAGAAATATGACAACACTAACTGATTACCATTCACCTGTCTGGGCATAAGACAGGTGTATACGACATTTATTTAGACTTTTTGTTTACTGGGACAAAAAGAAAGCATAACAAAATCTAATAATAATATGCTTATTGGTCATTTGATGTAGTAGTTCAAAATAAGCAAAATGTATCATGAGAAAGGAGAATCATAAAAAAATGAATGTCTTACATCAATTCCTTGGCAATCCAAATACAAGAATGCAGTAATTATTTAGGTGAAAAAGAAAAAAATAACAAAAATGTTAACTCATTTGTTTATATTTCAATGGAAAGTATTTTACGTTGAAGAAAATACGTATTGACTTCTAGCCATTTCACTTCTTTACCATAACTGTACCTGAACCTCATCAGATGAGTAGATATCTTACAAAATATATACATATAAGGAATTATTATGTGGCCAATTCTTACAAAGCTATTTTATTTCTCCAGAAATCCAGATGTCTTATGATATCAAATTTTCATATATAGAGATAGGTATGTAGTATTATTACTTTGTTACCAAGGTCATCAGATCATTGAACTTCCAAAGAAAAGAAGACTATTGCATAATTTAAAGATGTAAAAGGGTAACTCATTTAAATATTATGTCTGTATTTTCCCAGTGCTAAGATTTACCTATTTGTTGCCTATTTGTTTTTCATAAAACTTCGTTTCTTTTTAGAAAAAAAAAGGTAACAGACTAAAATTAAATTATGTAAATCAATCCTATAATAACCCAGAAAAGTATTTTCCAGTATCAATAAAGCAAACACTTAATACTAAATGCAAGCATTGCTATTTAGATTTATACACACAATTCTAATCCTAAATTGGCAAAAGTGTCACAAGTTAAATTAATAATCCTGGGAAGCTCAATAACGTCCTCATTATGTTGACATTCAACATGTTATATTATAAGTTGAAATAAGTGACTTCATTTTAAGTCTTCATTTTCAACAGAAAAGATATCTATGCTCTAAAACATCCTACCTTAATAATGCTTGAAGAAAATACATTCTGTATTTTAATAAAATTATAAAGCTATTATATCATATAGCTCATCCAATAATTATTACAGTAAAGGTAGAATATTTTTAATTTTTTTCTTGTGATTGTCTCCTAAGCCTTATAGTCAGTATAAGTGCTGCACTTTTGTCATATGGTTGATCAAGCCATATAATTTGGATCAACGTTGAATAGGTGAATTATATTGCCCTAGGGTTATGTGATTAGTTCCATATATGTGAAGATTATCACAAAATTTTCTGTAATGCATTCTATGAAAATATTTTTTAAAACTTTAGGTGAGATCTCACATTGAAATAACACAAGCATGATTTTCTTTGAATGTTTTGTCTGTGATATATTGATGAGTCACATATTTAGAAAGATTTTCTTTCAATGTTTCTATAGATGATATATTGAAAAATCACACATTTATAAAAATATTCCTTTATTTCAAATGTGTACATGTCAGTATAGATATAAATAGCTTTTAAATGCAGTCATATAATAATAATTGCCTATAAAACATTAGAGATACTTGTGTATAATATATTGGTGAAAATACAGTTTCAAAATTCTCCAACATGTTATTGTCCTTGAATTGTCTTTTAAGGTGTGAAGCAGAATTTAACCAAAATCTGTATAAAATCAGGACATATATCTAGTCTAAGAAAGAAAAAGTTTGTGGGGAGGGCTATCTATCAGAAACTAATATACTATAATCTTGGTATTTAGAAACAGAGAATGGAAGGTAAAATATGAAGAAAATTATCTGTTCTGTTTCCTTTCCCCTGGGTGAGACCACAATTCAAACAAAACCAAGAGGATTACTTTCTTTAGAAATAAATGGGAAAACAGATTTAACGCATCTAAAATATCAGCGTTTAATTCAAGGACATCTTCTAACATCTTGCCTAAATCTCTTATTTCTGTTTATATCTAGTTTTATTTTACTGGACTCCATGAAAAGCAGAATAACTTTTTTACACATTTATAAAATAACTCTAATTTCTGATCAACCCCTCAAACCAAGCTGCTACACCATTATATTAAAATGATTGATTATTCAGCCTCAACTCCTCCTCTAACTAATATTCTGCCCCTCTGACTCTCTTTACCATCAGATTTATTTAACAAGCTCTGTTACATCTTAGAGTCCTTTGCTTTACTTCCCAGGAAATTTCCAACCTGCTCCAATCTGCCTTTTGCTCTTATTACTCAAATGAAGTAGCTCTTGCTTATGTCAAAAATAATCTTTCTGTAACTAAAGCCAATGGACCTTTAATAGTTCTCATTTACTGAACCGTTTTGTGGCATTCAATACTTTTGATGTCATCCCTCTGGAAACACTTTATCTTGTTTTCTATCACACTACACTCTTCTGATTTTTTCCCCTCCATCTCTAGCTTTTCTGCTCACTGTATCCTGATCATTCATCCTTCTTGAATTAGTAAATATATCTTTTTTTTTTTTTTTTTTTGAGACAGAGACTCACTCTGTCATGCAGGCTACACTCCAGTGGCATGATCTTGGCTCACTGAAACCTCTGCCTCCTGATTTCAAGCAATTCTCCTGTCTCGGCCTCCCTAATAGCTGGGACTACAGGTGCGTGCCACCATGCCCAGCTAATTTTTGTATTTTTAGCTGAGACGGGGTTTCACCACATTAGCCAGGCTGGTCCTGAACTCCTGACCTCAGGTGATCAACCAGCCTCGTCCTCCCAAATTACTGGAATTACAGGCATGAGCCACCATGCCCGGCCAGTAAACATATCTTAAAGTTTTTTGAGGGTTGATCTGAATCATTCCTTGTTGTTCTATTCTTTCCCAAGGAAGTATCAACTACTTTTATGGATTCAATCATTATCTATTACTCTGCATCCACATTTATAGCTTAGGCTTCTCTCTGACTTTCAAACCATATATATCCTACTATATACGCAACCTGTCTGTTAGATATTGCATACGAATATGAAATGTAATGTGCCCAAAACGAAGCTCATAATTTTACTCATATTTGACTTTTCCAGTATTTTCTATATCCATGAAATGACATGGCCGGCAAACCAGCTACACATACTAGAGACTTGCAAATCATCTCTGACATTGTGTTTTTTGTTCACCTTCTCCTTAGTATGGTTTATCAACAACATTTTCAGGTTTCACTCTATTGAAGTCTTTCAAATGTTTGTACTTCTTCCATATTGCTATTATAAATCTAATCCTTATGAATAATCTCTCTTCTGGCCTTCAGCAACAGTCTACTAACTGGTCTCTTTTTCTTTGTGAATCAATTCTCCCTTTCATAATGCAACCGGTATAAACTTTTCTAACTAAAATGCTAGCATGCCACATCTCAGATTTCTTTAAGCATCCGCACATTGATGCATGTAAAATACTTTATTGGCCCCAGCTCTTTGGGAG
Source organism: Homo sapiens (assembly GCF_000001405.40). NCBI lineage: Eukaryota > Metazoa > Chordata > Mammalia > Primates > Hominidae > Homo > Homo sapiens. The sequence continues at coordinate 79,851,432 of NC_000003.12, read as the reverse complement.
GCCGAGGCAGATGGCTCACCCGAGGTCAGGAGTTCGAGACCAGCCTGGCCAACATGGCAAAACCCCATCTCTACTTAAAAAAATGCAAAAATTAGCTGGGCGCAATGGCAGACACCTGTAGTCCCAACTGCTCTGGAGGCTGAGCGAGGAGAATTGCTTGAACCCGGGAGGCAGAGGTTGCCGTGAGCTGAGATTGCACCATTGCACTCAAGCCTGGGAGACAGAACAAGACTCTGTCTCAAAAAATAAAACTAAAAATTCTTTTATTGGCTTCCCATGAACATTGAAATAAAGACTCCAACCTTGGCATAGTCTATAAGGTGGTGCATGAGCTTAATCCTGCAAAATATCTTCATTTGCATCTCTCCTCATTCTTTCTTTATTCACTGGCTTCAACTCTGTAAGACTTAGTTCAGTTTATCAAATGTCTACTGCTTCCTTCTACTAATTTGCTACTGCATATATTGTCTCCTTTGCCTAAAATATTGTTTTACTTTTCATTGAGATAAATTATTACTCATTCAGTTCAAATTCCACTCAAATTTCTTCATAGACGTCTTCTTTAACTCCCATAGTAGATTGATCATTATGACCTATACCCCCCACATTCTCTGAACATAATTTTTATACTATGTGTCACAGTTTCTATGACTGAAATTGTCATAGCCCTTGTACTATGCTGTAAGCTCCATGGTGGCAAAGTGAGATGTGTACTTCCTGTGCCCAGCACATTGGCCTGGTAATAGTAGATACTCAATAAGTATTTCTTTAACTCTGAATGAACAAATGAATGAACTGAATAAGAGGATGCCTGTAGCACAGCTTCAGTGTCAAGAAAACAAACCTCAGGTTTACTTGCAGCTGGGATTGTCACAAACATTCTAGAAATTATGAAATTGTTGAGATAGTTTTTCAAGTATACCCATGATTATTCTAACAAAGTCCTTGATATCTGGTTTATTAAAGATCAGCCCAGTCCTTGTAATCCAGTGAGAAAACTACTAGAGAGAAAGATCTTTAAAGTGTCATCTACAAATTGCAAAGCTCTATGGATTGTATGTTGAAATTTTGCATTTATGTTAGATAGATCATAGTGTACAGGGAGTACGCCAAGTTATTCAGAGGCCAGGGCACAATTCCTTAGTTCATAGCTCCAACAAATTGTGAAAATGTAGAGGTTAAGCAAATTATTAGAAATAGAAGCTGAGGAAAGTACTTTTATTCTGATGCTACCCTCTGTATTAGATGTATAATAAATACCAATTGTATAATGTTCTGTATATGGAAGTATAAAAAACCAAAACATTTGAAAAGTACTGTACTGTTATAGCCCCTACAGGGCTTATCAATTGTAGAATATCTGGACTCAGACCTACCGAGACCAATCTGTTCCCTACTGGTCAAAAATGCATAAACTTACCAAAAATAAATAAATAAATAAATAAATATATATATATACACGTACACACACACATATATACACTATATATAAATAATATAAATATATATAAAATATACATTTTTATATATTATAAAATATAAATGTGGGGAGTGTGGTTGTGGGCTTGTGTGTCTATGTGTAATAGATTAAAACACATTTACATTATATATATTTAACATAATCATATTCTCCAATATGCTTACATACATATTTAATCAACATATAAAGTACCAACGTTCAAACCCAACCAAGTCTATGCTATCAAACTTCAGAAAGAGAATGTATCTACAAATTCAAGAAAGTCTAAGATCCTGGAGAACTGATACACAGACGTGCACGCATACACACAGCCAGTCAGTCAGTTTTAGTTAATTCTCACAATACTTCTCATGGCTAAGTAATATTTTAATATGTGTCAGAAACAGAAACACTGTATTATAATATTGGGTTAAAAAGCATAGACTTGCCTGGGCGCGGTGGCTCATACCTGTAATCCCAGCACTTTGGGAGACCAAGGGGGGCAGATCACCTGAGGTCAGGAGTTCGAGACAAGCCTGACCAATTTGATGAAATCCCGTCTCTACTAAAAATATAAAAATTAGCTGGGTATGGTGGTGGGCGCCTGTAATCCCAGCTACTCAGGAGGCTGAGACCGGAGAATGGCGTGAACCCGGGAGGCAGAGGTTGCAGTGAGCTGAGATCATGCCATTGCACTCCAGTCTGGGCAATAAGAGCGAAACTCCGTCTCAAAAAAAAATAAATAAATAAGCATACACATTAAAATAAACTAGTTCTGGGTATAAAGCAGTTCTGGGTATGTTAATAACTGAATGAGATATTTGGCCTCTCCATGCTTCTGACTCAGTTCAGTTGTGAAACACATAGAGGTATTGTATATAAGTTAAATATTCACAGGTGCTCGACAAAGGACAGACAGAACTCTGTCATCCTTCTGCTCCTGAGGCTGTGTCACAGGTGTGTCCTTAACCTTGGCAAAGAAAAAGAAAAGACTTTCTAAATTGATTGAGACCTGCCTCAGATACTTTTGTGTTTACTGTCGGGAGGGGAGAAAAGGGGAGGGGAGGGGAGAAGAGAGCAGAGGAGAGGAGAGGAGAGGAGAGGAGAGGAGAGGAGAGGAGAGGGGAGAGGAGAGGAGAGGAGAGGAGAGGAGAGGAGAGGAGAGGAGAGAACAAGCAGTTAGCCCTAGACACTAACTAATGTTATTAGGTTACCAGAAGTAGGTAAAGAAGCAGGCCTACTCACACATCTGATAAATATATTGATTAAATTATGTTTCTATATGTGTACCTGGATATTTGTGGCAGATATGCCAAACTGTACCTTGATTCTACATGATAAAAAATATGCTATAATCTTTATTTTTGCAGCCATTTTGTACTTTCCTACTTGTGGTTATGTTTCATTTTTTAAATTTTCATAAAAAAAGTAACGTGACTACTGACTAAAATATGCGGAATGGAGAATTTGTCCATTTCGAAGCTACAAGACATAAGAGAATAAGAGTAGTCTTTAGCAGCAAAGTGGAGGTTTTGATCATCCCTTTTGGAGAACTAGGGAAATCATGACTCATCTAGTTGAGAGAGTAAACTAAAACTTTGGGAGAAGATGAGTAGAAGACAGTGGTGATTAAAGAATTCATCCCACTCACAGTGTTACCGTATACATGATGCCACCATATTCCATGCCTTCCACTCTTAGCCAAATACATCCTGAAACTGAAACAAGCTTATTTAGTTCAAGTTACAGTTTGTATTTGTGAACTGCCAGGAATTAGAACTGAAGATACTTATATTTTTTCAATTTCTTCCTAAGACACTGAAAACACAGAAACAATCATGCTGAGGTAAGCAAATATGAGTATTCATTCCGTCCCATGTGCTATCACCATAGTCCTGAAACAAGAGAACCAACATACAGGAGGACACAATCTAAAAATTAGACCAGGAAAAGTGTAAATGTCAGTCACCCGAAAGGTAGCTGGAAAGATAAACAGAATGAAATACATTTTAGAAAGTTTAATGTGATACAATTAAAACCAAGAAAAAAACATGGAGTAGCAAAATATTGTATCCCCAAAGAGTCAATGGGCCAAATTTATCGTTAATATTTCCATCCTGTCTTAAAGCAGCTAGAGAAATCATATTATTTACTAGATTCTATACTTCCTATTCACACACACACAGTTTCATTGCTGATTATGACAAAATATTGATTCATCATTTTACAGCAAGGGATGTGTCTTTCACTTCTTTCTTATTCCCTATAATCCTGGGCACACAGCTTGTGTTTAATAAATCCTTTCTGATTGATAGGCTTAGATGACTGCCAGCATGGACCTGAAGATTGTGTGGAATACTACACAGACATTTGAGAATACGGTCAGGGGAGGTTGAAAAATCAGTAAGAAAACTGGCACTTCCATTAGGAAATAAACAAAATAAAAATACTGCTAAGCTCTTTCAGAACTGAGGTCCAGAGCTCTAGCATCCTGGGAAATTATTTTTTGGTGTGTTTACCAAAACGACTATGTTATTGAGGATGCTGTCAAGACGTGGTTTGCTTATTTTTTGTTTTGTTTTGTTTCTCCTTCAAGGCCAGTTGATAAGACATGAACTCTATCTCAGAATAACTGAAAGAGAAGAAAAACAACACAGAAGAACTTTCCTAATATCCCTTTCCCAATTAAGAAGAAACTTTGAAATGACTTTGTCTCCAATTAAGACCTGTGGGTCTTGAATTTTCTATGCACAGCTGGAAATTAAAAGAAAAAAAAAAAGAAAAAAAGAGAGAGGCAGGGCAAAGATCCTCTGTTACTGAGTTGGCCTTGGCATCTGCTGCTCATTTGTGCTGGCTTTTGCTCTCCTTAAACACTCAGAAATATTTTTAAGGTCTAACGATGAGAGTCTTGTGTTAACTGTTTGGTTTCCACGTTCCTCACCAGGTGACCCTTAAATTTAGCACCAGTGCTGCTGTATTGTGACTATCCTACACTATTTTCATTTACTCTGGTAGTCCACAAGCCTCCCTCCCTACTTGGACATCCGACATCCTCTTCAGTGATCACAGCATGGGCCCTAACACAGCTCATGGTCTATCTACAGCCACCAAAGAATCTCTCAGAAAATGGCAGTCCTTCTGCATGATTCCTGAGAAGAAATCCTCTCCCCAACAAATTAAAAACCTAGATGTCGACTGATGTTGTTACTCTTCCTCAACAGCAGGGGGCGCCTACCTATTTGGACCTCTCAGCGGTTAAACACAACACGGTCTACCCTCCAGGTGAGACCCCAGTTTCCCTCTCTCCATGTGCTCCATGTTGCTGAGCACTGGGATTATTATATATTTACCATCGTGTTTTCTCCTAAGATATTGTCACTCATTGTATTTTTTCTAATGAAACAAGCCTTTAGAGCAGGTTGGATTACAAGCCTTTAAAGTAATGATTACAACCTTTAAAGTAATCATTTTTATTTAGTATATTTATCCAATTCTTCCAGTCGCCTAGATACTCATCTATTTATTTATAAATTCAAGGGGCATAGGTGCAGTTTTGTTACACGATTTGTTGCGTCATGCTGAACTTTGGGCTTCCAGTGTGCCCATCACTCCAGCAGTGAACATTGTACCCAAGAGACAATTTTGAAATCCTCACTCACTACCCACCCTCCCCCTTTTTGGGATTACCAAGTGTGTGTTGCTTTCCTCTGTATGTCCATGTGTACCCATTGCTTAGCTCTCACTTTTAAGTGAGAACATGTGGTATTTGACCTTCTGCTTCTGAGTTATTTCACTTAGGATAATGGCCTCCAGCCCCATTCACATTGCTGCATACTTTTATTCTTTTTATGGTTGTAGAATATTCCATGGTGAATATAGACCACATTTTTCTTACTCAATCATCCGTTGATGGACATTTAGGTTGATTCCATGGCTTTGCTATTGTGAATAGTGCTGCAAAAAACATACGAGTGCAGGTGTGCTTTTGATATAAACATTTATTTTCCTTTGTGCAGATACCAAGGAGTAGGACTGCTGAGTCAAATGGTAGTTTTATTTTCAGTTCTTTGAGAAATTTCTATACTGTTTTCTATAAAGATTATACTAATTTACATTTCTAAAGTGTATAAGCATTCCCTTTTCTCGGCATTCTTGCCAACGTGTTGTTTTTTTTTTCTTTTTAATAGCACCATTCTGACTGGTATAAGATGGCATCTCTTTGTGGTTTTAATTTGCATTTCTCGATGATTGGTAATGTTGGGAATTTTCTCACATTTTTTTAAAATTCAGCCTTGTATAGTTTTTTCATATATTTGTTGGCTGCTTGTATATCATCTTTTGAGAAATATCGGTTCATGCCCTTTCCACACTTCTCAATAGGGTTACTCCAAAGAAATAAGCAACCATTTTCTTATCAATCAATGACTAATAGTTATTTTCAACGCACAGACTTTAGAATCTAACCCAATCCTTACGCCTCATACTAACACTAGCCCTACTTATAGTAGGATACTTGATGGTCTCTACTTGGGTAAGTAAAACTGTATTGTAATTCAACTAAAGTTGAGAGCCCCATCTCTCTCTCTTACAAGCTAGAGATATGGGATGTATAACACAGATGAAGCTTTTCTCCTCATTGAACATAGTAACATATGAAAGTCTGTGGTGTTATGAACTTTTTTAAAAAATCCTACATTTTAATTTTTAACGGTCTCTTTACCAATGATTTCTACATCCTAAGCAGAATCAGAACTCTCTCCATCACCATTTTTATGTCTTTTTACTTCATATTTGTTAAGGTAAAAAGCTCATAAGAATGTATAAAATAAACGCAATTTTCTAATTTGAAAGATAATCAGATTTTTTTGGTCGAAGAATGCTTGAAACCAAATGAAAATTGATTTTATATTTAAGTAGTTTGTTGTAAAAATGTTCAACATGTATAGCCAAACAATTATGGAAGTATGAATGCATAAAATATTTGCTATTAATTTTGCTTTGATTTTGACAAATCTTTGTCACAACTATTGCAAACAGAAAAAAAGTCTTCAGAGTGATGAATTAATGAACAATAAAATAGCTAAAGGGCCAAAATTATACAGCTAATAGGAGGAACAACCGACCTGATTTGCAAGTTGGATATATAACTCCTAGATAATAAAGAGTCATCTGTAATTATTAGATAAAGTTTAGATATATGTTGAATCCATTTAATAATATTAGGAAGTGGAATTTTCAAGTTATAGATCTATCAGTTCAAGGACATAGTCAATTTAATGACAACAACCTTTGTTGTAAGTGATAATTCATTAAAGTGTGTAAAATTGGAAAATTATAATGCCAAAAATGTGATTAAATATCAATCTGCAAAATAATATCATTGAAAATAATTATCATTTCCTTCATTTCACTGACATGACTCAATCGAGCTGTAACGACTTATACATGTTCAGAGATGAGATTGGGAGGTTAGGGTTATTAATTCACAAGGTGCAGCCACCTAATACTCCCCTTTGCCTAATTACACCCATCAGTTACCAGACAGCTGAAGCAAACATTAAAACATTTTGGTAGCTATAGTGATTGTTCAGTAGGTAGAGAATCTAGGTCACTCAGAGGAAAGTTTCTGGAAAATTGAAGTTATAGTTGGCTAAAAGCCAAAGAAATCTATTTCTGTTTAGTTCTCTCATTACATGATTCTTCAACATTCACTACATTCTATATCCTTCCTTGTCATGCTCAGTCTGCTTATATTGATATAGAAATAGATATAAATATAGATATAGATAGATATAGAGGTACCTATAAACACAGATCACATATAGATATAGATATAGACCAGATAGGTAGGTAGGTAGGTAGATGATAGATAGATAGATAGATAGATAGATAGATAGATAGATAGACAAAGTTCTTACATTTTTATCATGGTAGCTTGCCCTTGTGTGTGATTGTGTAACATAAAAAATATAAAATGAAAGCTACATTTCTCTGGACTCTTGATTGGTACTTTTGTCCAAACCTCTGCTGTCTTGAACAAGTGCTGTAATATTCACGAAATATCTGTATGGCAGTTATTTCGACCTCCTTTTAGTTTCTTGATTGTTTGAAAATCCAACATTTCATTTACATGTTAGTTTACATTACATTCACAGTTCTCCAGTGCTCTGACATATTCATAGACTCTTCTCCAAGCTAAACGCTATCCTCTTCCTATGTCATGAAGCATCTTCGGTAGACCTAGAGGTGTCTAGTTTATGCATACTTATGTATTAAAATGTAAATTCAATGTCTCTGTGAATATTGCTTGAATTAACTAAATTAAAAGCAATTGCCTCACACATTGTTCTTAAGTGTGTGTGTGTGTTTTTAAATCAATGAGATTATAATTTATTACACAAAATAGGAAAATAAGTTATATATGTGTTAGGAAAGTAAAATTAATTTGGGGATTTTTGAATCTGATTGTATGTCAACTATATTTTTTTTTCTTTCCATGCTGTCTGTTTTATCTAGAGTCATGAGTTAAGAATTAGCACCATCATATTTTTTTTGGCAACAAAATTTCCTTTTACCCTCTAGGTCCTATTCATCATTTTAAAAAACACACTTACTATAACCTTTATCTTGGCTCATTTCCCATACTGATGTATCCTCTCTACATTGATTCAGAAATTACTTATGTTTTGTATTTGATGGTTATCACTGCCAACCCCATTAGTTATTGCCAATTTAAAATGCTATGGTATAAAGCATACATGCCACTTTTCCCAAGGTCAGGGCTGGTATTAGATCTATTTGGCCAAGTACCTATCTGGTATTATTGGTGATATTATAAACTTGCAATAATTCAGGCTATTGAGTTTCTGTGTATCGGGTTGCCTGTGTATTGAGTTGCCAATACACAGGATAAATTCATTTATGCTCCTATTATTTCTGATAATGTCGAAATTAAATTTAATTCTAGGGTGTTTTTAATTTGCCCTTTAAGGATGTATAGTTGCTTGAAATTTATTACATCTTTCAAAGTTATTAAAGAGCTCATCTAGACACATGCTTTTAAAAAAATAACCATTTGCACTTTAAAATTGCAGAGCATCAAATAAATGTACTTGTAGGCAAAGGTCTACTCCACCTCTAAGATTCTATAGCTAATACTCTGGAGAAATTGCAATAACATTTCAAAGGAAATGCATTTTAAACATAGCATTGATAATTTTAGGATGATTTAAAATAGTGTTTAATATAATGCCTATCTGGGGTACTCTAAGTATGTTTTACCTACATATTTGTTATATAAATGCACACGTAACTCTACTTTTTGAAGAATACAGAATTTCTTTTCTGCGTTTTTGCTTGCCTTCTTTTCACCTTACCTCACCCTTCTTTTCAGCCCATATTACTTTTTAAAAGAGTTCTTAGGTATGTGTTCCCATATTTTTCTCTAAGCCTACATTATTTTACACAAATATATAGATATACCTTTACAAATCATATATACATACCATGAATAGATGTGTGTGAATATTGTATTAATGTATACGATTCCACATAAAAAAATCTTTACATTTTCTCCTTAAAATGGGAGCATATTTGTACACATTCTATTGCAACTAGCTTTCTCTACTTAATATTTTATGGATATATCTTCATGTTAATAGATTCCAAAATTATTATTTTTACTGACTGCATAATATATCAATTTGCAGCTATGCCATGATTTTTTCAACTTTTCACATGCTTTGGACATTCCCATTTTTGTAGATTGTTGCCAATAAAAAGAATGCTGCATTAAACATTCTTGTGTCTATATTCTCTGCTACTGGTGGATATTTTTCTAAGACAGGTTGATTTCCTTAGAAGAATGAATTTGCTTTATTGAAGACTATACGAATAATGACAAATTGTTTTCCAGAGAGTTGTTGTATTAGTCCATTTTCAGACTGCTATAAAGAATACATGGGATTGGATAATTTATAAATAAAAGAGATTTAATTGACTCACAGTTCTGCATAACTAGTGAGGCCTCCAGGAAACTTTCAATCATGGCAGAAGGCGAAGGGGAAGCAAGGCACATCTTACATGGCAGCAGGAGAGAGAGAGAGAGAGAGAGAGGAAGAAGAAGAAGAAGAAGAAGAAGAAGGAGAAGGAGAAGAGGAGGAGGAGGAAGAGAAAGAGGAAGAGGAAGAAGGAGGAAGAGGAACTGCCACAAACTTTACAACCATCAGCTCTCCTGAGAACTCAGTCACTATCATGAGAAAAGCATGGGGGAAACCGCTCCAATGATCCAATTACCTCCCACCAGATCCCTCCTTCAACACATGAGGATTACAATTACAATTCAATATGAGATTTGGGTGGAGACACAGAGCCAAACCATATCAGTAGCTATCCAGTAGCACCAGCAATATGTCAAAGTATTGTTTTCTTTAAGCTCTGGTAGAAATAGGGTGCAGTCGGCCTTTTGTTTTTTACAGTAAAAGAACATGATTTATAATGAAATTGACCATAGCTTTACATATATTTATTGAGTGTTTGTATTTAATTTTCTGGAAAAATCTATTTTATAAGCATCAACCATTTTTGTATTAGCTTATTATGCCTTTTGTCAAGGCATAATAAGCTTTATAAGATCTCCTTACCTATTATAAGTTTTAATCTACTCAGACAATGTCCATGTAGGTTGTTAATTATAATAATGCATTTATAAGGCAGAACCTAAAATATTCTAACACAATTAAATGAAAAAAGTAATAGCACATTTGCTTATAGTTACAATCAATGTAATAAGATTTGACGGTGGCTAACTAAAATTTTGAAAAATTATTTATTAGTTTTCTGTTTGTTATTTTAATAAATGTACCAAAATTTCAGATAAAGTGAGACACTACCAGCCACCAATGTGTGACTCTTACTTCCATGTCCCAATCTTACTATCCAAGAGGGTAAACAACAACAACAACAAATAGAACCTTCCATTTCAAGGTGAAATGTCAGTTAATGTTTCTGAAACCCCTCTATTGCCAAACCTCTAAAAATGCTGGATAAAACAATTCAAAGCAACCATTCAAAATTGGCTTGCTGGCAAGCAGGCAGGGAAAGTCTCAGAGACCTAAACAAATAAGAAAACCCAAATCCAGGGGTACGAGTGCTCAAGCAGGCAGCTGTCAATTTCCAGCAAGCCAAGCTTCAGATTTTAATGGGCCATTTTTGGGGAATGCGAAAAAGCCAGGAAACAAAAAACTTTATATCAGAGAACTCCTGAGTAAAACAAAATACTCCAAATTTGATATGAACAATTATTATTTTTTGATCCACTTTGTCACAAAAGAAAACTTGTTTAACTGGACCTTGACTCTGACAGGGATAAGATAGGGAAAAGGAAAATTTCACTTAAAATTTCCCACCCAAATGATGACCTCATAGAACTATTAAAAATTAATTTGGAATTGGAATATTTGCTATTAAATTGTATGACTAGTTAGTGTGAATTTAAACTTAGTTCAAAATATCCATAAGCCTCAGGTTACTCATCTCTTACATAAGAAAAATGCTCTTTTTCTCACAAACAATCATTTACTTCCATTTATAAATAAGGTATGAAATGTAAAAGTCCCAAAGCTTCCAAAGTTTCCAAAGAAACTAAGTGAAAAATTATGTATGTATTCATACATATACCTATATTTTGAGTCACTGTTTTTATTTTTATCCATGATATTTATGCTCACAGTTTGTATACCTTTTATTTTTATATAATGTTTAATTTACAGAAAATTTTCAAGGCTACTAGTACAAAGAGCTATGATATATCCTTTATTAGGATTCACCAGATACTAATATTTTTTATTTATTTAGATTTGTTCTCTCTCTCTCTCTGTCTCTCTCTCTCTCATCCCCTCATCAATGGTTGATATGGTTTGGCTGTGTCCCCACCCAAATCTCATTTTGAATTATAGTTCCCACAATCCACATCTGTCGTGGGAAGGACCAGGTGGAGATAATTTAATCATGGGGGCGGTTTTCCCCACCCTGTTCTCATGATAGTGAATTAGGTCTCACAAGATCTGATGATTTTATAAGGGCTTTTCTCCCTTTGCTCGACTCTCATTCTCTCTCCTGCCACCCTGTGAATAGATGCCTTCTGCCATGATTGTAATTTTTCTGAGGCCTCCCCAGTCATGAGGAATTGTGAGCCAATTAAACTTTTTTCCTTTATAAATTACCAAATCCCTGGCAGTTCTTTATAGTAGTGTGAAAACAGACTAATACAATGGTCTATATATTTTTTCTACCTTCTCAATTATTTTAGAATAACTAGTAGATATTATGATGATTTAAATCTAATTAACTTAGCATGCACTTAGTTTAAACAAGGGCATTACATTGTCTTACTGAAGTTTATTAACAAACAGAAAATTTAACCTTGATACAATGCTATTATATAACTCAAATTTTCAGTTTAAATTTTTAAATTGTCTTTGATAAATATTTGTTTCTACTCCCAAATACAATCCAGAGTAATATCACATTTAAGATACATGTCTCTTTTGTCTATTTTCACCTGTATCATCAGATTTTTATTGTCTTTTACGTTATTAACTTTTTTTAAAAGTACGGTTAGATTTTAGAAGGCACTTCAATTTGTTTTTTTCTTCTGTTTCACCATGATTAGATTCAGATTATGCATCTCAGAAGAAACACCACAGAAGTAATGTTGTATTTTCCTCCATACATCAAATCAGGAGGTAAGTACTTTTGGCTTGTACCAGTATTGATAATGTTAACTTTAATCAATTACATATGATAGTGTCTGCCAAACTTCTCTACTCTAAGATGTCTGTTTCCTCTTTGTAATTAATAAATAATTTGTGGGGAGGCTTTCAGACTATGACAATATCTCCTCTCTCATCATATTCTCACCCATTAGTATTGCATCTGTTGCTAACTCTTGCCAGAATCAATTTCTATAATGATAATAAAAGGTGATTTTCTAACTCCATAATTCTACTTAAGTTTATTAATTGTCATGTTACTCTAACGTAAAGCTTTCTTCATGCCTCTATTTATTTATTCATTTCTGTACTTACATCAGTATTAACTAATAGATTATTATTTTATTCAGTGGGTAATAACCTGTTACTATCATTATTTAATTGTTCAAATTGATCTACAGTTGGCTAGTGAGAGACTATATCAGTTCATTTTGTATTTTCATTGTTTAATTGTTCAAATTGATCTATATTTGGCTAGTGAGAGACTGCATCAGTTCCTTTTGTATTTTCTATAACAGAATACCTGAAACTGCATAATTTATACAGAAAATGAATTTACTTCTCAGTTATGGATGCCAAGAAGTCCAAAGTTGAGGGCTGCATCTGGTGAGAGGCTTCTTGCTGATAGGGGCTCTCTGAAGAGTCCTGCGGCAGCACAAGCATCACATGGTGGGATGGCTGAGCAGGCTACTGTGTTCAGGTCTCTCTTTCTCTTCTGACAAAGCCACCCATTCTCCTCCCATGATATCCATCAATCCATTAACCCCAAAATTCCTTAATCCATTAATCCATGGATGGATTAATCCAATCACCTTTTAAAGGTCCACCTTTCAATACTGCCACATTGAGGATTGTATTTCCAACATATGAAATTTGGGGGACACATTCAAAGCGTAGTAGAGCCCATTCAAGCTAATTACCATGTTCTTTGACAGGTTTCCAGCACTTTTACTTTCTGGCATAATTGTTGGCATATCATATCAGGCTCATCTTGTCTTTCTTCTTCCTTAGTGCTGGAAACAGTCATTTCTCCAAGAAGTCCTCATTGCCTTAAGTGAACATCAGGTGTGTTCATCACTATTGGTGTGCCCCTGCTTTGAAGCTCTTGTAGTGGACATAGCTAGGAAATTATTCACATGGACACACACACACACACACACATATTGGTATTAGGCAGATGCAGATATAGATGACATATAGCTAAATATGTACTATGAGTTCAAAAGCTCATCCTGGTAAAGCGCACAGCAATCCAAAAGCACAGGATTCATTTTAGTCTTTTTTTTTAAGTTTTTTTTTTAATTTTTATTTTTTATTTATTATTATTATACTTTAAGTTTTAGGGTACATGTGCACAATGTGCAGGTTAGTTACATATGTATACATGTGCCATGCTGGTGCACTGCACCCACTAACTCGTCATCTAGCATTAGGTACATCTCCCAATGCTATCCCTCCCCCCTCCCCCCAACCCACAACAGTCCCCAGAGTGTGATGTTCCCCTTCCTGTGTCCATGTGTTCTCATTGTTCAATTCCCACCTAAGAGTGAGAATATGCGATGTTTGGTTTTTTGTTCTTGCGATAGTTTACTGAGAATGATGATTTCCAATTTCATCCATGTCCCTACAAAGGACATGAACTCATCATTTTTTATGGCTGCATAGTATTCCATGGTGTATATGTGCCACATTTTCTTAATCCAGTCTATCATTGTTGGACATTTTAGTCTTTGCTGTGTAAATCTTCCTCAACAGGGAGAGCCTAGCTTCCATTATGTTCAATATATTTTACTTATGTACTCAATTACAGAATATATAGAAAATACTGTGAGAATTATTAACGATTCCCACTGCAAGCTTTTTAAAAGCCTGCATAATTTACTAAGATTAGTTCTGTTTTCTCATTATCAGTGTGGTGATGTTTCATTGAAAATAAAGCTATTCTGTTTGTAAACAATTTTATTTTTTAAACACATAGTTTTTGGTTTCATTTATTGAGCAGTGAAAATATTAACATACCACCAAAGTCAAAACTTCATAAAAGGATGTACTTAGTCATTTATCACTATCCCATTCTGTCCATCCTATTCCCATCCATATCCTATAATCATTATTATATATTTTCTTATATTCAGAAGCCATTTTCATATATTTTGATAAATGTTCTGCTTATAGTTTTTGTCTGTTTGTTTTGGGATTTTTTTCCTTCAAATTTTAAGAGTACCTAATATGTTAGGAGTATTAGCCTTTTATCTGTAGTGATATGTTATATTTTCTCCTGGTTGGTCTTTTTTACGCTTTGGCCTTTGCTTATAACACTTTTTTGCCATGCAAAATTTATTATTATTATTATTATCATTATTAATATTATAATTAAATGATTAAAATATCAACTATTACTTTCAATGTATTTTAAATCATACATAGAAAAACTTTCCAACACATGTGTTATAGAGTAATTCATTTTTCTTCTACTATTTCCATGGTGTAATTCTTTACATTTAGATCTCACTATTTTGAAGTTTGTTCTCAGGGTTTGGATGTGTATCTAATTTCATATTGTTCCAAATGGCTATTTGGTTATTTAAGCACCATTTATTAAAATGTTCATTTTTGCCCTAGTTATTAAAATGCCACTTGTTTTATATGCTGAATTCCCATATGTGTGTTACTCGATTTCTTGATTTTCTATTCTATTCCACTGGTCTATGTGTCCATACTTGTGAGAAGAACATGTTGTTGTTGTTATTGCTGTTTTTTTGAGACAGAGTCTTGCTTTGTTGCCCAGGCTGGAGTGCAGTGGTATGATCTCAGCTCACTGCAACCTCTGCCTCCTGGGTTCAAGCAATTGTTGTGCTTCAGCCACCCAAGTAGCTGGGATTACAAGCCTGTGCTACCACGCCCCACTAATTTTTGTATTTTTAGTAGTGACGGGTTTTCACCATGTTGGCCAGGCTGGTCTTGAACTCCTTACCTAAAGTGATCCACCCACCTCAGCCTCCCAAAATGCTGGGATTACATGCGTGAGGCACTGTGCCTGGCCATATTGTTTTAATAATATAGGCTTCATATTATATTCCTGTATCTTCTAGGATTAATGTTTCCTTGCAGCTTTTATTTTTTCGTGTTTTCTTAGCTATTCTTGAATGTTTGTTAGTTCATAGTACTGAATGACATGAAAGAGATTTTTCAATGCAGCGGAACAGGTAAGGCTTCAGTACTTATGAAAGGTAGATTTGATTTTAGATTTGATTAGGAAAAGCAGCCCTGATCTCCCAGCAGCAGTCCAAGTGTGTGACGTTATGCAGCCTGACTCTTACGTCAGTATTGGGCAGGAAGGGGGAAACATGCAAGGAAACATGCCTGCTGGACAGTGGTGCAGTATGACAATCCAGCAGCATAGTTTCCACTGCCTGGGGGCATGAGTACATGCACATGTACATACATTTAGCACTCTTCTGTCCATCCACTATGCTACAAGGAAGGAGGTGAAAGTGAGCACTGGTAATAGGCTAGTGAAGCCTATTTTGTCATTTTTAAGACTGTGTCACAAGTCATTCTTTTAAGACATATTTTCATGGAAAGACAAGGAAAAACAAATGTCTCTGTAGCCCTTCAAACTAGAACACTTCAAGCAATAAAATTACCTGTTTAAAAAAAGGACAGTTGTAAAGAAAGAAAAGAAAAGCCTCACTGACAAGTCTTCTGCTAAGTTATGAATTGAATGAATTGAAGAAAACGTATAGACCAGGTCTTTTGTTACAGGTCAGTCTAGCCTCTCAGCAAGTTTCAAGTAGAAAATATTTTCTAATTAAGATGCAAAACAATGTGTGATGTGGAACTATCAAATAAAGTACTTCTAAGAGTGAGCAAAATCCCTTAAGATCTTGGAGATGAAGTTGATAGGTTTTTTTGTTTGTTTGTTTTGTTTTTTAATAAACTCCACTTAAGAACTTGACTGTGTCTTATTGGGTAAAAGTCCTTTAGGATACCATCATGTCTACAATGCTGAGCAGGGATGCCAGATAAAAGAAAGGGGACTGGTTGAATCCCAGTCACCACTATGTAGGTCCCTTCTATGATGTTACTAATGATAAAGTTACAGAGTAAACATAGGATCCAAAACAAGGGAGAGGACACATTTGAACTCCTTGGTTGCCATTCCCTTAACGGGCTGGCTGTGGCCAAGCATGGTGGTTCCAATAATCCTAGCACTTTGGGAGGCAAAAGCAAAAAGATTGTTTGAGCGCAGGAGTTTGAAGCTACAGTGAGCTATGATCATACCACCACACTCCAGCCTGGGTGACAGAGGGAGATCCTGTTTCTGGAAAACAAAACAAAACCAAACCCCAAAACTGGCTGTATAGGCAGCTCAGCTCTGGCTGCAGCTCTTAAATTTGGATTAGCATCAGCAAGCCTGACTTCCTCAGGGGAGAGCTTTTTCTTGGCCTGTGTAAATTGGACAATAAGACATTTTCTACATGACAAATAGGAGGCTTCTTTTTTTAAAATTATACTTTAATTTCTGGGGTACATGTGCAGAACGCGCAGGTTTGTTACATAGGTGTACATGTGCATTGTGGTTTGTTTCACCCATCAACTCAACATCTACATTAGGTATTTCTCCTAATGCTATTCCTCCCCTATCCCCCCACCCCACGACAGGCCCCAATGTGTGATGTTCCCCTCTCTGTGTCCATGTGTTCTTATTGTTCAACTCCCACTTATGAGTAAGAATCTGCGGTGTTTGGTTTTCTGTTCTTGTGTTAGCTTGCTGAGCTTCATTCATGTCCCTGCAAAGACATGAACTCAGCCATTTTTATGGCTGTATAGTATTCCATGGTATATATTGCCACATGTTGTTTATCCAGTCTATCATTGATGGGCATTTGGGTTGGTTCCAAGTCTTTGCTATTGTGAACAGTTTTGCAATAAGCATACGTGTGCATGTGTCTTTATAGTAGAATGATTTATAATCCTTTGGGTATATGCCCAGTAATGGGATGGCTGGGTCAAATGGTGTTTCTAGTTTTAGATCCTTGAGGAATCACCACAGTCTTCCACAGTGGTTGAACTAATTTACACTCCCACCAGTAGTGTAAAAGCGCTCCTATTTCTCCACATCCCCTCCAGCATCTGTTGTTTCCTGACTGTTTAATGATCGCCATTCTAACTGGCATGAGATGGTATCTCATTGTGGTTTCGATTTGCATTTCTCTAATGACCAGTGATGATGAGCTTTTCTTCGTACGTTTTTTTGGCTACATGAATGTCTTCTTTTGAGAAGTGTCTGTTCATATCCTTTGCCCACTTTTTGATGGGCTTGTTTTTTTCTTGTAAATTTGTTTAAGTTTTTTATAGATTCTGGATGTTAACCCTTTGTCAGACGGATAGATTGCAAAAATTTTCTCCCATATTGTAGGTTGCCTGTTCACTCTGATGATAGTTTCTTTTGCTGTGCAGAAGCTCTTTAGCTTAATTAGATCCCATTCGTCAATTTTAGCTTTTGTTGCTATTGCTTTTGGTGTTTTAGACATGAAGTCTTTGCCCTTGCCTTTGTCCTGAGTGACTATTGCCTAGGTTTTCTTCTAGGGTTTTTGTGGTTTTAGGTTTTATGTTTAAGTCTTTAATCTATCTCGAGTTAATTTGTGTATAAGGTGTAAGGAAGAGGTCCAGTTTCAGTTTTCTGCATATGGCTAGCCAGTTTTCCCAACACCATTTATTAAATAGGGAATCCTTTCCCCATTGCTTGTTTTTGTCAGGTTTGTCAAAGATCAGATGGTTGTAGATGTGTGGTGTTATTTCTGAGGCCTCTGTTCAGTTCCATTGGTCTATATATCTATTTTGGTACCAGTACCATACTGTTTTGGTTACTGTAGCCTTGTAGTATAGTTTGAAGTCAGGTAGCGTGATGCCTCCAACTTTGTTCTCTTTGCTTAGAATTGTCTTGGCTATACAGGCTCATTTTGGGTTCCATATGAAATTTAATGTAGTTTTTTTTTTTCTAATTCTGTGAAGAAAGTCAATGGTAGCTTGATGGGGATGGCATTGGATCTGTAAATTACTTTGGGCAGTATGGCCATTTTCATGATATTGATTCTTCCTACCCATGAGCATGGAATGTTTTTCCATTTGTTTGTATCCTCTCTTATTTCCTTGAGCAGTGGTTTGTAGTTCTCCTTGAAGAGGTCCTTCATATCCCTTGTAAGTTGTATTTCTAGGTATTTTATTCTCTTTGTAGCAATTGTGAATGGGAGTTCACTCATGATGTGGCTCTGTATTTGCCTATTATTGGTGTATAGGAATGCATGTGGTTTTTGCACATTGATTTTTGTATCCTGAGAGTTTGCTGAAGTTGCTTATCAGCTTAATGAGATTTTGGGCTGAGACGATGGGGTTTTCTAAATATACAATCATGTCATCTACAATCAGAGACAATTTGACTTCCTTTCTTCCTATTTGAATACGCTTTATCTCTTTATCTTGCTTGATTGCCTTGGCCAGAACTTCCAATACTATGTTGAATAGGAGTGGTGAGAGAGGGGGCTTCTTTTTTACATGTGTCTTCAGTGGAAACTGTCACTTCTGACCCAGGCAGAGATTTCTTCATCTATTGCATTTTACATGATATCAGACAGAGCAGGAAATAGGGAATAAGGAGGATATGTCACTCAGATTCAGCTCAGAGATGTTGGGCAGGGTATCAATAGATACCTGCACAGATGGCTTTAGCACAGGTGCTTCATGACTCCTGTTGATTTGATTGTTGTTCTAGCTTACAATGTTCACAGCTTTTGTCCCCAACATTTCTGCCAATATCTACAGTTGAAGCACCAGCAAGTCCCAGGACAGGTCCTGAGGGTCCTAGAGGTGAGCCTCTTTTAAGAGGTTTTAACATCTGACCTGCCACTTCCCTTTCTAATCATTATATAAATATGAGAAAATTTAAAAACACTTTTATCTTAAAGACTTATAATAGTTCTTTGAAAAGTAGAAAATAACTTTGCTAAAAAATGAAACTGGTGTGTGTGCCTTCTGTCCATTTGGACTTTGTTTTTTATTGTCATTTAATTTTATTGTGGTAAGAACAATCAACATGAGATTTGTCCTCATAACAGATTTTCAGTGTACTATGTAGTATTGTTATTTATAGGTACAATGTTATACACCACATATCTGCAACTTATTATCTTGTGTAACTGAAATTTTACACTTATTGATTGGCAGCTTCTAATTATCCCCTTCCCTGACCACCTGAAACCCACCATTCTATTCTTTTCTTCCATGAATTTGACTATTTTAGATATTTCATGAAGAAGAATCATGGAGTAGTTGTTCTTCTGTCACTAGCATATTTCACTTACCGTAATGTCCTGCAGGTTAGTCCATGTTGTTGTACATTATAGGGTATTGTTCTTTCTTAAGGTTGAAAAAAATTTAATTTTTTTCATATTTCATATATTTCATATGACACCTAACATATTTACATGTCACACACACAAACACACACATATACACACACACACACATTTATCTCACATTTTAAAAAAATCCATTCATCCTCCATCCATTGATGGACATTTAAATTGTATCTGCATTTTGGCCATTGTGAATAGTGTTGCAATAAACATGAGAATGCTAATATCTCTTTAAGAACCCAATTTCAATTATTTTAGATAAACACCAAGAGGTAAGATTCCTGGATTATACAGTAGTTTTGTTTTTAATTATTTAGGGAAACTTCACACTGTTTTCTATAGTGGGTGTACAATTTTGGATTGCCACCAATAAGTATTAGGGTTCTCTTTTGTCTACATCCTAACCACTTTTTATCCTTTAGTTTTTGATAACAACCATCCTAACAGATGTGAGGTGATATATCATTATAGTTTTGATTTGTTTTTTACTGATGATTTGTGTTAAGCATATTTTCGTATATCTGTTTATCATATTTATGTCTTCTTTGGAGAAATGTCTATTTTAATCCCCAGCCTATTTTAAAATTAAAGTATTAGTTTGTTTTTTTTTTGTTATTGAGTTACAAGAGTTCCTTATATATTTTGGAAATTAACCTCATATCAAGTATATGGTTCACATTTTTTTTCTATCCCATAGGTGAACTTGCCACTCTTGATTATTTCCATTGCTGGGCAAGAAACTTTTAGTTTGATATAGTCCAGTGTGTCTATTTTTGCTTTTCTTGCCTGTGTTTTTGGTGTCATATTGATACAGATGAGAGGCAGGGAAATACTGGGCAAAGAGGGCGGTACTGGCAAGGACCACACCCTCAAGCCTGGACCCATGGCCTAAAGTGAGGACATGCATTCCTGTTTTCCTGCCTCAATGTTACCTTTTCCAAAACCACCCTGGCCTGCAATGTCCCCATCCTGTATCCATAGAAACCCCAGACCCCAATGGCAGAGTGGCAGAGAAGGAGACAAGAGATGAAGCAGCTGGTTGTCAGAGAGAAGCAGCTTGACTTCAGAGAGACGACTTGATGGCGGGACATTGGAGAAGAGTTCGGCTGGGAATGGCGGAACTCCAGGGGAATACCACCTTCCCACTCCATCCCTTTTCCAGCTGCCATCCTGCTGAGAGCCACTCCCACCACTCAACAAAATCCTCCACATTCACCACCCTTCAATTTGTTGAGTGATGTGATTCTTTCTGGACGCCTCATAAGTTGCTGTGAGACTCTAGACAAGGACTGGGATGCGGGTCCAAGAGGCTGTCACACTGACTCTCCACCGAACTGTTTAACACTTTTCTTTTTTTTTTTTTTTTTTGAGATGGAGTCTCACTCTGTCACCCAGGCTGGAGTGCAGTGGTGCGATCTCGGCTCACTGCAAGCTCCACCTCCTGGGTTCACGCCATTCTCCTGCCTCATGAGCTGTTTAGCACTTAAGCCATCCACGCCCTCTGGTACTCTATGGGTCGTGGGCAACCCCTGGATGCTACTGTGAGTCCACACAGAATACTGCTACTGCCAGTTGCCCAGATGAGCTCATCCTGGCCTCTGCACCCAGTCACCTGTGTGCTGCCCCTCCTGTAAGGGGTCGAGAGCTGCGAGCTGAGTAAATGAACCAACCCTTCGAGAGTCCCACAAAGGTGTCAGGAAACTATCTTGTTTCAATATCAATAAAATTCTTGCCAAGGCCGATGTCATGAAGCTTTTCACATATGTTTTCTTCCAAGAGTTTTACAGGTTCAGATTTTACATTTAAGTATTTAATACATTTAATTTTTTTTATAAGATTGGGTCTAACCTAATTTTTTGCCTGTGGATATCCAGTTTTCCCCACACTTTTTGTTGAAAAGACTGTCCTTTCTCTGTTGTGTATCGTTGGTATTCTTAGTGAAGATCAGTTGACTATAAATGTGTGGATTTACTTCTGAGCTCTCTATTATATTTCATTGGTCTATTTGTCAGCCTTTATGCCATTACTATGCTGTTTTAATATTAGTACCTTTGTAATATATATTGAAATCATAAAGTGTGATGTTTCCAGCTTTGTACATCTTTTTCGAGATTGCTTTGGAGACTTGTTTGCTGTTGAAACCTTCTATTGAATTTTTCAGTTTAGTTATTTTATTCTTTGTCTCCAAGGTTAACGTCTAGTTCTTTTTTAAAAAAAATTTCTATCTCTCTTGAAATTCTCCTTTTGTTTGTGCATTGCTCTCCCGTACTCATCAAGCATTTTTATGACAGTTATTTTGAATTCCGTCTTTGGAAATTTGTATATGTCCATTTCATTAGGGTTCAATCTGGAGTTCTATCTTGTTCCTTTGTTTGGATTGTGCTTTCCTGCTTCTTCATTTTCCTTGACCCATTGGGTCAGTATTTACTCATTAAAAAAACTCTCCTTTTACCGGATTGATCTTATACAGAAGAAAATCTTCACCAATCAACCTGTCTTGAGGTTCTATGGGCCTCTTAAACTTTTATGTTATTTAAAACTGTCATCTTTATTCTTAGCAGTCTCATGCACCTAGAGTATGCAAAATCTCTTAAGTGCTGAGATACAGGTGGGACAGAAACCAAACCCTCAGTTAGCTGCTGATAAAGTTGAAATTTTGGGTGCATAAGCCAACTCTTTCCCTCCTCAGATAGAAGCTGGGAGCTAGGATTTACTGCTCATTCACTCTGTGCTGATCTAGGGAAAGGAGATGTGATAATGCCTACATACTAGCTCTAACTACCATTTTGCTCCCTATAGGCCCTAGGGAACTTGCATATCCTAGGCCCCATCAGCTCTCAAAGACAGGTGAGATAGAAACCAGTCCCTTGTGCAGGACCCAGACAAATTGGGGCATTAGATGTTCAGTCCAACTTCTTTCCTCCTCAGAGAGGAGCTGTGAGCTGGGTGTTTCCTCCTGATCATATGGCCCTGTGCTTGTGGTGGAAATTAGCAAGAGAATGCCTCAACGTTTTCTACTGTTTTTTATATTGCTGGTTTCACATTTTTCTGGAGTGCAGGAGCCTCTTAACTAGTTTCTGGTTTTCTTACAAAGGGAATTGATTAATATTTTGCTGTCGAAATGGTGGAAAGGCGAATCCAGGATTTTCTATTGTGCCATCATGGTACAATGTTACTAGAAAATATCTGTTTAAATGATCATACACACTTTTTTCTGTCTTATTATTTGCTTTCAATTTGAGTGAATATGAGATTTATTATTTAACAATGTTTTCCTGCCTTTGGTTTATATTTTGTCTTTCTTCTTTAGGAAACTAACACAACCAAACCATATGGCATCACAACCAGCTATTGAACCTAGTACCATCCTTTTAATCAGTCAGAGTTAGTTATAATGTTATTGCACTTAGGTATTAAGAATATTAATGCCTGTCATACAATCATTCAGACATTTATTTGTATATGGTAGCTATTATATCTTTACAATAGTATGAATGTTTCTTCTCTGCTGTAGGGAAATTACCACAGACATAGAACTAATAATTATTTTAAAGAGCTGTCCCACCTAGAAAAATTCAGATAAAGCAGGATAGAATTTTTTAGTTGAATTTGTAAATGCTTTGCAAAAATGGCATGATTGTCCATCCCTTCTCTCATTTTTTTCTTTTCTATTTTCTTACAATCCATGTTTACTATGTTTAAGTTAGTTTAATAAACTGTCCTGTCCTATTAAGTTGCTATGAGACTCTAGTAAGCATGTATTTACAAATACCAAGAGTTAACCAAACAAAAAATAAATTTTTATAATAATGTAAACATACTATGCAAGACTTATTTCGGTTGTCATATAAATTTATAAATATAGCACTTTCTATGGCAAAGAACACCAGACAATGCTAATGCCAGCATATTTTGAAGAAAATGATTGTTACATTGTACCTTTAAAACAATTATCACATTTCATAACTAGACATAGTAAACATACAGGGTTAATGAATAAGATTCTTAGAAACAAGACCCATATCTTGTTCTTTTCAAAATGTGTTTGATTTGTGTTTTGGTCTCCACTTTCTCTAGCACAGTATGAAAAACACAGAAGCAAGAAATAAAAACATCAATTGCTTATGTCAAATTTTTCAACAAATGTAATTTTTTATATGTATAGACTTGAGGATGATATTTTATTTGATTCCTGGCAACTTAAGATACTATAAAAATTATGGTGATAAAATAGTTGTATGTCTCAAACTGTACACTGAGGAACACTGGCATCCCAAAGTATATTATTGAGTTTTATGTGACCATGGAAATTCATATTGAATAAATTTAAATATTAAAGTAATGAAGACTCTGAGAAGTCTTGCAAAAAGGAAAGCACTATATTTAACACCAATTTCCTAAACTTTTTCTTTAAAAAAATCATTCATACTCTAAAACTAGGCTGTTTCAGAGTAAAGTATAGGAGGTGAAACTAGTAATTATTCAAACTGCAAATGACATATAAAATCATTTTTAAGGAAACTAAACCAAACCCTTAATTGCAATGTTAAGGAGGCTTCTCTGTCTTAATAACTAGCCATAGTAACCCTAGACCAACTGTTACTTTGGAAAATCCCCAGAATAAGAATTGTTAGAGCCACATATATCAAAATTCTTTGAAAAAAATATTTAATCTATAAGTCACTAGAATAAAAGGCAAGCTTTTTAAAACAATCTTCTGATTCTGATAAGTATGTATATTATTTGAAAATTTGCACCACGACAGCTGATCATACAACCTGCAATTACCATATGGCTATAACATTGGTTGAATTTTAAAAGAAAGAATATCAAAGTTGGGAGGATAAGTGTATAGGTGAATAAACACTGAGGAACAATAAAAGGTAATAGAACAGTGGCCATAAAGAAATTAATAAATAGTTGATGAGGTAACTGCTAAAATGGATTTGGACTTTTAAAACAGAAAGGGAGAAGCAAGAGGGAGAATATGAACAACCTAAAAAGCAAACAACCTAATGGCAATAAAGGTTCTATGAGTTTAAAAATGTATGCAAATATAAATAAGGAAAAAACAAGACATTAAACAGATAATTTAATGCTATTTACCATTCCGGGCTGTTCTCTCCAACTCTGCAATATGCATTCACTGAGAAATAAATATTTCGAGTGCAATCCTGGATCTGAGTCGAGACCCCTCACTTACTGGTGGCATGATTTTGAGCCAAATTTAAAAGTACGTGAAGTCTCACTTCTTTGGAAATAATGAGTTAATGATAGCATCTCTTGTAAAAATCAAAAAACAATAATTAAATGCAATAAGTTGTTTAAAATCAGCGGTATAATTGTCATTTATTATAAATTCTATTATCTCATAATTATTAGATTTTTTTACATTTTATTGAATATTGAACCTTATTATAGCACTTTAGCTTAAGCTTTTAGTTGTCAAATGAAAACACTGATGTAGAGAAATTAAGAGACTACATTTGATATTCTTCTCTGGAATGAAAAAAAACAAGCAAAAACCTAGAAAATGTGTTTGCATTTGACAAACAAGAGTTGACAATTTTAAGAGTGAACCAGCAGAGAATATAGATGAATGGAAAAAATGACCAGGAATGAAACATGTAAAGCAGTAAGTGAGCCTACAGATCCCCAAGCAAAAACATTCCCACTGCCTCTCATTCCCACACTGACTGTAGTCTCAAAGCTGTCTGCTCTATGTTCAGCCCTTTGTGAAAGAAGGACTGGAATCAGACAGATTTCATACACCTGGACTGCAAATCAGACAGACTGGTTTCAAGGCCCATTTTCTCCATTAACAAACTATACGCCCATTTACATCTCTGAACTTTAATTCATTTTTTCCACTTTCCAAATGGGGATAATAATAGTACATACTTTATAGGAATTTAGGAATATCAAGTTGACTTTAGAACAGGAATCCATTAAGTATTACTTATTATTTTCTGGATTATTTATATGTTTCTTTCAAAACATTTTTATTGTTTAGAAGATACTTCACACACACACACACACACACACACACACACACACGCACACACTGGACATTTGAGAATTGATTGGCTGGAAATATAGTGAAATTTCACCATATATATGAGGCACATACGTGTAGGTTTAGCATGTATCTATGTGAGTCACACATTTGTATGTACATTTTTACATGTCGTATATAGGTATGTGTGTGCCATTATAGATGGTGAGTATTTTACTCATGTCTAAATACTCTGTTTTACAAAATGCTTGGTTAAAGTGGTTTTAAACAAATATCCAATGAAGTATTAACATGTAAACTCAGTCATAAAAATATATAAAACAAAACCTTTTAGAAATTCAAAGAGAAGTTAGCAAAAAAAATCAATCATAATGAAAAAAAAACATACAGAAGTTTAAACTGGTGGCATATGGGTCTAATTTGACCCACAATTATCTTTACTATAGCTGCCTTATATTACTCTTCAGACTGTTTGTTTTATGTTTAAATTTGATTTGATTCCAATATTTTAAAATCTAGGGCAATCTTTTAGTGGACAACCATGAACACTGCTATGGGAACTAATAACCTCAAAATTGTAGTGGCTTAAAACCACAAAGGTGTATTTCTTTCTCATGCCAATATCCAACTAGGGTTGGCAAGGGCCTCTGCTCATTGTGGTCACTCAAATATTCAGGCTGAAGAAAGTTCAATCTTCTTTCATGCTTCTAAGATCACCATATTTCAATGAAATATAAGAATTAAGTTTTGATTAAATTTTTTTACCCAAAAGTGAATGACACACATTATTTTCCCTATTATTTCACTGTCCAAAGCAAGTCACTTGTGCAAATCTAATTTTAAATGGGTGGAAAAGAACGTTGTCAACACAGCTCACAAAAAGCAAGATGGTGAAATAGGACTCTGCAGCAATTGTCCCCCTGTAGAAACATTAATTTGAACAACTATCTATGCATGAAACTCCTTCAAAAAGCCTCAAGGAGCCAAGTGAGACGTCATAGTGCCTGAGTGTAGCATAGAAATAAGACAAGATGCATCAAAAAGAGCAGAAAGAACAGTTTTACGCTACTTTTGTCACCCATCCCCCAACCCCAGGCAGCACATCATTGAGAAAGATATCCTCCATTTAGGGGTAAAAGGGGAGTGAACACAGCACTTTGCCTTGATTCCCAGTACTGTTCCAACCACAGCATTGGGAATGCCCCCAAATCCATAGACTCCAGGCTGGTACCTGTGCGCTAAGCCTCCAGACTCACCCTGGTGCCAGGCTGGATCCCTGAAGCTCCTGGTTTGAGACCTGCACAGCAGAGTTAATCTCTGGTCCACACCACTGCCAGGCTCATTTTAGCCACATCAGGCTCGAAACAGTTCTCAGTGACGACAGGCTTGGACCAGCTGGTCCTGGACTTTCGGCTGCCCCATTGCTAGGCCAGTCCTCGCACCACGCCAACCTCAGCTGCCACCACTGGCCCGACAGTCACATGGCTTTAAACCAGGCTGGCCTACATTAGTAGACCCAATCAGCAGATCCACCGAAGTGGATCCAAGTTCCAGAGGTCTGCTCGCCTGTTGAATCAGACACGAGGCCAGAGAGCCCGAGGATTCCAGCAGCAAGCCAGCTAATGAACCATAGCAGATGGCCTGCCCAGAGATGTTGAAGTGCATTCTCATTCAAAGCCAGTTTGCAAAGATTGGAATAATTACCTACATCTCTAAATTTGCAGGCAACAGAACACCACAGCAAGAATCAAGAAGAATCTGGAAAATATGACATCACCAGAGGGACAAAATAATGCACCACTTACTGACCCTAAAGAAATTAAGATGTATTACTTCACTAAACTGCCTTAAAAAGATCCAAAATAACTTTTAAGAATGACCAACGAACTTCAAGAAAATACAGTGAAACTATTTAATAAATTGTGAAAAACAATAAATGACCAAAACAGAAAACTTAAAAGAGAGATTTAAATTATTAAAAATAGAATTAACACAAGCTCCAAAATAAGGAAAACTCAATGATTACCATGTTTCTCTATGAGACCACAAAATAATCTATTAGATAGAATATAAGGACACAAGAGTTGAAATAAAACAAAATCCTAATTAGGTCTATAGATATATTTGCAAGCAAGCATAGAAAAATATGTTTTTAGAAAGTCTATGTATTATGTATTTATAAATTCTGATAAGGTAACAACATAAAAGAAACTGCCCAAAATTTAATAGAAATATTACAAGCAACATTTTCTGATCATACCACAAAAATATTTGAAATAGGTAATAAAAATAAAAGCAACAAATTTAAGTAAGCAGAAATTTCAAAAAGAAACATCTCTAAATATCTTGTTTCAAAATCAAGCAAAACTAAGTGACAATAGTCTATGTACCAAAAATTAAGTGTAAATATACACTCAATTCATAAATTTACATAAATTATAAAAATATAAAATATAAAAATTGAAATCAAATACATGGATTGATAGTAGCTATAGTCTACAAATTAGAAAAGCAAACTATATGCAAAAGATTTAGACATTAATGACAAATGCATTATTGCCAATATTTATTGGAAATGATCAATATTGTAGAAAAAATTCAAAATATTTAATCTTTTATTAATGAATAAAAAAAGTAATTGAAGTATTGAATTTAAAAACCTAGAAAAATAAATAAGAAAATAAGTTGAAGAAATTAATTAAGATGACACCATTTATTCTATAAATTTAGATTAGAACCAATTTGTAAATGAGGAAGGAGGAAAAGAAAAGGTTGAATTCATAAATTTACCTAATAATCAGTTGAAGGGACCAATCCAATAGTTAAACTTCTGGCTAGGTTGATCAAAAACTATAAGAAACAAAAATTTAAGCAACAATAATAGGCATGGAATTGTTTTTAATAAAACTGGCAAAAAGGTAGTATATTATTTGTTGAATTATTCAATAAATAAATTTAATAAATATATAATAAATGAAAATTAGCAAATTAAATATTCAATAAAGTAATAAAATTGATAATAATTTTAAAGCAGACTTCTATCTCATGTCATATACCAAAATATATTCAGATTATTTAAATGTTTAAACATATATTACACAACTATGTGAAAATATATTTATGAAACCCTAAAAATTTTAAGTGAATATTCACACAGCATACTGATAAGCAAGTATCTGATAAACATTACATCAGAGGTAGAAATTCTAATGTATATTTTATGAACTCAAATATATATGCTTTTTACTATATTCCATGGGTCGGCTCTTCACGACAAAGATAAATGTCTCAAATATTGATCCTTAATGATAAAACAAAGCAAACTGAATCAATAATCATTTCAGATTATTCAGCAAATTACACTTTTTTCTATGGGTAGGTGACTTTTCTTTCCTACTGATGCTAAGCTTTGCCACGTGCCCTCTGGTGCTCAGCAGGATATTGACAGAAACAATGGTTTACAGGCAAGTCTTCAAAGGTGTCATGTATTCCTACTTGTCCATATGCAATCTGGTGGTCACCATGAAAGGAACATGCCCAGGGAACAATTAGCCCAAGAAGAATGAAGTAATGTGCGAAGTAGGCCTGACCCAGCAAGAAGCCTACAGTCTGAATCAAAGTTGTGAGCAAGAAAAATAAAGTCTAACTGTTATAATCCACTAAGTTTTAAGGTGACTAATTATGCAGCATTGTTGTGACAATATTTTACTATTAATACTCTTAGATGTTTTGTACTTATATGACACTATGCAGTGATGTCAAAGAGAGGGGAGTAAACAAGTTCTTGCATACTGCAAATTAAATTCTTCTGAAGAACAGTTTATACAGCAAAAATCGTGAAGATGTTAAGGTGCTTTCTTCCTGAAATTCCTCCTAAATATTTTCTAAAGAATATATGATAAAGACAAATACGTGATTACAATAATAGATACTGAAACTTTTTTTAAGTCATAGATAAACACAAATTTTTCACCAAATTGGCTGTAAAAATTACTGTGTATCCATTCAACAGAATACCACACAGCCATTGAGAGGAGGTTATAGAAGCATATTTCCAAAAGGGGAAATACAATTATGTTTAATTTTAAAATCATGGCATAACATTGCATGTGTAGCATAAAAGTGATAAAGAGGAGGAATGAGAATTCAGAAATGGTTATTGCAAATATTAAAAGGGGTCATCCACATTTTTCTGTCTTCCAAAATATTTGTATTTGAAAAAATACATTCAGCTTAAAATTTTACAATTTATTGGCAATTGTAATGTAAAAGTAAGTAACCGTAATGTGTTTTTGGTGGATAATTTAGATAATTAATGTTTCATTTAAGTAAAAAGAAGTTGATTCTTGTTGATATTCTTACACTTAAACCATTTTGTGGTGATGACTGAAACAGATTCTCAATGTCCCCAAATACTTGACTGTCACTCATTAAGAGTAGAATTTTAAAAGCCTTTAAATCTAAATTTTATGTTTATTCATACATTCATGCTGGCTATTCCATCATATTTTCAATCCAAGGTTATTCAGATTTATATATATATATACATATATATATATATTTTATTATACTTTAAGTTCTAGGGTACATGTGCACAACATGCAGGTTTGTTACATATGTATACATGTGCCATGTTGGACAAAGGGCTAATATCCCGAATCTACAAAGAACTCAAACCAATTTACAAGAAAAAAGCAAACAACCACATCAAAAAGTGGGCGAAGGATATGAACAGACACTTCTCAAAAGAAGACATTTATGTAGCCAACAGACACATGAAAAAATGCTCATCATCACTGGCCACCAGAGAAATGCAAATCAAATCCACAATGAGATATCATCTCACACCAGTTAGAATGGCGATCACTATTCAGATTTGTTTGTCTGTGCTTTTAGAAAATAGGCATTTCATGCTTCTAAGTATAATTAACAGAGTTTTAGATACTTATTCTAAGTAGAGGCTTTCTCAAAATGAATCAGAACAGAAACTTTTAATCAAATTTAGCATGTTATTGCTTTCACTTTAAAGCTATGCTTGAAAACGATTTTTAAATTTTCTTAGTTTATTCAAGTCACACCTATTGTGGTTTGAATTTAATATGTTTATACATGGTTTACAATTCAATTCAACCCTAGAATACAATTTCAATAAGGCACCATTCATATAAGACAGTCTCTATTTTCATCTTTTATTTTTTCATTAAACATTATTTCATAATGGATGTAGCACAAATGAATTTGTAAAATAGGCAAGCACTGCACATTAATGTTTGATGGTATTCAATAATATATTGGACAGCAACATGCTGACTTCTGACTCCACTCACTATTCTATTAAATCGATTATTCCAAAATCAACCAATCATATTTCCCAGTCTCCTGTACCTCTGAAAGTATTTAATACTACTGTTCTCCTTCTCCAAAGAACAGTGTTTCCTCTTTCATATTTTGAGATACTGAAACCATGTCACGTTGGCCCCTTTCTGTGTCTCTGAAAGCTCTCTGTGGTTGTCTCCTGGGACTGCTTTTACCCTGCTTTTTGAAGGAGGGAGATTTCACCCTTCATAACATTCTTTGGCATTTTGTAAATTTGCCTTTCCGTTCAGTAAGTAGTTATTGGTTCGCTACTCAAAAATCAAATGTAAATATATTGTCATTAACTATAGCCACTCTGCTGTACAATGCTCTCTTGAATCTATGCTTATCTGACTATAATTATGTATCCTTTGATAAGCTCCTCCTCATTCGTATATTGTGTTCTTGAAAAATGAAAAAAGAATGGATGTTGACAGCTCTCACCATAAAAATAACTGTCTAAAGTGATGTGCTTGTTAATTAGCTAGTGTTAACCATTCCACAATGCATATATACCTTGAAACATCATGCTGTACATGACAAATACATAAAATGTTATTTGTTAAGTTAAAAATACATAAATAAAATGAACAGATTATTATATTCTGGAAATATGATTTGATAGTGTTTTTTATCTCCCTAGTTCTTCCACAAGAAAAGCAGAGTAAATAGGATGACTGAAAGAGATAATAAAACAAATCATAGATAATATCTCCAACAACACTAGTGATAAAGGATTCCAAAAATTCCAAGGTCCAGCTTTGTCCTCTGAGGCCAGAATGTGTCAATAGCAGTTAGAAATGTGATCAACATGAACAGAGAGTGAAGCACTGAGACCATAATAAGAGATAAGGACTATGAGTTAGAGGACATGGGAAGGGCTAGTAATGTAGGAACTAGCAGCACATAGTAAAGATTTTCACTTTTAACATAGGATATGAGATGCAATTGAAGAGCTTTGCTGAGGAAAGTGACATCAAATCAGAGAGGAGAGGGGAAAGAGGAGAAACGGAGGCTAGAAACTAGTGAGGAGACTTAAAAATTTTAACTCTATAGAAAATTACAAAAATCTCTGGCCTAATTTTAGTGTGGCCAGAAAGTTTGTAGGCAAATGTAGTTGATAAATGGTTTATTGGTATTACATTACAATACATGTTCCATCCGATACGTTGTTATGCATAATAAACCTACACTCTTAACATACCCCACAAGAAATACTCATGTTGATTTAATCCATAAATAATAAAAAGTATTATTACCATACAAATTTTCTATTATTCCTGACTTTTTGGTACACATCAGTATATTATCCTCTAATTGTACCTTGTTTTTTGTGTGTTTTATCATTAAAACTAAATGAAATACAAAAGTAGAAAAACCTACTTTGATGTTGAAAACTAACTGAAACAAATTTATATATATATATATAGAGAGAGAGAGAGAGAGAGAGGCTGGTAGTTATTAGCATTATTTGCACTAAGAAGAATTTTTCAAAAGAATATAAAACAATATTTTGGCTTTCTATAAACATATTTTCAATATGTTTATAGAAAGCTACATCATTAAGAACATATCCTGAAGATATAAAGATATTTAATTCCAATTGGTAACCATATTATTAGAGTAATTTTGCTACCTGTCTTATTGTTAGTGTATTATGTTATTGTTACTTTGAAACTATTACATATAGAAGCAAAAACGTACACCTTTTTTTCAACATCACTAAGGACCAAAATCTTGCTTGTAAGACAAGGATACTGAAATATCAAGTCAAATAAGTTATGCAAGAAATCTTTTAATATTTAATTTGATTTGTAGTTTTTCTGAAAAATAAAAATTCCCCATTTGTGTACTAGTAAGGCCTAGGAAAAAAAACGAAAATACTTAATGATAATGAAAATGTTTAGCATCCCAACTGTGTTCTTTAACAAAATTTCTACCAAAATAAACCAGGGTTCCATGAAAAAAATGAATCTCTAGGTTTAATGTCTCACTCTTCTAATTCATACTCTATATAGTAGTCAGGTAAATTATGATCATAGTAGTTAAGTATTTAAAATCTTTGATGGATTCCTGACATGCAAGAGTCATGGACAGGATCCTTATTTGAAAATCAAGACCTTAAAGAATGTAGATAAATCTCCTTTGTCAGCACACTTGTCCACTTCTACCCCATATAGAACCCATGCTAACGCAAAATGGACAGCTCCTTCCTGAACATGACTTACATTTTTTTCACCTTGATGCTGTTATTTCTCCATGGGGTTCTCTTAAATGCTTCTATTTCCACTTTCTGAAATTTAACTCCACCTTCAAAGTATATAACAAATGACTAATTTTTACTATTTTTCCTAGATCCACCAATCTGTGGCTTCTATTAGAGTTACCTGAATATATAGTCAATTCTTCCTTCCTATTCTACTGTAACAAGTACTTTTTTTAGTTAAAGCAAAGGGGGTAGATTTATAGTTACTTTCATCTAAAGACCAGTTCTATTATGAATATCATTGAAATCACTAACTCTCTGACAATTCACAGTGTAAGCATAAAAACAGTAAAAGAGCTATTTGAAATTTGAAAATTAAACTTATAAATAATGAAAGAACAATTCTAATGAGATATGTCAATAATCTCAATGAATTTTGACTATAAAGGTGAGAAAATATAGAACAATAACTATATTTATAAAGTTTGTTTAAAAATTATGATTTGTATTTTTTTCAAGATAGCTGACTAGAGTTGTCAAATGCCAGTTCTCAGAAAGAATATCAGAGTTACAGGTGAGTGATCGTGGTCTGAGTGGAAAGCTATGGGAAAAGTGCCAAAAGCAGTCAAAGATGCCACAGGAGGAAGCTGCACTACAGAAAAGGAAGACAGCAAGAGCCTGGCAGAGAATCACCCCTGAGAAACTTGGGGTCTTTTGGAAAGGGTAGAGGGAAGTATTTCTTTGCTCCCCTCACCCCTGTGAGAGATAGCTGACTGCTGGATTGTTGGAGAGCTCCCAGCCCTCATGAGTCTGGTCAACACTGTCAGTGTCAATTTGGGAACTTCCAGCAGGCAGAGCTCACGGCAGCCAGATCAAGCAGGTGCACTTCCACGCCCCTCAAAGCCAAACTGAGGCAGCAGGTGCCATACTGTTTGTGCACCCATGATGGGTCACTACCCTGCCCAGAGAACTTCAGTTCTCATGTTGCCACATAACAAGATCCCCCACATACATTCCCCAGAACCATCTTTGATTTTGGCAATCACAGAGGATTGGCAGATTCCTCAGAAAATGTGAGGTCCCTGGTGAACTGCAGGATTCCTGGAGATCTAGCCCTCAGCATGGACCAGTCCTAGAGGAAGGGAGAGCACAGCCTGCCAAAGTGTCCCTTGAGCCAAAGGAAGCCTGGGCATGGTGGAAATTTTTGAAGGGATGAGTGTTGTTTCACTACAGCAACAGGCAGCCCTGTAGTCTCCATGGATGTAAAGAGGAAGTCACTTCCTGCTCCACCCATTCACTGCTATGGACCCAACTGAGGCTTTTCCTGCTCCACCATGTTAAAAGCCTGCTAACAGAAGGGCATACATGGTTCTATGGTACAAGATAAGCTTTCTGAGACCTTGCATTCCCAGCCCTACAGAAGATAGTGAGTCAGCTCATACATCTACTATATCACTACAACAAGCAGCAATTGAGAAAGCCATATTTCAAAAGCTATCTATATCCAAGGAAACCATACAGATCCTTGGACCCCTGAAGTCACCCAGAAACAAAGCCAAAGGATCATACAAACATACACTAGAGTTACATCTTCAAGAGAGAAAAGAATAAAAAATGTAAATGTCCCATCCAAACAATAGAATTCTCAAAAATAAGAAGGAACATCTTTAGTTGAGAGGGAATTGGGGCAAGAACTGCTGTACAAAAGAGACAGTGTTTCAGCATACCCAAAGGATCTCAATAGCTCCATAACAATGTATCCTGACCATAAGAAAAACTATGAAATTACGTATAAAGAATTCAAAACATGAATAGTAAGGAAGCTAAATGAGAACCAGGAAAAATATGTAAACCAACTTAAATCAGAAAAACAGTTCAGGATTTGAAAGAGAGCAGATAGATAATTAAAAAAAAAACTTCTGAAAATAAAAAAAAATTACTGAAGGAATATTAAAATGCAGTTGAATTCTTCAACAATAGACCATAACAGACAGAACAGTTTCATATTGAACATAACATGAAGACCAGTGTTTCAAATTAACCTAGTGAAAAAAAATTGAAAAATGAACAAATTCTTTGAGAAATATGAGATTATGTAAAGGAATCAAACCTACTACTTTTAAACATTCTTGAGGGAGAAGAACCAAAAGTAAAATTTTGGAAAACATATTTGTGGGAATAATTTGGGAAAATTTCCTGATCTTGCTAAAGATATAAGCATGTAGCCAAAATAAATTTAGAGAACATCTGGAAGATACTGTCCTAGATGAACCTCATCAAGACATATGTTCATCAGACTATCCAAGGTCAATGTGAAATAAAGCAACTAGTGAGAAATGTCAAATCACCTATAAAGGAAACTCAATCAGGCTAACAGCAGACTGCTCAGAAGAAACTTTACAAGCCAGAAGAGATTAGGTGATTACTTTTAGCCTACTTAAAGAAAAAATAAATGCCAACCAAGTATTTAATATCATGCCAAACCAGGTTTCATAAGTGAAGGAGAAATAAATTCTTTCCCAGACAAGCAAATGGTAAGGGAATTTGTTACCACTAGACCAGCCCTACAAGAAATGCTCAAAGGAGTTCTAAACATGGAAACAAAAAGACAATACACACCATCATAAAAATACCCATAAGCACAAAGTCACAGATACTATAAAACAATGATATAACATAGACTCCAAAGGAATTAGCTATTAATAACAACACTATGACAGGATAAAGCCTCACATATCAATATCAATCTTGAACATAAAAATGCCCTAAATGTTCCATTTAAAGTATAAGTGGAAAAATTGGATTAAAAAAACAAATCAAAATAAAACAAAACAAAAAACAAGACCCAACCATCTGCTGCTTACAATAGACCCGCCTAATGACTAAAGATTCCTACATATTCAAAGAGGGAGAAAGATACATCATGCAAATGAAAAACAAAAGCAAGTGGGAGTAGCCATTCTTAAAATTTAAATCAAAAACAGTATTAAAACAGGACATTATATAATAATGAGTTCAATATAATCAGATTTAACTATATATATGTACCCAGTACCAAAAGCACCACAATTCATTTTAAACACATATTACTAGGCCTAAGAAAACAGATTGGCCGGGCGCGGTGGCTCACGCCTGTAATCCCAGCACTTTGGGAGGCCGAGGCGGGTGGATCATGAGGTCAGGAGATCGAGACCATCCTGGCTAACAAGGTGAAACCCCGTCTCTACTAAAAATACAAAAAATTAGCCGGGCGCGGTGGCGGGCGCCTGTAGTCCCAGCTACTCGGGAGGCTGAGGCAGGAGAATGGCGTGAACCCGGGAAGTGGAGCTTGCAGTGAGCCGAGATTGCGCCACTGCAGTCCGCAATCCGGCCTGGGCGACAGAGCGAGACTCCGTCTCAAAAAAAAAAAAAAAAAACAGATTGACAGCAATAGAGTAGTAATAATAGACTTCAACACTCCACTAACAAATGTGAACAAATCATCCAGGTAGAAAACCAACAAAGAAACTCTGGACTTACACCAATAGACCTAAAAGACATTTACAGAACATTCTACCTAGCAGTTTCAGAGAACACTTTTTATTTCATGTACACAGATAACATTTTCCAATTGACCATATGCTTAGTCATAAAGCAAGTTTCAATGAATTCTGAAAAATCAAAATCATATCAAGTATCTTCTTGGACCACAGTAGAATAAATCAGAAATTGACACCAAGAGCAGCTCTCAAAATTACACAAATACTTGGAAACTAAACTACTTACTCCTCAATGGCTTTAGGGTAAACAATAAAATTAAAACAAAAATCAAAAATAATTTTTGAAATGAATGAAAGGAATGACACAACATACCAAAGACTCTGGGACACAGCAAAATCAGTGTTAAGAGGAGAGTTAATTGTTTTAAATGCCTACAACAAAAAGACAGAAATATTTCAAATTAACAAGCTAATATCACACATTAAGGAGCTAGAAAACAAGAAAAACAAAACTCAAAGCTAGCAGACAAAAATAAATAAATAAATATCAGAGCAATTTATATTGCATCTGTATGGATCAACAGCATTACCTTTTCCATAACTTGCCCACTACTTTTAAAAAAAAACTAATTATCAATTTTATATTGACCCCATTTCATATTTTATGCAACAATCAGTTTCAGATGGATTGAAAATCTCAATGAAAAAGTTGAAAAAAAATCTAATTCATTCTAATTATGATTAATTTTTTGTTTCCTATTTGAAAATCTTTGGAGTATGAAAAAATTTTCAAATAGGAAACAAAAAATCATAATTAGAATGAATTGTTAAACTGGATCACCTTAGATTTAGAACTTTTTATCATCAATGGACCTTATTAACAGTGTGAAAACACAAGTCACAAAGAAAAGATATATGCAATACTGTATCCAAAAGAGAACTCATAATAGCCTAAGAATTACAAAGCCTTAATAGATCTATCTCTTGTGTCTTTCCAGAAAAAGAGATAGAGAGAAGGTGGGAGGAGAAAGAGAGAGATAATTTATATATCAGTACATAAAAATATCCAAATAAATATTTTAAATGTTATAAATCGAAAATATTGATTGGAAGCACCAGGAGACTTTTTTGAAACTATGTTCGTTGGGGCTTATCGTATGATCAAAACCTCTGGCATCTGTGCATTTAAACAGCTTCCCTATGTAAGGCTACTGTAAACTAGATAAGAACCATTCATATAGAAAGCTGTTCTTGAATGTTATTGTTATGGGCACTTTTTGCTTATTATTTTCAAGTTAGTTTATGTAAAAGGAACATACGTAAATGTATATCTAGCTTCCTAAATAAGACTAATTTATTAGCAAATTCTGTGTGTGTAACATTGTATGTGTATCATTTAGAATAATGTTGACATCATTTAGCCCCCTTGTAATCTCACCGTTTTCAATTGCACACCGCATTAAGGAAAAAGTATTGAACATGCACAAGCAAATGTGTATACTTATTTATAAGTTATAGATAGATACTACTAGAGTAATGGATTATTTATGTTCTAAGCATACACATACATAAATTATTAAATGATGAGATTAAAGTGTTGTAAGCAATATTTTAAAAATATTGCTTGCCATTATAGCTACATACTATTTTAAGTAACTGTAAGTATTCAAGTGAGATTCATCACTTGACATAAGGCGTGTAATGTCCTGTTTTATGTTGTCTCTGAAAATTTTCCATTTTACAAGTTATTTGCTGATATATTTTATCATTGTTTTAAAGTTGTATGTTTATCTTTGTAATATGGCTGAAGAATGACGCTCAGTAGCAGTTGAAGTGCCAATTTTGCCACTGTTGCTCGCTTGTGCTTTTGTAGTTGGAATTAACCTGCCTTTTCTAGTCAGATTTTTTACAAGCAAAATGTCTATTGGTAGTTTTAAGTTATTCTATACTAGGTAATATAATTTATAAGCAGAATTCAATCCTTATAAGAAAAATACACTATGTTGCTGTGCTGAAAATGAATGAATGAATCAGAACACCACTACCAATTCTGTTATGAAACACACTTTTTTTCTCAAAATGAATCTTCCACAAGGAAGATAAATGAACACTTAACATGCAAAGTGGTGAAGCCAATTTTAATGCACATAGGAAATCTTAACCTCCATTTTATTCAATAAAATTAACCATAACTATCTTCTTCACCCTGTGACATGAGATTATGTTACTCTTTTTAAGGTCATGGATCTAGATGGTGCTTTTACTAAGGATGAGAAAAAAGAAAGTTGCAACACTACTTCAGTAATTAAAATAATTCTAATAGCATGTTGCAGATATATTTAGCAACTGTTTTGCTTCTTTAGTAAAGTATTTGTTGAGCGTGTGACTTTAAATCAAATCATGTAAATGGTCAGTCTCAGCATCAGGAGGTCTGATGGAGAACCATAAACTGACCTATTCTTTTTACATATACATTTTAAATTCGCATTTTCATGATGAAACTGTTGCTTTTCAGCCTTCATGATTGCAAAAACAAACAAAATATACTTCTGATGCCTTGTTTGAAGAATGGTTAATCAGCAGAAATATTTTCTAATAGCATGAGTCATAATAAAAATACTGGTCATAATATTTTCAAAAATTACTTCTAACTTTATCCTTTTGAAGACAAAGTCAGTAATCTTTGGTTGGAAATGACGATATAACCCAAATTTGAACTAACTAGGGCAATAGGGAGAATTTTTTGACTCATATGTAATCACAGAGGGTATCAAGGAGGTAGATATGGTAAAGAATTTATATTTTCCAGGCTTTCGCTCTGCCCATTTTCTCTGTAATCGCTGCATTTTTTGTTTCATCCTGTCCTACTGCAGAATGGCTTTTTTCTAGAAGAATAGTATTAGCAGATCTTGGAACTTTGGGACTCAGATTTTCCTCCAGAAAGAAACAAGTTCCTTCCTCCAGCTCTGGTTTCAAAATTTAATTGGATAGTTTAGTTTCAATATTCTTTTCTTGGACAGTTAGTGTGGTCAGTCATGTGAGTATATTTACAAAATGGGCAACCCCATTTGTGTGACATGCTTAGATCCTGGGAAGAGAAATGATGAGCTTTTGCCTATAGAAGATAGATACTGTTTCATTGATAAGGAGAAGGTATTGAGTGGAAAACCAGTGTCCTTGGTAGGGGCTATGTGGTCAGTGACATTAAAAGTTGCTTTGTGTTTCTGCAGTGTTAATGCATCCCTGCAAGGGAATCTAGTCCAGTAGCAAGTAACATGGCTAAGTACTACATTCTCAAAATGGATGCAGAGACTGGTATGCATCATCCTTATGTTAAGCACTTCTGTTTCCTACCAGCCTCTGTTATCATTAGACAAATCTCAGGATTCGTTTAAATAGTAATGCATCATTTGTCTTGCTCTTATTCAATAGTTCCATTTTGTTTATAATAGTTGTTTTTTTCTTTAAAAATAGTTTAAATTCAAAGGATTTTTCCTTATTTTTTCGTTTCTCTGAAGTGAGTGAGTCTGTTATTTATTTCTTTAAATAGGCCAAACGTGGGCAATAAAACAAAGAAGTAGAAATCTGAATTGTCACCCAATGCTCCCGATGATTTAGGAATACCTAAATCAGCTGTGAAACAATCACATTTCTTTTCTTTGCAAGATTAAGAATCAGGTTTGTGTGTTTTCTAATGGAGCCACAAGTAATATATGAAAGAAACAATTTTATTTTGTATTAGGGTTCTTTAATTTAAAACAGAGCCCTTATTTCTTTAAGATAATTCATTTAATCAGTGTGGCAAAGGCAATATATCACTGAGTTCTCACATTACATTAAACAGATAATCAATAGTTGAGACAATAAAATAAAATGTTTTCAGCTTTATTAAACTTCAGGGACATGTGGAGAGCAACTGGGAGACAAAATGGCATTAAAAATCAGTTAATATAGCTATTATTGCAAAGTGCATCTGAGTCACTGTTTAACACGGGGTTTCCTGTGGTTATTCAGGCAAAACCAGATTTAAAAACAAACACACAGAAAAAGAAGATAGAACTAGCTGAAACACTTAACTCATCAATTTCTAGAGAATAAATAATTCAGCTTTTTGTCAATGTATCATGCTTCATATTTTAAGATCTTATTTAATAATTTTCTTCTTATTTTAAAGCATTTAACTCTCTTACAATAAATAAATAAAGAGCAATAAAGTCCAATAAACACCATTATATAAACAATTGAAATTTAGGTTGAAATACTGGTATTTAAAAAACCTTTTTATATGAGATAGTACAGTTAGCACATTTTATGCATTAGTTAATTTAATTTGCACAGCAATCTTGCTAGGGTAATTTGTCAGTTGAGGACTCT
Organism: Homo sapiens; assembly: GCF_000001405.40. Lineage (NCBI taxonomy): Eukaryota > Metazoa > Chordata > Mammalia > Primates > Hominidae > Homo > Homo sapiens. The sequence goes on along the minus strand of NC_000003.12, from coordinate 79,810,353 downwards.
GAGGCCTAATGGACGGGCCTAACCCAGGCTCAACCAGAAAATGAAGGGCAAGCTGGGATCGTTGCTTATGTCTGCTGCTGGTGGATCCAAAGAACCCAAACATCCTGAGGCTCTTAGGATCTGACTCAGGGAACTATTGTAATGGAACAGCGGTTAAGGTGCTGACTAAATGTAGAGGATGCTTTTTCAGGTTATTACTAAAGATGCTTAATCAATCATTGTCACAAGTGGAACAGCTTTTAAGAGATGTTCTTTGTTTATAGCTATAGTTTTAATCAAAATGCATGGTGGTGCTATGGTATTTTGCCGTCTTTTAGCAATGTTTTAATTTTTTAATCACCTAAAGTGATCAATAATTTTAGAAACACAATGAAAATACACTTGTATATACTCAGGTAAAATTTTCTTTTATCATTCAAATTGCCAGCCAACATGTTTTGTGCCCCAGTTTTGTTTCTCAAACACTGCTAACTTTTGGACATAAGTAAATAAGATATCTAGTCTTTGCTCAAGTAGTTTATAGCATGCAGTTAGCTATTCTATCAATAAATAAATAGAACTAGATATTTGTGTACCTATTATCACAATTACAAAAGAAACAAATAATTATGAGAGTTATTCTTTTATGCTATTCTGTGCAAATTTGAAACAGTGAACACTGCAACACAACAACACCAACAAAACATGGGCTTTGGGGACACATATGCCTGAGGTTGAATTCCATTTCTTTTACTTTCTAGCTGGTTGAATGTCGCTAATTATTTTATTTATGTTAGGCTTTTTCCCACACCTAATAAAAGGAGATTTTTAACATTTATCTCAAACATGGGTTGGGAATATTAAATCAAGTAATGAATAATTAAAGTGCACATTACAATATCTAGAAGATGGCAGGTAATTGATAAATGCATATTATTGATATTTAGGAGAAGGAGCATCACCCTGAGAAGAGGAGGAGAAACTTGATTCATTCTTGCTGCTGCTGCTGTCACTGTTGACCTGCCAACCAGTACATTGCTATCAAGATTTCACAGCATATTTTCTCTCTGAACCACGACGATTTTCCCAGAAATCTCTCATTTTGGAAATACCCTGTCTGCTGATGTTGGGAGTGACCTCAGGGAGGCAGCTAATGAATAATGAATTGGTATCTAAGACTAATAGACTAATATTACTGCTAGTAGCTAATACCTAAATCAGGATATTCTAGAGTCTTCTATCCTGCCAACCCTCTAAATGGTCAAGCTACAAAAAGCGATTAATAGCTCTTTCACCACTTAACCCAGCAATTAGCCATTTTACAATTTTTTTCTCCTCTCAAGCATGCACTTTTCAAATTTTTACATTTTTTTAATGACCGCCAGATTTCACCTGAATAAAAACCATGAAAATAAAAAACAACATATATAATTTTATATTTATTGGGTTCAAGGTTTCTTCCAGGATGAAGAAAATTTCTGCTGGTTCTGCCAGTACAAATAAGCATTCTAATCAGGCAGATGATACTAGAATCTTTGTTATCAGTTAGTCAGAAAATTGAATCAATAAACAGTTTTCGGCAGCCAGTCAAAAGCCCATTTAAAGCAATATCTTTAGAGCAAAGTTAAAATTAGTTTTATTTTCTGAGCATTGCTGGAATATTCAGGATGATTATGATCTCTGAAAGCTCTGTCTGGAAAACTAAATCAAAGGGCTCCTTTCAACAGAGTACTATTGACTTAGGGACTTCCTTGATGTATTATTATTTACGTTTAGATATGTCATAGGGAAAATCAAGACCTCTAAAAACTGCTACTGAAGATACAGAAAAATTTTATTTTATGGTGATAATGGAGATTTTGACCACCAGTCCTCCATCACCATCACTGCAATACAATGTTTCTTATTGTCTTGCCCATCATCAGAAACTATGTTATGTGGGGGAAAAATGTTGATGAAAACATGTCATGTAATTTCATCTGACTTTCTCCACTCGTTTACTAGACTATCAGGTGCTACATCACAAAGACAGCAAATATCCCCTGGATTCCTGCGGAAGTGAATTCCACTATTTTACTTTTTTTTTCCATTCCTTATGCCTAATACTGGACCTAACATATATTAGAAGCTTACCACTTGTTTAAATGAATGAATAGTAAATATTTGAAATCATTGATAAAATTTTCAGAAGGGAAACGAACTCTGGAAATAACAAGAGGCTAAGGGAAGAGAAATTCCAACAGGACATTCCAGATTTTTAAAATTCTTTGGACATCACTTTCTTCAAATTACTTAAAATTAGCTTTACTTTCTTAAAATTCTAGAGTTTTTAAACATTAATTGGAGCTTGGAGTCCAAACAGCTTACGCAAAAGAAAAATACCATCTTTTCCCAGGACTCTGCCTTCCTTGGCATGATTCTTTAAGAGCATACAGACAGAGAGGGTCAGTGCAGTTGGGAGAATGATTGAAGCCACTTTTGATGAGAGCACAGTGAAAATCTAGGACAAAATGTTGATGCATGGAGTCTCACTCCTCCCTTTTTCCCCGCTGAGATCTCAAAAGCTGGACCCAGTATTAAAGTCTGGAGAAAAGAAAAGGGAGGCTGAGAGTCTGTGATAGAGAAGTCCATTAGATGGGATCTTGAGATGCATCTTAGGTCCTTCATTGGATTGGATTTGAGGATAGATAGTCTTCTGTTTACTTTAGGCATTTAGGTTTATAATTTAAAATGTAAATTTCAGGGGTAACACAAAGGAACCATGGGAACTAGTGTGGCTTGAGATTTAATTACGTACACAGATCTTTTTATGTTTTCACTACCTACATTTCTACATTTTGCAATTATTAAAACTCTTATTTTAGGCAGCTAGATCAGGAAAGCATTAAAAATAAAATGTCTGCGTGATTCATAACTAATACTTATAAAGGAGGAAATACAAATACTAGCTACTTCACAGGGCTTTGTAATCTTACCCACTTTTGAGTCCTAGCTCAGAAACATATTAGCTGTAGGAGTCTCAATTGACTCACCTATAATATAGAATTATAAAAATTTTTAGTTTGTAGTATGTGAAAATTAAACTATATCATGCCACTATGTTATGTGCTAAATAAATCGTAGCTATTTGTTTCTACCCTAATTCTAAAATTATTTGAGGCATAAGTATTTATTTTATTATTGGTTTTATTGTTATCATTGCCATTATTAGGCAGAAGCAGTGGAGTATTCTAGTTTACATGGATGATAATGGGTGCCATACTATATGGACAAATAAAACCGTTTGTAAATATAGACCAATATTTACCACTACCTAGAAAGCTCGCATGATATTTTATTCTGACAAAGTACTTGGTAGATTCTTTACGCCATTATTTATGTTCGTTATAATCCGTGATGATACTCTTGGCCTACTTTTAGTTGAATACATATTTTTGAGGATTTTACTTCAATGTTGATTATCATAGGTGTGAAATTCACAGAGATATTTACGTTATCTGTATTTGTCATTTTGCGAAAGGTTTATAAGATTTCTGACTAGCCTTTACTCCAATGTCATGAAACAGTGAGTAACCCCATAACCCTGGTCTTATTAGCCTCATGGTTAGCAAAACTAAATTAACTATCCAAGAGTAAGCTTACGTATGTATAATGTTAATCTAAAACCATAGTTCTTTGGGGCAAATTCTGTGTCTGATCAGTAATCTATCATGCTTAAAATAAATTGGCAACTGATCATGCCTCTACCACACGTTATCCCTTTTATGATAGTGTCTCTTATCTTTTCTACCCAATATTATGTCTTTCTTCTGTTTCATTCATTCTGCACATTACTGTTAGATGAATCTTTCCAAAACACTAGTTCCATCCTTCAAGACAAAACTCATATATCACTTTATCTGCAGGCCTCGCTGTGCTGCTTCTGGTTTAGGTATGCACATTTATATTACATTATTGTAACTTAAAGGTTGTATTGCAATAATTGATTCTAGACTACTCTTTAACATTGACTGCAGGGTTTGTGCAAGAAATGTTTATAGATAATTAATATAAATCTCCCAAAGAGTCAATATCTTCCCACCTTCTAAAGCGTAAAATCTATAATTTGTTACTGCCTTGCAAATCAATAAAATTCTGACCCAATTTATTTTATTCAATCTAGACTCATCTCTATCCCCAATTTTGTCACACCCTCTGACAATCTGGTCTTTGTCACATGATTTCCAGACCTGTAAATACTTTCCAACACCAAACACTTTTTTGAGAAATAAATCAATTGCCACATACTGTGTGAAGCATTTCCTGACCTTTCTACCATGCACTAATGTCTCGTCTCTAAACTTTTAAGCATGTAGCACAGTGCATCCAAGCTTGGCGGCTGTAGTCACTGTACCTGAGTAAAAACCTCTATGATTAGAGCAAGCTAACTAATATGTTATTGATGCAGTTACCATAGATGTTATCAGGAATGAGAAGATGCCTAAATCATAGCATGATGCTTAAATAAGATAAAGCATCCAGTAAAATTTAACTATTGTCATCACACTAAATGCATAAATTTAATATATAATAAAAAGTGCTTTCTCAGTCTAATACAACGCATTTTTTTCTAATAAGACTGTGAGCATTTCAAGAAGAGCTTACACTTCCTTTGTATACCTCAAAAAATGAAAAGAGGTTCATTCTACTCAATCCTTTTTACTGTGGGCCAACAAGTTAAAATGTTTTATAAAGTAACTGCTTAGTCCTTTTAATATTATGAAAGTCATTATCAAAGCCATTACTTTATTATTTCACCCATATATTTACCAAGAGCTCAAGATTTGGCTTCAAATCTACAAAACCGTTGATTTGGGTATTTTTCTAAAACAGTTTGTGGCACCATTTGTAAGGCTAGGTCACTTTCTTCCCATGGATGTATATTCTCTTCTAATTGCATTCATCAATTTTAAAAGCATAAGTATTCTAATATAGTTGAAGTCTGTTCATTTCTCTTGGCTTTTTCAGCAATAATAATGGAGAGGTTACATCAAATATTGTTTAATTTAATTTCCATATGGTGTTTGCTGGAAAACTGCAAGAGGTTCATGTAAGAAAGGTAAGTGCTTTATTAGAGGTAATATTTTAGTAATATGTACAAAGTAAGAAAATTGAAATAATAAGAATTTTACTAATAAATTCTTCTTTCATTATCAGCTGAGATAATTTTTCATATCAAAACAGAATCAGTAGCACTAGGAAGAAACAAAAAGATCATTTCAATACATCTTTACATGTTTTTGTAATTATGAAAGGGGATTATTTATTGAATGTTACAGTTAGAAGGAATCTTAATTATATAAATAAACATGTAATATGAACTTAATAATATCCCTCTTTTATATACTATGAAAAATAATTTTTTATTTTAATATATTTTCACTTATCTTCAAATATGTCATTTTAGAGTCTTATTTTTCCAGTATTTATTTTGTATTAGTACACATTTTGCCTCAATAGAAATTCTGTGAAAACCTGTAACCAGAATTCACATACAAACTTAGTTTTCAAATTGAAATTCTAAGCACAATCAAGGTCATTTAATGTACTGCTTTGGAAGGAATCCAGAAAAAGAGTGTGTCCTTTAGATTTCCTGGAAAATACCTCTGTTTCTGTAGAGGTAATGAAAATAGTTTTAGAATTATAGAATATTATAGTCTCGTTTACATAACCCTATCATTAATACATTATCAGCACTAAATTATGTAACGGCTAGCATAAATGTAATAATAAAATTTTTATTAGTTGTAGGAGTAAGTCTGTCTTAAAACAGGCTATGTACCATCTAAAAATGAATTATTATTTGGGAATTTTGATATATGTAAGTCTATTTTATGAAAAAGGGTCAACATTTAATGTTATTGTCCTTAACATCCATTTTGAAATTCCCTGGAAAACTTACTGGATTGTTCTGAGCTATTATTTTTCCTTATAGCTTGCTTTCTTAATTTTATCCATAACTATAAGGATTATGAATATTCATTTTGGTAATAGTTTATATGATTCATAAATAGTATGAAAATGATAATCCTCTTAATTATGAGCAGCCTGATCATCATTCTTTAGTGTCAGTGGTATAGACTTGGTTATTACACGTTCATTATTAATCTTTAAAATAAATATGTCCATCTTCTTTATGGACATTAATCCTATTACGATGATCTGTGGATTATAAAAACAGACCTCTGAATCAGGATGAAAAGAACCTGAGCATTAAAGAGGAAATAAATAAAAGGGTATTAGGAATTCAAACAAAATAACCAGAGATAATTAGAAAATTGAAAGTGAGGACAAAGTTCAAAGTGGAAAATTAGTAAGAACCTTCAAGTCATATGAAAATAACAGTCCAATGTAAACAGAAAATTTTCATTAGTAGTGCAGAAATAAAAATCAGAAGACTGAGGCAAGAGGAACTTACAACTAAAATAAAGCTTCCTTATAACACCATTTATTTTTCTCATCTGAACAATGCTGCACACATTGATTTCTAGAACAGATTAATTTTCTGAAATCCCCCAAACAAATGTGATCTTTCAAGAGCTAAAACAGCGTCCCATTTGCCTGAACCTGTTCTTTGGAAGTCTTTCATAATTAATTCCATTTTGTTTGACTTGACAGTAGATCCTAAAGTGATCTGCAGAATAAACTGTAGCATAACTTTTATCACCCACGTTGATGAAACACAGTATGAGCATACAGAAGTAATTAGTGGCAGGCTAAAAATTCATGCCTGTGGCTTAGAAATCTCAGAATTCAAAAAGGGATATAGTAATTTCATCCTATCTTTTGCGTTCTCCCAGAAAAATAATCCCAGGCTTCTTAATTCACAGGCAGAGAGCTTTTGCTAGTCACTTTAAGATAACATAATTTAAGTGAAAAGTTTAACTGGACTCTTTGGAGAGAGTTTTCTTTGCATTTGTAATTTTTCATGGAATGTTAATTTTGCCATTCATCTTTTTTGTTTTTCTTTCTGTCGTTTTGTTATTTATTTAAAAAATAATTTTATATAAATAAGAGACAGGAAACACTGGCATGAGATGGCAGATTTGAAGTCTCTTGAACCCAAAAAAAGCAGCTTAGTAATATTACTTTTTAAATCCCAGGTAACTCTACAAAGTCCCTTTAAGATTCTTGAATTATATTCCTCATTCTGGTACAATTTAATCTTCTTGGCTTTAAACTCAGCTTCTAGGACAGAATGACAGCCTCAGATCCATAATCAAAGTTTCTGGTAACTCAGCAGAGCCACAGGCCAAAATTCTCTCCCATGAGAGCAATGGGCTCAGACTCAAAGACAGCTCAGGAGATAGATTGCAATAAAGCTACTATTTCTTTTTCAGAACTATTCATTCTTAAATAAGAAAATGTTTGCGCTAAAACTCATGATCTCTAAAGCATAAAACTTCCTAACATTTTCCAATACTTCTAAACTGTCTAGAGGTTGAAAGGAAACTAAGTAGGAAAAATTCAGAGTGCTTTAATAAATAATTGTTGAATAAATGAATGAATGAAAAGCTTACCTAAAGATGATCACTTAATGACATTATTCAAGCTGAATTTGGTTGAAAAATAATGCATAGCTTAAATATCCTACAAACTTCCTTAGAAGGAAGCTCAGTAGAAAAAATCAAACATTAGTATAATGATATTCCCTTTATATTTGCCTACTGATCAACTAAAGAAGAAAACATATTTATCTTCTACCAAAGCAAGATTTCATCAGTCTGAAGCTCTCAAACTCCCTTATTTGATCATAAATGTTGAGAAAATATACTGTGCCATATCAGAATGGAATTATCTAAAATAAGACTTTTAGGACATAGTGGAATTGAGTCTTGACACATTTCATTTTTATGCAGCACCTTCTGATAGCCAGTATTATATAGAAACCCAAAGCCACTTGAAAATAGGACATGAACATAGAGCCTCATCATTAGAAATCCTATTCTACCATATAGAAGCAAGTTGAAACACACCTGGTACCTCCGGATACTGAGACTAGAGAATACAGAAATTAGGGCATAAGCAAGAGAGAAATGGTAAGTTAAGGGTGATTTTATTTTTAACTTCATACAGCTTGAAATATGGCAATTTTCCTATCAGTATTCTATACTAAAATGAATAGTTTAATAATATACCTTAGCTCTAGAAGAATAGCACTTATCTAAGGGATATATGCTGTTGCTAATAGTACAAGTTCAACCTTTTTCTCAAATAATGCTGTGACCTACTTCTCTTCAACTGCTGTGGTTCATGCAATATATGTCCATTGCAATATCCCGTACCATTAATGGCCATGACTGTAGGAGTATATGTGCTAAGTAGTTCATAAGTTGAACTACTTCTAGAGTTTAGACACCCATCACATTGTAGAGACCTTAGTTAACATTATCTAGTGCTGCTAAAGCAAGGTCCACAGTCATTGTGGACCATCACTGAGTTCCATGACTGAGACACCTCATTCCCATATTCACTATGGTACATGCATTGATGAATCTGCCTCATCCCGCAATGTAAAAGAGATCCCCATTGGTGATAATATCCTATTATGGTAATTTGTTTAACACACATCAGCCAAATGACAATTATGCTTCAGTCAAACTAGATCTTGGAAATGCCAAGGTAAAATATGACCTCGGTCATGTCTCTTAAAGAGATGTCGGATTTTCACAGACTGATCTCGCACACAGCCTTTCAGTGAATAGCCTGTCTTAATTTACAGCTTTAATAATGATTTTTACTCTCCTCTCTCACAACCGCATTGTACGTGGGTTGCTAACTCTTATGATGAACTCAATATTTTGAAAAAATAAAATCTAATTTTATTTAAAAAAAAAACACATTGACTTCTCAAAGTTCTAAGAAATTACTGGAGCCTAGAACATGAAGAAAAATAATTTCCTTACTTCCACTTCAAAGATGCTTCACTTTTCTTTTTCATCCTTTGAGTAAGTTTTTAAAATTACATTTAAACATTAAATACCTTAATGATGAAGATGCACTTCATATGCTTTCATTTTCCTTCCTGACATTTTGGCTATAAAAATCCTCATAGCCTGTATGAATCCATTTAATGAGAGAAATGAAGAGGACTCTGTAGTTTTAAAGAAACAATAAAGAATTGTATTCATAAGAATTTTTGTATCTGGCGAATGGAAGTTTGCAGCTCCTTCCTGAAACTTCCTTACAAAGTCACCCATCTGTAGCCAATAAAAGAAGGCACATGTTCTCTCAGCTTGGCAAAGTTGAATCACAAAAGGTGAAAAGATCACAATCCTAGAAGAGAAAGATTGGTTCTTCTAGGAATCGAAAAACACTAACAAGCAGATGCATAATGACATCTAGATAAGTCTAAAATGCCCTCTGAGGTTGCGTACAACATTTTGGACTCTCAAGTCAGGAGCGAAGTGCTTTTTCAACCTAATTTCCAGTGTGAAGACTTTTTGAAAGAACTGATAATATGTTTTAGTTTTTAAAAACAATCAGTCCTAGGGCATCCAGACACAAAGCATTGGTGTCCTGGCAGAATGAGAAGGACTTCTGCATTGCACTGTGACCCGATGTGAGGAGTCAGAGAACCAGTAGGGTAAGGAAGGCTTCTGAAGGGATGAGGGGAGTGGTAGAAGTGATGGGAGATGTGTTACATATGGGAGGTTTGTTCTCTTTCTATGTGTACATACATTTAAACACAGAGCACAACACGAACACATACACATGTTTATGCATGCATTAGTGGAGCTATGACTTTTTGAAGAAAAGCCTGATTTTAGGGCTAGGGCAGGGAATGGCAAAGATTAATCTAACACATCTTAATGTTCCAGAAGCAAGAAAGTGAAAGAATAATAGAGACGTGTTTGTACATACACCCATGTACATTTGTAATTATTGACATAATTTCAAATTACCCCCCCAAAAGATCATAGTAATTACAAAGGGTAAAAAAAGAAACTTGACAGTTGAGAAGCACGGAAGGCAACAGCTTAACCAAGTGATGGAAGTGAACATTATCCATAATGCGACAAACCAAAATTAGGCACCATCTGATAGTTACTTTCAAATTTTTTGGAGGCAGAGAACTCTTTGTCACATACTTACAACTTACCCTTTAGTTTGAGATTTTTCAAAATGACTTAAAAAAAAAAAGATCGGCATTGAAGACACAAGAAGGAAAATTAATTTTACACCCCCTAGCATGTAAAACTGAAAGGCTTCCGTAGATTGACAAAAGTTAAGTTGTACATCCCCAGGGACTTTTCCAAGGTACTGAATGATACTCACCTAATCTCACTTTGTCCCTTTTATCTGAAGCTCTCCTTCTCTCCATCTGTATTTTTTCCTCTGTGTTAACCCTGTTTACAGGGTTAAACTTACCAGAGAGCTACCTTAAGTGGTTCAACTCCAGTGGTTCTACAAAATCAGATCTTTTATCCTACCTACTCTTGCAAATACCCCAGCTTTGAACCAAATCAGTAAGCTAATTTCTATATGCACTTGGGGCAGTATACTTCAGCGATGGAGGGTGAGAACTTTGTAATGCATATTCCTCATTTCAAATCCCTTCTGCCAGCTGTGTGAATAATGACAAATATTTGTAACTACTCTGTTTCAGTTTCCTTGTTTATAAAAGGAAGTTAATAATCACACCTATCTATTATAGTTTTAAGAAGTAAATGATTTATTATGTTTAAAGTATATATAATATTGCCTGTAACATTAGTACTCTATGTGCATTTGATGCTATTAATGTTATTTTTAACTGTTCTGTGATAAGTAACTATTATATTGCATTTACGATAGAAATATCGAAACATATGCTAAACTTCATCCTTTTGGAATACTTAGAAAAATTCTAAACTCTAATGACAACTACTTTGGTTGGAGAAATGACATAGAATTCAGAAGTTCTAGCTTCTCCAGTGTGAAAGAATTTCTCTTAAAAAAGTAGCCATTCTTTCAGATAAGATGCATGCATCCATAACAAAGAAACCAATATTTTTCATTGGTCAACTAAATCAAAGTTGACTTACATATTTATTTGATAATTTTGTCATTAGTATCAAATATCTTCAAACAGATACATTACTTATGTAGAGCATTCCACTTTGTGACAGTGTAGCCTAAGGTGTGATTTCTAGAAAGTAATGCATTATAAAATAGGTGCGTGTGATGCTACTGGATCCAACTTATTGGTGTATTCCCTGTGAGCTTCAAACGCTTAGAATCTTTTTTATTTATAACATTTTGGAAAAAAATAACTCTTACACAAAAGTAACTTAGGATTGTGATACTCTCATTCAAAATACTACTTTATATATATGGTTCTTCTTAAAATTAAATGGAAAAGTGAAAAGGATTATTATATGATCATCATTTTCCATTAGAATGACAGAACGGATAGAGACATGTCCACGTAATTATGGTTTTTGCCAGTACTTTTAATGGCAAAGACTGCAATTACTTTTGTACCTACCTAATACTTAGCATTTTCTCTGCTAGTGTGGCTTCTCTGGCTTGTCAGCCTTTAATGTATCTGAATTGTAGATTGCCTACATGTTTCTTATGTTTTTGAAATGTGTACAAGTTAGCATTATTTAATACTATTACACCAGTAAGTATAATGTCACAGTGCAGATAGTGATTTTTTTTTTTTTTCCTTTGAGACAGAGTTTTGCTCTTGGTGCCCAGGCTGGAGTGCAGTGGCATGATCTCGGCTCACTGTAACCTCCGTCTCCCGGGTTCAAGCAATTCTTCTGCCTCAGCCTCCCGAATAGGTGGGATTACAGATGCCTACCACCATGCCCAGCTAATTTTTGTATTTTTAGCAGAGATGGGGTTTCACCACGTTGACCAGGTTGATCTTGAACTCCTCACCTCAGGTGATCCTCCTACCTCGGCCTCCCGAAGTGCTATGTATACATTTGCTTCACTTTCTACTTTAATTATGAAAAATTACAAAAGTACAAAATATCTAGATAATTGACAAATAAAAGAAAAAACAAAATAAAAACTGAGCAATTGTGTACTGTATCACCTTAAGAGAGAGAACATTGCTAATCATTTTGAAGACTCCTGGGTTTTCAATCCCAAATTTTTCTACTTCCCTAACCGCCCTCCCAAAACATTATACTGAGTTTTGTTTTCTATGATTGCCTTGTTATTTTAAATAAATAATTTACATATATGCATATATAAATAATATGTATATGTAGAAAAATATTTAGTTTTATGCATTTGGTTATCATAGAAATGAAATTATGCTATATATACTACATACATCTCACAGATACATATCTAGATACACATATACACACTATATACACTTAGCAGATACATACCTAGATATATAGACACATAATATATTCTGTTATTGCTTTTCCTCAAAGTAATTTTTAAAATACATTCATGTTCATTCAACAATGTCTAATTCATTCATTTATATTTTGTAGAATATCCCATTGTATGTGTATAAACAAAATTCATCTATTCTTCTCTAAATGTTTATCAAGGTGTTTTACAGATTCGGCCCTCTATTAAAAAAATAATAGTGCTGTAGACATTCTTGTACATTTTGCTTGGTTCCCCGTTGCAAGTGCACCTTTAGAGTGTATAATTAGGAAAACTGAGGAGTTTTAGAATCTGTTTGTCTTCTACTTTTCTATAAAATTCCATTTTGTTTTCAAAAGTGTTTTTACCAATTTTAACTCCCTCCGAAGGAATGTAAGTCTTCTCATCCTTGACAGCGTTTGGTTTTGTCAGATTATTAAACTTTTGTCAATCTGGATGTGAAATGGTATCTCATTATGTTTTTAATTTACATTTAATTTGCATTTCTCTGAGGGGCTGCCAAGCAGGAGCTGCAGAGTTGGAGGAGGCAGGAGACACAGCTGCTGCTACAGAAGAAGGGGCAGTACAAAAAGTAGAAGGAGGGATGAAATGCCCTAGTTTCTCCTCTCTTTACACCCTCCAGTCTTTCATAAGTGCCTCCTATTTGAAAAACGTACCTGGAAATATGAAGTTAAGGAAACCTGGAAGGTGTAATTACTTGAAATACAGAACCGGGCAGAAAAGGATGAAAAATAAATCTGAAATCAGATTTGAAAATGGCTTTCAGAGCTATACGACATTTAACTTGTTATTCAGTCTCTTCCACTGGAATATAAAGCTCAGTGAATAAAAACATTTTGTATATTTTGTTCCCTTTGCTTAGAATAATCCCTGGTACATAAGAAACAATAAATATTGAATAGATGAATGAATTAATTAATGGTCAAGTCTCATACAAGCCATATCCTTTCACATATTTAAATATTATTTTATAATTAAATTATTCACTAAATACATAAATTGATATAATTTAATTTTTATAGAAAATTCATATGAGATAGAAGATCTATTCGGTCATCTAATTTTTTCTTTTATTGCTGTTGTTGTTTAAAAGCTTCTGTATTAGTCAGGGTTTCCCACAAAAGCAAAACCAATCATTAGGATCAAACAAAAAAATCAATAGGATCTCACCCTCTCTGGACAAATGAAACAGGGTGAGATCCTATTGATTTTATACATACGTATATATACATTTATATTTATATATATTTAGAGAGAGAGAGACAGAGAGATTTATTATAAGGAATGGTCTCATGATTAGAGTTTTGCAAATCTGAAGATTTGAAGGGTGGGCCAGCAAGCTGGAGACCAAGAGAACCGATTGTTTAATTTCAGTGTATGTCAAAGGCCTGAGAATCAGAAGAACCAATGGTTTTCTTTCAGTCTGAAGGCCAGAAGCCTCTGGGCCCGGGAAGAACCAATGTTTCAGTTTGAGTCCAATTTCACAAAAAACTAATGTCCATTTCTGAAAGGCTATCAGACAGGAGGAATTCTGTCCTACTCTGAGAAGCCTTTTCGTTCTATTCAGGCCTTCAATTGATTAAATGAGAGCCTCTCACATCTGAGAGTGCCATCTGCTTTACTCAGTCTACTCAGGTCACATATGAATCTCATGCAAAAAATGCCCTCACGGAACCATCCAGGATAATGTTAATATCTGGGCACTGCATGACATAGTCCAAGTGGACATCTAAAGTTAATCATCACAGCTTCCTTTACAAATCAAAGTAACTGTTGTATATGAATGCAGCAGAAAACTTGACTTCACATGACCAAGAAGCTAGGTAATCCTGGGGCATTGAAAGCTGCCCAAGAAAACAATTATGCTGTTTCTTCACTCTCATCCTGGCCTCAAATGAATATGGGAAGTAGGAGACAATGAGGTGATTTTTCAGGATTTACTAACATTCCTAATTTCGCTATTCTCCTTCCTTTAGCACAGTTATCAGAAACCATTCAGTCATACCTTGCCTCCCTGTTTTCTTCTGCCATTGAAATAACAGGGGCCTAACTGTCCATTAACACCACAGCTTTCTTTTCCACCCTGTTGTGAAGATCCTTCTACCTAGCCCAGCCCTCTAGCCTGCTGCTGCTATCTTTTTTTTTTCACTGTGCTTTTAAAATTTACTCTTCCCCATCTTTCATCCCTGTCCCTCGTTGCCTTTCTTTTTCGTCGTACAATGGCTTACTTTTATTTGTAAGCTATTCCTTAAATGTCACCTCCTCAGAACCCTTATCTGATTACATTATATACTGTGGCCTTTTCCTCTTGCTTATTCATCTAAGTAGTTTTCAAACTAGTTGCCATGACCTGCAATTACTCTGCCTTTTATTTGTTTTCTTACTTATTGTCTGTCTCACCCTAGTAGAATATAAACCAGGTAGGGCAGGAAATACGCAGGTTTTCTTGATGTGACAGCCACAGAGATTACCAAAGCACTGGGCATCTGTAGGAATTTGTAAATCTTCTGGGAAGACCCAGTTTTTTCCTCAGATAGGTAGATTCCTTTAAAAATGGAAACAAATGTTATTTTCACTAATATATGACTATCGTACTGGATTTGTATGTAGTGGGTACTGTTCTACAATGTGTACCCCATGCTAGGAGGAGAGAATACACTGGGTCTGGCATTATTAAGCAACTCTATGTACCGGTCTGCCATTTTTGTAGAATATTAATCATTATAGGGGCACAAAATATCTTTTTCTTGGCCCACAAAAATAATCTGAACCTACTTTTACATTATAGAAATTCAGTTTCCTCAATATTATCAGCATATTTTATTTTTCTGGCTCTCCTTACCCTCCTAGTCATTCTCTTCTGAAAATATCCCAGGTATTAATGTGCCACATCTGGAAATTATTCAGTGGTCTAAAAGCAGAAGAAAGCAAAATTATAAACATCATCACTTTGCTTCCTTTGAAAAATAGAAATTTCTAACCTTGATGGAAAATTCACATTGATTCTGTCATGATTTTATACTTAATGGGAAAAATAAAGATATTGATCTCATTAATCCCAATAACTGAAATTTTACATAGGTTTTACAACATGTTAGGAATATTTTTTATAGAAGTTGTCTAATATCCACTAGACATTTCAGTTTACTTACCCATTAAGGAATAGTATCATCTAGTAGAGAATTAATGAATTTGGAATTGTAAATACGAAATTTTAAATTCCAAATTTAAAATGTTTAAAGTTTGTTGAATAGCTTTTCACAGTTAAAGAAAGAAATACAAAGTTGAAAATATTAAATTTTATACTTAAATTATAGGAATTTTATACTTAAAATATAGGAATATTTTTATAGAAGTTGTCTAATATCCACTAGATATTTCAGTTTACTTACTCATTAAGGAATAGTATTATCTAGTAGAGAATTAATGAATTTGGAATTGTAAATACCAAATTTTAAATTCCAAATTTAAAATGTTTAAAGTATGTTGAATAGCTTTTCACAGTTAAAGAAAGAAATACAAAGTTGAAAACATTAAATTTTGTACTTAAATTATAAAATGATCTCACATTATTTGAAACCCATGTCATTTATAGTTTTAGGTCAGATTTTGGATTTGAATAATATTCCTAAACTCTGTGTAACTAACTGTGTGACAGACAAGGAAAGAGGCTCATGAGATTAAGCTACTTATCCAAGATCTGATAGCAGGAGAACCAGTAGGAGGGTGCCAGGCTTCTGATTTACAGTCTATTTCTTCTTCAGTTACACCGCATTGTTTCATATCCAAGAAGGATGATCCAACAAACAGAAAATTAGATGATTGAGAAAGTCTACTGCATATTTCACCGGGAGCAATCAAATGATGTAGTGTAAACATAATAGTGTTTAAAGCCTGAAGACATGGCAGCAGCATCCTATTCTGCCATCAACTGAGTGGCCCTGGACAAGTTACTTAATTTCTTTAAACTGAAGCTTCCTTAAAAAGTGGGAGTGAAGATTAAATAAGAAAATGTATAGGTACATTTTTTAAACTTTAACATATTACCAGTTGGTTTTGTTTGTGTTTTTTTGTTTGCTTTTTAGCAAACTTGTTTTGTTTTACTCCACATATAATGTCAGGTAAATCCTTTCATACTCCTGGATAAAACCCTTCATGACAAAAAGTATTATCAGATTATTTAGAGTAAAATTTTGTATTTATTCACTTCTTCTGGGGACTATGTTCTTCCAGATGATCTATTTTTACATTGAATGGTTAATGTTCATCAAATGCATAGATTCCACCTTTTAAATCAGTTTGAATACAATCAAATAAACCAAAATATATAGGGTGGTTAATAAAGAAAATCATAAAATAGAATGCATGTTGCAGAATCATTTTTACAACTACTGGTTCTATCTTTAGGATAATATGCAAATAAAATAATTTTATGTTAACTTTCACTTATTTACCTTCAGATAAATTGTTACTTTTTTACTTGTGTAAGACATCTTAAAAATAGACCAAACCAGGGGAATAAAAGTAATCTTTACTGAGTTTTAAGTTGGTTTGCAGATCAATGAACTATGTCATTATGATTCTGATATTACAGAACAATGTTTATATAGAAATCATAAATTTGAATATCTCTTCCTAAAGACTTCTTAATTCATAAAACTAATATTTTAAATAATATGGAAATAAGAGCAATACAATTACAAAACTTATTGAAGTAAGATATGGAAGAAGTCCATTTTCAGGGTTCCAGTTCAGTGTCATATTAACTCTTCTCTAAAAAGAGAAAATATAAAAGCTGGAAGCCAATGAATGATAGGCATTAAAGACTTTTTTCATGCTGGCAGAGTAGGAGCTATTAGATCATAATGTCCATAATTTCATGAATATAGAATTGTTTCCTATACCATTACCCACTTCTTTGTCTGGTCTACATAAATGGCTCAAGCAAAGGGGCTTTTTACTACATCCCTTAGGAAACAATTCTTCAGCCTAATAGACCTAACAAGGATGCCTTTTCTATGATAGTTACTCACAGATTTCCTGTACTCAATTTTATCCCATTACTTCTGGTTATTTTCTCTTGACTAACCTAAAATTTTCTCCTTTCGCCCACCCCTTTTTTACCCTAGTTATGCTTTCAAGTGAATGAGTTTCCCATTAGTCTTTTCACCAAATTAAATGGATACTGTCTTTTAATCTCTGTCCATTAATCATTTCATTTAGACCCTTAATCATTTTCATTGTTCCTTCCTGAAGTTTCATTTGTTTGCTTTTTTTCTCACATGGGAAATCTATATTTCTTTTGTGTACTGTGGACATTTTTGTGAGAAATTTAACTAATATTATTTCTGACTAGCCTAATCTCACCTCCCAGAGATGATTCTTTTATGCTGTCTTCCATAGCATTTATGCCTAGGTTTTATTTTACTAACTATACAATTAATTATGCACTCTGTAGCATTTTTTTTACTTGATGATGTGATTTTTATACATTTCTTAATAAGATAGATTGTTTTTCTCCATTTTGTGGCATTACCGCTATGTACACTTAATTTTTAAAAGCAAATGGGTTTTTTAAGCTTCGTCAGGAATTAGGCTTAGGTAAGCCCCGAAAAGGAATATCATACCCCATGCTTAAGAATGGAGCTGTAGTATTTGACAGCATTCTTTCTGTAGCAAGACCTCCTCCTTTTATTTACTGAATATACTCAGGCTTTCCAACTGAGAACAGTTTCAAGAGAACTAAAACATGCTTAGCCATAGTATCTATTAATTCACACCCTATCATGTATCGTTTTGTTACTCAAAATTAGAGGTTCCTTTCATTTGATGAAGATAATTTCCAGACAAAATGCAAATTTTTTAAAGTGGACTTCCCCATGATTTAAAAACAGAAAACCATGAAGTATTTATCAGATGAAATATTTAATTCTCAATGGAGAGCTCATAGCTCCCAATGAAAATAAGATACACAATAGTGTGGTAAGATAGCTTGATAGGAAATTGTAGTAGCTTGGTAGGACTGTTCCAATCTTGGCCACTGTCTTTCCTTTCATAGAAAAAGAAGGAACTCTGCCCAGCCCAGAACTCAGAGGCTCAGAGACATTGAGAAACATGGACAAGAACAAACACTGAAAGATAGAACCTACATTGAAATAATGTAAGGCTTTGCTTTTTTCTGGTGAATCTTCCATATGCATTCACACAATAAATGATATCTTCGTGAATATAGTAATGTCGACCATACGGAAATTCAACCTGACATAGACTGCAGTATGAACCATGTCTTTCCTGGATCATGAAAGAAAATAGAACTAAGGTGATATGGTTTGGCTCTGTGTCCCCACCCAATTCTGATCTTGTATCTCCCATATTTCCCACGTGTTGTTGGAGGAACCTGGTGGGATATGATTGAATCATGAGGGCAGGTCTTTTCCGTGCTGTTCTCATGGTAGTAAATGGGTCTTATTAGATCTGATGGTTTTCTAAAAAAATGGGAGTTTCTCTGCACCAGCTCTTTTTTTGCCATCCATGTAAGAGGTGACTTGCTGCTCCTTGCTTTCTACCATGATTGTGAGGCATCCCCAGCCATATGGAACTGTAAGTCCAATTAAACCTCTTTCTTTTGTAAATTTCCCAGTCTCAGTTATGTCTTTCTCAGCAGTGTGAAAATGAGCTAATACAGTAAATTGGTATCAGCAGTGGGGGGGCTGCAGAAAAGATACCTAAAAACGTGGAAGCAACTTTGGAACTGGGTAACAGGCAGAGGTTGGATCAATTTGGAGGGCTCTAGAAGAAAACAGGTAAATGTGGGAAAGTTTAGAACTCCCTGGAGACTTGTGCAATGGCTTTGACCAAAATGCTGATAATGACATATACAATGAAATCCAGGCTGAGGTGGTCTCAGATGGAGATAAGCAACTTGTTGGGAACTGGAGCAAAAGTGATTCTTGTTATGTTTTAGCAAAGAGGCTTGTGGCATTTTGCCCCTGTCCTAAGGATTTTTGGAACTTTGAACTTGAGAGATGATTTAGGGTATCTGGCAGAAGAAATTTCTAAGCAGCAAAGCATTCAAGAGGTGACTTGGGTGCTGTTAAAAGCATTCTGTTTTAAAAGGGAAATAGAGCATAAAAGTTCAGAAAATTTGCAGCTTGATGATGCCATAGGAAAAAAAAAAACAGTTTTTGATGAGAAATTCAAGCTGGCTGCAGAAATTTGCATAAGTAACAAGGAGCCACATGTTAATCCCCAAGAAAATGGGAAAAATGTCTCCAGGCATGTCACAGGTCTTCATGGCAGTCCCTCCCATCACACACCTGGAAGCCTAGAAGGAATAAATGGCTTGTGGCTTCAGAAGGTGCAAGCCTAAAGCCTTGGCAGCTTCCATGTGGTGTTGAGCCTGCCAGTGCACAGAAGTCAACATTTGGATTTTGAGAACCTCCGCCTAGATTTCAGAGGATTTATGGAAATGCCTGGATATCCAGGCAGAAGTTTGCTGCAGGGGCAGGGCTCTCATGGAGAACCTCTGCTAGGGCAGTGTGTAAGGGAAATGTGGGGTCGGAGCCCCCACACAGAATCCATACTGGTGCACCACCTAGTGGAGATGTGAGAAGAGGGCCACCATCCTCCAGACCCCAGCACGGTAAATCCACCGACAGTTTGCAATGTTCACCTGGAAAAGCCACAGACACTCAATGCCAGCCCCTGAAAGGAGCCAGGAGGGAGGCTGTACCCTGCAAAGCCAAGGGGTGGAGCTGCCCAAGACTGCTGAAGCCAACATCTCACATCAGCATGACCTGGATATAAGACATGGAGTCAAAGGAGATCATTTTGAAGCTTTAAGATTTGACTGCCCTGCTGGATTTTGGACTTTCCTGGGTCCTGTAGCCCCTTTGTTTTGGCCAATTTCTCCCATTTGGAATGCCTGTATTTACCCAATGCCTGTACTCCCATGATATCTAGGAAGTAGTTAACTTGCTTTTGATTTTACAGGCTCATAGGTGGAAAGGAGTTGCCTTGTCTTGGATGAGACTTTGGATTGTGGACTCAAGTTAATGCTGAAATGAGTTGAGGGATGTAATGATATGGTTTGGCTGTGTGCCCAGCCAAATCTCATCTTTTAGCTCCCATAATTCCCAGGTATTGTCGAAGAGACCTGGTGGGAGATGATTGAATCAAGTGGGCAGATCTTTCCAATGTTCTTCTTGTGATAATGAATGGGTCTCATGAGACCTGATGGTATTAAAAAAAAAGAGTTTCTCTGCATAAGCTTTTTTTTTATTTGCCTGCTGCCATCCATGTAAGATGTGACTTGCTCCTTCTTGTCTACCACCATGATTGTGAGGCATCCCCTGCCATGTGGAACTGTAAGTCCAATTAAACCTCTTTCATTTGTAAATTGCCCAGTCTTAGGTATGTCTTTATCAGCAGAGTGAAAACAGACTAATACATAAGGTTCATTCTATGATTCTATATTAACTCTATAAAATAGAATTTCCTTTAAGGGAAGCCACAAGAAAAATATAAATACATTTATCAGTGAGATTTTAGTGAAGTAATTTGTTTTCATATATTAGAATGCCATATAACTTGAAAGAGGGAAAATATAATTCAGCATATGGGATGTAAGATATAACTGAATTGTTGATAAAGGCTTACTATTATTTATGTTGGGCAAAGTTAGTTCTCAAAATTTGCTGAGAAATTTTACACTGCTGACCCTGATAATAATGGCAAAACATCGTAAGATGTTTTTCCTGATTATGTGCCTTTCCGTAACTATAGTTAAAACACAAATGTCCACTCAAAAAAACAAGTCATTTAAATTTGAAAATTTAATTTGCTATTTGTGCTTTATGCTAGTTCATAAATCATTAATCAATATCTTTATGGAAATGATATTTATTATTGATTTTTGTGGCATCCTTGTAAGCACCATATTTCTATGAGATATCTGATTGAATGATTTTCTATAACTTTTGCTTTACTTGTACTCAATAATGAAACATACACTTTCACAGTAATATGTATCTACATAAAAATTTTGGTATGAGTTACTTGGTTGTGTCTACCAAACACTGGGTTTTAAACTTTGTAATACAAGCAAAGTAATTAGTGGTCATATTTTGGCAAGATTTATTATTCATAAGCTGCATCTATTTCCAGTAAAAGTTTCCATTATCTTGTAGGTGCTTTAAGGTTTGCTTTTGATCCTTCATAATACATCAATCATTTTCTTCTATTTTGAAGTTTGACATAGTGATTCCTAATGGGACATTAATAAGTGTATTATTCTAAAATTTGGTGAGTTTGGTTCTCATGTAAATTATTAATTTGGTAGGTTAATTTTATCTTTTATATCAGCAATCTCATTGTTTTTGTTTGCTTTTCTGATTCTTTTTAAGTAAATATTCAATATAGTCTATAAAATTATTTCTGGGAATTTCTTCCTGTATCTAAATAAAAATATTATAGCTGTCATATTACCAGTATTTTATAATCAATTGAATGATTTTTTTCTACTACGTTTTGTACAGGAAAACTAAATGTGAAAATTCAAGCCTAAGATAAGCTCAAATTAGTTAGCACGCTCATTGTGGCCCCTACATTCCATCGAGTTAGTGTTTCTATTACAGATATTGTCCTTTCAATGAAGGCTCTAAACTGAAACTTCAAATTCCATCAATTCTGAAATTACTTGTAAGAGGAGTAAAGGCTATTTTTGTGTGGGAGCCACTGTCTTTATAGCTATGTAGATGTAGTCATGGGGACAATACATGTCAACTCCTTCTGGAGTAGTTACTGAAGTTAAAAGAATCTAGTTTTGGCCGGGCGCAGTGGCTCGTGCCTGTAACCCAGCACTTTGGGAGGCTGAGGCGGGCGGACCACGAGGTCAGGAGATCGAGACCATCCTGGCTAACATGGTGAAACCCCGTCTCAACTAAAAATACAAAAAAAAAAAAAAAAGAAAGAAAAAAATTAGCTGGGCGTGGTGGCGGGTACCTGTAGTCCCAGCTACCGGGGAGGCTGAGGCAGGAGAATGGCGTGAACCAGGGAGGCCGAGGTTGCAGTAAGCCGAGATTGCGCCACTGCACTCCAGCCTGGGCGACAGAGTGAGACTCCGTCTCAAAAAAAATAAATAAATAAAAGTAGAAAAAAGAAAAAAAAAATTTAGTTTTCCAGCGAGTACTAACCAGGGCCAACCCTGCTTACCTTCTAAGAGGAGATCAAGGGCTCTCAATATGGTATATTTGTAGACAAAGTAAGGAAATCATGGTATTTGCAGTAAAAACACCCATGGAAGACATTATGCTAAGTGAAATAAGCCAGTCACAGAAGGACGAATACTAAATGATACAACTTATATGGGGAATCTAAAATAGTGACAATCATGGAAGCAGAGAGTAGAATGGTGTTTGTCAGGGGTTAGCATGAGGGGAAAGTGGGGAGGTATTAGTCAAAGGGTAGAGTCTCAGTTATGCAAGATGGCTAAGTTCTTGAGCTCTACTGCACAGTATAGGGCCTATAGTTAACAATACTGTATTGTATATTTTAAAAAATTCTAAGGGGGTACTTGTGTTAATTTTTCTTATCACACACACATACACACAAATAATGATGATAAATAAGGAGAGCAGGTGGACATTTTTGGAGGTGATGGCTCTATTTATGACAGATTGTGGTAATGATTTTATGGGTATATACTTACCTCCAAACTCATCAGGTTGTGTGCATGACATAAGAATAGCTTTTTATATGTCAATTATTCCTCAATAAAGTACTTTCTAAAAATCAACCTAATTTCTCCAATTCCATACTGTATTAGTTAGGATTTCCTATATTACGCTGTAGTAACTGATGTCCCTGAAGTTTCAGGTGCTTACCTGAGTAAAGGTTTATTTCTCCCTCTTTCAATGTCCATTGTGGGTCACCTGTGGCTTTATTCCTTGTCGTCTTTAACCAAACCTTGATGAACTGGGTAGTCTCTACTGGAAAGACAATCTGTCATCTGGTAATGGAAAAATATGTTAAGCTACATGGTAGTCTTTAAAAAATCTGCCAAAATGTCATTGGCCGTAGCTATTCACATAAAGATATGTGACCCTTTTGAAAGGAAAGGCACCAGAGGCCACACTTTTTGTCCTCCTTTTTCTTAGGTGCCTGAACTACTGAAGCTTCCCTTCTATGTAAAATAATACTAGATGTTCAAACAGAGAGGGATAAGCTAATTCTCCTATTCAGTGAAGATTTTTAACATTTAGTTCATTGAATAATGTGATAAACACCCAACTGGACATATCTGCAGTATAAAATACCATGTACAGGATATCATTATTTTGTATAGTTTTTTTTCCATCTTACCATAATTAAATGTTGATTCTGCATCCATAACTCTGGAATTTATTCATTATGTAAAAGTGTCAAAGAAGATTTTTCTTTCCATTATGCATACAATGAGTGCCTGTAAAAATACACATAAACTTTTTCTAATTAGAAATTATTCTGGTTAGAAAGTAATAAATTACCTGTTTCAAATCACAAAGTACACAAAACTTATCTTGTTGAAGAACTTTATCTCTATTTCTTAGAAAATATGTCTTCTTTGAATTACCATTTCATGCCAGGAATTTGCAGAGTTTTATCATACTTTATGCCATCATTATTAAGTATCTGGCAAAAGAACATGATTAGCCTATTTTGTATGTTTCACTGAATGATATAGTTAATATTGTGACTTGCATATATTGCACTCTTTATCTTTCTTCTTCTGCTCATTTCTTCCTTTATTTTTCACATGATTATATGCATAACTGGAATTGAAAAATTTTCATAGATGAATCATGACCACTCAGCTTAATTTCAACAAGCAACTGTAGTCCAAACATACATTGAATTTTGTAACCTTTGCCGAGATTTTAAGGGTACTTAGGTTCAAAAAGTTTGTATTATATTCAATATGGGAGTGTCCACTAGCAATATCATTTTCTTTCTTTATATAAGTAAGAATCATAGAATTTTAGACTCAGAGGAACATTTTTTGTGTGTCTTTTTTACCATCTGTATGCAATAACTCTTAAAATATTAGAAGTTAGTTATCTTTTCTAACAATATTTTCCTTGGGTAAATAACTTTATTTTCTTTATTCTTGTTTATATGCCAGTATCAGATACATCACTATCTAGGTTTCTGCCCTGCTCCTTAGTCCCTAGTTTCTTTGTATCTCTCTTGCTCTCTCTCCTTCTTTTTTTTTCTTGTTTCTTTAATATAAGGCCTGGAATTTGATATACTCTGACTTTTGTGATTGCAACCTAATAGGTTAGCTAGCTCTCATAGCATACCATTAGGTTGCATTGAGTTTGTAGTTGGTTGAACTCAATAAGTGGTTTAATATTGATCTCTGAACTTATTTTTCAAATATTCTGTTGCTCAATATTCTATTTCAGCTTTCATCTTTTTCTCTGTTGATGCATCTTTTTTCCTAATTTTTTTTCTTTTTTTCTTTATTTATTTTATTTTTTTATTATACTTTAAGTTTTAGGGTACATGTGCACAACGTGCAGGTTTGTTACATATATATACATGTGCCATGCTGGAGTGCTGCACCCATTAACTCGTCATTTAACATTAGGTATATCTCTTAATGCTATCCCTCCCCCATCCCCTTCCTGTGTCCATGTGTTCTCATTGTTCAATTCCCACCTATGAGTGAGAACATGCGGTGTTTGGTTTTTTGTCCTTGCTATAGTTTGCTGAGAATGATGGTTTCCAGCTTCATCCATGTCCCTACAAAGGACATGAACTCATCATTTTTATGGCTGCATAGTATTCCGTGGTGTATATGTGCCACATTTTTTAATCCAGTCTATCATTGTTGGACATTTTGCTTGGTTCCAAGTCTTTGCTATTGTGAATAGTGCCGCAATAAACCTCCATGTGCATGTGTCTTTATAGCAGCATGTTTTATAAACCTTTGGGTATATACCCAGTAATGGGATGGCTGGGTCAAATGGTATTTCTAGTTCTAGATCCCTGAGGAGTCGCCACACTGTCTTCCACGATGGTTGAACTAGTTTACAGTCCCACCAACAGTGTAAAAGTGTTCCTATTTCTCCACATCCTCTCCAGCACCTGTTGTTTCCTGACTTTTTAATGATCACCATTCTAACTGGTGTGAGATGGTATCTCATTGTGGTTTTGATTTGCATTTCTCTGATGGCCAGTGATGACGAGCACTTTTTCATGTGTCTGTTGACTGCATAAATGTCTTCTTTTGAGAAGTGTCTGTTCGTATCCTTCACCCACTTGTTGATAGGATTGTGTTTTTCTTGTAAATTTGTTGGAGTTCATTGTAGATTCTGGATATTAGCCCTTTGTCAGATGAGTAGATTGCAAACATTTTCTCCCATTCTGTATGTTGCCTGCTCACTCTGATGGTAGTTTCTTTTGCTGTGCAGAAGCTCTTAAGTTTAATTAGGTCCCATTTGTCAATTTTGGCTTTTGTTGCCATTGCTTTTGGTGTTTTAGACATGAAGTCCTTGCCCATGCCTATGTCCTGAATGGTAATGCCTAGGTTTTCTTCTAGGGTTTTTATGGTTTTAGGTCTAACATGTAAGTCTTTAATCCATCTTGAATTAATTTTTGTATAAGATGTAAGGAATGAATCCAGTTTCAGCTTTCTACATATGGCTAGCCAGTTTTCCCAGCACCATTTATTAAATAGGGAATCTTTCCCCATTTCTTGTTTTTGTCAGGTTTGTCAAAGATCAGATGGTTGTAGATATGCGGCATTATTTCTGAGGGCTCTGTTCTGTTCCATTGGCCTATATCTCTGTTTTGGTACCAGTACCATGCTGTTTTGGTTACTGTAGACTTGTAGTATAGTTTGAAGTCAGGTAGCATGATGCCTCCAGCTTTGTTCTTTTGGCTTAGGATTGACTTGGCAATGAGGGCTCTTTTTTGGTTCCATATGAACTTTAAAGTAGTTTTTTTCCAATTATGTGAAGAAAGTCATTGGTAACTTGATGGGGATGGCATTGAATCTATAAATTACCTTGGGCAGTATGGCCATTTTGACGATATTGATTCTTCCTACCCATGAGTATGGAATGTTCTTCCATTTGTGTAGCCTCTTTTATTTCATTGAGCAGTGATTTGTAGTTCTCCTTGAAGAGGTCCTTCACGTCCCTTGTAAGTTGGATTCCTAAGTATTTTATTCTCTTTGAAGCAATTGTGAATGGGAGTTCACTCATGATTTGGCTCTCTGTTTGTCTGTTATTGGTGTATAAGAATGCTTGTGATTTTTGCACATTGATTTTGTATCCTGAGACTTTGCTGAAGTTGCCTATCAGCTTAAGGAGATTTTGGGCTGAGATGATAGGGTTTTCTAGATATACAATTATGTCATCTGCAAACAGGGACAATTCGACTTCCTCTTTTCCTAATTGAATACCCTTTATTTCCTTCTCCTGCCTGATTGCCCTGGCCAGAACTTCCAAGACTATGTTGAATAGGAGTGGTGAGAGAGGGCATCCCTGTCTTGTGCCAGTTTTCAAAGGGAATGCTTCCAGTTTTTGCCCATTCAGTATGATATTGGCTGTGGGTTTGTCATAGATAGCTCTCATTATTTTGAGATACGTCCCATCAATACCTAGTTTTTTGAGAGTTTTTAGCATGAATGGTTGTTGAATTTTGTCAAATGCCTTTTCTGCATCTATTGAGATAATCATGTGGTTTCTGTCATTGATTCTGTTTACATGCTGGATTACGTTTATTGATTTGCCTATGTTGAACCAGCCTCGCATCCCAGGGATGAAGCCCACTTGATCATTGTGGATAAGCTTTTTAATGTGCTGCTGGATTTGGTTTGCCAGTATTTTACTGAGGATTTTTGCATCGATGTTCATCAGGGATATTGGTCTAAAATTCTCTTTTTTGGTTGTGTCTCTGCCAGGCTTTCGTATCGGGATGATGCTGGCCTCATAAAATGAGTTAGGGAGGATTCCCTCTTTTTCTATTGATTGGAATAGCTTCAGAAGGAATGCTACCAGCTCCTCCTTCATATTCCGTTCGTGTTCTAAGATGTTGGCTCTCCCTTTCAGCTGTATCACAACTGTGCATTTCATGAAGATTCCTTCACTGATAACTACATTAAACTTCACAGGATCAAGTACACAGGCTTGTGTCAGGCCATTGGAGGTCCCTTTTCAGGTTGACATTGAAGAGTCAGCACAGGAACTCTACTGATTTAATTAGCTACAAATCCAACACCTAAGTGTAGTAGCATCCAGTCAGTTTTTCTCTACTTTGTATACTATGAAATGATGAAAGCCCTTATCCAATGCTTAGCTTAAATCAAGATAAACTATTTTGAAGACATTGTCAAGATCTAAAAGCTAACTTAGTACAAATAGAAAGTACGTGTTGCTTCATGTGACTCCTACTCAGTAAGCCCATGGCCTTTCTCTTTGTCCTAAGATGCCCAATTATTGAAGGATGTTTTAAGAAGCCTATTCTTTAAATTTCCCAATTATTGTGTTATTCTTACATATTACCTTTATCCCCATTTATGTTTTGTTAAAAACTGGTACAGTTTTATGCCTCCTTATAAAGTTTCTAAAAAGTAAAAAAATGAGATTTGGTGATCATCTTTGCAACTTGCAAAGATGGATATATAAATTTTTGGTGCTAAATAATCAAGTGCACTTAAAATAACTAAGAGCTTTTCTAACATTGGTTAATGTATAGAGTTTACGAAATTGTATTGTATTCTCACAATAGTAAGGTTTTATTAGCACATTAGAGAGCAGTAATCTGAGGCTCAGAAGGCTAGTGATTTTCTAGGGTATAGAAATAGTAGGAGATTAAAATATGTGTTTATTTAGTATTACTATTTGCTTTTAACTTTCATATTTAATGGTAACATTTATACGTTTTACGTTTGCCTTGTGGAATCGTAAACACATACAAAAGAGGAAAAAAAGTCCTCCTTAATTACAACACACAGATATTAATGGTTGTTAATATGTTTAACCTCTCTTCTCCTTAATTATGAATATGGAAGCCCCTTCAAATTTGGAAGGAGATTGGAAGTTCCCATTTGCAGATATCTGTTAACTTTAAACCATCTTTCTTGGAAGTCGGTTATAGAGACTTTATTCTGATACTCCAAGCATCATTTCTTTCAGTGTAGGCAAATCTTTGTTTTTAAAATTTGTGGCTACCATTCTATTTTTACTTTTTTGTATCAATTTGACTTCTTGTAAAAATATAATTTTTAGGACCTCCTGCCCTGAAAAACCCATGTCCCATTTTAAAAGCGCTGGGTAAAACACTATTTAGAAAATATTTAGGATTGTTCCTTAACTATGCTTAATACTATTATATTACCAAAATAGTCACAGCCATTTTCTGCCATCAACTTCAGAGCTATAATCTGCTTTTAACCTACTCTCCCAATTATGTATCTCTGTCATCTATCTACCTATTTAATGTAAAGCTATTATTATCTACCAGGTGAGTCATAAAATTGAAAAATAAATTGTGTTTTTCAAGAAAACAGACCAGTCAGTAAGAAGAAAACTGACTTGCTGGGCAAAGTGTTCTTCTGATATTTGTACTAAAAACCACTACAGTTTGATTCTCTGTCTCTAAACATGATGTACACTGATTGACTATAATTTAATGCTGCTTAAGAAAAAAGTCTCTTTCTGAGGGGAATGGCAAGGGAAAGTATTTTAAGAGTAATGAAGAAAGGAGAAAGAAGCACAATTATATTTTCAGGTGGATTTTCTATTATTAATTTCTCTGGATAGGAACCACCAAATATATTTACTATTATTTAATATTAAAATTTATTTTCCTCAATCCCTCCCTTATTAGAGGCTGACTCTACTGTATTCATTTCTCTTTGGCTATTAAATAAAAATAATGGTTGTTCATAATTTCTATAGCAGCTTTATCTATTTTGTGTGTCCTATAGAGTGCCATAAAAATGAGATTTAATATTCACAATGTAGCAGGACGAGCTGCAGACAAGAACCCCTCAGACACCAAGTTGTAGAAGGAAAGGGCTTTATTCAGCTGGGAGCATTGGTGTCTCCAAAAACCAAGCTCCCCAAGTGAGCAATTCCTGTCCCTTTTAAGGGCTTACAACTCTAAGGGGGTCCATGTGAGAGGGTCGTGATCCATTGAGCAAGCAGGGGGTACATGACTGGGGGCTGCATGCACCGGTAATCAGAACGGAACAGAACAGGACAGGGATTTTAACGGCGCTTTTCCATACGATGTCTGAAATCTATAGATAACACAAGCAGTTAGGTCAGGGGTTGATTTTTAACTACCAGGCCCAGGGCACGTTGCTGGGCTATCTACCTGTGGATTCCATTTCTGCCATTTAGTTTTTACTTCTTCTTTCTTTGGAGGCAGAAATTGGGCATAAGACAATATGAGGGGTGGTCTCCTCCCTTTTTCCCCCACTTTGAGAACTTCACTCAATAGTGGGAGTGCTCACTTTCATCCTCACTACCCATGTCTTTCTGCAAGACAGATGGATAGTGATTTACATAGTACACTTGTGCTGAAGCATTTTGGTGAACTAAGGTAGAGATGAAGCTTTTTATCATTTGAAGAAGTACAGGTAGCAAGCAAGGGAGCAGTAAGTAGGTTCCTATTATTATTATAACTCCTATTGTAAGAATTTTAAATCCTCCTAGCGCTGGGAACCATTTTCCAAACATGGCCCCAGGATCAAATCCATGCCACACTTGCACAGGCACATGTGCCAGTTTTGTCATATCTCTAACTATCTGTAACTTGATCATCTATGTGTAGACAGCAATTAGTAAGGTTAAATTTCCCACAGACCCCTCCTTCAGCTGCTAGCAAGTAGTCAAGAGCCAATCTATTTTGATAGATAACATTTCTTTTTTGCGTTTCTTGCCGGGCCAGAATAGTCAAGGCTCTGCTGGTTTTATTAGTGATTATTTCTAAGACAGCTTGTAACTGTATGATTCGGTCGAGCATGTAAATGGGGGTCTGGTATCCCCATGAGCTGTCTTGTGCCTAAGCAACAGGCCCATAATATTGTATGATTCTCTCAGGGGGGCATTGATCATCTTTTCAATTTCCTATAGCTATGCTTCTCTTTTCGCAGGAAGCATAGACAGGGAAGCTCAGGAGTTCGTCTGTCTTTATGGGCAGTAGGAAGAAAGATGGTTTAATAGAGCCAATAACACAACTACCTGCCCACTGGTCGGGTAATTTGGTGTAAGCTCTATGCCCACATATCCAGTATAATCCAGTGGGGGCTGTCCAGTCCCTGTGGGACTCCTGGTGGGTCCACATGGTTTGTAACTTTGGGAATTTACTAAATGGATTCCTTTCTGTGTGATGTGAACTCTACCAAGTGACTGTTTTTGTGGTACCATTATACAGTTTCTGTCCCAGACAACTAAGTCATCCTATGGGGTGAGTGAATTCTCTTCCTTCTCTAGCTATGCAATATTGTCCAATAATTGAGGCTTTTAGGGCCCAGAAATTATCAAGGTGATTCTTTTCAGCCAGGAATTTATCAGGAACTGGGTCTGTAGGTACTAATTCTTTACTTCCCATGGCCATTGATCTCCCATTATAGTTCCTCCACATACATAACATGAAGTGACATTGAGAGACTGGGCTACATGCTTGGCTAATTGCAAAAACAAATTTCTTGTTTTTCCTGGAATTTCTGGTACTGGCACATTTAGTTCATCATAGAAAGTTTGAAACACTGGCTCAGCAGAGTGTTTGTAAACTTCTCCTCGAACCAAGATATTTACTCGAGGATCCAGTCCAGCCCTATCAATTCCTAAGGTCACATGCTCCCCTTTTTTCCAGCGAGGATCAAGGGGATTGGTTATTACTAGCTTTAAGGGGTTACATTGTCCCTTGGTATAGGAAGGGCCACTTTTTCCTTTCTGAAGGTGGACTGGATCCTTTTCATTTTTTACCCAAGTGGCCCAAATGACACAAGACCAGTATCCACATTCATTTCCACACAGTCCTAATTCATGACATATGTACTTATTTTTGGTCATATAGCCTTTTTCCCAATCAAAAGAGCCACATCCGCTTCCTAACTTATTGCTATTAATGAGAGCACAGGCATCAGATTTCAAGATTATGCATCTGGGCACCCCTTTTTCTTCTGTTCTGGCTAATACTTTACTTGTATCATTTACGAGTCCCCACCAATCTTCAGTCCTTAATCTTATTTTAAAAACTATGGACATGGGAGGCTCAGAGGGGTCATAACAAACATCTGGCCAGTCGTTTCCTGGGCTACATACCTTGTCCTGAGTGTCATTATATAAACATGCTCCTTTTAAAGTTCCTAGGCATTCATAGTAACTATAGAACAGAAAGATTGTTTTAACTTGTTGCCCTACCTCGGTAACCTGATGTATACACTGAGAGCACTCCTCCATGTGGGGAAAATCAGTGGAAGTTTTTACTATACAAGTACAAATTGTAAGGAAAATGAGTCCCACGATGATCCTCCTCATGCTTCGGCCTTGCGTAGACCAGTCAGCTTCCGGGTGTGACTGGAGCAGGGCTTGTCGTCCTCCTCAGAGTCACCTTGCAGGGGTTGTCCAGGCTCAGTTTTGCCTCCCAGGTTTCAGCGGCTGCAGGTTTCACATGGCTGTGGTGGATCTAGGCTGGGATTCCTTCTACGTTTACAGCCATGGGGGCAGTCAGGATGACGGTCTGAGGTCCTTTCCACCATGGCCACAAAGGGGCTACCTTCCAGTCCTTGATCCACATGCGATCACCTGGAGAGAAAGGGTGAACTGGGGAGAATAAGTTGATGGGACACCTCTCATTTACCCAAGTTGAGATTGTCTGTGTAATTTTTCCTAAAGCCTGTAACTGTCACTGTAATTCAATTTCCCCTAACTCTCGGGGAGTGCCTGGAAGCTCCCAGAGTATAGAAGGAGGCCTATGATACAGCTTTTCATAAGGGGAGCATCCTGTTTTCTTGGAGGGTTGCATCTAATTTTAAACCATACCATGGGAAGGGCCTGTACCATTTTATTCCTGTTTCCTGATATACTTTCCCTAAACTATTTTTGATAGTCTGATTCATTTGCTCCACCTTTCTGGATCTCTGAAGTCGGTAGGCAGCATGTAGATTCCAAGAGATTCCTAATGGCTTTGCTGTCTTCTGTACCAAGTCAGGCACAAACGCTGGCCCATTATCTGAGACGATTCATAAGGGCAGTTCAAACCTAGGAATAAGATCTCGGAGAAGCACACGGGTTACTTCATAGGCCTTTTCAGTTCATGTTGGATAAGCCTCCACCCACCCAGAGTAAGTACACACAAGAACCAGCAAATACTTGTTACCTCCACATTTCAACATTTTTGTGAAATCCACCTGAAGATCCTCAAAGGAGCCGCTCCATAAGCTTGTATGCCGAGCAGAACAGTGGGGCCTTGCCTCACATTGTGCTTCACTGAATTCTAGAGCCTGAGTTAAAGCAGTGAGCTCAGCCTTCTGGGCTGAAGTGCCCTGTGGCAACGGTTTGGCTTCAGTGACAGCATCCAAAGTTACCATCGCATATCCTGCACATCTTTCTCCTTGTGGGTTGATGAAACTGCTCCTATCCATGTACAACTCCCAGTCTACTGCTGCCCATGGCTGGTCCCAAAGGTCAGGTCTGCTAGAATAAACTGCGTCTAACACCTCTACACAGTTATGCTTGACTGGGCTCTCTGATACTGGGAGCAGGGTGGCGGGATTTAGGGTGTTACAGACTTTAATGGTTATGGGGGATTTTCACATAGCAAGCTTTGGTACTTGGTTAATCTAGCATTTGTTAGCCAATGATGTCCTTTGGTATTCATCAAAGTTACCATAGCATGGGGGGGCCTTTATACTCAGGTTTTGCCCAAGGGTTAGTTTATTTGCTTCTTGTACTAACAGGGCCGTTGCTGCCAGGGCCCTTAGACATGGCGGCCAGCCTTTGGAAACCCCATCTAGTTGTTTTGAGAGATAGGCCACTGGCCTTAGCCAGGGCCCCACAGTCTGGGTTAAAACTCCAGCTGCCATTTTTTTTCTTTCTGACGTATAGAGTGTAAAGGGCTTTGCCAAATCTGGTAGTCCTAGTGCTGGGGCCGACATAAGTTTTTCCTTTAACTCACAAAAGGCTTGCTGTCGTAAAGGTCCCCATTCAGAAGGCTCCCGGTCACCCCGTACAAAGGTTTGGCTAGTATTGCAAAGTTTGGAATCCATAATCTGTAAACCCCACGGCTCCTAGGAATTCCCTTACTTGCCTTCTGGTTTTAGGTTCTGGTAGGCTGCAGATGACCTGCTTTTTTTCTGACCCCAGGCTGTGCCCTCCTTTCCAAATAGTGAATCCCAGGTAGCATACCTGCTGTCTGCAGATCTGAGCTTTCTTCTTGGACACCTTATACTCACAGTCCTGCAGGTGCCGAAACAGGGCATCCGTCCCTTTGGCGCACCCAGCTGCCATGGAGTGTCCCAGCAGAAGGTCGTCCACGTACATGAGTAAGACGCAGCCTAGGTCTTTAGCAGGAAACTTTTGCAGGTCTCGAGCCAGGGCCTCCCCAAAGATAGTAGGGGAGTTCTTGAACCCTTGGGGAAGCCGAGTCCAAGTATATTGAGAAGTGACACCTGACTCCGGAGCTTCCCACTGAAAGGCAAACAGCTTCTGGCTCTCAGGAGCCAGGTAGCAGCCCTAACAATGTGTAAGGGTTAGGAACTGTTGGGTGCAGAGTCACTGTAGCTTGGTTGACCAAGCGCAAGTCCTGTACTGGCCGATAGTCCTTTGTCCCTGGCTTAGGGACAGGCAGGAGGGGGGTGTTCCATGGAGACTGGCAAGGAACTATAATTCCAAAGGCTTTCAAGTGCCTGAGATGAAACTGGATTCCTTTGAGAGCTTCCCTGGGAAAAGGATACTGCTTTTGTCTAATTGGTTGGGCCCCAGGCTTAACTTCTACGAGTACGGGGGCTTGGTTGACCACCAGTCCTGGAGGATTATCCTCTGCCCATACTCGGGACCATTGCTTAGCTAGAGCTGGTTTTATCTCTTGGCCTGGCTCAGTTAAGAAAAGTCTCCATTCTTCTTCCCAGGGGACTGACCATAGGGACCATGATAACTCATGTTCCCAGTAACTTTAGCTGTAAAGATCCGTGTTTTGTAAAGGAGATGGTGGCTCTCAGCTTGCTAAGCAAGTCTCTTCGCAGCAAAGTCAAGGGACAGTCAGGCATGTACAAGAACTGGTGAATGATTTCATGTCCCCCCACTGAGCAGGTCCGTGGTAGAAAGAAAGCAGCAGGAAACCCCTGTTACTCTGATTATATCAATGGTTTTCTTGGATAAGGGGATGGCCGGGGTGGTCACTACTGAATGTGCAGCACCAGTATCAACCAAAAACTTAATGTCTTTGCCCCCAATTGTAATCCTGACTGTGGGCTCCTCAGGGGCGCTTGAGCCTAGTCCCCTTCAGTCTAATAGACCTTCAGCCAGATTGAACAAAGCTCCCTCATCTTTATCTGAGGTCTTTTGCTCCTAATTACCTTCCTTTTCCTTCAGTTGGGGACACCTATCTTTCCAATGTCCTATTTCCTTACAATAGGCGCATTGGTTACGTTGCAAGTTTGGGCAATTATTAGACTGGGTATTCTTCCCGGAACCCCCTTTTCCCTGTCCTTTCAGGGGAATTCCCCTAATGCCTGCAGCCAGTAAGTTGGTGTTTCGCCTGGCCTGGTGTTCGCCTTCCTTACAGATTTCTCTGCTGCTTGTTGCATCTCTATTCACAAACACTTGATTGCTGATTTCCAGTAACTGCGAGTTATTCATACCCACAAACCCAGCCTGTTTCTGCAATTTTCTCCTGCTATCTCCCGTGCTTTGACTAACTAATGCCATGTGCTGATTTTCAGGGCTATCTGGATCAAAAGGAGTGTACATATGGTAAGCCTCACACAGTCTTTCATAGAATTGTGCTGGACTCTCCTCTTTTCATTGGATGACCTCAGAGATCTTATTTACATTTGTAGCCTTTTAAGCCCCTTTCTTTAGACCTTATATCAATGCCTCATGGTACCTTCTTAGCCTCTCCATGTCTGGTCCCTCATTTGGGTCCCATTGGGGGGTCTGTTCCCGGCAGCTGAATTCTTATATATTCTTGGGGATTTTGGTAATTGGCTGGGACGTGCTCCTCTAGCCACTTAGTTGCCGCTTGAAGCAACCTTCACCTTTCATCTGTATTAAAGAGGTACATGAGCAGCTGGTGGCAATCAGCCCAAGTAGGATTATCAGTCTGTATAATAGTTTGGAGCAAGTCAATTAAAGCTTGAGGCTTTTCAGTGTAAGATGGAGTATTAGTTTTCCAACTGAGGAGGTCAGCAGAGGTGAAAGGTTGATACACAAAGGAACGCCTTTCCACCATGTGTCCATCCTCCTCTACCCCAGTATATTGCTGCTCTCTCAGGGGCATTTGGATTCCAGTCTTGGGCCGTAAGAGAGCTGCCAAGGGAGGAGTTTCTCCTGTGGCTTCACTTCCTCTTTTGTCTACTCTGGGTGGTCTAGGAGTGTGGATATCTGGTGGAGATGGAGGAGCTGTGGGCTCAGGAGTGGGGAGCTCTTCCTCTCGATAAGGAGGGGACACTGCTGGGACCAATTCCTGCCATGATTCTTTTGTTGTTGGGTCAGACAGGACTTTTGGTGCTGACTTCCCTCAGCGGGTGGAGCGAGAACCTTCCCTAACTAACTGTCCCTTTGCTACTAGTACTGCTGCCTTCTGTCCTCTTAACCGCTGTGGGGGATCCAAAACTAGCTGTGACAAAGAATCTATATACGGGAACTGATCTGGGTGCCCTGGCTTACAGGTTACTCTGTGCCATACCTTCAAGACAAGGGACCTGTCCAGGCTTCCTTCTGATGGCCAACCCACCTCTAATGCTGGCCAGTCTATCTCACACAAAGTTCTAAGTTTTCCTGGTGTCATAGTAACTCCATAGTCTCCCTTAAATCCCTTTTTGAATTTTTTCAACATAGTTCCTAATGAGGTGGGTTTACTTTGTGCCTGACCCGTGGTTCCTCGAGACAAACGCCACGCTTACACCACACACACAACACAAAACAAAGAATGGGTAAAAAGGGCACACACACACTTTTACAGTTTACATCAAACCAGAATCAAAACCCAAATCAGAGTATCAAGAAATCCAAGCCAGGTCAAAACCAAAACCAAAGTATCAAGCAATCCAAGTCAAGTCAAAAACAAAATCCAAACTGCCTGTACAGGCACATCATGGGTGATCAGGCCATGCTTCCACTCAGGGGGAGTGGGCTAGTTCTAAAGACCAGTCTTACCAAATTTCAGATGTCTGGACTCCAAGTGTCACTTCCTTCCCGGTGTTCAGCCACTGCATTGATCTTCCATGGGGGCCTGCCACAAGCTGTTCTGGTGAGGCATTCCACTGGGGCAACTGCCTACCAGGGAGCGCTCTCAGGATCCACATCACTCTAGCTGGCTGGAGTCCCCTGCAGGGATGCTCCACAGGGCAGGCCTAAGCTGCCTAAGGGGCTGCCTCAACCTTCGGCTAATCACCTCGCTTCCAGGTCAGGGAACCAAGACAGGTCAGGGAACCAAGAAATGTAGCAGGACAAGCCGCAGACAAGAACACTTCAGACACTGAGTTATAGAAGGAAAGGGCTTTATTCAGCTGGGAGCATCGGCAGGCTCACGTCTCCTAAAACTTAGCTCCCCCAGTGAGCAATTCCTGTCCCTTTTAAGGGCTTACAATTCTAAGGGGTTCCACGTGAGAGGGTCGTGATCCATTGAGCAAGCAGGGGGTACGTGACTGTGGGCTGCATGCACCAGTAATCAGAATGGAACAGAACAGGACAGGGATTTTAATGATGCTTTTCCATACGATGTCTGAAATCTATAGATAACACAAGCAGTTAGGTCAGGGGTTGATTTTTAACTACCAGGCCCAGGGCTCAGTGCTGGGCTGTCTGCCTGTGAATTTCATTTCTGCCTTTGTAGTTTTTACTTCTTCTTTCTTTGGAGGCAGACATTGGGCATAAGACAATATGAGGGGTGGTCTCCTCCCTTAACTGAATGAGTAAGTGATTCATAACTTTAATGTTAGCTTTTGAAGTTGGTCCAGGACAAAAGCAAATAACGGAATATGATTAAATTTAGCTACCTAAGAATTATGGTATACGAATAAAAATATAGTTTAAAATTATTTCTGTCTTATTATGCTTTATAAGCAAGTCTTTGGGAGTCTTTAAAAGAGATCAAATGAATAGCCTTTAAATACATTAAAGTTTGGTTAGATTTCCTTCTAAATAGTGTAAACAGTTGTGTCTTTTGAAGGGCAAACCATGAAATCTGACCATTAACTTTCATATAACATACAGAAAATTGTTGTTCAGCTCTTAATTAGTGGAGTAATGGTGGCATAATATTGTATATATGTATATTTATATTCATTTATTTGCTCTAATTCAAAATTTATCTGACATTTTACATAGGTTTAAATTTTTTGTCTGTTTTCACAAAAGTATGTGGAGCTTTTATTCCCAGATTTCTTAGGACAATAGGTAGAAATCTTAAGAACTTCCTGTTCAAATTTAAAATTATCTATTAACATTTTCTCTAATCTGGAAAGTCTATAGTAGATGCCAACCCTATTTCGTGTTTGTGTTGTTTTGCCAAAGTATTTTACTTCCACACTTTTATTGTCAACTTTTATCTTGTTTGCTTTATAATCTTGTTTGCTTTATAATCTTGTTAATAGTAGAAAATATCCTCTTCTAGCCTCTTTCTTTGCAAATTTTTATTGGAATTTTAATATGAGCATTCCATTTATGGTGATCATCTTAACCAAATCACTGTGCCATGAAGTTCTCATCCCTTCCACTTAATGTCAAGTTTAATTGACCTTTTTGAAGTTCTATCTTTCTTCTCAAACGTATCATCTTATATAGATATTTTTAACACTTGAGCTGTACTTTCTTCACCTACTTTAGCAATTCATACAGATTAGTTTTGAGCCATGTATTTAGATGTGGTGTCTTGCAACATATATATACACATATGTGCATATATATGTGTATATGTACAGATGTGTATACATGCGTATATATACAGATGTGTATATATGTGCATATGTGCATATATACAGATGTGTATATATGTGCATGTATACATGTGTGTATATGTGCATGTATACATGTGTGTATATGTTGCATGTATACGTGTGTATATGTGCATGTATACATATGTGTGTAT
The DNA here is from genome assembly GCF_000001405.40 of Homo sapiens. Lineage (NCBI taxonomy): Eukaryota > Metazoa > Chordata > Mammalia > Primates > Hominidae > Homo > Homo sapiens. The sequence goes on along the minus strand of NC_000003.12, from coordinate 79,771,677 downwards.
ATGTGCATGTATACATATGTGTACATATGTATATGTGTATATATATATGTATATTTACGTATATGTGTATACATGTGTATATATACGTATGTGTATACATGTGACTATATACGTATATGTGTATATATGTGTATATATGCGTATATGTGTATGCATGTGTATATATGAGTATATGTGTATGCGTGTGTATATATGCGTATATGTGTATACATGTGTATATGTGTGTATATATGTGTATATGTGTATATATGTGTATATGTGTGTATATAAGTGTGTATATACATATATGCGTATATGTGTGTATATACATATATGCGTATATATGTGTGTATGTACATATATGCGTATATATGTGTGTATGTACATATGTGTGTATATGTGTGTATGTACATATGTGTATATGTGTGTATGTACACATATGTGTATATATGTGTATGTACATATATGTGTATATGTGTGTATGTACATATATGTGTATATGTGTGTGTACATATATGTGTATATGTGTGTGTACATATATGTGTATATATGTGTGTATATATACATATATGTGTGTATATATGTGTATATATACATATATATGTGTGTATATATATATTGCTGTTTAGTACTGATTTACACTTTTAAAGATGCCTGTTTAGCTGTTAACATTCTTTATATTTCTGCTTTCAGAATATAATTTATATGTCTGGTAGTTTTCCTTTTCATCTGTCAAAATCAAGCATGGATAAATATTCTATTTAAAGAGACACATAGATCAATGCCTGTGGCTTTGAAATTTTTTAAACTATACATATTTCAAAATTACTCAAGGCAGAATTTTTTAAATAGCTTGGATAGTAGCTGAATGTCATTATATTTCATTAAGTTTTATCAAGTGGCATGCTATTGCGTGTTTACCCACCTAAATTTAGAAAGGAAGCTGATTGTAGTAATGACAGACAGGGATATGCCATGTATGTTTTGCTTTCCAACTTTTATAGATGTTCACAGTAACCACAATAAGGCATTGTCATCATGATCCAAGGACATAATGGATATCAGTTTCTGACATAGCATATATTGTCCTTGAAAATTGCACTGACAAAATGAGGGGTCCAACAATACTTCAAATAATAAAGAATAGATCAAGGATATTCCTACAGATCTAGGATATATGAAAACTATTGTGGTTCTAATATCCTTCTTTAAAATATGTTTTGCCTTAGTATCCAAGAAGTAAGGAAAATATATTTGCAACATTTACAACTATATATTTATTTTATATATATATATATATATATATATATATATATATATATATACATCTCATATGGTAATAATTTGGATAAACAAGTAATTTATTGAAGAGATGTAGAAAACTTTTTTAAAAAAATAGTAAGTTAAACTTAAGTTTCTGTTTAGCTTGCTATATTTTTACATCAGTCTTTTATATAGAAAGTAAAAACTTATCAAGAGATTATATAATAAATTTGTTATTAGGTCAGTTTTGGTTTATTTATTTTCTTCTGTTCACTATTATATGTGTCCACTATCAAACTTCCCCATTTAATTATGGTCATAGATAAGCTGCATTGATTTTGTATAAAATCTGTCAGCTTGTGTAAAACACATCTTTTCTCAGTTCTAAAATGATACACATTAAATGCAGAACTTTCAACTTGTAGTTGGGTTGCAAATGATTTTTTTCAGATCCCCTTGTAGAAAGAAGTTGAAACACCAATAATTTACTTGTTTTAGAAATAAGATGAATGTCAGTCATCTTTATTCAACTTTGCATGGTCATTATGCTTTTCTTACTATATGAAATAATAGCTTTTCTTTTCTTTTACAGATTAAAAAAAAGTCCTTTATACCCTTATACTGAATATTGCAACACTTTGGTATTTTCATTTTAACTCTATTGTAAATGGAGAAATTATTAACCTGAAGTAAAGTGATTGAAGTAACCCTGAATAAAAGTTATTCAAAAGCTATTTCAGTGACACAATAGCAATGGATATATACAGCAAATTGACTCTGATACAATGCCAATGATCACATCTTTTCACTCTGAATTAGTGATCATGGATATTTTTAAAAATATGTGTTTGGTGCAAACTTTGCAAATACACATAAAAATACTGGATTTTCTAATCCCTGAAAGAAACTCTCTTCTTTCACCTCTCAGTCGTGTAAGAGTTAACTCTGTTTCCTACAAGGATGCAATCTGTAAGTTAGGTCTGGAAGGCAGCAAAGGCAACCTGGACTTGAAGTTAACACTTCTGTTGTCAAGGGTTACTGATTGGGGGAAGGGAAGGGGCTGTAAAGGGAAAGAGTTACGGAAATGAAGAGGGATTGTAGCACACACTACATAAATTCAAATGCTTTACATGTATTTGGAATAAGATCTCGAGTCTGTTGTATTTTTGCATTGTGTTTTCATTTATTTAGTTTACACATAGGTAGTGAATTTATAGGTTGGTTGATGTTAACCTTATCCAGAGTGGCCCTTTCCAACAATGTTCATTCAGTTGTACATTACATATATGTAATAATTTTGTAATTAAATTGGAATTTATCACAATTATTTACATCAAAGACAATAAAATTATGTTACTTCCTAAATTATAATATCAGTAAATATCGTATCTAGGATTTTGTGGAAAGTCTATGTCATTTTAGTTTAAATAAGGATTTCTCTTTTCCTCCACAAAATTAAAGGTCAAAGAAAACAGCATGTTTAAGACTTCAAATTAATATATATTAAGATTCAGCATTTAATATTCTAATTCTTAAAATAACTGGCTTTACCGATGATGAACTAAAGTGATTTTGCACACTATTACAATATTTCAAATTGCTAGTCACCACAGGTCGGCCTCACTTTAAATCTCCTTGTTATGCCAATTTGCATTACTAATGAACTTGCTAAGAGAGAAACTGTAAAAAGATAATGTAGCAATTAATAGTAAATGCTTGACATACTGTGACATTATAATACCTTTATGTTGATTTATATCTTTATGTCAATATTTACAAGGAAAATATTTTTGAATTTCTAATTTTGCGAAGTAAAAATGATGCTGACGCCATTGTCATTGATGGAATTTTTTCTGTAGCATTTGACTAATATAACCCGTGTTTTATAATTGGTAGACTCATATTTTAGCTTCTACTATCTACTACCCATGTAAGGTATTTTATTTGTAGTAGCTATGAATTGTAAATACAATTGGGTGTTGTGTGTACCTACGTGAAGTGCAGAAGTATTTGATTATATAAAATTTCCTGGATTTATATGAGAATAATGCATAATAGAGAGCAAAAGAGGGTTTTCCTGCCAAAAGTGTCTGTGTGAATTTTCCTTCGAAAATGTTCTTTTAAAATCCTTTGTATGATCAAAGCCACTCCACACAGACAATTAAAAGCAGCTATGGAATGATAGATCACATGACAGGAGTTAAATGTAAGGGTTTTTTTTTTTTTTTTTCCTCCCCCCTCGGTTAAACATCGCAGCAGGCATTACAATACCAGAGGTAACGAATCAATTAAATCCATTTTCCCCTCGGCGTCTCCAAAGCTGCGTGCCTAGTGTTGCTGTGTAGTTTAGACCGGAGCAGTAGGACCCAGGGGCCTCCGCAGCCACCAATAGAAGCGCACACTTGGACCTATTTGTATGCAATGCCTTCTGCTCTGCGCATTAATAGTAATACAGATAACGGGTTTGAAAGAATTCTCTACTGAAGAAGGATTGAATTTTTCCAGGGTGCTGATACAGAGAAGAAACCCGACTTCACTCTCTCCCTATTTCCCCACTCTTAGGTTTAAAAGTCTGTCACCTTTCGCTTGGTTTAAACTCGGAAAGGTCTCAGTGCACAGCAAAGTTGCAGGGCTGCGTCTGCACTACGGAGCCTCTAGATTGCTGAAAACAGTCTTATGGAAGGGTAAGTCTCGGAAATGGTTGCAAGGGAAGTGACAGCTGGCTTTTGATTTGTAAAAGGGGACACGCTGGGTTTTACACTAGTGGTTGTTGGAGTGCAGAATGGTTGCCGAGAGGACTCTGCAGTTTATCCAGAAATTGTGGCTGATGCGCCAGGGTGTTTTGGGGTAGAATCAAAAACCTTCAGGCTAAATCGGAAATTGCAGCCTTGCGATCGGGAGGGATTCAACAAGTTTTCCTGCAGGGATGCGATGTTTGTTTCTTCCTTGCCAGTTGTGCAGAGTGTCCGTTCCAGGTAGGCTGCGGCTGCTTAACAAAGAAGTTTTGGAATTTGTTTGTTGTGTGTGTGGCTGGGCTAACCCTTGTTGGAGTAGGTTTCGTGCCGCTTTTGGCTTCTTGGGGGCACACAGCGGAATTTGCTCTAGGGATGCGGCGAGCATCAGCGGTGTAGTGGGCTGGGGCCGGGCAACTTTGCAGCCTAATCTCAGTGCCGCTGACCGCACCGTTGTTCGTGATGTGAGCTGACTGAGGCATAGACACGGGCAGGCTGCAGGGAGCTTCCAAACTTTGAAAGCATTCTCCAGGAATGGATGCGCGTGGGGGCTTTGAAAATAAGCGTTACTAGGTGGATTTTGGTAAACTCTTGGCGGTATGTAGGCAGTGGGGACTTTTGACACTTGCATTTCCAACCTGCAGGATTTTGCTTGAAAACATGGTGCTGATGTGAAGACGAGAGCTTAAAGCTAAGCCAGCGGGGACTTTGAGGGAGGAAATGAGGGAGGGAAGGAGGAAGAATGAGAGAAGACAGATGAATGAAAAAGGTGCGTCCCATCTTTCACACACAAAAACCACACGAGTGGGACGAACCAGGAAGCGCTCCAGTTGGTGGCGTTTAGCTGGAAAACGTATTGCAGGGAGGTCCAGGAGCCTCTGCATTATTGATGAAACGCCGTGCCCTTCTGGGGCCCCTTCTTGCTCCTTCTCCCTGCCCCATCTTGCCAGCCCCGCTTCCATGAGCCTTCGGTTCCAGCGTTGGCGCGGGTGCGGCTGCGCGCGCGGCTGGGTCCCACAGCTCTGAGAACACAATGGGGAGAAGCAGGCGAGCCCTGCGGGCGGCCGATGCGGAAAACTCGGCGTGGCAACCCCACTGCTGCAGCCTGGGCTGCCGCTCCACCCGGGGCAGCGGCGCTGCAGAGACGGCTTCTGCCCAGTTGCCACGCGCCCTGAGGTCTCGGAGGACCGCGTGGAGGGCGCTCACACCTGGCCGCTAAAATCCTGGGATACCCTTCTAGGAGTCACTGTGTCCCACGCAGATGGGTGGGGTGGGGGAGACGGAATGCTAAGACATCCCACTCCTGCCTCGAGTCGGAGCTCCCACTACTCAAATATCCTTAGTGTGCACCCCAAGCATCTAGAGGACCTGCGCCCCCAAGAAAAAAGGACACGAAGGGGGAAAGAAGGGAAATGTTGATGAGGCTGCAAGAGGGGAAGGAAAACAAGCAATTTAGGGCAATTATGGTCAATGGTCAGGCTTTTCTGGGCTCTTTTAAGTGGATTGATTTAGAGGAGCTTTGAAATGCTGTCCCTGGCCTGTCTGCGGCACTAAAGGGGGCAGATTTCCAGACGCAGGAACTCACTGGAGGCTCCTTCTATAGATGAAGGGAGGAAAGGGCAGGGCAGGAGGCTCATTTCACAGGGTAGTTTAACCCTGACCTCAGCACCTCCCACCCTTTCACGCCCCGCCAAGGAGTGCCCCGACCTTGTAAACTCCTCTGTGTCATCTGCCCTGTGTAAGTGATTTTCATCAAGCTGTGTGTTACAGAGGCCTGTTAAGAGATGGTTGTCTGTTTCCAAGTAGTGGTGGGAGGTTGTTTAATTTGGAGGTTGCTTGTCAACCCGGGCTGAGCGCACAGAGGAAGGAGCGTAGATGCAGGACCCTATAGAATGGGCCACTTGGGGTTGTCAGTTACTTGAAGGCTACACATCAAAGGAAATATACTGATTGAGCACCTGGGGGAAGACAATGCCATTTCATTTTTTCCTCGCTTTCCATGTGCCTCCTTTACTGTGGTTGTTTGGGAACTAGGATATAATAATTACAAAAAAAAGTTGAAAATCCACTGATTTATTTGGAAGCCTCATAACTGGGTTTTCAGGCCCAAACTTGTATTCTCCTAGCAGCTATTATTTTGAAAGCCTCAGTCTGACACCTTAAAACCTGCTTCTCTACTATATCTTGAGGAGGCACTGGTAACTTTCAAAGGCAATCTGTAAGCATGCATCATGTTGATTTTGTTAAAGGGAAGAGGCAGTGTTGGTAGATGTTCCATCAATATTTGCCCTTCCAAAATCGGCCCCCACCCCCCAAAAAAAGGAAGAGGAAGCAGCAGCAGCTCGGAGCAGATATCCAGTTGGTAAGATGACTTTGTTTCTTATGGACCTATACCTCTCCCATGAGGGATAAAAATTAGGATATCTAAGGAGTGGGGGCATTCACCTTATATTGTTGCCACGGTTTTTGGACTTCCTTTAGCCTTTTCGCACATATCTTCCTGCTCCATGCCTCTTCCAATTTAGCCCTGTAGGAGCTGCAGAATTGAAGCACAATGACACAGCTGCAGATCCCTGGTGGAGCCTTGCTTCAGAAAACAGCTGTTAATCACATGTTTGTTGTATTTTCCTATTTACTTCCTTTTACTTCCCTTCGCTTCCCTTAGCCTGTCCTTGAACCAGTGTTACCATCTTCTGGGCTCTACTCTATGAAGGTTAGTGATTTCCAGTGATATAGCACTGAGCTGAGCATGGGAGGAGGGGAGAGACTCAACAGCTGCCTAGGGAGTCCCAAAGGTTTAATGCCAACTTTCTCTTACCCTATACTGCACAAAATAAAGAACAAATACCCTAATATCTCCCCAAAGAGAACTGCATTGTTCTGTATAATTTTCTTTTATCTTATAACATAGTAGAATCAATTCAAATACAAAATAACATTGACCAGAGATGAAAAGGAAGCTATACACTTGTGTGCACTATTTGGAAAGTAGTGTTGTGCTTAGCTATAAAATCTCACTTTTTGGCCTTCATCTATACTTAATACATTAGGAACTACTTTTATTTAAGCAAGATTTAATGTATTACTTTCATTACAAAGCTGAGAAACTCTAGACACCACAAAGATGTGAATTTTAAATGAAAAAAAGCAAGGCAGTAAAGTAAGCCCCTGGCAGCTTGATGAATGAGCAGGTGCAATGCACCATTTGAAATGTATCTTGAGGTGAGCTTCCACCAATCTGCTGGAGAATGAGCTCCTTCTTGCCACCTAAACTCAACTGATTTTCCTCTTTCTGAGACCACAGACAAAAACATGATAGCATACAATAGGCTAGATTATGACCTGGTCACATAATCATTTATCTCTCTAAACTTGCTGTTGAAGTGAGCAATGTTACTGTTAATGTATTCATATTTGTACCTAAAATATATTAGTGCCAATTCTCCTAATTCTATAGGAAATTGAGGTCCTAGAAGGCTAACTGACTAATTCAAAACTACATAGGATAAAACTGTAGAAACAGTGTTAGTCACCGTACCTGCAATAGATATTTCACTTAATCCCCACATAACCCTTTCAAAGTAGGCTTTATTAGATGTCTACAACACATGAAGAGAATGAAGCTCAGAGAGTTTAAGGAAAATAGACATGACTATTCAGCCAAAAAGGGGCAGAGCCAGGATTAAAAACAAGTTCTTTCTCATGACAGAGTACATGCTTTTCTAGTATGTCATACTGCTGCTTTTAAGGGAGCCATTCTCTTCAGTTAACTGGACCTACCTATTTTCCCCCATATTTAAACAAGGAGTTTGATTATTCCTTGAATTTTATTTTAGTACTCATAATTTTTTAATCTCCTTGATATCTTTTTCATGTCCAAAGCATTATCTGCATTTCTCCAAGAGCAAACTTTTACAGTTACTTTCCAAGGATCTCATAAACAGTAAATAACTTTTTCAGAAAATATACCCCACCCCTATCTGCCACCCTGCCTGTATCATCTCTGGGGGTCAGAGCACTTGGGGAAAACTGAGGGGCTTTCCATTTTCTTTGAAATTTGTGCATATGTAGCCAGGATGCCTGCTAAGGATCCAGTACGTCAGTTTCAGCCAGTTGTTCTTTTCTGCCTTTCCATTTCTGCACACGTGTCTTCTCTAATCTGCAAAATTATCTTCTTCATTTGGCCAAACCCTATCCATTTGTCTAGGGTGGTTCATGTTCCTTCTCCACCATAAAATTTTTCTTATTATTCCAACCCTATTGCTGTTCCTTACCTCTGAAATTCCAAGTAATTTCCAATAACATCTGCTGTCTAATTTGGTCTTTATTCAGGGATTAAGAGGAGTAAGCTAACATTTTTTGAGCCTTTACCTTATATACTTTTACATACATTATCCATCAACTATAAATTTCTATTTCTTCATTATATTTCTGCATTTTGCCCTTATTATTTTTTCGCACTCGATAGTCACCCAGATGTTGTGATACATTTCCGGAGTTTCAGTAATGACATTCAAATTTTATATTTCTTGTCCATGCATTGCTCCTGATTGTCATACCTATATTTCCAAAGATCTAATTTCATCTCCACCTAGAAATGCATCACAAGCATTTTAAAGGAAACTGTCCTAAAGGAAAGCATTCAAAGCCACAGGTATCATCCTCCCTGCCACACTTGCTTATCTCTTTAGATTTCCAAGTGGTAAATAGCACATCATGCATCAAGACACATTCCTCTTTGCTATGTCCCTCTGCCTCATTCCCTATGATCATGTAGTGAAAAGAAAAAAAAAATTATGATTTTTCTCTTGAACTTCACCTCTTCTCCTCATGGGCCTGCCCTCCAATTCTTACTTCCACTTCCTGGGATCAGCCATTTGAAGTCATGTGCAACAAGTTTGGCGAGCTATCTGTCAGGGCAAAAATGACAATTTCTAAACTCCTTAGTCATTGAAGGTACTCTGTGATATGAAGCATGAATTCTTCTTTTCAGTCTTCAGAATTATCAATTACTATGAAAATTTACTTGCATTTTCTTAAACACTCAGGATGTTTCATTCCTCTCGGCTTTTGTGTGTGTGTGTGTGTGTGTGTTTGTCCAGAATTCTGCCCCAAATGGTTCTCACTTTCTTATTTTTTTAGCGATGTTTGAAAACACAAAACAAGTGTCACTTCTTCTGTGAAGACCTTCATGTTAAGAAAATAGGTTTAAGTATTCCTCCCTTTCTGATCATTTAATAATGCCTCTGAAATTCCATTGTAATCATTTATTCGTTTCTACTATGAGACTGCGCTATGTTCTGAATGCTGTGTCTTCTCCAAATTCATATGCTGAAATTAAAATTAGGAAGTGGGGCCTTTGGGAGATGACTAGACCATGAAAGCAGAGCCCTCAGGAATGGAATTAGTGCCCTTATAAAAGAGGTCTGAGTAAGCTCTCTTGCCCCTTCCCCCCCGACTAAACATAAGAAGATGGCTGTCTATGAAGCAGAAAGTGGGTCCTCCCCAGACACCAAATCTTCCAGCGCCTTGATATTGGACTTTCCAGCCTCTAAAACTATGAGAAAAGCATTTCTATTGTTTACAAGGCACCTATTCCATAGCACTTTGTTGTAGCACCCTAAAGATACTAAGACAGACTCTAAATTCTGTGAAGCAGTATGTCTCAAACTTTGTCCATTGAACCAAATAAATCTTAAAAGTGAAAAAAGTAGCCCTTAAAACACCAGTCCCAGGATCCCCCATCAGAATTACTACAATAGAATATATGGGGGTGGGGCACTTGAGTCCACATATTAACAGAATCTATTCCAGGTGTAACTAGGAACAGGGAGTTTATCACAACAATTGCTCTCCAATTCAGTCAGATCAATATGGCACTTAATTTAGCATTTGGGGGAGGAGCCATTTGCAAAGCTTTTTAGATCTTATTTTGTGTCTTCCCAGATTACCGTGCTTCAGAGAAAGATTTGCTTAGAGTATAGTAAATTAGATCACATGAGTCACTCTTACTGAAGTACAAGAGTCCTGCATCAGAAAGGCAGATTTGCCAAGAGCAGAATTTCAGTAATCACATGTGAACATGGCATTTAGAGTTGAGGTGCTGCTGTGCAGAGTACTTGGAGCTTTTAATGACTCTGACTTTTTATTATTATGACAAGTTTGATTAGCAGACACAAAAATGAGTGAAACAAGTTCCCTTGAATTACCACCCAGGTTAAGTAATAAAAGATTAAATGTAATATTGAAGTTTTCTGGGTACTCTTCCAGATTGAATCTCCCTTCTAAGAGGTAACCAGTGTGGTAAATTTGCTGTTATTATTTCTATGCATTTTCTCTTGAGTTTACTGTATATATTACATATTTAATTCATATATAGTATTGTCTTAAGTAAATAAAATATTAGCCTAAATTGTCAAATATTGTTTGCATTCTTGGAAATATTTTTTTATGATTAATTCAAGTTGCTTCGGGTACAGTTACTTTATTCATATTCATTGCAATATAGTGTTCTATAAATACTATAAGTATATACATATATTATATTTTTAAATATATTATTATTATATATTTAGTAGGTATGGTAAAAATATATAGTATATTTTATATATAGTACATATATTTCATATATAATATAGTGCATATATATTATAGTATATATACAGTATTAAAATATGTATTATATTTTATGTTTTTCTCTCTCATTTATAGGTATTTTTCTTACTATAACAGACTGTAGCAATTTTTTGGCACATGTCTCACTGTGCACACATACTTTTTAGATATTTGCCTAGAAGTGAAATTGCTGATGACGTGTAATGTGTTTCTTCTCTTTTTTGCCCCCAAACCCATAACAGTACCCTGTAGTATTTGTAATTTGCAAAATTACATAATTTGTAATTATGTTTAGCCAGAATTAAAGACCATTTTTTAAGACAAACTGTATAATCTCTTATACTTGTGAAAGCCCCCATGAATATTTAATAATGTCACATTTTGTAATTTTGCCAGTTGAATGGTTTTAATTTGTCTTTTCTGATTATTAGTGTGGTGAGCATGTTTTCATAGAACATTCAGGTTTTTTTTTTTTGCTGTGAATTGCTTAAACATAATTTTTACCCATTTCTCTAGTGAGACATTTATCTTTTTTCTTATAGATTATACAAATTCTTTATATATCCTGGATTCTATTTTTTTTTTTTTTTTGGTATTGCATTGGAAATATATTTTCCTAGGCTGTTTTATCTTTTTTCTTCTTAATGAAGGAAATAATTTTGTATCGTTTTTTCAAATATGATATACACTGTGCTTTGTTAAAATTGATTACCTTTTATTACATTTTTCCTTTTTCCATCTTGTTTTGGGAAACCAATCTTTATGGTGAAGTCATAAAATACTTCTTATATTTTTTCTGAAAATTTTTCACTTGTGCTTTTTTTTTTTTTTTTTTTTTTTTTTTTTTTTTTTGAGATAGGGTCTCACTGTCTCACCCAGGCTGGAGTGCAGTGGCGCGATCTCGGCTCACTGCAACCTCCGCCTCCTAGGTTCAAGCAATTCTCCTGGCTCAGCCTCCCGAGTAACTGGGACTACAGATGCACACCACCACACCCAGATAATTTTTGTATTTTTAGTAGAGATAGGGTTTCACCTTATTGGCCAGGCTGGACTCAAACTCCTGACCTCAGGTGATCCACCCACCTCAACCTCCCAAAGTGCTGGGATTACAGGCATGAGCCACCACTCCCCGCCTCAGTTTTGCTTTTTACATTCAGGTCTTTTGATCTACCTGGAATTGATTTTTTGTTTTATGTGCTGAAAAATATGACTGCCACTCATAAGTGTTCCATATGTGGGTGGGCTAGCACTGCCATTTGTTTATAAGGCTGGTTGGCATCTGTCCTCATGTGAGACACTTGTTTCTGGTTATTGTCTGTCAGGTTGGTTTGTGGATGGTCATCTCACTGAATCATCACAATGTTAATGAACCAAAGTGAAAAGCATTAATTAAGACTTCAAACAAAATCGGATTATGTTTAGCCAGAATTAAAGACCATTTTTTTAAGACAAACTGTATAATCTCTTTAAATCGTATGTGAATTGCTCATGTTCAATGAGTCCTTAGCTATGCATAGCGTCATTTACTTAGTTTTAGTTCTTTATAGAGTATATTAATGAATCCTGTTTACTAAGGATGAACTTTCCTTGTGTATAGGACTATAGCAAAGGTAAACCTTAGAAATGGACTTCAGTACTTGGAAGGAAGAAGCATGACTCACTGTACGACTGTTGCATGACTGACCATTTGCCAGGTGAATTAGAACCTGGAGACAGAACATTTCAGCACAACAGCCAACAGCTTCTGATCAATGTGTAACCCTTGAATAAGCACTCAAAAATATTAATCCAAGCACAAAATGTTTCGAAAGGAAATTATTCCATCATATTGTATATATTATATTAAATTTTACCCTGGAATGAGGAACTAGGAAGATTGTAAAACAACTTCACTTACTTATACGCAGTCATAGAAAGTATTCTGTAAGAATTTACTTTTTATTCTCCAATTAAAAACCTCATACTAAACAAGCATGCTTTGTGCTAAACAAGTATTGGATTATTTAAATATTGGGTATTAATTTAAGAGAGTGTTAAAAAATGGCCTGGTTTAGCCAATGACAGATGCATAAATTCATAAGCTTACCTAAAATTAATCTCTATACCAAATATAAATTATATTCATACCAATAATTTTGATTTCTTCCAGTTAATGGTTTTTGTCACAATTCTGATAAAGGAAAGAAATTATTTTGGAAAATGAACAAATTTATTGTGTGCTTTTATTCATTCTTTTTGGCCCTTTTTTATATGACTTCAAGTTTGAGTTCTTCAGCACTCTGCCTTTCATAGACTCCAGGCTACTTTCCTAAGTTCTTTCCCTTTCCCCACCTGTCTCCTAAGTATAGTCTGCCTTACAATACAAGGTACACTTTACCCTCCCTCAACACACCACTCTGTTTCCAACTCATTGCCTTCCCCTTCTTGTCTTCTCAAAATACCTTTCTTCTTTTCTCTCTGTAGAGAATATGTTCATCCTTCAAGATATAACTTTATTGTTATGACCCTTCTGAATCATATTCCTATAGAAAGATCATCTCTCTCTCATTCGTGTTTGAATAAGACTGAGCACTTACCTGTATTACCCTTTAGTACAGCATTATTTGTGTCAATCTTAATAATCAGACTGTGACTAACTAGGACAAAGATGACAACAATATATCACTGTATTTATCTAAACTTGTACTGTCTAATACTCTAACCACTAGCTACATGTGCCTATTGACACTGAAAATGTGCTAGTGCAACAAAGGAACTGATTTTTAAATTAAATTTATTTTAATTTAGAGTTTCAGTTTAGATAGCCAATTTTATGCAATGAATATGTGGCTGGTGGCTACTGTCTTGGATAGAGCAGATACAGACGGTTTCCATCATCAGAGAAAGTTCTATTGGACAGTGTTGGGAAGAATAGACTCACAGTAAAATTAGAAGGAGATGAATTTATGAATAAAATAGTTTTACAGGGCATGGTAATAACATCAATGCTTTAATTTTCAGTGGATAGCTGCCACAGAGTTGTATTATACTAATGATTGTGTTGGTAAGGATAATTTTGCAACTTTGCAGATTTCAGCATGTCCTGCAAAGACAGATAATCTCAGCCTGATCAAGAAGGTAATGACAATGTGAACCATCAAAGGAACTAAAAGAAGAGTTAAAGCTATTTTTGGTGAATTCTTTAAATATTCAACCACAACTTCTTTTCCTGAGATGGAAGTGTAGTAATCATCATCCTTTAAGACACTGGGCTATAAAAAATGCGATTGAGCCAGTGGTCATAATTCCTTCCCTTAATGTTTTGATTCCTTCATGTGAGAAGATATATTCATGTCCTCTTTTTCAAATATTGGATTCAATTTGACATTAATTTCCATTAGGGTGACTATTATTATTATAGTTATTATTTAGAGATAGGGTTTCATTCTGTCACCCAGGCTGAAATGCAGTAGCACAATCATAGCTCACTGCAACCTTGAACTCCGGGGCTCAAGTGATCTTCCTGCCTCAGCCTCCCAAAGCTCGGGCATTACAAGTGTGAATCACTCTGCCCAGCCTAGGATGGCATATATATATATGGAGAGAGAGAGAGAGAGAGAGAAAGAAAGAAAGAGAGAGCAAGTATTGACAAGAATAAAAAATTGGGGCTGGTTCTGCCTGTTGCTTATAGAGCTGTTTTGTCCTCTGTCCTCATTTGAGACACTTGTTTCTGGTTATTGTCTGTCAGGTTGGTACGTGGAGAGTCATCTCACTAAATGATCACAATGTTAATGAATTAATTAAGACTTCAAACAAAATCGGATTATGTATTGCTGGTGGAAACGTGAAGTGGTACAGGCACTGTGGAAATAATATGTTGGTTCCTAAAAAAATTAAACATAATTATTAAATAATCCAGCAATTCTACTTCTGGGTACATATCACAAGAACTAAAAGCAGAGACTCAAACAAAGTATTTGTACAGCAATGTTTGTACATCCTTATTCACAATAGCCAAAAAGTAGAAAAGCCCCAGTGTCTATGGATGAATGAATGAATAAACAAACAATGATCTATTATGTACAATGAAATTTTTTTCAACCATAAAAAGAAATGAAATTCTGATACACACTACAACTACAATGTGGGTGAACTTTGAAAACATTATGATAAATAAAATATGCCAAAAAACAGGATAAATATTATGTGGTTCCACTTATATGAGGTACCTAGAATAATCAAAGTCACAGAGATACAAAGTAGAATGGTGGTCAGCAGGGATTAAGAGGAGGGAGAGATGGAAAGTTATTGTTTAATGAATACAGAGTTTTCAGTTTGGGATGATGAAAACATTAAGGAGATGGATTGTGGTGATGATTGCACAACAATTTGAATGCACTTAATACTACTGAGTTAAACACTTAAAATGGTTAAAGGCATACATATATTTTACCACAATAAAAAAGACTTCGATAAATATTTATTATGGAATCATTTTTGCTTGGACATCCTTACCCCTTAGAAAAATATCTCTACTTTTTTTTTTTTTTTTTTTTTTTGAGATGGTGCTTCGCTCATTTTGCCCAGGCTGGAGTGCAGTGGCACCATCTCGGCTCACTGCAATTTTTGCCACCCTGGGTTCAAGCAATTCTCCTGCCTCCGCCCCCTGAGTAGCTGGGATTACAGGCATGCGCCACCACACCTGGCTAATTTTGTATTTTTAGTAGAGACAGGGTTTCACCTTGTTGTTCAGGCTGATCTCGAACTCCTAACCTCGTGAACCGCCCGCCTTGGCCTCCCAAAGTGCTGGGATTACAGGCATGAGCCACCGCACCCAGCCCAATATGTGTACTTCTAATGAGGCGTGTCAATGTCCTCTAAAAATGTTCATTTTAAAGATAGCACCATAGAATAATAGACTCTTCACCTATTAATATTAGGAGGAAGGCAATAAATCAAGAGATTTTGTGGAAAATGAACATACCTACAATGCATCTGCCCTATGGACTGTAATATACTAAACAAGTATATTTAATAGAGAAAATAAAATATTTAACAGTGAATATTGTGATTCTGGATATGAGAGCTGGTGAGGTATGATGGAAGTTTTGGAATGAAATGACTGGATAGCCAAATGCAGTAGGTAGATGTAAAACCCCAGGAGGACTTCCTGTTGAGTATGATACAAAGTGGTCAATAAGGCAATGTCTTGGCCACCTGCACATGCAAACTGCCAGATCAAGGACTAATATGATCAAATGGGATTACTCCAGTGACAAAAATGTGTGCTGAGATCGTGAATTGCAGATTATGGAGCATCTGCTCCCTTTCTGACTCCTTGGGGGGCAGGATATGTACAAGGAAGGTTCTTGTAGTGATGGTGAGAGCACTGATTGCTCTTGGTGCTGGAAATAAGCCACAGTCACATCCTCTTGTTTTTTTTTCTTCTTATTATAATGATTCACATTCTGATTATAACATCTCTTTAATCCATCTTCCTATTCCAGTGTCATTAAATTTTTTAAATAGATGTAATTTGGCATCCTACAGATAACACTCTTTTCAGATGATGCTCGAGGGTACTTAAAACCCTCCCTGAGACTGACTGCCCTTTTTACATTACACAAAGATAAAGCTTTTCATCTAACACGCAGAGGGCATGAGCTGTGAGGGTTTTTTTGTTTTGTTTTTTGTTTTCAGAAGAGTAACCCATTGGGCTAACTTGGTTGTACTCTTTTGCTTGATGCTGTTGCTTGTAGATGGGTTTCCATGGAATTAAATTCAGCTTAATAAGCACAAGAGGGTAGAAAGAAGATCTTGATTATCTATTAGAATAATATTCTAATTTAGAAAAATTAAGCAATTATTTTCATTCTAAGCATCGTGAGATAATTTGAGGGTATAAGAAACTATTATTAAAGTGATATCAGGGCCTGGAACAATGACTCACACCTGTAATCCCAGCACTTTGGGAGGCAGAGGCAGATGGATCACCTGAGATCATGAGCTCAAGAATAGCCTGACCAACATGGTGAAACCCCGTTTCTACTAAAAATACAAAATTAGCCGGGCATGGTGGTGCATACCTGTAATCCCAGCTACTCGGGAGGCTGAGGCAGGAGAATAGATTGAACCTGGGAGGCAGAGGTTGCAGTGAGCCGATATCACACCATTGCACTCCAGCCTGCGCAACAAGAGTGAAACTCCATCTCAAAATAATTAAATAAATAATTAATAAATACTTAAAAGTGGTATCAGGTAATTAGAGCTTGGGTAGGGGAAAATATTAAGAGAAAATTGTTTGCGCTTTGTCCAGAGCCATCGTCTTAGCTAACAGACTAGTAAATATGGTCTTTATTTTGCCTTAGTTGCTAATTCCAGAGCAGCAAAGAAAGATTTTGGTTGGAAAACTAAAAAGCCTTGCCTGTTTTTCTGCGGTCCAGGCACTTTATATTTCATCCTATTCCTTCTCCATTAAGTCTCTCCAAACTGCCTATGAGGAGAAAGAATGATAGAGTGGGAACATAGACATGGAGCTAGCGTTGCTGAGATGCTCGGTCATTCGCAGGATCTTCTTCTCATTGGTTCCTATAACCTTGTCTTCATTCACTTTGGCATTCTTATCTTCTGTTACTTACCGTCTTAAAATGAACAAGGGACTGAGTTGAACAAGTTATAGTTCACTTCAACAGGCATCTATTAAATACCAATCTGTATAAGGCAGGGAGCTAGACACTTGTAGGCACTGAAGTGAATACAAGTGATTTCCACCCTCAGGTTACAGCATAGACCAGTCCCACAGCTTCAGTGGGGTTCTCTCTCTCTGCTTTCCTGTCCACTTCTAACATTGCATATAAAATATGCTTATATAATCCTATTTCAGAATAATCACTGCTTATCTTCAGAGACAACCATTTCCTTGGGGCCATGGCTCATCAGATTTCCTCCTTCATGTATTTCCAACCTCTTTAATAATTGACTTCTTTACCTATTTTTATAATTATTTCAATCCTAGAAAGAACATTGGTCAAAGTTTTCATAATCTTTTCTCACAAGGTATTTCCTTGTATCCTTAGACCACCCGCACCCTTAAAAACCAAACTTTATGAAATAGTGTCCTTTTTGGCTGTCTCCTGTTCTTCACCCTCAACCAATGGTAGATTTGGACAGCTCTAATCTGATCATGTTTAGATCCCATAAATGTTTAAAGTTGCCAAATCAACAGTCTAGCTTCAGACTTCATCCTATTTCAAATTTTTGCATCATTTTAAATTTATCAAGTAAGTTCAAAGACACCATTCTCTCCCAGATTTTCTCCAAATCCTTGACCTTTCCATTTCCTTTGCTGCCTCTTTCTCCTCTGTGAGTGTTTCAAAAGCTGTGTATTCCCCAGGTTCTACCCATAAAGCTTTTCTGTTAGGATTTGGTGGATTCTCTCTTAATGCTCTTCTTTACATCTATGACTTCAACTTTTATGTAAAGGAGAACAAAATGACATGGTATTAATAATAATAATTGGCAAAGATATTTCTAGATGATGTCTGTAGAACACTTACTGCTTGCTCAACATCAGGAGAAGCACCTTTATAATTTTTTGCACACACTCTTGCAAATCACTGAGTGGACAATATCATCACTGATTTGCAGATAAGTCTCTCATGTACAAGGTTTCATGGCAGAGCTTAGGTTCAACCCTATTTTGTCTGACTTCTGAGTCCAGGCTCTTAACATTAAAAGACTTCTTGCAAATAGATCACCCTGACAGAGGCTCTCAATTTAGCTATATTCTAAAATCATCTGGGAAAGTTTTTTTTTTTTTAAATCCCAGTATCCAGTTTGCACCCCAATCATTTAAATCAGAATTGCTGGGAATGTGAACTAAGTGTTAATATTTTTAAAAAGTAATTTAGGTGGTTTGAATAAGCAGCAAAGTTGAGAACCACAGGTCTATACTAAATATTTTGATGGTACTCAAGTGTATTTATTTTTCTAGCACTGATCTCTGTCTCTCCAGCTTTATTTTCATTTTACAAAATATTTTCCAGGCTTTACTATGCCTCTTCATTTGTCTGCCCTCATTCCCACCCAAATGAACTAATGATCAGTCACTCTCTACCTAAAGATTAATAGTTGCCTTCTAAATCCTCAATCGTATTAGATTTTCCCCACTCCCTACTGCCTCCGGTCTTTTAAATTAAGCCTGTAGACTTAATTGGGATTTCCCTCAGTCTTTATAGTTGATGATCCCTCATTTTTAAAATTGTATCTCAGTCATATTCTTTCTAATATTCTTTATCTTCTTCATTATCTCTGCAAGTAAAGTCACTCAGGCTGTCCTCATCTCCTGTGTGGAATTTTGTAGCGGACTCCCTACCTATTTTCCATAATTATAGCCTCTCCTTGATTTATTTTTTCCTTTGTTTTATACTGTCAGTGTTAACTTTCAAATATGCCAATCAGCTGTGCTGCTCTTTCAATAAAATTTTTGCTTTACTGCCTGCAGAATAGAGTCCAAGCAAATTACCATAATTTGTGAGACCTTTCACCCTCTGCACACACCTTTCTTCCTCACCTAATTTCTTTTCACTTGATT
Source organism: Homo sapiens (assembly GCF_000001405.40). NCBI lineage: Eukaryota > Metazoa > Chordata > Mammalia > Primates > Hominidae > Homo > Homo sapiens. The sequence goes on along the minus strand of NC_000003.12, from coordinate 79,752,516 downwards.
GAAACACCCTACATTCTAAAGCCCTTTCTATAAGCTCCCATGGCACCACTATGTTCCATTTTTTAAAATGTCTCATCATACTTATTCAATGCCTGTCTTCTCTAATAGATTGCCGGCACCCAGAGAGAAGAATGGGTGACTCTATGTCCATTGCTACCAGAGTGCTTTAAACATAGGTTTTATTAAAAAATTATGTGTTGAGTGAATAAATGTATAAAGTAATGCATGCAGAAACTTCTCAAGACTGTCATTTCACATTTTTTCTCTGAGTGGAATTACCAAGTACTCTTCCTCTCTCTTCTTTATCTGCTAAACTCATATTTTAAATGTGAAATACACAAATCCACTATTTCTGCAATTCACTTTACAGAAACAGTAGCTTTCCCCTGTTGCTTCCATGGTGTGTTGTTCCTACATCTGTCAGAATTGTATCAGATAAAAATGTGTTGGCTTGTTTCCCTTTTCAAATAAAAATACCCTACTATAAGGGACATATTGTTTTCGTTTGTAGCTGCTATGCATATGGTAGTGCCTGCTACAGGTGATAATTACATTCTTAACTTTGTTGAATGGATGACTGGTTTCCTATATTATTGAGTGTATTTAATGACCCTGGCCAGTGACATTCTGGCAACTCTATTTAATGGTAAGACTGTGCACCTGTCTTCTGGATAAAATAAATGGAAAAGTATAATGGTTGTCTAATACCCTGTGACTAATCATTAATGATCCTATGAGTAAAGAAAATTATTTAATTTGTTATCTGAATAATCAGATTTTCATTGCTTTGTAAGCCCATGCCCATATTATTGTAGATAAAAATTGCAAGATACATTGAAATACGATAACCATCCTTAAATATTTAAGCCTTTCTTCTTAGTGAAAAAGAAATGATCTTATACTTCACTTGTACATTTAACAGTGGGTAGTAGTCCATATACAAACATCAGGATACTGTAGATATATATTTGCTTTATGGACTTTAACAATAGCACTTAGCTAAATTATCAAACACAGATAAGTGATTTTACCTATTGAATTTTATTAATCCCCCTTCCCTAATTTTGATGAGGATATATTGAATTTTTAAATTTCTAGTAGAAAATATGACTATCCTACATTTATATTGCAGTGCTATAGAATATTTTCAATCTCAAGACATTTTTGCAATTAATAATACATTTTAATGATATGATAATACAATAACTGAATTTACATGTATTCAAGAATAGAAGGCAATATAAATCATAAACAGTATGTAAAATGTGTATTTAATTACAGGGAATAAGTGACTACCACAGTTTATCCTTGTGTATTGAGATATAGGATATAGAAAGAATCTCCAAAACAAATTAAAATATTAAGATTCAACAGCAAGATAAATTTCCATTTGATTTGCAAAACTGTAAAACTAACACGATGTCAGCCAATGTTTTCTTGGAGGAAAGAAGAATATTTCTTCAAGCTACTGTGCCATAGAGTTAGACTACAAATCTACATGAAATTATTTATTTTAAAGTAATTATTTCTCTGGTTAATTTTAGAACAACCAAGTATATTAAAAAATTAATGGTTTGTTTATTTTAGCCACATTTTTCTTCTGTGGTGCTAGCTTCATAATACCTGCAAGTGACAGTTGACTCATCACCTGAAACAATCAGAGAATTTAAGAAAACAGAAAAGACCATGTATTAGTTCATATTCAAGCTGCTAATAAAGACATACCCTAGACTGAGAAGAAAAAGAGGTTTTAATGGACTTACACTTCCACATGACTGGGGAAGCCTCACAATCATGATGGAAGGCAAGGAAGAGCAAGTCACATCTTACGTGGATGGCAGCAGCCAAAGAGCTTGTGCAGGCAAACTCCCATTTTTAAAGCCATCAGATCTCAGGAGATTCATTCACTGTCACAAGAACAGCACAAGAAAGGCCCACCCTCATAATTTATTCACCTCCTACTGGATTCCTCCTACTACATGCTGGAATTGTGGGAGTTACAATTCATGTTGAGATTTGGGTGGGGACACAGCCAACTCATATAATTCTGCCCTGGCCCCTCCCAAATCTCATGTCCTCACATTACAAAACCAATCATGCCTTCCTAACAGTCCCCCAGAGCTTTAACTCATTTTAGCATTAACTCAAAAGTCCACAGTCCAACATCTCATTTGAGACAAGGCAAGTCCCTTTTGCCTATGAGCCTGTAAAATCAAAAACAAGTTAGTTACTTCCTAGATACAATGGAAGTACAGGCATTGGGTAAATATATCTGTTCCAAATGGAAAAAGTGACCAAAACAAAGGGGCCACAGCCCCCATGCAATTCTGAAATCCAGCAGAGTAGTAGAACCTTAAAGCTCCAAAATGATCTCCTTTGACTCCATGCCTCACATCCAGGTCATGCTGATGCAAGAGTCGTGTTCCCATGGTCTTGGGCAGCTCCACCCCTGTGCCTTTGCAGGGTACAGCCTCCCTCCTGGCTGCTTTTATGGGCTGGACTTGAGTGTCTGTGGCTTTTCCAGGTGAACAGCACAAGCTGTTGGTGGATCTACCATTCTGGGATCTGGAGGATGTTGGCCCTCTTCTCAGAGTTCCACTAGGTGGTGCACCAGTAGGGACTCTGTGTGGGGGCTCTGACCCCACATTTCCCTTCCACACTGCCCTAGCAGTGTTTCTCCATGAGGTCCCTTCCCCTGTGATGAACTTCTGCCTGGGTATCCAGGCATTTCCATATATCCTCTGAAATCTAGGTGGAGGTTCCCAAACGTCAATTATTGACTTCTGTGCACTTGTAGGTTCAACACCACATGGAAGCTGCTAAGGCTTGGGGCTTGCACCCTCTGAAGCCATGGGCCAAGCTCCCTTTCAGCCATGGCTGGAGTTGCTGGAACACGGGGCACCAAGTCCCTAGGCTGAACAGAGTAGGGGGACTCTAGACCTGGAACACAAAACCACTTTTTAGTCCTAGACCTCCAGGCCTGTGATGGAAGGGGCTGCCATGAAGACCTCTGACATGCCCTGGAGGCATTTTCCACATTGCCTTCGGAATTAACATTTGGATCCTCATTATTTATGCAAATTTCTGCAGGTGGCTTGAATTTCTCCTCAAAAATTGGGATTTTATTTTCTATCATATTGTCAGGCTGCAAATTTTCCAAACTTTTATGCTCTGCTTCTGTTATAAAACTGAATGCTTTTAACAGCACCCATATCACATCTTGAATGCTTTGCTGCTTAGAAATTTCTTCTGCCAGATACCTTAAATCATCTCTCTCAAGTTCAAAGTTCCACAGTCTCTAGGGCAGGGGCAAAATGTCACCAGTCTCTTTGCAAGATTCACCCTTACTCCAGTTTCCAACAAGATCCTCATCTCCATCTGAGAACACCTTAGCCTGGATTTCACTGTCTGTACCACTATCAGCCTTTCGGTCAAAGCCATTCAACAAGTCTCTAGGGAGTTCCAAACTTTCTCACATTTTCCTGTCTTCTTCTCAGCCCTCCAAACTATTCCAACTTCTGCCTGTTTCCAACTTGCAAAGCCACTGCCACTTTTTTTGTGTATCTTTTCAGCAGGACCCCACTGTACTCATTTACTGTATTAGTCTGTTTTTATGCTGCTGATGAAGACATGCCTGAGACTGGGAAGAAAAAGAGATTTTAATGGACTTACAGTTCCATGTGGCTGGGGAAGTCTCACAATCATGGTGGAAGGCAAGTAGGAGCAAGTCACATCTTACATGGATGACAGCAAAGAGCTCGTGCAGGCAAACTCCTGTTTTTAAAGCCATCCGAGCATGTGAGACTTATTCACTATCATGAGAGTAGCACAAAAAAGACCCATCCCCATAATTCAATCACCTCCCACCAGGTTCCTCTCACAACACATGGGAATTGTGGGAGTTACAATTCAAGATGAGATTTGGGTGGGGACACAGCAAAACCATATCAAACCAGAAAAGAAATGTAGAGATTTGCCATTTGGTAACATATCTCTTATTTCAAATAAAAATATTGAAATAAAACTAATTAGGTTTAAACACCATAATTTAAATGTGTATGGAGATCCATATTAAGAATATATTTCCACATGTAAAGACTACAGATGCCCCATAATCAATCTCTCCCATCTGATACATAGGTAATAAAATTGTGTGTTTTACGATATAATTCAGATTCATTTAAAAATATTTGTAACAGTATTTCACAAGCGTCCCTTTTGTTCATTATTACTTTATAACCTCTGAATCTGAATATCCCAAATAATGTTTCACTAAGTGCATATCTCACTATCAGGTAGCTGATGGTCTCTTGAATTCATTTCAATAAAAGATGAAGATTTATTTAACTGTATTCTACTATTTGTTATTTGAAATAATTTATGTAAAAATTATATGAAAAGCAGAAAATTTTCTAGAAAATTGGAAGTACCAATATACTTTAATCTAACAAAATCTGCAGTAGTATTTTTTTTTGGTTACTGAACAACCATGCATTTTTATGAGCAAATAGAAATCCAAGTAAAAAAGAAAATATTAGGATAGTTTGGTCAACCATATTACAAATAATTGTATGTATTCATATATTTAGTCATACCAACAATTTCAAATTATTTTTCTTTTTTCTTGTTTTTGTTTTCTCTTTATAGTGGTGTTATTTGATCATTTATCCTATCTCCATTTTTTGTACATTATTTTTCATTGCATATTTCCTCCAGCTTTGACACACATTTTCATTTTCCTGAAACACACTACATATTTGTCCAGTATATTTCTTAAATATTAGTCACATCTAACATTTAGTCATTTTTATCACTCTCAGTTTTCCTGGGATGTCTTTTAGTTTGTGGGGTGACTATGTTACACCTGTGACTATAGAAAATATTATGCTCAGAGGAACTATAGTTTCTTGTTCAAGATATTCCTTATTAAGCAGTTTAAACTGGAACTCCGCTTTCTGTTATATCACATAAGCCATCAATGTATACTTTCTCATTACTTTTAGCTCTCTGAGATGTTTACTTCCCAATTTCTTCTTCCATTAAAATTTTACTTTTTCTTAGGAGTATAATGCCTACACAAACAAATTATATTGTTCTTTCCATAAAAATATAATTTATCCAAGCTCATTAACATAGAGTGCTTTTAAAATCTGTATGTACATATATACACACATGTATACATACATAATCTCTATATTACCATTTCAAACCTCCTTGTTGGAGTCCTGGTATCCTATTTAAATCCAGATAAACAAACATATTTTCAAAATAAATGAAAACAAAGAACTGAGCACACTCTAAGATTCCCTGAGTGCATTGCATTTTCAGCTAGCATTCTCTCTAATCAGCCGTTGAAACCTAGAAACACATCTGCAAGCAAAATATAGTTACATTTAAAAAAGGAAAACCCAATTTGTAGAATGAAAGTGAGTTTATATTCCCTACTTAGACCTGGATGATTTATGGGCTGGAATACTCCTTTACATACCAAAAATAATATTGAATACATAGCTTAGAAATTAAATAAGAGTTTAAGCCCAGCTTTCTTATTTAGCAAAGTATAACTGATCACCTGAAATAATGCTTTTTTACAAAGAAAATGATATTGAATTAAAGCTAAATTAGAAATTGAATACTTTAATCCATGATTCTTTATAATTATCAGCCAAGTCTTATGCAAATGTAAGCTATCACAGCAACAAATGTGTGTTTTTGTTAAAATTACTATTTTAGGCTATCTCTGAAAAAGCTAGGCTCCATTGCAGGTTCAGTCATGTGTTTTGATTTATTTGTGACATAAAACTTACAAATGAAGTAAAATATTAGGACTAAAATCTCAGAATATCAAAAGTGGAAGATACTCTGTGGTATATTTCTCATTTCATTACTTTGTGGAATAGAAACCAGAGGCCCTGAAATGGAAATTGATATCAGGACAGGAAAAGTGAGGTAGAAATTGAGCTAACATAACTGTTGTTATAAATTGGTCATTGAAATTACTTTTGTTTTGAAAATACCTCTTATTACAACATGTTTGTTTTAGAAGATGATGTTGGAAGAATTCCAAATTAGAATAGGAATTGTAAAATAATTATGGTTTAAGCACTGTATCAGTAAAGTGGCCACAAATTAATTAATGCTTGTATCACAAGTCAGCTATTCATATCTCTCAGTCATCTTAAAAAGTGGCGATTTCTTTTTTCTTCTAAAAATTAATGTAGATTTTTATAACATTTTATCTCCAAAATCTCAGTATTTTTAAAGATTAAAGAGGATATGTTAATCACATCTATGGTACACAGAAATGTACCATTTCATTCCTGGATGGATGCATGGAAAAAATGGAATTGAAAACTTTCCCTAGAACTAATCCATGATAAACCCTAAAAAGAATGATTCCAAGTGAATATCCCACTTATGATAGAAATAGGGAAAACATTATATCATGATTGCCTCAATTATTCACTTTCCCTTTTACACTTTGTTATAAAGTTTCAAAGCACATTCTCGTATTCTGTGGCCAGTGTATCTGTTAAGTTAACATGAAAGCAAACATAAAGCAATTTTTAAAATTATGCCTTTACGTGAAGAGAACATATAATTATATGAATAAAAGCAGGGGTTCATAATTAAGAGCATTTTTAAGGGGTAAAAAGCCACAAATGAAGAAAAAAAGAATAAACTAACTTGACCTTAAGCCAATTGTATACATATATAGTTTTATTAATCCTTAATGAACTAACTTATTTCCTTATAATTGTAATTACACTCTAATAGACTATACTAAAGTGTATTTTCCAAAAATGAAAAGGGACATGACCATTTGTTACACCTTGGCTATCTCTTTTTACATGATAATGACACTTTACTTTTTTCTGAGTTTACAGGATAAATATTATCACACCCATTTTGAAAATAAAGAAAAAAGGCTAATGACACAACCTGTAAGAAGCATAGGCAGGCTTCAACCCTAGCTGTGTCTGGCTCCACATTCCTTATGACATATCGCCTTTGTATTGATTCTGTTAAATGTGAATGAGTCTCCTTGCAGACTACTCTGATACATTTCCCAGTCAGTGACAATTGTCATAAAAACTGAAGAATTACATAAATGTGTTTCTCCTATTTTTTTAAAAAAGACAAGAACCAGATTCTATTTTTCACTGTTTTTGGTAATTGGAGATCATGTACATTAATACGATTATTTCCTTTGTGTTTTAACATCTTTAAGTAATAGTATTCTATTTAGATGTTACATCTCATACATACCAATGCTGCTGTTGAAGAATATGGTCTCAGTTTGAATATTTCAGGGCAGAGCAGGGACAACCAAGGACAATGTGGTGATAAGAACTTCTCTGTGACTGAGTGGTTAGGTTAATGGATGTAAGCTGTACTTAAGGCAAAAACACTCTGAATGGAGGCTTACAGAGGCACCTTTTATTCTTACAAACCACGAAAACACTTAACTAGCACCCTTCTGGCTGAAATAGAAGGTTTGAATAGGAATAATCATTGGATACCATTTATATCCTGGATTATAGAAAAAATAGGCATTTAAAGCATTCACTTTTAGAATATATATATGTTTTTATATATATATTCTATTTTTGACCATATGTATATATATGATCCAAAATATTGTAATTTTTTATCATTCATCACTTCATAAACTGGAATTTTTGTAAAAATGTAGTAACTGTGTAAATTGTGAATAAGGGGCTCTTTGTTAGTATTTATTTTTCTTCACACATCCCTTATTTTATTGTGAAAATGGGGAGTATAAGTTATTCTTGAGATCAGGTATCTTAGTCACCTTGGCCTTCTATAACACAATACAATAAACCGGGTGGCTTAAAGAATAAGTGCTTACTTCTCATAGTTCTGGAGACTGAGAACTTTGAGATCAGGGTGCCAGCAGGGTTGGTCTCTTGGTGAGGGTCTTCTTGCTTTATCCTCACATCATGTAGAAAGAGAGCTAGATCTCTGGCCTGTTCTTATGAAGTCGCTATACCCATTCAAGAGGACTCCATCCCCATGACCTAATTAGCTCCCAAAGGCCCTACCTTCAGACATCATCACATGGAGATTATGGTTTCAACATATGAATTCTGAGGAGACACAATTATTCATTCCATTGCAATAGGGTTTATTTCTTAACTATTTTTTCACACCCAGTACCTCACGCAGACACTAACTCCTAAATACATATTTATATACAGTCATGCACACCCTAACCATGATTCAGTCAGTGATGGACCATATACATGATATATACACACTGGTGGACCCACGAGATTATAATGAAGCTAAAAAATAACTATCGCTTAATGAAGTTATAGCCATTGTAATGCTGCAGCATAACATTACTCACTTGTTTATGGTGGTGCTGATGTAAAAAAATTTACTGCACTGTTAGTCTTGTAATAGTGAAGCACATGCAAATATGTATGGTACAGAATACTTGATAATAAATGACTATGTTACTGGTTTTGTGTATTTACTATACTATACTCTTTACTGTTATTTTAGAATGTACTCCTACTTAAAAAAAAAAGTTAATTGTAAAACAGCCTGAGGCAGGCCCTTCAGGAGGTGTTGCAGAAGAAGGCAGTGTTACCGTAGAGACGACGGCTCCGTGTGCTATTGTTCTGCAGTCCTTCCAGTGGGTCAAGATGTGGAGGTGGAAGGCAGTGATATTGATGACCCGGATCCTGGATCCAGGCTAATGTGTGTGTTCATGTCTTACTTTTAAACAAAAAAGTTTAAAAGTTTAAAAAATGTCAAAAATTGAATAAAAGCTTATAAACTAAGGATATATACAGAAAGAAAATATTTTTGTGTAGCTGTAGAATGTGTGTGTTTAAGCTAAATGTTGTTACAAAAGAGTAAAATATTCATATTGAAAAGTTTACAAAGAAAAAAGTTTCAGTAAGGTAAGGTTAATTTATTAGTAAAGAAAGAATTTTGTAAAATAAATTTAGTGTAGTCTAAGTGTACAGTGTTCATAAAGTCTACAGCAGTATATAGCAATATCCTAGATCTTCACATTAACTCACCAGTCACTCACTGGCTCATTCAGAGCAAATTCAGTCTTGTAACTCCATTCATGGTAAGTGCCTTATACTGGTGAATCATTGAAAACAAATGTATAACATGTTTTTACTCTACCTTTTCTATGTTTAGATATGTTTATATACACAAATACCATTGTGTAACAATTGCATACAGTATTCAGTAAAGTAACCTTTTGTACAGGTTTGCAGTCTAGAAGCAATAGGGTATGTTCTATAGCTCAGCTATGCGGTAGGCTATACCTCCAGGTTTGTGTAAGTACACTCTATGACATTTGCACAACAAAATTGCCTAAGGATGCATTTCTCATAATGTATTTCCATCATTAACTGATACATGATCACTGCCCATAAAGTCATGGTTGGATGGATGGTTGAGTTAAACAAGGCTCTATCTCAGAAAGAGGAAGTTACTTTTTGGGAATATGTTTGCTAGAAACAGAAAAGCACAATGGGCTAATACATTTTCAATCTGCTCAAGTCTAATTTACCCTAAAAATTCCCTTGCCTGATTAAAGTCACTTGGTCACCTTTCACATTCCAACCCAAAGCCCAGAAATGTCTAAATGCTTTTTCCATCATCAAAGCCCAGAACAGAAGGCATTTCACCAAGCCTCTTTGCTTTTGAAGGAAGCTCTTGTAAGAACTGCTAATGTCACAATAATAATAAGAAAAGGAATTACCAGGGAAATCAGAAATGGCTGCTGAATTCTGCAGCAAGCTTAGAGAAACTCTTAGCTATTCTCACATGGCTATAAAGAACTACCTAAGACTGGGTAATTCATAAAGAAAAGAGGCTTAATTGACTCAGTACTGCATGCCATACAGGAGGTGAGGCTGGGGAACCCTCGGGAAATTTACAATCATGGCAGAAGGTGAAGGGGAAGCAAGCACATAGCACATAGTCATATGGCCAGCTGGGAGGCAGTGGGGAGAGAGAGAGAGAGAGAGTCTTGCCGTCTGTTCATCCTCAAGTTTAACACCACAGGGAAACCTTGGTGGCTGCTAGCTTGCACCCTCTGAAGCGGCAGCCTGAAACATATCTGGCCCTTTTAGCCACAGCTGGAGCTGGAGCAGCTGGGATCCAGGACGCTATGTCCAGAGACTGCAAAGAACAGGAGGGCCCTGGGCCTGGCCCACAAAACCAATTTTTCCTCTTAGGCCCCCATGCCTGTAACAGGAGGGTCTGTTGAAAAAACTCTGAAATGTCTTGGAGGCATTTTCTCCAACATCTTGGCTATTAACATTCAACTCCCCTTTACTTATGGAAATTTGTGCAGCAGGCTTGAATTTCTCCCCAGAAAATGGGTTTTTCTTCTCTACCACATGGCCAGGCTACAAATTTTCCAAACTTTTATGCTCTGCTTCCCTTTTAAATATAAGTTCCAGTTTCAGATCATCTCTTTATTCACACATATGACCATATGCTGTTAGAAGCAGCCAGGTCACATATTGAACACTCTGCTGCTTAGAAATATAACCACCAGATACCCTAAATCATCACTTGCAAGTTCAAAGTTTCACAGATCCCTAGAGCAGGGGCACAGTGCTGCCAGCCTCTTTGCTAAAGCATAGTGAGTGACCTTTATTTTAGTTCAAAGCAAGTTCCTAATTTCCATCTGAGTCCTCCTCAGCCTGGACTTTATTGTCCACATCACTATCAGCACTTTTGTCACAATCATTTAACAAGACTCTAGAAAGTTCCAAACTCTCTCTCATCTTCATGTCTTTTTCTGAGTCCTCCAAACTGTTCCAACCTCTGCCTGTTACCCAGTTCCAAAGTCACTTTTGCATTTTCAGATATCTTTATAGCAATGCCTCACTCCCAACACATGGCATTTTATCAAGCATCTTTGGTTATAAAGGAAGCTACTGTAAGAACTGCTAATATTACAATTACCAGGGACATCAGAAATAGCTGCTAAATTCTACAGCAAGCTTAGAGAAACTCTTGTTTACAGGATAATTTTTTGATTACCTAGGAAACAAAATCTGAGTTCTGGTGACAGAAAGCAGCCAGTTTGGTTTGGGATCAAAGCTAAAAAAAAAAGTCAAATCTGAAACAAAGATATATATAGACTGAAATAGAAGATGTGGATGCAGAAGAACCAGGAGAAACACATCTCTATTACAATACCCTACTCTAAGTTTTACCAGTAGCATAAGGGAATGGATATAATCGTTAACACCAGAATTACTCCATGGCTAATGGTTGGCTGAGGGAATTGACTAGGCTGATATGGTTTGTTCTGCTGAAAAAGATCTCCCATCCTGCAGCAGGTAGCCCTAGCTCCTTGGGGTTCCAAAGAACGGTAACAGAGCAAGCCCCTAAGCACAACCTTTTCCAGCTTCTTATATCAAGTTTTCCAATATTTCCTTGGCAAAACTAAGTCTTATGGCCAACTCAAAATTTGGGGAAATGGATTTCACTTTTGACTGAACAATCTGCACTATCTCCTTGAAAGGATATAGATGTAGAGAAAATAGTATTTCACAACTATTTTTTATATCTACCACCCAGTCCTTTCATATCTATCTAGCAATTATTTTAATAATTTTTAGATATCACTATATGTATATGTTAATTCTGCTATGACTCACACAATGTTAATTGGCAGAGTGAAAATAATTTTAACTGTTGTGCAGAACAAAACAAGTGTTTTCCATTCCAAATATCCAAGATTAAGTATTTGATATGCTTTGGTTCTGTGTCTTCAGCCAGAATAATCCCCACATGTCAACGGCAGGATCAGGTGAAGAGAATTGAATCATGGGGGCGGTTTCTGCCACACTGTTCTCGTGATAGTGAGTGAGTTCTCACGAGATCTGATGGTCTTATAAGTGGCTTCTTGCTTTGCTCGGCACTCGGCACTCATTCTCAGTCCTGCCACCCTGTGAAGAGGTACCTTTTGTCATGATTGTAAGTTTCCTGAGGCCTCCCCAGCCATGCGGAACTGTGAGTCAATTAAGCCTCTTTTCTTTATAAATTACCTAGTCTCATGTATTTCTTCATAGCAGCTGTGAGAAGGAACCAATACAGTTTTCCAGTAAAAATTAACAATAAAGAACACTAAAAGGTGAAATGTACTGGCATTTATTAATGGATTCCCATAAGCAACATCACTTATTAATAGGTATGTTCATTTACATTATGTAAAATTTGAAAACTCACTAGAGTATGCAGTTCAGTATATATATATATATATTTATATATAAATTTATATATATAAATATATATATTTTTTATCAGAGGATGCATTAAAGAGAAGAGATTACTAAGTCTGAAGCAGTGCCTTAAATGGATTTAGTAGGATCTCTTGAAGTGCATTTAATTGTGGAATTAAATGTAAATTATTATTTTATATTAAAGTTAATGATTAGAATTTTATATACTTCAGAAATGCTATGTCATAAAATAAAGAAAAATAAAAATCATATGAGATTATCAACATGACACATGTCTTAGAGTTGTTGATGTGGTTTTTCTGAACTGCATCAGTTTATTTCTAATACATGAAGATAATTTGAATCTCAAGGAGCAGTCTGAAAACTTCAAGTTAGTAAAACCAATTTGCTCTGATAATATTTCTGATTTTATTATCGCTACATTGCTTTAACAGTGTATCCTAGGAAAATTATTTATGAGTACTAAACTGGACCAGTACTAAACACTGGACCACAAGGTATCTCCAGTGCTTTGAAGAGTGGCTGGTCCTTAGTAGATACACCATAAAGATTTCTTGAACACCTTCCAAAACAGTAATCTTTTCCCTAGCTTCTTTCTCTTCTATGACTTAGGATTTTTGTTTTTAATCTTCTGTTTCATATATTTCTAAAATAATAAATGTGAAATAGCCTCCATTTGCTAATTGAAACATGTTCTTTTGTGTTTTGTGGTAATGTAATATATGAACATCATTCATGTATTATATATATTGATTTGATTATAATTGCTTTGAGTTCCCCAAACTTGCACTCCCCTTAAGGAGTTAAACCAAACCCAGACCACTTATAAGGAAAAGTTGGCAGATGGAGAGTATACAAAGGTTTAGCTCCAGGAATATCATGTTAAAAATTATACTTATTTCATCCCTTTGTCTCTATGATCAATCTTTAAACATTTTCCAGATATCATTTTGGTCAGCCCATCTAGCTTTGAATTCATGACTAACTGGCAGTCTTAGAGGCTTTTGACTTAAATTTCTCTTGTTCATCTCATACATGTGGCAGAGGTCAAGATTAATGACTTAAAACTTTGGGAAATGGTCAATATCCTTTTTGTAAAATCTTACATTTTCTTGCCTCAATCCAATAAACCAGACAGTATTACATCCTGCTAACAAACATAAACCTATATGCATTCATTTCTTTTCCTAAACTCTGGGTGATTATGAGGAAATCAGAAACAACTTTGTGCCATTAAGCCAACATATTTATGTGTTACTTATTCATTTGCAGACATCTTCAGTAAACCTGCACAGATTTTATCATATTCTTCTCAGTATTTCAGTAGCAATTGGCACATCATTCTATAATATGTATCACATTGGACTGCCCCTATCTATTTTTGGAGTGTCTCTTTCACTAGACTGGAGTAACTCGTGCACGGGAAACAATTTCCTCAGGATGCAGTCTGCCGGGGATTGCTTACAAGTGAATGAAATATATGAACAAAAATTCTAAATAACATTAAATACACAATGCAGTAGCCTTAGTATTTTCTTATAAGACTTGGTGGAAAAATATCAAGTCATATTTACTTTGAATACTTTTCCCCATTTTAACTCAAAACAGCATAATATAAATTATTGAAACTTCTTGTGAATAAATATCCTCCTGACTCTGAACTCTTCGTTGTTTTTAACGCTAAAGAAAATGATTGCAGTTCTCACACGAATAACTTTTTTCTATGAGTGTCAATGCACCTACAGACTTTTTATTATTTTCTAACTGGAGGGCTGGTGAATAAGCTCAGCATGACTGATCAGAAAATGTTGGAGGATAATTGGACTTGCTGGCCAAGATGGAGGGAATGTTAAAGATTTTATGCACAACATTGATTTATATCAAGTTTACATTGTGTTAGATAAAAATTCAGATTTTATTTTGGCATTTCTCTTCTGGATTTTAAGACACTAGTTAATTTTTAATGCCTTTCGGGAGAGTCTTTTACTTTGCATTGTCTTTAAATCTCAGTAAACTGTTTCTCTACTTGGTGGGAAAATTGTTTATTGTAGATGCTGGGACTGTGAAAGAGTACACTGCTGAATTGAAAGAAGAACCACCCCATTATTTTATTTGGTGTTAAACTTACTGAATTATTTTAGAAAGCCTTCTGAAAAAATAAAATTGGCTCTGTGAAACTTTTACACATTCCCCAGGATGAACTGTACCCTCTGGCTTATTTGAAGAAGTACATTGTCACTCCTCAAAGGGATCCCAGGTCAGTCTCTAACCAAGTAGATGACTAACAGGCTGGTTTCCAGCGGGAGTATGGAAGTTAGAGGGAATAAGATGTGAAGATAGGTGGTGAAAGGAATAAGCAACTCAAGGTAAATAAAGAAGAAAGATGAAGATTCTTAGAATTGCAGAAAGACTGCAGGGGGAAATAATTAAAGCAGCTTTATTCCTTATGGCATTCATCATTTGGTGAGCTGGAAAGCACTGACAGCCTTGTCATGAGTTTCCTGTGCTTAACTCTGCCAGGTGATTTTTATGAATCACTTACTTTCTGACAGACCTGTTCAAAAACTGTAGGGTGTCACACAGGTGGGATTTTTTTTTTTGATAGGACAAAGAACATCTGTTATATTTTTACATTATTGACTTTAAACAATGAGCTGGGAAAAGACTGACTTGTTTGTCCATTGTTTGCCTCTCTGCCTTCTGATATAAGTTAAGATTTAGAGAAATTCTTTTCTTTTGCTCACTTCTGTGTTCCAATTACTACAGCCTAAAATGTTGAAAGTTCTGAATATATTTGTTGAGTTGATTAACATATGAATAAATTAATTTTTGTCTTCTTGCTTCACCACAGTAGGCTTAGATTAAGTATAAGGCATTTGATTACATTGAGGATTCTAACGTGCATATTTGGGAAATATGGATGGTGGCATAATCTCTTTCACTTCTGATTATTTGCTTTCTCCTCCACTTTCTTTGTCCTGCTTATTATGTAATTCATAGTTAAAATCATTCTTTCTATAGGAAGCTTGTCTGAACTTCTCTATCTCACATATGCTTTCAAAGTACCCTAAGTGCCTCATATTGCACTCTCTTGGATTGTCTATATTTTGGGTTGTATTCTCCCAGCAGAGAGTGAGCTCTATGAAGATAATGACAGTGTTATCTTGGTCACTGAATTTTGCCTAATGTTTAGTTTGGTACCTGGATGTACTGTAAGAGCCATTAATAAGTGGTTTTGAATTACTGAGCAATACATCCAGTACAAAAACTGAAATGTGTTTGAGAGACTGGAAGCAAAGAAGTCTATTGAAATATATTCAAGCTACAGTTAAATTACACTGAATTTATGTTGCTTATACAACTCTCCAAATTACTAGGGAGTAAAATTAATAAATGATTCAGGGACATTTTCATTAAGTCAATGCCTGCTGGGTCACAAAGACTTAACTATGTATTTAGGGAAAACTTCGGAGCTCCACTTTAAATCCCCTGACAGTTACCAGTGCAAGAATGTATTCAAGTCTGTCTTTTTGATAGTTTATCATAAGTAGATCATGGAACATCAACTTGGATGATCTCAGGAGTAGCCTGACATGCAATATGATTAACATTGTCCACTGAATTGTGAGGCATTTAAAACTTTGAGGAGGTACACCCACAGAACACAGAATGTAAGATAAATGTTGAAAGTTATGATTTCTTTGTTTGTCTAAGCTATTATTACATCTCCCTTGTATTGGTATAATAACCTCATAATTGGCCTTGTTACTTACCAGTTAGTTCCTCCCCACCATAGTCAATTCTCCTCATAGAAGCCAGAACAATATCTTAATAATAAAAACTAGATTATATCTTAATTGGAAATTCCTGTGCCTAACCTTTGCAATTAAGATGCAAACTTCTTACCATTGCCCCTGAGACTTCAAATTATTTGGCCCTTCCCTAAACCTTCAACCTTCATTTGTTCATGTTCTCCTCTCATTAGTTTCAGCCTCAGTAGCCTGCTCTCTATCCTTTGGATGCATCAAGCTCCGTTACACCTTCAGTCTTTGCAGTTACTCTGTTATCTACCTGAAATGCTTCTCTCCAGATTTTCAAGGGATGGTTTTTCTTATCATTCAGATCTCAGAGAGGATGTCATTGATTTCCTTTTGTAAAGGAGTTCCTCACTCTTCTAAGCCTTCTCTGCCTCATTTACTTAATTTTTTTTACACACGCACTGTAGAATGGAGCTTTACAAAAAACAAAATCTTATTTTTCTTTTTTAACTTCTTATTGTTTATAGTTATGTGCTCAATAAATAATTGTTGGATACAAGATACCTGAATGAATCTATGAGGCAGTGTCAGGCATTTTTTGTTTTTTTTTTGTTTTTTTTTTTTTTTTGAGACGGAGTCTCTCTCTGTCGCCCAGGCTGGAGTGCAGTGGCGCGATCTCTGCTCACTGCAAGCTCCGCCTCCCAGGTTCAATCAATTCTCCTGCCTCAGCCTCCCGAGTAGCTGGGACTACAGGCATCTGCCACCACGCCTGGCTAATTTTTCTGGATTTTTAGTAGAGACGGGGTTTCACCCTGTTAGCCAGGATGGTCTCGATCTCCTGACCTCATGATCCACCCGCCTCGGCCTCCCAAAGTGCTGGGATTACAGGCGTGAGCCACCGCGCCCGGCCAGTGTCAGACCTTTTTGCAAAAATTTTGATTTAATTGAGAACAGTAATATCCTCAAGACATCTATTCATTTTAAAGCCAAGAAAAGTACTATACAGGAGGTGGATGACTTTCTCCAAATAACAGAGAAGAGTAAGAATTTGAACCCATATCTTTCAGATTTGAACGTGCATGCTATTTTCACTCCATCATGCTGCCTCCCAGCCATCTATTTCAATAAGAGTCAGCTTGCATTGTAACATGGAAAATGAATCATATGCATAGATATACCAGACACACTCTAGATGAAATTCGTAAAAGAATTCCTTATTGTGCTACTGAAGTCATTGCCCTCTAGCTTGATAATTCTTGAGATATTAGAGACCTATTTGAAGTAATAAGTTGCCTTAAAGCATTACTCCTCAAAGTTAGTGTGCACACAAACCACCCAAATAGCTTGTTAAAAATGCAGTTTCTTCCAGATGATGCAGAAGGTATGGATCCATCCGCCTATGCTTTTTCAGAGGTAATGTCTAAGTGGTCATTCATTCACACATGTAATTCACATATTCCATTCTGTATCATTAGAAAATGGATTTTAATGCAAGAAGGGGTTGTTACGATTCAGAGCACTGGCTCTCAAACTTTGCTACGTGTTAGAATCACCAAGGGAACTTTAACAATTTCAATAACCAGGTAGCATCCAGACAAATTAAAACAATCTCCAAAAATGCCCAGGGTTAGCTATTTTTAAAACTCCCTTTTTATTCCATTGTGATTGAGAGGGTCGTTACTCTTAGTGTGGTCCACAGACTGGCAGCATTGGTGCCCATGAGAGGTTTTTAGAAAAACGGAGTTTGACGCTCCCACTCAGACCTATGGAAGTAGTGGCTGTATTTCCACAAAATCCCTAGGTGACTTGTACGCACTCCGCAATTTGAAATTTAGAGCAAGAAGTTTTGTGTGTGTTTGCTGTGTTTTGTTTTACTAAGCTCTATTCTCAATCACAAGTAGGAATGCAGGAGTCCAGTGAAGCTTCTCAGTATGAAGAAAGAGTTTTAGG
Source organism: Homo sapiens (assembly GCF_000001405.40). NCBI lineage: Eukaryota > Metazoa > Chordata > Mammalia > Primates > Hominidae > Homo > Homo sapiens. The sequence goes on along the minus strand of NC_000003.12, from coordinate 79,734,548 downwards.
AAATAACACAAGAACAGTGAATATAAATGCTTACTGCATTTGCCAAAGGCAATTTTTTGCAAAACAGTTTTAGTGTTGGAATGGAGATGGAAGTGAAATTATAGTCAGAAAAAAATTAAATACAACACAAATAAAGTACAGATAGTATAATTGAATTTTCATGAGGCTGGTTGGTGGTACAGAGCAGGCATTGGGTGATGTTTTTTGTTTGTTTTGCTTTGTATGTTTTTTAGATGTGAGAGACTCATGCATATTTACAAACTATGAAGGAGCCAAAAGAAAACAGTTAAAATAGAAATGGGTGCCGGGCATGGTGGCTCATGCCTGTAATCCCAGCACTTTGGGAGGCCGAGGTGAGAGGATCCATGAGGTCAGGAGTTTGAGACCAGCCTGACCAACATGGTGAAACCCCGTCACTATTAAAAATACAAAAATTAGCCAGGCATGGTAGTGCACACCTGTAATCCCAGCTACTCAGAAGGCTGAGGCAGGAGAATTGCTTGAACCCGGGAGGCGGAGGTTGCAGTGAGACCAGATCGCACCATTGCAATCCAGCCTGGGCGAGAGAGTGAACTTTGTCAAAAAAAAAAAAAAAAGATGGGAGGATTGTATGATGGTGATGATAGTGAGTCTTATCATAAGGTAATAAGCCAGACCAGTGTTATGTAAGGGGGAAAATGTCTAAGAATTTGGCATATGTGAGAACAACATAGCCATTTATTCTACTTTCAAAAAAAGTACACAATAGTGGGAAATACAGGAAGATAACAGACAACCCAAAGCAGTGTGATAAATAATGATAGAGTAAGTACAGAGAATATGATAGTACAGCAAAAATACTCCTATACCATGATTGTGATTAGTCAAGGAGAATGTTTGGAAAAACTGACATCCAGACCTACACCTGAAGTGAAGAGGATGGTGGGAGCCAGAGGAATAAGAAAGGAAATAGTCTGGAGGTGAGAAAGACTAAGGTCCACTTAAAGATTTAAATCCAATTCAGCCCATCTTTAGCACTGATGGCTTACATGGGTGAGTGGGGTCTGGGAGGGGTAAAAAGGAGAGATAAGTATAGTGAAAGATTCGACTGAGAAGAGGTGAGTTTGTGGAGCTTTCTTCCAGGTTACTCAGTATTTGAATTTTTCTCACAAGGGAAAAAATGTTGTCATCCTATATCCTAACAACAATATCTAATTTTGTCATCCTACAACAATATCTCACTAACAATGGAAATAAGATTATATTTGCATATGAGAAAGTTTTTCTAACTGTATGGTTAATGGGAAATATAGAAGATAAGAAGATAATTGGGCACTTGTTATCTGTGCAGAGGTAATGGGAGTCCAATCTAGATGAAAAAATGAGTGATGGTGAAATGGTTTCAAAGTTTTAGGAGGTAAAAAGTGTAGCCCTTGCGGATTTATCGATTGGAGATGGAAAAGACTTGAGAATGACACTCGGGTATCTGAAGCAAGTAATTTGATGGAAGATTCAATTCATAGAATAGGAAATCTTTGGTTAGTTATTTTGGGGACTGCTATGGCGGTATAGATGATAATTTGGGTTTCGGAAATAATGTCGTTTAATGGATAGTTACAGGTCTAAAACTCATGATTGAGATATGGAAAAGAGAAAGGGATTGGGAGTCTTCAGCATACATATTGCACTTTAAAACATGAAAATGTAAGCTAATCAAAGAGGGTCACTTAAACTAAAATAAAGTATAAAAAACGCCCAGGATAAGGTCATTAGGAACATCATCTTGTAAGTGATGATTGGCATCTGAAAGTAGAAAAAAGCAAGAGGAAAACATAGTGTCAAGAAAGTCAAAGAAAAAGAGTTTGTCAACTGTTTCTTAAAACTGAAATAAGACAGGGTGCCAAAAGTGCCCGGTGAATTTTGAGTAAAGGAAGTTTTTTCTCATAGTTGGAGATTTTCATAGAGCGGCAAGGGAGCACAGAAAATGGAAATGGACTCAAATTTGAGACTCATAAACCATAGACTAGAACTTTTTTTAAACACTTTTGGCTGAGAATGGGAACAGACAGCAAGATTTGGTATATATAGTCATGGAAGAAATTTTATTCAAAATCCTTTCCTGTTTGATGTGGCTGACTGAGGAACAGCTATTCTATTTCCTTATCATAAAATAACAATTTAAGAAAATAATTTTAAACAAAGTATATTAATATCTTTTTTAAATTGTGTAAATTTTATATGTGATATATATGATGTCTATATTGTAATGACTGATCTAGTCTCAAATTTTAAATATTGTCATGTGTAACGATATTTTTATCAACACTTGACTTCATATATGATAGTAGCCCCATAAGATTATACCACTATATTTTTACTGTATATTTTTATGTTTAGGTATGTTTACATACACAAATATTTATGAATGCATTATAATTATTTATAATATTTAATATAGTAACATACTGGATGGGTTTGTATACACAAACCTAGAGGGTGTAGACTAATACATACCTCATCTATATGTTTTATAGACCACACTCTAGGTTTGTGGAAATTCATGCAATGTTGTTCACATAACTAAGAAATCACATAATAACTCAATTCTCAGACAGAATCCCCACAATCAAGTGATGCATGATGACATTTGTTTCAGTTTCTGTTCTCCCCCACCTCCTAGAAATTTCCTATGATAAAAAAAACTTATTTCACCTACAAACTTACTTCCCAAACAGCTGAACAGGTATGATTTGTATATTCTCAAGTTGAATTTTATTACAAAACACATTTTGAAAATCGTTTAGGCAGAGGTTAGAATTCCTATAACATTTGGGTATGCTAGGGGCTTCATCTGTATTATATTCTCATGTCATAATTTAGAATATTTGCATACCATCAATCTATCCTGAAGTATAGGGTGGGCTAATATTTGTGCCTACTCAATATGTAATGCTTTTTATTGTTTTTTGTTTTGTTTTTTGAATATGGCAGGAATTACAGACTCCTTACAGCATCTAGGATGTTTTGGGATAGACAGCATTGGGTAATTTTATTGCTTCATCTCTGCCTTACTTTAATCCAGTGGCTCCTAACCAGGGGTCAGCACCAAATCACCTAGTTAGGCTTTTTAAAATTTAAATACCCAGGCCCCATCCAAGCCTTGGAGAATTTGAGTCCATACATAGATCCAAGGAGCTCAGGGACATACTTTACATGCTTTACAGATGATTCTGATGCAGACCTTTTGTTGCAAAACAGGGACATCCCATTAAAATACCATACAATTAATTGTCTTGTGTCTTTCTAAGCATCTCATTTAGAAAAAATCATAGGCACTCATTCTGCCTTCACACACACACTTTTTAAAAATATTACTTTCTTTCATTAATAACTGATGTCACAATTTCATTCCACAAGAGACAGAGATATATTAAAGTGGGGCAATTATATGAAAAGGACTATCACCGTTATTTTAAAATCACCCTTCTAGCAAGTTTGCTGACTAAAATGTAGAAAAGGAAATGGCTCAACTTTGAAATATAGGAAACACGGATCACGAGGTCAGGAGATCGAGACCATCCTGGCTAACACAGTGAAACCCCGTCTCTACTAAAAATACAAAAAATTAGCTGGGCGTGGTGGCGGGCACCTGTAGTCCCAGCTACTTGGAAGGCTGAGGCAGGAGAATGGCGTGAACCCAGGAGGTGGAGCTTGCAGTGAGCCAAGACTGCGCTACTGCACTCCAGCCTGGGCAACAGAGCAAGACTCCATCTCAAAAAAAAAAAAAAAAAAAAAAAAAAAGGAAATACAGGAAACAGACATTTTCACAGTGATTACAAATTACTGTTTCAACTGCCATTCCTTCAAAGAACAGAACTTTTGGTACATGTTTCTGCCAGATGTTAGAGATCTGATGTTTTTATATTAAGTCTAATGAAATGAAATGAAATGAAAAGAAAGCATTCTCAAATGAAATATACTTACCTATTAGCTGTTGGTACACCAATCCATTCATTTTGGGTTAAATTTTTTTTATTGGCCCCCAAGTGGAGAGGGGATGAAACTTGCTTTGTAGATATTACAAAATGAATGAAATGAATACCAAATTAAAATATGTGTTTATGAGTAAACATTAATTTTGATCATATATATCACTTTGTTGCATTAGAATGAATATTCAGTGAGTGACTATATAATTACATAGGAATCAGATATATGTGATTTTGGCCAAATAGAGTGTCCTCAATATTTGATTCTTATCACTCTTAATATTTAAAAAGCAACATAATTAGGAAATCATATCTCCCCTCCCTTCATTTAGGGACTATGATTATGAGAAAACACCTGTGTTTGTATATATCCTAGAGGAAAAAGTATAGCATTTCCTGGGTTACAGTGTATAGGATAATGTAGGGAAGATTTCTCTAAACCATGATTGTTAGGGAAAGATCCTTAGCACCTAGTAGATGAAGAAACAAAATGTTAACTTTGCATCAAATGGAGAATCATCAATGGGGATAATACACAGGTGAATGCTTGTTAATTTGCAATATAATTATCTCTCTAATGAATTTAGCAAAGTAAAACATTATGTAAAGGACAATGGTTGGCAAGATCTTTCACAGAGAAATCATGGGATGGGCCATAAAATATGTTTCTGGGAGGTACTGCCACTTTATTAATTTCAATCACTCTATAATTAAATCTACATATGCAGCAGTAAAATCTACCAAATCATCAACTGATGCGTATTTAGCCTCTGGACTCAGTGACATTTAATTAGTTAGCAGACAGCCAAATGCCAGCCTTTCTTTTCTAGTGGCAAACAGTTTGTGTGTATAGGTTTTTTCTTTCCAATCTCCTTCCCTCATATAATAAAACTTGACATAGTTTCAACAATGATGCAAAGCAAAATGAAGAGCAAATTATGTGTATAAGCTTTAGGCAGTCAGAAATGAGAAAAATACAGCAATTGGATGGATATAACCACAAAGTACCCTCTTAAATTTGCTCTAATTTTACTGAAATATTGCTTTTCCAAGGATTGGAAACAGTCAATAATAAACAAACACAGCACTTTTTTTTCTAAGTGAGATTGTTTTTAAATAGATATGTACTAACTAGTCTTAATTATGATTCAGTTTTCCTTTTACTTCATATGGAAATTTTAATTAGCTTTATATGAATTTCTGTGCATGTCAGAGTGTGGGCTTTGAAGTAAGCCTTTTAGTCATAACCTCTAACTTTCCCTCAGCCAGAGGCCGACTTCATTCCCTGGAGCTAGGCCAAGTCGTGCTGTGAGAATTACACAGTGGATCTAGCTGGCAATCTGACCCTCTGTTCAAAGTTAGTTGTAAAGAAAAAGCAAAAGGCTAAAATTTCCTAAGGGATTGGGAAAAAAGAACCTTACATTGAAAATGAAATGAACATAATACAAATATTCAAACCAAGGAACATTACATGGCTATTCATTAAGAATTAAATTTCAACAATTCTCAAATAAAATGTGCTACGGAAACAATGTAATAAAAATTGAAAATATATCTAATATGTAAAACATTTCCATATGGTCAACATTTGATTATATATTTCTTATGTACTTTAGAATTTTACCCAATTTAAAAAAATTTCCTAAAATAGCTAGCACTTTATTTCATGTTATTCTTTATATAGTCTATGAAGAGTTTCAATCATTAAAAAAGGTAATCATGCCAAACTATAGTGCTTTCTTGGAAGAGAACTTGCTATATGAAGGTTTTCATTAAATGGCTTAATAAAGAAATTTTAACAAAATGAGTAAAATCATGATTTTTAACTGGGAACAATTTGAAGGGACTGAAATTAAGTCTTTTTCTGGCTTATGCTATTGAAAATTAACCAGAGAAATGATTACATCAAATACATGGAAATTTTGTGTACATAGTTTTTACACCAAAAAAATTGTAGTCATGTTTAAAAGGTATATATCTTTGATATGTGTAATTATAAATACTAGTATTAAAATGTGATTTATTTTTAAATTATAGTTTGTTGTAGTTGGTTTACAAATATTTCACCTTTTACACTTCTACTTATTGTCAGTCAAGGTTAACATTGAAGGTCAGAAACGGTATAACAAAACAAAGAGTTATCGATGAAATATGAGAGGGGATGAAATTAATGTAGAACTTTTTAGACTGTGACATTGCACATACATGTTTTCTTTATCAAGTGACAACCCATTGGCATATTGTATTTGCTGCTGAAATTCTGAGGAAATCTGAGATTTTTTCAGCTCTCCATATCTACCAAAAGGTGAGATACCTTTCAAGATTAAAGGAATTTCTGCTCATTTATATCAACTTCATAGAGAGTGGAGTACTAGGAACAGTAAATAAAAAAAGTACAGTCTTTAGTTATGAGTTAACTAAAAAAAATTTCCTGTGGGGGGGGGGATATATCTAAATATACAAATAAATACATATATTTACACACACAAATACACACACGCAGTCGTGTGCCTTCTGACATAACAAGATAAGCACTTGGGGCGTGATTATTTTTTCTAATTTTGAAGCCACTGAAAAGTCTTAAAGAACATTAATCTAGAAATGACCCTGAATTTTAAAAATATGTTTAAAATAAAAAGCAGGTTGCTATACATGGGACCTTTGGTTTACATAAAAACATACAATGCTACTAAATTGTATAGGTACTATGTGTTGTCTCTAAAATGTGTTTTGAAAAATGTTTGTCCTCTTTGTAAGAGGGACTGTGTATTGCATTTGAGTCATGTTCACAGGTAGAATCATGGCCAATATTTTATAACTGCACTGAGATTTTAAAAGGGTGCAGGCAGGATATGAAGAATTAAAATACATGATTTTTTAAAATGAAAAATGTTTCCATAGATTGCTACTATGGCAGGTTGCAGAAAATCTTTTTACCTGTTTGTGTAGTTAATAGATATTTCTTTAAAATAGCAGAGATGCCAAAATCCAACACAGACATAGAAACACTCATGGTTTCAATTCACAAAGTGGGTATTTAATAAATATGTGGTCTTTATGAAAAATATTTATATCTCCCTTGAATTTAAATTTTATTCATTTAAATGATTCCAGACTAAATTTGGCCAAAACATTATTTTAAAAGTTTATTTTTAAATTAAAACCTTGTTTATGAATTGCAGTGTCAATATTATCACCTCTATTGTCACCTTTTTTTTGAAAATTCTACAAAATTAATCATATTAGCTACATTAATGTAACTTAAGAATTCAAAATATTTCACATATTTTTAAAGTAAAAATATGTCTGACTCTAGTTGGCAATTAATGTAGCAGCAATCCCTAGCTTTTTCACCTGGTTTGTTTATTGACTTCAATTAATGTTTGCCAGCAAGTAAATTAACATAGCACCTGAGGCATAATTCTCTAGTGGGCCTTGGACACTGAGTTCTTCCCATCCTTGCTGGTTTAGCTCCTCCTGAGCATATTGCTAGTAGATACATTTTAATTCAGTCTAGACACGGATGTTACCCATGACATTAATGACAGGTCATTTACAGCAAACTCATGTTTCACTGCAGAGATGTCTCTTTAAGTGACATCTTATCAATAGCAATTCAATTAGTCAAACCTAAGACTATGAGATGGTGCTTACACTGTGTCACAAAGTGCTCTTTGAATTTGCATTTGAAATGCCCCTAGTAGTCCCCCATTCCCCTCACATATAAACAGGAGTACTGAAGTTTTAATTTCAGACATCCTCTGTTTGGATTTTACTCTCTTTATATACCCTATTTTCAAAGGACTAGATGTCGATTGAAAAATGTATTTTTTCGCCTCATGAGAAATATAGGTACAAATGTATTTGGCTTAACTAAAAGCACCAGCAAAGCCTTGCTGTTGGCGAAACAAATGGAATATTGTAAAAGGTAATTTTTTTTAGAGATAATGCCAATAATCTCAAAACTAAAACACATGAGAACAAGAAAATATGGAATAAGTACACAATAAAATCAATTTTAATATTTCCTGTTTATCAGAAGTATGGACTTGATTATGGCATAGTCATAATGATCATACAAGCTGCCCCATGATTATTTTTCAACATCAAGCATTTATTTAAATATATGTCAGACATTATAATATAGATTTGAATCTCTATATGATGTCGTTACAAAAACAATTCCAAAAGTATTGTATATAAAGTGTAATCTGGAGATCCAAGGGTTCAGGAAGGTTCTGCTGTTACAGGTTTTGTTGGTGTTAGATAGATGGGGTTGGAGGAGGGCTTGAGGGACTGTAGATGAACCAGGGGATTAACAGCCAGAACATCCTTTCACAACTGGTGTCCTGGGAGAGGATTATGCCCCAATGCCCTAAGGCATTCTTTGTCTATAGTGAACTAACTTCTTTCCTATGCAACTAGAATGACAACAGTGCAATAGTTATGGATCATCCTTGACAGAGGTAAGAAAATCGTCATTCACATTACATTTTGTGTCCTTAAATTCTGACGAGGAACCCAGCCGAGAATGGCTGCCAGACTCTTGTTTGAATTTAGTCTTCCTCCATGATTTGACTTCTTGAGATTCTCTTAAAGTTCCAGAGCTACAACTTAGGGTTAAGATCAAACAAGTGCCAGATATACTTTTTTTTTTAAGAAAAGTTTTTTTTTTTAAGTGTCTGTATGTAAGCTTTATTATATTTAATGACTAACGTGGCAAAAGAGACCCTTAACCTGTCCTGGTATAGGAACAGAAGCACTGCATATATTCAGTATCAGTTAAAAGTCATATATTTTAGCAAGCTTATCAGTAAAGATGCTTTTAGCTGCAGATTACAGAAGACATACAAAATTTTCTTAACTGTGAGACGTGTATTCTACCACATAAAAGAAGAAACTGGAGAAGAGGTGATTTGGGGGTGATTAATTTAGGGGCATTATAACATTACAGGATTGGTATTGCATTCATCTTTCTCTGCCACTCTTAAAATGAAAATCATTGTCTTCATTGCATGTTGGCTGCATCTCCTGCAGATATAAGTAAGAAGAGAGGGCCGGGCGCGGTGGCTCACGCCTGTAATCCCAGCACTTTGGGAGGCCGAGGCGGGCGGATCACGAGGTCAGGAGATCGAGACCATCCTGGCTAACACGGTGAAACCTCGTCTCTACTAAAAATACAAAAAATTAGCCGGGCGTGGTGGCGGGCGCCTGTAGTCCCAGCTACTCGGGAGGCTGAGGCAGGAGAATGGCGTGAACCCGGGAGGCGGAGCTTGCAGTGAGCCGAGATCGCGCCACTGCACTCCAGCCTGGGCGACAGAGCGAGACTCCGTCTCAAAAAAAAAAAAAAAAAAAAAGAAGAAGAGAGATGTTTCTCATAAGGCATCTTTTACATAGCATTGGGAAACCAGAATATAAGCCCTCCAGTAGTAGACTGGCATCCAGGTATCATTGGCAAAGTCTGGGCCAAACACCAATGCCTTATCACTGGCAAGGAAAAACAGTCAACAATGAGTGTTTTAGCCTAAGAATGATACAAACCCAAGGTACTGGAAAGAGAATCATCTTTCTATAGCTTACAAGGTAGTAATAACTAAAGCAGAATTGGAGTCTAGGATATCAAAGAAGAAGGGTAAGGAAGGACACTGATAGGGTTCCATCACTTCAGTGCAGGACTGTAGGAATACTCCATATTTTTCAAAAGTAGCAGAAATTGATCAAGTAAATACAGTCTAAAAAGTGTATTATGTATTGATAGGTAACAAATTACCCCAAAACTTTGTGGCTTAAAACACATTGATTTATCTCACACTTTCTGTGAGTCAGGAATTCAGGCATGATTTGCTGGGACACTGTTTCTTGTTCACTCACAGGGCTGCAATCAAGGTCGTATCTAAAGCCTCAACTTTTAAGCTAACACATAGTTTTTGGCAAGTATACTAGACTGAGGGACTCAGTTTCTTGCCAGCTGTTGGCCAGAGGTGGCACTAAGTTCCTTGCCTTGTTGTCCTCTCTAGCGTGGCATCTTATCACATGTAAAAGCTAAGAAGATAATAAAGGGAGTCTGTTAACAAGACATAAGTCTCCATGTTTCGTAACCTCGGCATGGACAGGCCATCCCCTTCAACGTTGCCGTATTCTGTTGATTAGAAGCAAGTTACTCAAGAAGAGAGAAGTATGCAAGGCTGGGAACACCAGGGGGCAGCGAATATCAGTGGTATTGAGAAACGTAATAGCTTAGAAACACGAAGACCTAATCAATATGCTTAAAGTGAGTTTCGAGTTTCTTAATTGACTATGTTTTAGCCCATTAACCATCTTAAAATAAAAAATGTAAAGGAATTGAAAATAATTCCAATGTTGTTCTTTACCCTAAATGGGAGTCAAGGAGGTGAAATAAAAGAGCAAACAAAACACTACTATAACAGGCATAGGAGTCTAGAATTAAGCCTTAGACACAGCGTCAAATGTTAGTGACATGCTAAACAGAACAAGTGAACAACGAAGACTGTAAAAGATGAACACAGATTTAAGACAGTTATAGTTTAAGCCAAAATCCTTTATTAGTACAATTCACTAGAATAATACAGATATCACCAAAGTGGTCTTATAAAAACACTTATTTATTTCTAATCTATGAAAGGCAGTCAACTGCTTTATTTCTGTACTTCTGTCAGTGTTGGAGTAACTCAAGTCATATTTCTCATATAATAATTTAATCCTTAACATGGTTTATAATATTAAAGATAATATTTGTTACTGAAAATAAATAAACCTTATAGAAACAAATCTTAAAATTACTTTTTAAGTTTAATTAAGTTTCATATTACTGAGAACTATTTTCTTCTACTTCTTACTGTGTGATTAAATTGAAATAATTTTTATTCATATGACTCTTAATATTACTTTGACCATAGATATCAAAGCATTAAAATATCTAAAACAATGAATTCCAATTTGACTAGTGTATTATCTTAGTGTAAAATCCATAAAGAGTTAAATCATATCAAGCATAATATGTCCAATCTTCTTAAGTTGGGAAAACATGATTTTAGGGAGTAGGGGATAATTTTATTCACCTATACATTTATCTTGAGGATTTTGGGAGTATTATGAAGTGCATCTAATCATCTTCAAATTGCCTATAAAATATTGTCATTTTGTTAATTCAAGGTTCTTTTTATTATTAAAATGAATCTGATTAAAATATAGTCTGGAGGGAACATCAACTCACATTTCAAAACCATCATATATTTCAGCAGAAATGTCAGAGAGTTGATAGACTCTGCCTCAGGACAAAGAGTTAGCATGGAAAATAAGATCACCTTTGATCCCAAGGGAAAGAAGGATGCCTTCAGGTCATAAGTAAGGGCATTCCCATAACACATTCCATCTGTTCAATCCTTGTACGATCCAACATTGTCACGGGAATGGTGGCAGGGAGGAGGGCAATTGGTATTGGTGTAGACTGTGCTTTCTTATAGACAGAAAAATTTATAATACTAATTATATTTAACCAAAAATAGCCATGGTTCATGGTTAAAATTATTTAAACATTATCTATTTAGCATATTGGTCAACAAATCACTATCTTTTTCAATATATTAACTGTATGTCAAATGCAATACTGTTGAGCAGTACCTGTGAGGATTATACGTAAAGTCACTGGTACCTATTCTCCAGACTGGGCATATGTGACCTCTCTGCCTGGCATCCATGGTGATCTGGATCTTGGAATGTGCTCCCTATTATTACACATATATAGATGCTGTTTTTTCCAGCTACTGCAGTAACTAGTATATATAAGCCATCAAAACACTTCTGTGACAATGACAGTGGAGATACAAATTTTAAATAAGTGTAAAGAATAGGAGGCTGCACATATTTAATAAGAAAAACAAAACCAACTGCTGATTAAGTGACTTCAATTTGAATTTGTTATCAGCATTTCTGAAAGTTATAGATTATCTTTGACTGAGTGAAGATGGCTTCCCTGTGCAACAGGAGCTTTTTATGAAGAGGGAGATAATTAACTGGAATGACCAGCTACTCGGGGTTAACAAAATGCTAGATAAAAGCAACAGTTGGCGATGGAACTGTGAGGTCTTCATGAATGGCTGTGGACCTCAGGAGGAAATCACTATCAAAATGTATTTAGTAAACTTTTTTTGGGTACAAGGCATCATTGCTTTTAGCTCTATATTGTGTCAAGTGAAAATGGAACACAATAAAATGATAGCTGGAAATTAGGATGCAGTGAATTGAATTACTTAATTGCAAGCTTAGATTTCTAAAGATGTATGAGAGGTCAATTGATAGTGCAGTTTTCCCGTACATACTTGAGCTACCAGTACATACCATTAGATGTATCACATCTTTGATTTTAACTTTTAACATTTAAATTAGTTTTCCAAAGTAAAATATTATTTAGTTTCCTTAAAATACTTAGTAATATTACTTTTAAAGTCTGTTTCCTGTAGTACCTTTTCCCAATGAAAAACAATAAAAACATCTTCCTGACTTGCCCAGTGATGTCACCTGATCTTGAAAAATAATGTTTTGCAAATATTATGAGTTTCTAAATGTTTTAATTAAAAAGCTACAGAAAGAGCATTAGAATCATTCTCGTTAACTGGCACAGTCTGTTTTCAATGTGATCTTAAACTAGTTTAACCTTGATAAACTTTTTTGGACAATGGGGGGCTTTACTTTTATATTTTTAAACAATGGGAATTCAATGAAAGTTCTACACTTCACACTTTGGATATACATGGAAAATATTAATGATTCATCATGTTAGTCTTCCTCAGGACTCTGATCTAGTCTTCAAATCTTTAGCATTGTGTTCTAACTCGACACCACTAATTAGGGTCAACAGTAATGGTGAACCCTACTTCTCATCCTGCATTTCACTTTTGTAGGGGCAGAAAAGTTCAACATGTCAGGGATAGTGATGATGACACTATCATTTGATATTTTCAAAGGTCTGTTTTAGTAAAATTTGAAAGTGGGCCTAGAAAATTAAGCATAGACATATGCTAACCATACGGATTTTTGTTACTAAGTTTGGTGACAATAATGTGTCCGTCCAGAAAGTTTGACAGTTTCCTCCTATTTGTAAAACCAATATTTGAATCACTGACTTGATTAAAGATTCATGAGTTTTATAAGGACTCATCATAAGAGACTGTTTTGGTACTTTTTTTTAGTTTTTTTATGATATAAACAATAGTCTCATAGTTTCCATCAAAGTTTATATCAAATGTCCTACTGTAATTGTTTCTCTATTTAAAAAGAAATGTTTATGCAATAGAGGAGAGTAATTATCTCCATAATTATCACATGGCACAGCAATGATTTGGCACAGGGGTTCTTCACTTGGCATCCACAATCACTGTTTAGAATTCAGGAGAATGCATGAATTTGGATAAGGGGGAACAGAAGGTGCACTTTATTTTCACAAGTTCTCATTAAATTTAGCAACTCCTTGGCCGGGTGTGGTGGCTCAAGCCTGTAATCCCAGCACTTTGGGAGGCCAAGGCGGGTGGATCACGAGGTCAGGAGATCGAGACCATCGTGGCTAACACGATGAAAACCTGTCTTTACTAAAAATACAAAAAATTAGCCGGGCACGGTGGCGGGCGCCTGTAGTCCCAGCTACTCGGGAGGCTGAGGCAGGAGAATGGCGTGAACCTGGGAGGCGGAGCTTGCAGTGAGCCGAGATCGCACCACTGCACTCCAGCCTGGGCAACAGCGCGAGACTCCATCTTAAAAAAAAAAAAAAAAAATTAGCAACTCCTTAATTATGTATGTGACTAATAAACCACAGTATTGTATGGCAGGATCTGTGACTTTAGTAGAATCCATAGAAATCTCACATATTTCCAAAGAACATTATGAATGTAACAGAAATCTTGAGCATACTTTATGCTCCTCACTAATTTGAAATCACTAGTTATTAGACTCTCTCTTGTCTTGTTACTTAATGCAATAGTAGAGAAACACATTTTTCCAGTAATTTATGGCTAGGAAACCACACAAGAATTTAGTAGCTTAAAGCAATTTATAATTTCTTGTATTTCATTGGTTGGACTGGACTTAACTGAGTGGCCCTGAGGTCTCTCTCATGAGGTGCCAGTCAGAATCCACTGGAACTGTAGTAGGTAAAGCTCAGCTGGACTAGGTGTTCAAAGTGGCTCACTAATTTGACTGGCAGTTGATGTTGGCAAAAGGCTACTAGTAGCTTAGTTTGTGCTGAAAACCAGAGCACCTACTCAGTATCTCTCTGTCCTGTTGTGCCTGAGTTCCTATAAGGAATGTTCCAAGAGGTCCGTTGGTCCATGAGGCCAAGGCAGAAGCTGCAAAACTTCTTATGACATAGCCTTATCATTTCCTCCAGCTAAGAATCAAGATGGGAGGAGTCTAATAAAGGGCACGAATACTGGAAAGTCTGATTCATTGAGGGCCATCTTTAAAGATTAGCCACTTTCCTTAACACTTTTATTATCTTAATAGAATTTCAAAAACTATTTTTAAAACTTTGTGATGATGTGATACAGTTTTCTTTGCAATGTTATATTTTTATAGTACACATTTGTAACCTTTATTCTGAGAAAAGTCTCTAGTCTTTACCCAACTACCAAAAGGATCTATGCTCTCCCTCAAATATGAACCTTGGTTAAACAGAAATATGATTTAATAGCACAATATTTATTTTTTCTGAGATAAATATTTGAAAAGCTCATACCAAATTCATTTCATTAATTTTTAATAAACAACAAAAGTATTTGTTTTATTAATATAAATTCATTGAGCACTTAATTTGTGTAAGACATTTAGAAAATGTTGATTATTATAATGCTGTTTTTTTCTTTATGAAGATCCACACTCTCTGCATGAGTTCATGTGCCTTTTGTAATATGATATGAAAGCGACATAACCTCAAAATTACATAGTCTCTATATTCCTTTGGCTGCCAGGAAGGTCAGAACTATATGTTGTGGTTAATTGCAATGACCATCTTCCCACCAACATTGGATAATGCTTTTATTTTAGCATTATAAGAAGACGTTCTATTTACATGTTATGTAGAAGTTTACTCCTTCACAAAAGTTTTCCTTCTGAAAGGTTGAATAAAAATGCCCTTTTGTCTTGATATATTATTGCATGGGTAAATATCTCAGAATAATTATATATGGTTCAGAGAGATTTAATAATTTTAGTCTATTATATTGGTGGGACAAGATTTAATAAAAGTTTAATGGAAACTAGACAGTTCATTAAAATGAACCCAAATTAATGTTATTGAAAATACTAGACTGCTTAGGCATAATTTTGCATGGATAGCTGTTCTTGTTAGGAGGAATTAGAATTTTTCTACTTTTATTCTATCTTTTTTTTTTCTTTGCCAACTAGTTCATTTTCGACTAGTTCCTTAGAACTGTACTTAAATTCTCAAAGAAGCCTATACATTACATCTTTTTGACTTTTCTTGCCAAAAACCATTCTGGATCTGCCATTGAGTATAAATAATGTCTTTATTTTTCACACACACTCAGCAAGACATTCTTATTTATGCTTGCTGCAGTGGCTATTAATACTCTTTCTCTACAGATACCTTCTGCTTAAGTATTTCTTTTAGTTCAACAAGTGACCAATACAAAACTAATGTATATCCAGGTTACAGAATCTTTTAGCTGAAATTAATTTTATAGAAATGTTTACAGTGGCTTGAAGTTTTAGCCATAAATATATAATGTCATTAGTTTCCTCTCCAAAATTCAACATTATTATTTGTATAAGGGAAATGCCACATGTTCTTTTTATTGCTTAATAAGAATATCTTTAAATTTTACTTCTAACCTTTTTTAACAAATAAGAAATACTCTATTTCCATGCCCATTTTCTATTTGTGGCTGCACATTATTTAATATCTTTAGCATGTTCAAATTATTTTATCTTTTATTCCTTAAACACAGTATGGGGGAGACAAATAATTACACTATGGTTTATCATTTTGGCCAACAGATGATTATAACACTATAATACATATCATAATTAGTGAGAAAAATCAAAGAATGGAAACATCCCATTATTGCTTGTTAGGACATTCTTTCTCAAATATAGTTTATAGTTATTTATCCCCTGGCACAATTTAACAACCCCAAAGTCAAAGCTAAATGCAAAAAATGTCATAAAGCTAGATACATTTCAGGAGCGATATACAATGTTAGAAAATATTATTTCTCAATGCTTAAGTTGTTTAATTTTTGATATAAATTTGGAACATATAAGTACTTAACAGTAATTATATTATTGCCTTGAAATTTGTTCTGGTCATTATGATTTATAAACATTTACTACATTTAAGATAAAGACAGTTTTCTTAATATTTGAATTTCTTTTCACTCAATAAATTAGGACTAGTAATAAAATAATGTTATGAGCAGATATTTGTAAGCAGCTCAAGTTTGTTGTTAATATTATCCATCTTCTTTTTGTCTAACTACAATCCCCTGAAACTCCGTTGACACTATCTCCACTTTCACTCCCTAATTTATTTTTTCCTTTGTTCCTTTGCCTCTTTCTGATGTTCCACTTTATCCTTCCAAGGATCATGCTCCTGTAAGAATTGGTGGGACTGTCCAAAAATCAAAAAGCATTGAAACATAGCTTCATTCTCCTTCCACGTCTTTCCCACTTAATCCACAGAAAAATACACACACAAAAGACACACACAAAGATATACATGAAAACATCTGAATACATTCACACACAAACACATAATCTAGTGTAACTATTTTTGCTTGGTCTTTCTCTAAAGTTTTTCAGAATAGCACTGTAAGTTTTAAAAAATTGAAACACACACTTCTAACATATATGCATTCTATAACATGCACAAAATAGCAGTAGATGGAAAGTTCTGTAGTACAGATAATAACTTTGCAACTGATGTAACCATTGAATTAAGTACAAAAAGATGTGTGAAACATTTGGGGAAAATGATGTTTTCTCAAATTATTTTCTAATTAACTTTTTGAAGGTGTGCATTTTCATTTTAAACAATGAGAGCTCGAATTGGTCAAACACACCTGCCAATTAATGTTTATTTCATGCCATATATTTTTCCTGGCTCACCAAGATTGTTCAGGGTCTACAAACTTTTAAAGATAGCCAACCTAAAATGCAATTGTCTGGCATTTTATCATTCTAGCAGAAATAAAAGTGTATGTTCTCTCAGTGCCTTTTGGAAGATTCAGCTTACCAATTTAAGTAGATTCAGAGATGCTATCTATAAAACTGTATTCTCTTCAGAAAGAAAAACAGGTAAATTATTCTAACTATTCTGAGCTCTAAATTCAGAAAAACAAAAGCTTTATTGAGAAGATTTCAAACAAAATAGTCACATTTAAAGTATAAATATACAAACTTACTAGAGAAAAGTAATTGGGAGAATTCTAACACTAATTTTTTAAGATAAGAGGAATCAAAATCCATAACTTGCTTTCTTTTCTGCTTTGTTATTAGTTGTCATTCTTTTCACAAATGATCTCTGCAAAATGGATTAATTAATTATAAGCAGAATACAGTTCAAAATTTTCATGATTAGGTATGTAGTTACTTCTTTGTTCAAAATTCTGAGTTGTATATTCCACTGGTAATATTTATATAGTTTATTACAATTAAAGTGTTTGCCTTACACCTGATTTTTTCACCCTTATCAACAAAATGTCATCGAATCATTTTTAAAATTCATGTGATTTCAGACATCTCTTTAATAACCTAGTCAGTTTTAGTCCTTATATTGGCATGCTGTGTTATTAAATTATTTGTGGTTTATCAATTTCACCTGCCGTCTTCCATTTCTTGTGCAGCTGGTATTACTGGCTGAGGACCAACATAGTTGGTATCAGGTCATCTAATACCATATTTGCTACATCTTCACATTTTCCATTGTCAGAATGATTATTTTTTTTCTAATTTTCTATGCCACAACTAAAATATATGCAACCTGCTCCCATTATGACCCAGAACTTTGAAAAATTATCATAGTATTGTTTCGTTAAATAAATTAGTGAAAAATATATTTACTTAGTTAAAAATCACCATTAATAAAAATGAAAATATACAGGTACCTTACTGTACTAAAACCTAGTCTGAAAACTAATCTTTGGGATTTACAGAATGTACTGTTCATTATATCTATATCACATGCCCAAATTATTCCAGAATATGTAGTATTTCATAATGCATCTATTATTTCCACACTTACTTAAACTGTCTTGATACTGGGTATACTGGGGCACCTCCCTTAAATTATTATGGTTAATATTCTTATTTCCTATAATGTAATATAAAACAATAATACCATATTTATCTTAGCACTCATGACAAATCAGATATAATAATAATCTAATCATGATTAAATTTCCAGATATTTGAAGTTTACCACTTAAAAAATTGATTGGTTTTATTACAGCTTTTCTACACCATTCATAGAATGTTACCTCTATAACTTTTTATAAAGGGGAATTTGGCTAAAAACATCTTCAGCTTTTTGTTTATCTCCTTGGAAAAAATAATTTCATTCTATTTTACTCAAAAGGAAAAAGCAGAGTCACATTAAGATTCCTATACATATTTTAGAGTTATTTTCATTAGTGGGAATTGGGAATTTATACATCCAAATATACCTATATGTTAATACCTATAGAAGACAAGTTAAATATATTTTGGTTCTTCTATTTAAATGTAATTCTGTCTGGACATTTGAAATGAATGTGGTTAAGAAATATTAAAATTGTGGCATATTTCTCAAAGTATGATCAAGGAAAAATAAAAGCCGAGCACAAATACACGGCACATAGCATAAATTATATAATTAAAATAAATTTCAACACTGCAAACAGACATACATTGGAGATGCTACAGACTTGGTTCCAAACCACCACAATAAAGTACATATCACCATAAAGTGAGTCACATGAATGTTTTAGTTTCCCAGCACATGTAGAAGTTATGTTTACATAATACTGTACTACATTAAATGTGCAAGAGCATTATTTCTAAAAAAGTACATATGTTAATTTAAAGTACTTTCTTGCTAAAAAATGCTGACCCTTCATTGTCTTGTGATTTTTGCTGGTAGAGTGTCTCGCCTCCATCTGGATGGTTGCTGATTGATCAGGGTGATGGTTGCCGAAGGTTGGGGTAACTGTGGCAATTTCTTAAAACAATGAGGTTTGCTGCATTGATTGGCTCTTCCTTTCACAAAAACATTTCTCTGCATCATGCAGTGATGTTTGATAGAATTTTACACACAGTAGAATGCCTTTTAAAATTGAGTTCAATCCTCTCAAACCATGCCACAGCTTTATCAACTAAGTTCATGTAATATTTTAAATCCTTTGTTGTCATTTCAACAGTGTTTACAGCATCTTCACCAGGAGTACATTCCATCTCCAGAAACCATTGTCTTTGCTAATTCATAAAAAGCAATTTCTCATCTGCTAATATTGTATCATGAGATTGCAGTAATTCAACACATCTTTAGATTCCACTTTTTTAAAAAATTTTATTATTATTATACTTTAAGTTTTAGGGTACATGTGCACAATGTGCAGGTTAGTTACATATGTATACATGTGCCATGTTGGTGTGCTGCACCCATTAACTCATTATTTAGCATTAGGTATATCTCCTAATGCTATCCCTCCCCCCTCCCCCCACCCCACAACAGTCCCCAGAATGTGATGTTCCCCTTTCTGTGCCCATGTGTTCCCATTGTTCAATTCCCACCTATGAGTGAGAACATGCGTTGTTTGGTTTTTGTCCTTGTGATAGTTTGCTGAGAATGATGGTCTCCAGCTTCAGCCATGTCCCTACAAAGGACATGAACTCATCATTTTTTATGGCTGCATAGTATTCCATGATGTATATGTGCCACATTTTCTTAATCCAGTCTATCATTGTTGGACATTTGGGTTGGTTCCAAGTCTTTGCTATTGTGAATAGTGCCACAATAAACATACATGTGCATGTGTCTTTATAGCAGCATGATTTATAATCCTTTGGGTATATACCCAGTAATGGGATGGCTGGTTCAAATGGTATTTCTAGTTCTAGATCCTTGAGGAATTACCACACTGACTTGCACAATATTTGGACTAGTTTACATTCCCACCAACAGTGTAAAAGTGTTCCTATTTCTCCACATCCTCTCCAGCATCTGTTGTTTCCTGACTTTTTAATGATCACCATTCTAACTGGTGTGAGATGGTATCTCATTGTGGTTTTGATTTGCATTTCTCTGATGGCCAGTGATGATGAATATTTTTTCATGTGTTTTTTTGGCTGCATAAATGTCTTCTTTTGAGAAGTGTCTGTTCATATCCTTCTCCCACTTTTTGATGGAGTTGTTTGTTTTTGTCTTATAAATTTGTTTGAGCTCATTGTAGATTCTGGATATTAGCCCTTTGTCAGATGAGTAGGTTGCAAAAAAGAGCCTGCATTGCCAAGTCAATCCTAAGCCAAAAGAACAAACTGGAGGCATCATGCTACATGACTTCAAACTATACTACAAGGCTACAGTAACCAAAACAGCATGGTACTGGTAACAAAACAGAGATATAGACCAATGGAACAGAACAGAGCCCTCAGAAATAATGCCACATATCTACAACTATCTGATCTCTGACAAACCTGACAAAAACAAGCAATGGGGAAAGGATTCCCTATTTAATAAATGGTGCTGGGAAAACTGGCTAGCCATATGTAGAAAGCTGAAACTGGATTTATTCCTTACGTCTTATACAAAAATTAATTCAAGATGGATTAAAGACTTACATGTTAGACCTAAAACCATAAAAACCCTAGAAGAAAACCTAGGCAATACCATTCAGGACATAGGCATGGGCAAGGACTTCATGTCTAAAACACCAAAAGCAACGGCAACAAAAGCCAAAATTGACAAATGGGATCTAATTAAACTAAAAAGCTTCTGCACAGCAATAGATTTCACTTCTAATTCTAGTTCTATTGTTATTTCTACTCCATCTGCAGTTACTACCTCCAATGAAGGCTTAAACTCTTCTAAGTAACCCAGGAAGGTTAGAGTCAACTCCTTCCAAACCTTTGTTCATGTTTACCTTTTGACCTTCTCCCATGAATTAAAAATGTTCTCAATGGCATCCTAAATTGTGAATTTTTCCAGAAGATTTTCAATTTACCTTGCCCACATCCATCAGAGGAACCACTATCTATGACTACCATAACCCTATGAAGTGTATCTCTCAAATAATAAGATTTGAAGGTCAAATTTGCTCCTTGATCCATGGCTGCAGAAAAAATGTGTTAGCAGACAGAAAACAACATTAATCTCCTTGTACATTTCCATTAAAACTCTTGGGTGAGTAGGTGCATTGTAATGAGCAGTATTTTGAAAAGGATCTTTTCTTTCCAAGCAATAAGTCTCAACAGTGGTCTTAAAATACTCAAGTGGGGGGTGGGGGAGGGATAGCATTAGGAGAAATACCTAATGTAAATGACATGTTGATGGGTGCAGCACACCAACATGGCACATGTATACCTATGTAACAAACCTGCATGTTGTGCACATGTACCCTAGAACTGAAAGTACAATAAAAAAAATACTCAGTAAACCATGCTATAAACAGGTGTACTATCACCTAGGCTTTGTTTTTTCATTTATAGAGCTCAGGGGGAATAGATTTAGCATCATTCTTAAGGGCACTAGGATTTTTGGAACGGTAAGCATTGGCTTCATCTTAAATTCACTGGCTGCATTAGCCCCAGTCAGTCTGTCCTTCAAAGATTTGAAGCCAGTTATTGACTCATCTTCTCTAGCTATGAAAGTCCTAGATGACATTTTTTTTCCAGTTGAAGGCTGTTAAGTCTACAGTGAAAATCTGTGGTTGAGTGTAGCACCTGCATCAGTGATCTTACCTATATCTTCTGGATAACTTCTGCAGCTTCTTCATTACGTTAGCTGCTTCACCTTGCACTTTTATGTTATGCAGACAACTTCTTTTCTTAAACCTTAGTAACCAACTTCTGCTAGCTTCCAATTCTTCTTCTATAGCTTTCTCCCCTCTCTCAGACTTCATAGAATTGGAGAGAGTTAGAGCCTTGCTCTAGATTAGGTTTTGGCTTAAGGGAATGTTGTGGCTTGTTTCATCTTCTATTCAAATCACTAATATTTTTTCCATATCAGCAATAAGGCTGTTTCACTTTCTTATCATCCCTATGTTCACTGGAGTAGTACTTACAATTTTCTTTAAGAATTTCTGTTTGTATTCACAAGTTGGATAACTTTTTGGCACAAGAGGCATAGCTTTCAGCCTATCTCAGCTTTTGATATGCCTTCCTCACCAAGCTTAATCATTTCTGGCTTTTTAATTAAAATGGGAGATATGCAACTCTTCCTTTCACTTAAACATTTTAGAGGTCTTTGTAGGGTTATTCGTTGTTCTGGTTTCAATATTGTTGTGTGTCAGGGAATAGGGAGGCCAGAAAGTAAGGAGAGAAACAGGGGAATGGCCAGTTGGGTATGTGGAGCAGTCAGAACACACACAACATTGATCAATTAAGCTTCCTGTCCTATACGGGCAAAGTTCATAGTGCTCCCCCACCCACCCGCCCATCCCCCACAAATTAGAATAGTAATGTCAAAGTTTACTGATCACAGATTACCATAACGGATATAATAATGAAAAGTTTTAAAATATTGCCAGAATTACCAAATGTGACAGACAGGAAGGGAACGCATAATGTAAGAACAATGACATCCATAGACTTGCTCAACACGTGTTGCCACAAAACTTCAACTTGTAAAATGCAATATTTCTGAAGCACTATAAAGCAAATTTCAATACAACAAGGCATGCCTGCGTGTGTGTGTATGTGTGTATGTGTTTTAACAGTAACATTAGCAAGAGCGGTAGCATTCATAGAAGAAAGCAAGTCCACATTATCAGTATTGTTAATGTTTATCAATATATGATTAGATGTGAGAATTTTTAATTTTCCTTTTTCATACTTTTCTATTTTAATTCTTTTCTAAACTATAATTACTGTTTGTCATCAGAGTAAAAACAAAAACCAAAAAATTAAATGCAATTTAAATAATGATTTCTGAGCTATATTTATTCTTACACGTAATCTCTGTGTGTAATAATAATGCTTTACTTAACATCTTCAGTGATTTTCTTATAACTTACTAAACTTTTTATATACATTAGTTTATGTGCTTTTACAACGTAACAAGTTGATGAACAGTATAGGTCAGTTATTATTCACTGTATTATGCACAAGGAAACTGAGCCACAGAGTTCAATGAGTTCTATAACAGAACTGTAAATGAATCCAGGACTACAGAGGTCAAACTAAGTGCAAGATCCACTATGCCCCTTCAGGACTCACAAGTAGATTCATATTCTTTACATTTTATCTAAAGTAAATAAAACAATCCTATTCGTTATGGTTTTTCAACTTTTCATAAGTAAATTATTATAGAAAATATAGAAAGGTTATCAGTATTCATTCATTTTATTCACTCATAAATTTAGTAGATCATATTTACAACTCATTACCAGGTGCTCTACTCAGGGATAATGATCCAAAGATCCTTTATACACTGGGCCTGGCTTCACCAACTTCAAAGTACCAGAAGAGCAAAATTCATTTTTTATAGAGATGATATTCAAACTAACTTTACAAGATTTACTCAAATAATTGTTGACAAGTAGGTTCCTTCACCTCTATACCAAATATCCACTGTCTGATATATGACTTAGAACACGCCAACCAAATTTTATGCTACTCTGATCTAGTTTTTGGTTTCATTCTCTCTGAACACTCAACCATTGGATATGATGATTAGTGTTTTACACAAACACTATTACTGTAGTGTTATTTACATACTTACCAATTGCCTTGCACATTATTATGCTGTCTCAAACCTTCCTTCAGGGTCATAACCTTCATTTCAAACCGTATCTTTAAAAGTTCCTGTAGGCTATTTTTGGATGGGAAATGCTTGCACATTTTGTTTATCTGCATAAATCTTTATTTCACTTCATTTCTGAAAAATGATTTTGCTGCGAATATAGTTTGGTGACCTTGTTAGACTGTTTTCTGGCTTCCATTTTGGCTGCTGAGTAGTTTGCTAATAATATTCGTGTGTGACAGGTCCTTAATTTCTGGCTGCTTTAAGATTATTTGTGTAAATGTGTGTGTTGCAGTTTCACTACAAGATGTCCAGGTGTGGGTTTCTTTTTTTAATCATAACTAGAGAGATAGTGTACATGTAGCTTCATGTGTTTTACCAGTTTGGAAAAATTCTAAGCCATTATGTCTTTGAGCTTCCTATTAGGTCTATGCTAGAATTTCTCAAGTCATCTTCCATATCTCTTTTCCTTTTTGTTAATATCTCTCGTCTCCCTTACTCTGTGTGCTGTCAATTATTTCTTCAGCTTCTTTATTGGCTCATAAATTCTCATGTCAGCCCTGTCTTTCTTCATTCAGAGTGCTATAACAAATTTCATAGACTGGGTGGCTTATAAACAACAGAAATTTATTTCTCACAATTCCAGGGGCTAGGAAGTCCAAAGTCAATGCAGCAGCAGATGATTCTGTGCCTGGTGAGGGCAGACTTCCTGGTTTGGTATAAAAATGCATTCTTGCTGTATCCTCATATGGTGTAATAAACGGGCAAGGCAGCTAGCTCTCTGGGGCCTCTCTTATAAGGACAGTGAGACTATTTTAATGGTAATGGAAGTGATGATGTAATTACCACCAAAGGCTCCTAATAGCATCACATTGGTGATTCGGTTTCAACATTTGAATTTGGGGCAGGCGGAGGGACACAAACATTGAGAGCATAACAAAAGCGTTTTCATGCAGAATGTAGTTATTGTGACATCCAGTATCTAGTGTCTAGTAAAAGTAGTTGTCTGACCCATTGATAGTTTATATCTCTTCAGATATGTATATTTATTATATTAATGTCATTGTTGATATCAGTACATATTGAAAACCTTTTTTCTGAAACATTAATAATTGTCTAATATTTTAAAACCTTTTCCTCTCTCTCCATAATTTATTCTCTCCCATTTGTCTCTCACACCCATATGAAAATTCTTTGTACACATAGTTGCTAAAATAATTATGTAGCTACAGATTCCTCTATTCTAAATTAAATGCTTTTGAAACATAATAATTACATATTAGACTAATTATATAAACTATTAAAAAAGATTTGACAAGTTTGTATATTTTTTAGCTGTAATATAATAGGCTAGGTCATTCTGGAGAACAAATTAAGATCTTGGAAAAAGAAATGAGATTATGTAGGATACATATTGACAGGAGACACTGGTTCTTAAATATCAGTCATGAATGTTTGTTTACACTGATCTTATTTTGTTTTGCTTAAGTTAAAATGTGTCTATTTTGTGGGTTATGTACTTCCCACTCTTTTACATTTAAAATATTATTTTGTTTGTGTGTGCCTGTGTGTAATGAACACTTGATATATCTTGGTGTTCTCTCTTTCCCTTTTGGTAATTGAATTGATCTGGAAAATTTTTGACTCTGATAATCACTGGTATAAAGAAAAAAAAATACAAAAAACCCCATGAGTTTAAATGTTTATTCTCCTATTCATCATATTTGTTCTTTATTGTCTTGTTTTTTGAGACAAGGACTCGCTCTGTTGCCCAGGCTGGAGTGCAGTGGCACGATCACAGCTCACTGCAGCCTCCATCTCCTGGGCTCAAGAAATCCTTCCACCTCAGCCTCCTGAATAGTTAAGACTCCACATGCACAAAACACCATGGTTGGCTAATTCTTTTTAATATTTTGTAGACACAAAGTCTCACTCTGTTGACCAGGGTGGTCTCAAACTCCTGGGCTTAAGCAAGTCTTTTACCTTTCCCTCCCGAAGTGCTGCAATTACAGTGTGAAGCTGTCATCCCCTGCCAGTTTTGTTTCTTGAACAAAGTACTTGTCCTTTCTTTTCTTCATGTAGAGGAGGCAAAATTTTACTGCTATTCTCTTAGGATTTTCAGCTGGGCTTGAAAACTAAATTGACACATAACAGATCAAAATGAGAAAAGCATACAAATTTATATAATTCGTGTTTTATGTGGCAGAGGCACCTTCATAAGAAAATAAAGATTCAAAGATGCAGTTGATGTTGAAACATTTTATGCTGAATTGGAAAATGAATACTATATTGTGAAAAGATAATTTAATTATATGGGGAAGCTAAAAGAAGAAAATAGTTATCTTCTCAGTCTGTAAAGAATCCTCTCCATCTCACTTCCCAATCTTGATAAGAATGTTACTTTAATCCTTGTATAGGGAGGACAGCTTTCATGTGAACTTTCCTCTCCTGCTTTTAAGAAACAGAGTGAACCTCAGAGTGATGTTGTACCTGCTGTTTATCAAGTGCCATTAACGCAAAATGGTCAATATGCCACAGTAGCATATTTTATGGTGGCATATTCTTAACTCTTTCATCAGTTTCTTAAAAGGAAAACAGAATACCACTCCTTGTATGAGAATCTAACATCGACAAAAAAAGTCACTTAGTGATTGTTTAGAGCCAATATAAGTTATGTTATACTCTTCTTAGTTTTGAAATTTAAAGATTAGTTATTTATATTTTTTCCAAATAACTTTGGATTCTTTATGTAAATTACTGGTGTTTTGACTGGCTCAGTTAAATTTCAGCATTAAAAAATTCTTTTCGGCCAGGTGTGATGGCCCACGCCTGTAATCCCAGCACTTTGGGAGGCCAAGGTGGGCAGATCACAAGATTAGGAGATCGAGACCATCCTGGCTAACATGGTGGAACCCCATCTCTACTAAACATACAAAAAATTAGCCAGGCGTGGTGGCATGTGCCTGTAGTCCCAGCTACCTGGGAGGCTGAGGCAGGAGAATCACTTGAACCCAGGAGGTGGAGATTGAAGTGAGCCGAGATTGCACCACTGCACTCTAGCCTGGGCAACAGAGCAAGACTCTGTCTCAGAAACAAATTATTTTTAAAATATAAATATAATTTAAACGTGATATGTAGGGAATCAACAGAGAAAAAGCAATGAGAGCAAAAGCAGATTCTTTGAAAATATTAATAAAATTTATAAACGTATAGCTACGCTACTAAGAAAAAAAATGGGCAAGGGTTAATAGTGTCATAAAGGAAAAAGGGGACATAACTCTGGGTCCTGTGGAGATTAAAAGGATAATAATGGCATACTATGAATAACTCTAGGCCCACGAATTTGGTAACCCAGATGAGATGGACAGATTACTTGAAAGACACCATATGTCAGTACTCTCACAAGAAGAAAGAATCAATCAGTATAGACCTATATCTATCAAAGAAATTAAAGCAATAATAAATAACTTTCTAAATCTGAAAGCACCATGCCTAGATGAATTACCTGGTGAGTTCCAGGCAAAGGAGGAAATTTCTCCCAGTTCTCTACAGTCTTTCTTAGAAGGGAGAAGAAGAGAAAATAATTTCTTAATTATTCTATAAGTCCAGTGTCACTCTATTATTAAAACCAAACATAGCACAAGAAAAAAAACCTACAAATAATTATTTCTTATTAATATCAATGTAAAAATCCTCACCAAAATATTAGCAAATTGAATTCAACAAGGTAGAAAAAGTGTTATACAACATGACTGTGTGACTACATTTTCATGCTGTTGATGAAGACATACCTGAGACTGGGCAATTTACAAAAGAAAGAGGTTTAATGGACTTACAGTTCCAAGTAGCTGGGGACGCCTCACAATCATGGTGGAAGGCAAGGAGGAGCAAGTCATATTTTACATGGATGGCAACAGGCAAAAAGAGAGTTTGTGCAGGGAAACTACCCCCGCCCCCATAAAACCATCAGATCACATGAGACTTGTTTACTATCATGAGAACAGCATGGAAAACACCTGCTGCCATGACTTAATTACCCCCTACCGGGTCCCTCCCACAACAAAAGATCAAGATGAGATTTGGGTGTGGACACAGCCAAACCATATCTATTACAAAATAGGATTTATCTCAGATGTGTAAGAATAGTTCAACATTTAAAATTTAATTAATGTAATCTATCACACCAACAGGATAAAGATGAAAAACAACATGACCATATCCATAAATACAGAAAAATTGTCAAAATCCAACACCCATTAGTGATAAAAATTCAGTTAAATAAAAATAGAGGGCAACTTATTCAACTTGATAAAGGGTATCTATAAAACATTTATACACAAACTCATACTTAATCATGAGAAACCAGAAGCTTTCCAGTTAAGATCAGAAATAAAGCAATGATGCCCATTCCCACCACTTCTTTTCAATATTATTCTTGAAATCCTAGCTAATGCAACAAAACAAGAAAATAAAATGAAAGGTGTGCTGATTGGGAAGGAAAAAATACAACAGATGACAGACATGTTTGTCTATATAGAAAATGTGGAAGAATCAACAAAAATCTTCTGGAACTAATAAGCAATTATAGGCAGGTTTCAGGACACAAGGCTAATATACAAAAGCCAATTATTCTATATGCCAGCAAAGAACAAGTGGAATTTTAGATTAAAAACACAATATTCATATCAGCACCAAAAATGGAATACATAAATATAAATTTAACAAAATATGTACAAGATCTGTATGATGAAAACTACAAAACTCTGTGATAGAAAACAAAGAAATAAATGAAATGACATTCCATGTTAATGAATATGAAGACTCGATATTATCAAGATGTCAGTTCTCCCCAACTTGTTCTATAGATTCAGTGTAATCCCATAAAACTCCAGCAAGTTATTTTGTAGATATTCTCAAACTTATTCTAGGGTTTATATGAAAAGGCAAAGGACCTAGCATAGCCAACACTATAAAAAAGAAAGAAAATAGTTGGGGGATTGACGCTATCCAAATTCAAAACTTACAATAATGTTACAGTAATCAAGACAATGCAGTATTGGTGAAAGGACAGACAAATAGATCCACGGGAAAGAAGAGAGAGCCCAGAAATAAAGCCACATAAATAAATATGGCAATCTAATGTTTGACAAAGGAGCACAATGACAATACAATGGAGAAAAGACAATCTTTTAAAAAATGTTGCTAGAATAACTGGACATCCCCATGAGAAAACAAAATAAATCTAGACAGAGACTGTACAGTATTCAAAAAATGGATCACAATATAAATGTGAACTGCAAAACTAAAACTCTTAGAAGATTATAAGAGAAAATCTAAATGACCTTGGATTTGGTAGTAACTTTATAGATACAACATCAAAGGCACAATTTATGAAAGAAAGAATTGATAAGCTGGATTTAATTTTTTAAATTATATTTAAAAATTATGCTCTGCAAAAGAGACTTTCAAGAGAACGAGTAGACAAGCCACAGAGTGGAAGAAAATAGTTGCCAAAAAAAATCTGAAAAGGATTATTGTCTTAAATATATAAAGAACTTGTAAAACTCAAGAAGAAAAGCAAAACAACCTGATTAAAAATGGGACAAAGACCTCAACAGACACCTTATCAAAGAAGATATAGAGAAGGCAAATAAGCACATGAAAAGAAGCTCCATATCATATGTCATCAGGGAAACGCAGACGACAACAATGAGATACTGCTATACACCCATTCATATGGTTGAATTACAGAACACTGGCAATACAAAATGCTGATGAGAATGTGGAAAAACAAGAACTCTCATTTATTGCTTGTGGGAAAGTAAAATGATGTAGCCACTTGCGAAGACATTTTGGTGATATCTTACAAAAGTAAATACACTCCTATTATATGACACAGTGACCCAGTGATCTTGGTATTTACCCCAAAATCTTAAAAATTCATTTTCATGCAAAATTCTGCACATGAATATTTACAGCATCTTTAGTTCTAATTGCAAAATCTTGGAAGCAACTAAAGGATCTTTCAGCAAATGAAAGGATACATAAAAGTGTTAATGCAGACAATAGAATACTATGCAGCATTAAAAGAAAAAACTACCAAGTCAGGAAAAGACATGAGGGAAACTTAAATGCATATTACTAAGTGAAAGAAGCCAATCTCAAAAGCCTTCCAGCTGTATGATTCTAGTCATATGATATTCTAGAAAAGTCAAAACTATGGAAACAGTAAAAAGATGAATGGTTTTAAGGAGTTAGAGGGGATGGGAGACATGAATAGGTAGAGGGGTTCTTAGGGCAGTGAAAATATTCTGTATGTGATACTACAAGGGTGGATTCATGCTGTTATAAATCTGTCTAAAATATAATATATAACACCAAGAGTGAACTCTAATTTAAACTGTGGACATTGAGTGATATTGTAGCAAATGTACCACTTTGGCGGGAATGTTGATCATCCGGGAGGCTATGCCTGTGTACAGTGGGTATAGGAGATATCTCTGCACCCTTGTCTCAATATTGCTGTTAACCTAAAACTGCTCTATAAAAATTAAATATTAAAAAATACAAAAATTCTATTCATAAAAGCCACCTTAACTGTAGTATGGAAAATATTTTCATATTATGACTGTAGGTGTCATTATATAAAACAATAAATCTGTCCAACATAAAAATATCTGCCACAAAACACCATCTATTCATTTTTCTTCATCAAAGACTCTCTTTGGAATTTTCAACAGTGATAGTCACAAAAATCTAAGTGGTCCAATGAAACTCTAAAAGATTTTCAAAAATAGAAGTATTAGGCCAATTTACCATCTAGTTTAATTATAAGCAAAAGTTTAAAATAATTTCATTCTTCTAAGTTTCCCTATACTGTTTTGTTTCTCTAAGCATTGGCATTACATTCATTTATCAAAGAATACATAGTTTAAGTTAGTTCATATAAGAGACCACACAGATTTTTACAAATGAAACTTTCTATAAGTAAAAATGGAGACATGGCATTAATAGAGTACACATGCTAAAAACTGCTTAGCTATTTTTATTGTAATGAATTGTTCAAAATTATGAAGATGATAAAATAGCAGTTTCTTAAATAATGTTTCATATTTTTTCCAGGAACACTCTTTGGAACAAAATGTAGATAATTACTAAATTTTTATACCCCAGGCATTAATAAAAATAGTTATTATTTTCATTATATTAAGAGATTCAGGATTATTTAAAATGCTTATCAGATACACATTGGACTAAAAGCTGTATTTTGGAAGATGTATAAATTGTTCTTCTTAATTAAATAGATTAATTATAATTAAAATGAAAAGAAGGATGTATTCTGTTCTAAAAAATGGATACTAATTATGATAGAAATAATACATTTTAAGACATTTTCATATGTTATATGTTAGGACATATGAAAGTGATAGAAAGCATAGAAATGATCAATTTTGAGACATTTTCATATGCTAATAGGGCACAACTATTTAGATTTTAGACCCTTTAGAATTTTACATTAACCTTTAAGACTTGATTTATTTCTGTTTTCTCTTCTTTTCTTGATGCCAATGCTAAGGTTCCTAAAATCACATGCTTCTTAACTTATATCCAAGGGAATAGTAGGTCACCATGATCTCAGTAAAAGTCCTTTGAGATACCCTGGTTGATCTGCTTTAGGCCACGTGGCCACTACTGGGAAAGTTGTGGCCAGAAGCCACGAGTAGGATTAAGAGCAGACTCAGATGTACAAGATCCACAAGGATTCCAAATTACATTTGAATTCTTGGTTTTAAAACATGGGGAATGGATGCTGACAGGTAATTCATAACTGGCTATTACACCACTGACAATACAGCACAAATATTAAGTGTTTGAAGTTAAAGCCATTTTACCTGGGTTGGAATCTGACTCTGTTGCTTACTAGTTGTGCGAACTTGGGTGATTGTTTTCAGTCTCTTCATGCTTTGGTTTTCACATCATTAAAATAGAGATAGGCACAATAATGCCTATCTCTTAGATTCGTGTGAAGGTTAATTGAATAATCAATACCAATGCCTGAAGAGGGAAGGAATGGAATTGTTATTGGATCCCAGGAAAAGTAGCAGGTATGCTGTTGTGAACTGAGGGGATCAGTGACCTTCAATGGATCAGAAAATAACCAGCACAAGATTTAAGTTTGAAAAAGAAGAGACAATGAGTTATAAATTTTTGTCAATTATATTATGTGAAGTGGGTTACCTCAGGACTTTATAAATCCCCTCACCATGTCATATCTTAACATCCTCACTAATTGTCCACCTGAGCAAAACCATACCCATTTATGCCAATTAGACATTGTCATTGCTTAAAATTTTACCAACTCAGAAAGCTGCTTCTTCCAGATTATATGCTTTTACCATTTCAGCTGTAGATTTTGCTTCAAATATCCTTAGAATTGTGCATATCCTTCTGACTTTGGCCATTTTCTTTTAATTATGGATGGTGTGATTTTTATATCACTAGTTTCAACGATGATATTTACCTGATGATATTTAGTTTTATTTGTGTGCAATATAACTCAGTTGTACATCTTACCATGCCAACAGCAGTGGTGTGATCTGATGGGAAGAGCCTATGCATGAGAGGACGAAGTTTAGATATATAGTCTACTTTATATAATCTGCTTTGTATAGTCTACTTTCAATAAAAGCCCTGCCCATAGTCATAAAGTGAGCCATATGGGTAATTTAAGATGAACTTAATTTTAGTAGTATATTTGATATAATATATCCAAAATATTATCATTTCAAATATAATCAATACAAAAATAATTAATGGAGCATTTAAATTATTTTTTGTTCCAGGCCTTCAGAATACATTGCATATGTTACATGTACATCTCACTTGGTGCTAGACAATCACTCAATATCCATGTGTTGCTGTGTATTGGGCAGTGTATTTTCTATCATATGGGGCAGTGCAGCTCT
The DNA here is from genome assembly GCF_000001405.40 of Homo sapiens. NCBI lineage: Eukaryota > Metazoa > Chordata > Mammalia > Primates > Hominidae > Homo > Homo sapiens. The sequence continues at coordinate 79,701,648 of NC_000003.12, read as the reverse complement.
AAAGCTACTTGATATATTCAGTTTTGTTTTTTCATCTGTATAATAATAATTAGAATTATGTTTGACAGCAAGTTTTAGAAACTGAAAATAACAATGGCTGACAAAGGGCAGAAATTTATTTCTATCTTTTGTAATAAGGTTAGTTGGCTCTGTTCTACAGACTCCACAGGAACTCAGGCCCGTTTTAGCTCATAGTTCTGTCATCTCGGTAGTGTGAACCTTGGTATGATTGTACAAAATGGCAACATGTATGTCCAGCTAATAGGATAGAAAAAAGGATATCATTTTTTCACAGAACTAGAAAAAACTATCTTAAAATTCATAAGGAACCAAAACAGAGCTCAAATACCCAAAGCAATCCTAAACAAAAAAGAACAAACCTGGAGGCATTGCATCACTTGATTTCAGACTACACTATAAGGCCACAGTAACCAAAACAGCATGGTACCAGTATAAAGACAGACATATCAACCAGTGGAATGGAATAGAGACTCAAGAAATAAAGCTGCACATCTACAGTCATCTTATTTTCAACAAAGTTGACAAAAATAAAAAATGTGTAAAGGACTCTCTATTCGATAAATGGTGATGGGATAAATGGCTACCATATGCAGAAGAATGAAACTGGACCCTTACCTTTTACAAGGTACAAAAATTCTCTCAAGATGTATTAAATATTTAAATGTAAGATCTTAACTATAAGAATCCTAGCAGAAAACTTAGGAAACACTTTCTAAAATGGTGACCTTGGGAAAGAATTTATGGCTAAGTCCTCAGAAGCAACTGCCATAAAAACAAAAATTGAAACTAAAAACAGCATTAACGGACAACCCACAGAATGGGAGAAAATATTCACAAAGTATGCATCTGACAAAGCTCTAATGTCCAGAATCTATAAGGAACTTAATTGAAAGAGCAAAAAACAAATAACCCCATTAAAAAGTAGGCAAAAGACACTAACAGGCACTTTTCAAAAGAAGACATACAGGTGGCCAACAAACATGAAAAAGTGTTCAGCATCATTAATCATCAAAAATACAAATCAAAACCACAATAAGGCACCATCTCACACCAGTCAGAATGGATACTACTAAAAAGCCAAACAACAACAGATGCTGGCGAGGTTGAAGAATAAAGTGAACACTTTTACATTGTTTGTGGGAATGTAAATTATTAGTTCAGCCACTGTGGAAAGCAGTTTGCAGATTTCTTAAATAACTTGAAACGGAACTATCATTTGACCCAGCAATCCCATTACTGGGTACATATCCAAAAGAAAATAAATTGTTCTCCCAGAAAGACACACACACACACACACACACACACACACAAACACACACACACAAACACACACACACACGTGTTCATCACAGCACTATGCACAATAGCAAAGACATGAAATCAACCTAGCTACCTATCACTGGTGGATTGAATAAAGAAAATGTAATACACTATGGAATACTATGCAGCCATAAAAAACCAAAATCATGTCTTTTGCAGCAACATGGATGCAGCTGGAGGCTATTATCCTAAGCAAATTAACATAGGAACAGGAAATCAAATACCGCATGTTTTCACTTATGTGTAGGAACTAAACACTGGGTACTTAGGGACATAAAGATGGCAACAACAGATGTTGGGAAGTATTAGAGAGAGAAGGGAGGGAGGAGGACAAGGGCTGAAAAACTATTTGTACTATGCTCAGTACCTGGGTGACAGGATCATTTGTACCCCAAACCTGAGCATCATGTAATAAACCCATATGACAAACCTACACATACACTCCGTGACTCTAAAATAACAACTAAAATTATATTTAAAAAATGGACCAAAGGCAAACAGTAACTACCTTTCAAGAAATGTTCCCAGAAGCTGCCACATATCGTTTTCACTCATATCTTATTGGCCAGAACCTAGATCTAGAAAATGTCTGTATTGTAGTCAACCAGTTGGTTAACTAAAAACTGTGAGCTCTATAATTATGAAAAAAAAACAACAACATACGTTTTAATAAATAGCAGCTCCTATCCAAGACTTTCTCTGAATCCTCACCTATGGACTCAGGATAATTGCAAAAATTGTACCCCTGGTAGGTGTGCCTTTGGAAGAGACTGTGAGAGGATTCAAGAGGTCTCAACCTTTAATATGTTGCTTTATCTATAAAAATGCATATTTATATAGGGGTCAATTTATCAATTTGATTTAGAATGTTATTGTATTTATGGTACTTCGAGATTTTGAAATGTCCGAGAAATCTGCTTTTCAGATGTCAGACAAACCTGGAAGGCGCACAAATCATGTTCTGTTGCCATGTAGGGGGCGCTCCCTGTGCTTGTACTGTGTTGTTTAGTAACATATCATGGAATCTCAGAAAAATTCCATACCATATATTATTTTCACGCCTCAGGAAGGAAAAATAATAATCAATTCTAATCAAACTTTTCAAATTTGAGCCACAGATATCCATTAGAGGTGGCATTTGTTCACTCAAACGTACTGTTTTTATTTTAGATGGTTACATCTCATACTCTACCCATAAATGTTAATGTCATATATATATATATAAATTAATAAATATATATCTTAGTTATAAACGTCCTTTAATGATCTCTCTTTGAAAAAAACTACACAGTGCATAATTGATGTTATGAATAGGAAGGTATGTTCTAAATATACAGACCTGTATTAAACTTTCATTTTGTGATCAAATATGGCAAGTGTTTAGAGAGGTCAAAAAAAACTATTATTTTAAAGCTTATCAGCACTTTCAACATCTCCTCAGTGGATTTCTTGATTTATTCTTCAATGGTCAAGAGTCAACTCTGTCTGCTTTATGTGTTGAGTTCCTTCATAAATTATTAATGTTCTTGCTGCCTGACTAAACACTTCAATTTCTCAAAAAATTTTATTGTGCCAGCAATACTTTCTCTCTATTAATGGTGGTTCCCTTTAGGAATACTTTAAGATTGAATTAAGTAACTTCTTAATGGTAGTTTAGCTACAAATCTGCCTCTTTGTTAACTAAATGGAAAATAATTCAGGAGGGAAATAAAGGCAAATTTCACAATTGAACCTTTAGGATTTCTTCAATAGAAGCATATTCTGGAAGAATAGACCATATGAAAAATAGTCTAGAATTTACTTCTAAGTAATCAAATTATTATCTATCATATATATTTATCTATATGTGGAAAAGCAAAATTAAAAGAGGTGAATCTGTCTACTTCATCTATCCATTTACCTTACTGATATATCTATCTTACCTATCTTATCTATCTGTGATTGTTTTTTAACCAATAATAAAGGTAGAATGAGCACATGAGAAAAATATATAAAATTAATAGTTATGATTTCATTAATGACAGCTGCTCTGACAAGTTTTACATTTTCCATTATTTATTGCTACTAATAGTTATAGTTGTACTGTATGCTTTGGCAAACAAATTTCTAGTAAGTTCATGTCAATGAATATTTTGTGCCACATCAGTCTTCAAAGTCCTCATATTTAATTTGCTGCCTAGTATATCACTGAGAAAAAGTTTTACTATTAGATTATCTCCTAATGTATGGAAATTCAAGTGGCTCCTAATTTTTAATGCTTAATGCTGCAATAAAGTATCAAAACATTTTTAGAACATTTTTATTTTTCAATAAAAAATCTTTAAAATCTAACATTTTTTAATTTATGTTTTAAAAATATTAGATTTTTTAAGATAGTGATTTTTCATTTAAATGGAATGTATGTATGTTTAACTCTTGTTTTATACTTTTTTCACAATGGTGGCCATACTTGCTATGAGACCTCACTGAACAAAATTGGGCAGAATTATTTCCCAGGTTTATAAATTAATCAACAAAATGCTAACTTATTATGCTTATTACTAAGTAGTATTTTTTCATTTCTGATTACATTTTCTGCTTCTTGGTTATAATTCCTTGTTATGAACTACATTTTCCAATCCATGGAACTTTAAAAATTATTATTATTAATATATCACCTCATCATATGTCTTATTGTGACAAAGAATTTGAAAACACTTGCCACAATATATTTTGGTCATTTTTTTCTTTTTATGTATTTGTTCCTTTTTATGCATTAAAATATTTCAGTTTTAGGCCATAATGTCTATATGCTATTCCATACTTTGATATTTATTCTTCCCTTCTGCATGATCCATAATAATTGAATGTAATTTTATTCTCCTTAAGATATGATGACCATTTCAAAATTAAATCTAGCTCATTGGATATTCTTTTGTCATTTGTATGGGTGAAGTATGTATCTAATTTTTTTCTAAAATATTCTCTAATTCTTGAATTAACATTGTTATGCTGCAGAATAGATTATTACATCTAACCATTGACTTGCTCATTCTTTTTTAAGAATATTTTTGAATGACTCTTCCAAACTTTCTCTTATTAGAAAATGATAATTATATATAATTTAGAACCATTCTTAATTACTTAGGTGGAAATTACCCTGTTCCATCTGCCTTCCCAACACCAGTTATTACTGGCTGGGTAGTCCATACCAAGAGAACCCATATGGACCATGTTAGGAACACTGAACTTTTATATTTTTGCATGCTACCTTTCTTTTCCTTTATTTTTCTCCGACTTGTAGCACGTCTCTGTCACTAGATACCCTGGTTCTCTACACAGAGAAATGAACCCAATATCCTTTTTGAGACAATATATTTATGTCTGATTTTTTTCATTTCCTTAATGAAACCAGAAACAACATTTTTGAAAAGAAGGCAAAAGAAAATTGGATCAACTTCCCAGTCAATACATTAGAAGGTGATATTGACTTTATATAATCTTGGTCTGAACATGGCTCTCAAACTAATACAATTGCCACTTTTTTCACTGTCATTTTTGAAGTGATGACAGTCTATGAGAAAGTAGAACATTTTAGAAGACTTGAAAAAGAGACTAAATGAGAAGGTAATTTATCCAGGTGCCATTTTCTTTTACCTCTGCCTCCTTTTTTAGAGATCAGTTTAGTTAAAAGTATTTCAGATATCATGATATTATCCTTATTAATTTGAATTAGAGCTTAGAAAACAATACAAAAGTCCATATGCTATTTCCAATTTGTTATACAAGATTCATTGCCATGGATGTCTTTTTTCCTTCTATACCTCATATATATCTGTATATATACCTGTGTGTGTATATATATATATATTATTTAGATATATTATTTTCATCTAAATAATTCACTTATGCCAAGTTATAGATCAATTCCTAAATATAATTTCTTATTTTAATAAGGTTTATTAGTTATATTTAATAAGCAACATAAAGTAGGCTTCAAGTTTAATATTACAATAGAGCAGATTCTTTTTAGTACAAATAAGTAATTAGGAAAAGTAACGGAATCCAGAACAAGAGAGAAATTAAATATGCAAGAACTTGGGAATCAGCTGAAGGGATTTCCTCCAGAGAGAAATCAGTCTTGGAGGAAAAGTTGCAGGCTACAAAAATATACAATTGAAATATGTAGAAAGCAAAAATTATCAATATATCCCACAAACATAAATATACTCACGTATTAACATTTTAGTGAACAAAAAACCCCAAGTCCCTCCCACATTCTCATTTTTATTACAGTGTTCAAGAAAGTAGATAATGTCAATTCTAACACAGAACCCCCTCCCCAAGGGAAAAATGATGCTATTCTTTTGTTTTGATTGGGGGGAAAAAAAACCTATAACTGTGTCCGCTTAATTTTTACTGAAACTAAACTTTCTAAAGATATATTATTTACTCATGGTGTTTTAGATTGTAAAATAATCACAACACAAAATGCCTTATACACTTTTTTTTTATATTCCCAGTAGTTTACTCTAGATTCTACATTTAGCAGTAAAGCATTTCAACATAATTTCTTCTTAGAAGACTTAATTCCTTCAAAATCACATGAGTATGGTTCAGTAGCATTTCAACATAATTCTTTGTTAATAGGCTCTTAATTCCTTCAAAATCACATGAGTATAGTTCAGTAGCCATTTTTAGGTCACTGGAGTTTTTTGCATTCTCCACTCCCAAGGTAGTTCTTATTCTGTTCTCGGTTTTAAGTGCTTGGTGTTTTCTGTTTTGTTTTGCTCTGTTTTTTAATCAAGTAAAGGAAAGAAGAGAGAAAAAGCACCACAGTCTCAATGAAATAAATTAAATTGATAATCAATAGCCCATATTGGATTAGTGTAATTAAATCAAAATTCAAAGTAAAGTCATTGTAATTCTGAATTAAACAGAACAAGCCAACACTGGTGTATTGAATACTCACATCGTCAAAGAGGTTGTTTAATGTTGCATTGATTACGAGAGTAGATTCTTTGTACAAATAAGTAATTAGTACCAGAACAGAGAGGGACTAAATAGGCAATATAATTAAAAAGCTTGTCTTTTATTCATCTTATTGTTAGTTTTTATTTTTAATTTTTAAAAGACAATATATATCAGTTATCAGATGTTCATATTTTCCTCATTTTCTTCAGATATCTTTGAACAAAACATAACACATAGCTGGTGTAAAGCTTCCATCTCCTTCTTTTCCTTGAATGTAATCAGTATATTAACATGTTCTACAGTTTTAAAAACTGTATTTTTCTTCTTTTGGTTTTAAAATGACAGATTTTCCTCCAAAAAATGGGAAAACAGAGAAAAGTATCAATATTTTATTATAATTATTTTCATAAGAGAGAATCCTAGAATCAAAATTACATGGCCAAAGTTTATACAATGCTTTAAGCTCATATCATTGTCAAATTGCTTTTCAAAAAAGCTTAAGTTATACATCTGATAAAGAATTTTGCATTTTTTGTATTCTAAAAATAATTTTTCCGATTTTATTTCTGCACACTTGTTAATATGAAGAAATGTTTCATATATTGTATGTTGTTACATATGTCATTGCTAGCAACACATGATAAGGTAAATGAACATGGCTTTAAAAAGATGTAATCTAGAACTTATACATACCCAAACATGTATGAATGTAAATTATTTACTAATCCCCCTTCAAACTTTACTTTAAGGGTAACATTTAAAATTAACCTCCCCTTTATTTTCTCCTTTAATTTTAACTTGATGGTGAAAATGCAAGCCATTTATTGCATTAGTATAAATCATTTTGCTTCAGAAAAAAGCAGAATGTAAGAGCAGAACAGAAAAACTGAGGTGGAGATAGCCCAGAGTTGGGTGGTAAACCACACCTTCCACCTTTCACAGCATACATCACTGTATCAAGTAGAAATTTAGCTAAAAATCTATTAAACTTTCTCAAGACATTATAAAACAGTCGACCTAAAAGAGATAAGTAAATAGGCCATTTTTTTTGTAAACTGTGGCTTATAAATTATTTGTAAGACAAAAATGAATGCTGATTAGACATTCTACTGTCAAAATGAGTGTGTTTCTGTAAGGAATTTGTATTACATTTATATAACTAGAATGCATTTGTGCATCCTCCCATCATTCCAGAGTGTTGTGTTGTTGTTTTTTCCTGAAGACTTTATGAATCTTAAGGAAGAATGTTCTTTGTGTGTGATTACATAGAAGTTGTTTCAAATACTTATTTTACTTATTTCAGAATCCAGTATTAGGCCTCTATTTTTCTTGTTACAACTTCTTTTTTTTTAAGTTAACACGTAAATTCTAAATTTGGCCATGTCCAAAACTTAGACTTGGAAAAGAGTCTGAATTTTGAAAAAATATAATATAATTTATGTACCCACTTCTCATGATATTTATTTAAATAAATTCTCAAGATAATAATCTAAAGTTGGTATTTGATAATTAGAAGGTAGTACAATTTACAGTATCATTTTTGGTGTCCTTGAGAAAATGAATGTGTAAATTAAGTTATTTATCTTAGATTTGTGTCCTCATAAAAAAGCAAATCAGGGTTGGGCACAGTGGCTCACACCTATAATCCCAGTGCTTTGGAAGGTCGAAGGGGGAAAATTGTTCAAGGCCAGGAGTTTGAGACCAGCCTGGGCCACATTACCGAGATTCAATTTCTGTGAAAAAATAATTATAAAAATTAGGCAAGCATGGTAGTGTACAACTGTAGCCCTACCTACTTGGAAACTGAGGAGGATTGCTTCAGCCCAAGAGTTCAAGGTTACAGTGAGCTATGATCGTGCCACTGAACTCCAGCCTGGGTTACAGAACAAGATCCAAGACCCTGTGTCAAAACAAACAAACAAAAAAACAAGGACACACACACACACACACACACACACACACACACACACAAATCTCTATATATTGATGTGTATTTTATTAACAGGTGATCTGCTTGTGTATTTCAATAAAACTACTTTAGAAAGACCACATTTCCTGTCTTTGTTTTATAATTTTATTTTTAATTGACAAAGTTTGTATGTATGTATGCTATAAAAGATGATGCTCTGATGTATTTATACATTGTGAAATGCTAAATCAAACTAATTAATACACATATATTATCTCGTACACTTATCATTTTCTTTGGTTAGGGCCTTTCAAATCTATTCTTTTAACGATTTTCAGGTATACCATACACAAGCAGAACATCCATAATCTGAAAATCTGAAATCTTAAATGCCCCAATATCTGAAACTTTTTGAGCACCAACATGCACCTGACCTTATGCAATGGATCAAAGTCAAAACACATTTGTTATATGCACAAAATTATTTAAAATATTGTATAAAATTACTTCAGACTTTGTGTATATGAAACATAAATGAATTCTGTGTTTGGGCTTGGATCCTATTCCCAAGATAACTCATTATGTATATGCAAATATTCCAAAATCTGAAAAAAATTGTAAACCCAACACACTTCTTGTCCCAAATATTTTCGATAAGGAATAGTTAGCCTGTACTATTAATAATGATAGTCATATGATATACAATATATATCTTGAACTTATTTCTCCTGTCTAACTGAAATTTTGCATTCTTTGACCAACATCTCTCCAGTGCCCCTATTGCCATCCTCTAGTAATCACCATTCCACTCTCTGCTTCTATGCCGTGGACTTTTTTAGAACCCACTATCCGTGAGATCCTGCAGGACTTGTCTTCCTGTGTCTTTCTTTTGGAATCTAGCTGAGAGAATAGTCACAATGGGGTCTTTGAATGGATCAATGCTTTCAAGAGTTTCTCTGGTGCTTAAGTTTCCTTCTACTTGCTCCTGTCTGAAGACACTAATCACCCTACTGTCCTCTTGGATATGCATGTAAGTATCCTAACTAGTTTCATTGAAATCTTTCTCTAACTCTAAGCTAGGGCAGAAGAACAAATCTGATTACTTTATTCTCAGCTTTCTTTATTATTATGGTGCCTCCATGCTGTCAAGATAAACATGGTCCTATAAAGCCTGTTACATTATAATCTATACTTAACTCTCCAGCTTTGCCTATGGATACTTCCTGCTTTGCATTTGTTCTAAAAGTATAGTTACTTTTATTTCTTCTAAACATTCCACCTTCTCTCTTGCTGTTCTTTCTCTTTATGCCAACAATATTTCCTCTCCTCAACCTCCTTTTCTTCTGGATAATCCCTACCCTTCCTTCAATCATCAGCTTTATAGTCCTGTCTACCAGAAGGTTTTCTCTGACTTTAAAAAATATACCTTGTACTTCCTCTATAAAAATTATGTCTGTTTCTCACACTGGAAGATACACTTGATAAAGGCAAAATTCAAAACAATTGTGCTGTCTAATACAAAACTAAGCCAAAAATGTGCTTCATGAATGAGAAATCAAAAGAACACATGAATCATCTATGACTGAAACAGCAACACCAGGTTCGTAGAAAGTAATTTTAAACATACAGCAGAATATTACAATTTGAACTTCTATTACGTAGAAATAATGACAATGTTAAGAATTCTTGGCTAGAAATTAACTTTGTGCTAGTTATTAAAAAAGAACTTGCTAACAAGCTTATGCTGATAAAATTAGCAAGAAGCTGGTTAACATAAGAAATAAAAAAAATTCCCAAATACTTACATTTATATTGGATGCACAGTCGGTCTTAAGAATAGAAAACAAGTCAATTAATTTTATGGTTTGATTTGTGCTGAGAAAACTAATTTCCCTTCCTTGACATTTATTATCTGAAATAGTAGTAATGCATTGTTCAATGCTTGAGTTATATCTCATGGCTAAACATATATATTTATATATATTATATAGATACAGATAACTACATATTCTATATAATGCATATACTCTATTATGTAAAGAATAATATTTTACACCTTATCTACTATTGTCACATACTATTGTTTCTCTCATAAATTTTGAAGAGTTAGTCTTCTTGCTTTTTCTTCTTTGGGGACCTGGAATATTGAGATAGTAAGTAGTGATTTTGGGAAGGGGCAGAGGATGGTACCAATTCCTCTGATATCCTGTTCTATAGCTGTAAATATCTGGCATTAGAAATGTCACTGCTAGGTGGCTATTATTTGGGTAAAGAAACCATCTCATTAATGCAAAAATGTTATAAAATACAGGGACTTGTTCTTACGTGTGTTAGGGATTTCCAGACCTGGGTTTATATCCTGCACTTGATTCTTACTGGCAAATTATTTCTGTTAAAGCCACAGTTTCTGAACCTTAAAGATGTTTATAAGAATATGTATCTTGAAATTTACCATGAAAAGAATAAATTATATATGTAAAGTGCCTGGAACATTGTAGACAGCCTAGAAATAGTAGCTATTTTTTTAAGAGTTACTACCCAATGCTACCTTAGTTTTTGATATTTTACTTTAGAACTCACACAAGGATATGTACTTGGGATATTTTGGAAAAGATGACAAATTATGTTAAGAGATGGAGCACCTGAGATCTGTCCAATTTGGATAATATTCATTAAGTGAATAAGTGAATCATTGTAGGGACACTGAGGTAAAAAGTGCTCCACAGCTGGCAGTCAGTATAATGGTTCTAGTACTGGGAAATGTGGGATTACAGGATAAAACATGACTAATGGAAAAAGTTTATTTATATTAGTTTTCTATTGCCACTGTAACTAATTTAACAACTTAAGGCAAGTAAGTTTAGAATCTCACCATTCTGTAGGTTGGACATCTAACACAATTTCACTGAACTAAGAGCATGGTGTCCATAAGTCTGTGTTCTTATCTGTGGGCTCTAGGGGAGAATCTGGTTTGGATTTTGGTATTTTGTTTTGTTTTTGCCTTTTCCCACTTCTAGCAGTCTGTTCCTCTATGTTCAAAGACCTCCAGAGCAAGCTGAGTCCTTCTCACACTGCCTGTTCTCTTGTCCTCTCATCACTCTTCACATCTCTCTCTAACCACAGCCAGGAAAGGTTCTTTGCTTTTTAGGATTTGTGTGATTAGATTAGGCCCATCTGGACAATCCAGGAAAACCACACATCTCAGTGTCCCTAACCTTAATCACATCTGGAAATCTTTTTTTCCATATGAGGTAGTATATTTACAAGGTTCTGTGGATGAGGACACAGATATTTTTGGGGTGGGGGGAGCGGTGCATTACTTTTCCTAATACTTTTGTAAAGATATTTGGAAATGATAGGAAAAGAAAGACAGTATCACAACTGTGCCAGGATACAAATAAACTATTGATTAACTGCAGGTGAAATTAATTATTTAAATCAATTTGATTTAGGAGGATCTTGATTAATCACTTCACTGATTTACAGCTGAAGAAAACAATTTTATAAGTAAGAACTACTTTTAACTTATACACTGTCCTATAATCAATTCTTAATAAGATTTTAGGTTTGAAATTTTATTTTGAAATATTTTCTTCTCAATATTTGTTATTTCTGTGTAGACATTTTGCTACCAAGATGTGTTTTCAACCAGGAAAACATGAACCCAGACTTTATAACTCCATAAAAGTAAGGATAACACTATACTGGGGAAAGTATTAGCATATTGCTAATATATTGCTAAAATTAAATAGAATTATAGATGGAAAAAGCAAGATAGTTTCCAGGAATAACTATTTAACTAATTTTAGTCTCAGCTGTTTTTCCTTATTAGTTGATTTCCTCCTGTTGCAATTGGCTCTCTTCCTGATCTGTTTTATTTGCCTCATAAGGAAAAGGGGATGGTGATTAACAGCTAGTGTGCTCCTACAGATGTACCATATATCTCACTTAATTCTTAAAGCAGCCTCGTATAGCAAAATTATTCATATGATTATAGATCTTAAATGTAATGATGAAGAAACAATCAGGAATAAAGATATACCCAATATTATAAAACATAAGATGTATTTTGGCACCCAGCGTTTGTTTCTAAGGTTCCAAAGCCTCAGATTTCTCAATAAGTCATCGCGTCTAATTATTTCACAATAAAACAGATTTTCACACCATCTACAATTTTAAATCAAGTTTTCAGGAACATTTGTTAATTTTAAAATTACTTAAAAGTGAGTAGTTAATTACATGTACTTTAAAATCAAAGGTTTGATATCCTGTATTAAGCTTAGTGTTTTTGAGGTTTTTTTCCAGGTTTCATCTACTGATTATTAATTTATTACAAGTTAATCCAATTTTTCGATGACTATATATAAAAAACGCGTGTTCAGTAAGTTAAAGATATAATGGGGAAATTGAAACTTGACAATGTTAAATAGAATAGCTAGCTGAGAAAAAAGTCTAATAATTATAAAACAGAGAAGACATCACAAAATAATGGGGAAATTTAAGAATAATATAATACATGTTGATAAATTGTAGATAATTTGGTTAGTTTTTGTCTTTTACATGTGCATGCATGTGTATCTTACAACAATTATTTCCAGATGTACCAAAATCAAATGCAAAATATAAGAAGTTAGAAATAGAAGTAAATAGAAATAACCATTGAATTTTAGGACTCTGGGAGAATTTTTTTTAATAAAACTTCTGTCAGTCCCAACAAAACAGGCGATAGTTTTGATTTGAATTAAATTAATCCAAATAAAATTCTAGTTCTTATAAATTGTAAAATAGAGTTGCTGTTTGGTAAACTTAAAAATAACATGCGAAAGTATAATTAATATGCAACCAACATTACATTGCTTATAAATGGGTGCTTAGGAAACAAATGTCAGTGGGAATGGTGGAAGAAGGACTTCAAAAATCCACTGTTTCAATAGAAATGATTAGAATATTGGCAAAAAATAGTCAAAGTAATAATTTTCAGAACTCTGAATATTAATCAAAGTCTTGCAAAAACTGGAATAGTGTTTAAGAGCAATGGCTGAATGTCAGAAAGAAAAAGCTGTGTGATTTTTTTAAAATTATACTTTAAGTTTTAGGGTACATGTGCACAACGTGCAGGTTAGTTACATATGTATACATGTGCCATGTTGGTGTGCTGCACCCATTAACTCGTCATTTACATTAGGTATATCTCCTAATGCTATCCCTCCCCCCTCCCCCCACCCCACAACAGGCCCCAGTGTGTGATGTTCCCCTTCCTGTGTCCATGTGTTTTCATTGTTCAATTCCCACCTATGAGTGAGAACATGCGGTGTTTGGTTTTTAGTCCTTGCGATAGTTTGCTGAGAATGATGGTTTCCAGCTTCATCCATGTCCCTACAAAGGACATGAACTCATCATTTTTTATGGCTGCATAGATTCCATGGTGTATATGTGCCACATTTTCTTAATCCAGTCTATCATTGTTGGACATTTGGGTTGGTTCCAAGTCTTTGCTATTGTGAATAGTGCCACAAGAAACATACATGTGCGTATGTCTTTATAGCAGCATGATTTATAATCCTTTCGGTATATACCCAGTAATGGGATGGCTGGGTCAAATTGTATTTCCAGTTCTAGATCCCTGAGGAATCGTTACACTGACTTCCACAATGGTTGAACTAGTTTACGGTCCCACCAGCAGTGTAAAAGTGTTCCTATTTCTCCACATCCTCTCCAGCACCTGTTGTTTCCTGACTTTTTAATGATCACCATTCTACCTGGTGTGAGATGGTATCTCATTGTGGTTTTGATTTGCATTTCTTTGATGGCCAGTGATGATGAGCATTTTTTCATGTGTCTGTTGGATGCATAAATGTCTTCTTTTGAGAAGTGTCTGGTCATATCCTTCTCCCACTTTTTGATGGGGTTGCTTTTTTCTTGTAAATTTGTTTGAGTTCATTGTAGATTCTGGATATTAGCCCTTTGTCAGATGAGTACATTGCGAAAAATTTCTCCCATTCTGTAGGTTGCCTGTTCACTCTGATAGTAGTTTCTTTTGCTGTGTGGTCGTTCTTTAGTTTAATTAGATCCCATTTGTCAATTTTGGCTTTTGTTGCCATTGCTTTTGGTGTTTTAGACATGAAGTCCTTGCCCATGCCTATGTCCTGAATGGTAATGCTTAGGTTTAGGTTTTCTTCTAGGGTTTTTATGGTTTTAGGTCTAACATTTAAGTCTTTAATCCATCTTGAATTTATTTTTGTATAAGGTGTAAAGAAGGGACGCAGCTTCAGCTTTCTACATATGGCTAGCCAGTTTTCCCAGCACCATTTATTAAATAGAGAATCATTTCCCCATTTCTTGTTTTTCTCAGGTTTGTCAAAGATCAGACGGTTGTAGATAAGCGGCATTATTTCTGAGGGCTCTGTTCTGTTCCATTGGTCTATATCTCTGTTTTGGTACCAGTACATGCTGTTTTGGTTACTGTAGCCTTATAGTATAGTTTGAAGTCAGGTTGCATGATGCCTCCAGCTTTGTTCTTTTGGTTCAGGATTGACTTGGCAATGTGGGCTCTTTTTTGGCTCCATATGGACTTTAAAGTAGTTTTTTCCAATTCTGTGAAGAAAGTTATTGGTAGCTTGATGGGGATGGCATTCAATCTATAAATTACCTTAGGCAGTATGGCTATTTTCATGATATTGATTCTTCCTACCCATGAGCATGGAATGTCCTTGCATTTGTTTGTATCCTCTTTTATTTCATTGAGCAGTGGTTTGTAGTTCTCCTTGAAGAGGTCCTTCACTTCCCTTGTAAGTTTGATTCCTAGGTATTTTATTCTCTTTGAAGCAATTGTGAATGGGAGTTCACTCATGATTTGGCTCTCTGTCTGTTATTGGTGTATAAGAATGCTTGTGATTTTTGTACATTGATTTTGTATCCTGAGACTTTGCTGAAGTTGCCTATCAGCTTAAGGAGATTTTGGGCTGAGACGATGAGGTTTTCTAGATATACAATCATGTCATCTGCAAACAGGGACAATTTGACTTCCTCTTTTCCTAATTGAATACCCTTTATTTCCTTCTCCTGCCTAATTGCCCTGGCCAGAACTTCCAACACTATGTTGAATAGGAGTGGTGAGAGAGGGCATCCCTGTCTTGTGCCAGTTTTCAAAGGGAATGCTTCCAGTTTTTGTCCACTCAGTATGATATTGGCTATGGGTTTGTCATAGATAGCTCTTATTATTTTGAGATATGTCCCATCAATACCTAATTTATTGAGAGTTTTTAGCATGAACGGTTGTTGAATTTTGTCAAAGGCTTTTTCTGCATCTGTTGAGATAATCATGGTTTTTGTCCTTGGTTCTGTTTATATGCTGGATTATGTTTATTGATTTGCATATGTTGAACCAGCCTTGCATCCCAGGGATGAAACCCACTTGATCATGGTGGATAAGCTTTTTGATGTGCTGCTGGATTCAGTTTGCCAGTATTTTATTGAGGATTTTTGCATTGGCTTTCATCAAGGATATTGGTCTAAAATTCTCTTTTTTTGTTGTTGTCTCTGCCAGGCTTTGGTATCAGGATGATGCTGGCCTCATAAAATGAGTTAGGGAAGATTCCCTCTTTTTCTATTGATTGGAATAGTTTCAGAAGTAATGGTACCAGCTCCTCCTTGTACCTCTGGTAGAATTTGGCTGTGAATCCATCTGGTCCTGGACTTTTGTAGCCTTATTTCCATCCCTCTTTACCAAGCTTGAGTGTAACCTTGAAAACCAACAGACAAATCAGTCACTGTGGAAGACTTGTAGCCACTGGAGCGTGCACAATGGGTTTGTAACTTGCCAAAGACCCATTCTCAGAGAACTTTCATTAACTGCCCTGTTTGGCAGTTTTCTGGAAACCTGCACCCATATGCTTATCATTATTTGCTTTATCCCAGGACGTTGTGCAATAATCAAAGGCAAAGTCATCACATGTGCCTAGGCAGTGATAGCCATTGGAACAAATGGGCTGACAAAACACTTAAAAGCAAAAGCTGGGTTTTTCAGATGTCCATAAAGGCCTTTAAAAAACTTCCACATATTCCTGAACTCAGAACAAATTTAGAAGGCCATGCTCATCTTCAGAGCTGTGCACATGCCTACAAAAGACCTGAGAGTTACATAAGCTTTCACCCCTGGCTGGCCTTGAACCCTGCACAAGCAGGAAGTGTTTCCCAACATGCACACAGAGGCCCTCAGAAAAGGCTGGTAGATTTACTGATACATGGCATTAAGGAAATTTCTGCCAATCTTTAGCTGATCATTAAGTGAATTGAGTAGAGACTTCAAAAATCATACACAACAAAGAATACATATTTTTTACACAATTGGTTTAGAAAGTCACTATACAAATAAACGGAAACTACCACAAAACAATAAAAAAGAGCAACAATGTCAAACTCTGGGAAGGCTGTTAGGTGGAGGTCTGATTTCCAGAGTTGCCACATTATACTACTTAAAATGCCTGGAGTACCTGTAATCCCAGCACTTTGGGAGGCTGAGGCAGGAGGATTGCCTGAGCTCAGGAGTGTGCAACCGGCCCGGGCAACACGGTGAAACCCCGTCTCTACTAAAATACAAAAAATTAACCTGGTGTGGCAGCGTGCACCTATAGTCCCAGCTACTCAGGAGGCTGAGGCAGGAGAATTGCTTGAACCCGGGAGGCAGAGGTTGCAGGGAGCCGAGATCACGTCACTGCACTCCAGTCTGGGCGACAGAGCAAGACTCCATCTCAAATCATCATCACCATCATCATCATCATCATCATCATCATAATTCAGGAGTATGCAACAAAAAATTAAGAGACATGCAGGTAAATAAAAAATGTATGACCCAAACAAAAGAAGAATATTAGTCAAAATAACCTTTCCCTGAGGAAGTTCAGACATTGAACTTACTGCGCAAATACTTTAAATCAGCTATTTTAAATATATTAAAAGAACTAAAAGGAAACCACCTGTAAAAAACAAAAGTTAAGTGGGAAAATATGTCTCACTAACTAGAGAATATAGGTAAAGAAAAAGAAATGTAGGAAAGAATCATAAGGAAATCCAGAAATCAAAAAAGCAAAATAACTGAAAGTTATTTATGTGTATATGTTTATGTATATTATGTTTATGTAAGGGAAAATAACCCAATAAAACTGGGCAAAGGGTTTTAATAGATATTTCTCCAAAAAGAAGTGCTGACAATGCTCAATGTGCATTTGAAAAGATGCTGAACATCTTTAATCATTAGGGAAGTGCTTATCAAAGCCACAATAAGATACAGCTTAAAGTGCATAAGTTTGGCTATAATTTTAAAAATGGACCATAACATGTATTGGTGAAGATCTGAAGAAACTGGAGTCCTCATATATTGCTGGTGAGAATCTAAAATGGCGCAAACACTTTGGAGAACATTTTGGCAATTCCTCAATTTGTTAAACATGAAGTTACCATAAGACCTAACAATTCCACTCTAAATATATACCCAACATAATTGAAAGCATGTGTCCACTCAAAAACGTGTACGGGAATATTCATAAGAGTATTATTCATAATTAAAATATATTAGAAATAACCTAAATGTATATCATCTTATGAATAGATACACAGTATACAGTATATCCAAACAATGAAATATTATTCAGTCAAAAAAAAGGAATGAAGGGCTGATATATGCTGCAACATGGATGAATCTTGAAACCATGCTAAGTGAAAGAAGGACAATATATAAAGCCAGATATTGTATAATTCCATTTATATGAAATGCCCAGAATAGGCACATCCATAGAGACAGAAAGTAGATTAGTGATTGCCAGGAGCTGGAGATGAGGGGAAATAGGGAGTGACTGCTAATGGGCATGTTTGTTTGTTTGTTTGTTTGTAGTGATAAACATGTTTTGAAAGTAGATCAAGGTGATGGTTACATAGCTTTGTGAATATACTAAAATTGCCTGATATAAATTGTAAACTTTAAAATAATTATGTTAGGTATATCTTGAAATAATCTTCTGATTCACATGTAGTTGATCTCAATTTTCCACATTCAAATTACTAGAGTTAAAATTTTGTTACATGAATTTGTTTGCAATTTTATAAAATAAAGGATAATCAAACACATGTTTAGAGTTATATACTTATTATGTTGGCATCTTATCGCATGACAGAGAGAGGAAGAGGGAAAGGATCAGGGACTGGAAAAACACTGAATTATCTTAATTCTCACATGAATAACAAACAAAATTCACTTTAAATTTGGAGACATTAAACTATTGTTTTTTCCACTTGAAATGCAGGGGTTTGCAGGGTTTACCAAAGATAGAAAAAAATCAAATATATTAAATTTTGCTTTCATGTTAAATCAGTAGACAAAAATAAATCAGATAATACTACAAGATATTGTTTTAGACTAGGACTGATATGATTAAAAATACTTCTAAAACTATTGCTATATCCTATATGTCTTTTACATTTATACATGTTCTGAATGAGATCATAAATTTGATTTTTAATTCATTGTTTCACTTCCTTCAAGACCCACACAGCAATAATTTGAAGCCACTCTGAACTTAGATGACTTGGTTTTCTTTCCACCTCTTCTACTGGCTAACTTCATGAACATTTTGAAGTGATCCTCAATATTATTTAATACCTAAAAAATGAAAGAAATGTAAAACATGCGGTTATGCCCAAGTAAGGGCAATTCTGTAATGAGGAAGTTCTATTTTTCTTCTCTATTATTTAGAGCCATCTACTATAACCATCTTGTTTACTTTGTAGTGTGTGTAGTTTGTGTGTACATGTGTATGTATAAATCAGGAGACCTTCTCTGGGGAAAGTACTTTTCTTAAATTGACAAGTAGACATTAGAAGTAATGAGAATATTCTATTTTTTAAAAATCCATTTTTCCAAGATTGACTATTGATACATGCATCTGATATATGATTTTAGGAGTCTCTCTGGCAGAGTGGTGTCCATAATTTGTTTTTATTAACGCTTACTTTCTTCAAGCAATTTATTGGTTAATTAGCCAGACAGGTTAAAATTAGTAAGAACAGAAATTGGAGAAATTCCTTTGCTTTTTTGGAAGTCATAAGATGTTATTTATGTTTCATATTACGCAGCCACAGGTCTTTCTCAAAGGCTTTTTAACATTTTTTGATTTTCAGAAAGTATATGAATTATGCCAAATTTTGAGCTAAAATGCTAATTATTAGAGTATAAGAATTATGTTTCTTCCATAGGAAATAACTTTCTGAAAATGGGTATTATTTATTCTATATGCCCGTTAGGAATTTGTCTGCTTAATTGAAGATATAGTATTAATTTTTGTATTTATTGGATAGAAACTCTAACAAAATATTCAATGCCTGAGGCAGGGATTTACTTTAAAGAAGAAAATTACATTTTGCTTGATTGTTCTATGTTCTGCTAAATTAAAGCCCCTAAGTTTGAATTTTAAAATAATGTTAGGATGAAAGTGATGTATATAAGCAGTAACAATGAAATAATATGATAAACGATTGATGTTTTACTTTCAGCAAGCATACAAACATAAATAAAAATACGTCTAATATTACGTACTGTTTCTGATGAACTATTTTTATGATTTTTCTGAATGATATCCATTGTCTGTTTTGTTGTCTGTGAATGACACTATCCCTACAAAAGTCTACTTGTAAGTATTTGAAAGAGCCAAGGGGAAGCCCAGTGCCCCAGAGTAGGCCTACCAAATCTCCAGGATTCCACATCTCCTTGGGAAGGAGTTTGATATCTAAACATGCATTTTCCTTGTTCCCCAAACCTTCCCTCTACTATCTACCACAAGATCATCAGAACAAATTTGATTATATATTATATCACCACAATACAAGGTAACACTCAGATTTCATATTCATATTTTTCACACTTTACATTCCAAATAACTCACATTTTTCTATTCTGATCCTATCCCCCACTCATTTCCTACTTCTGGATTCCTTTCCCAGTGGCCTCTGGCACTTACTGCCCATTATCCTTAATATTCTCTATATACTCAACTGCTTCTCTGAAAGCTCTTTATATTTTCTAGTTAGGGCCAAAATCTGGATTTTCCCTGAAGACATTATAATAGGCTGTTCCTGCTTTCTGCTCTGTAACTCTCATATCCCAGAGCTTGGAAATAGTGGAGGCATCCTCCATTCCATTCTTTGGAATTTTTAAAGCCATAAAGCCGTTCCTACCCAAATCTTTGAATCACATGTTTTCATACAGCTACCACTCCTTCATCGTTATCTATCAAAATATCAGCTCCTACATAATGTTAGTCTCTTCTAAACTTAAATATCAGCTCCTACTCAATGTTAATCTCTTCTAAACTACACAAGGTGATTTGGTATCCATGTAAGGGATTGTTCTAATACACCGTTCTCTTGATTCCTTGAACTCATTTTTTCCAAAGATCTTCCTTGTGCTGCACTCAATCACTATGTTCCAGTCATTATCAATAAACACTTCTTCAACAACCTCAACTTCCAGCATCTCACTCTCTGACCACCATTTCTACCATTTCCATTTCACTTCATCTGGCATTTAAACTCCATACATTCTTTGACCCCCCACCTCCTAGAGATTCTTCAATATTACTTTTTAAATAGCCACTCACCTTCATGTCATTTCTTACTGCTTTATCTAGGTTGTTTTCTATGCTATGTCATTATAATACAACACTCTCAATTCCTTTGCCTCATTCTTCCTTAGACACACTCTCTTGGGAAAAAAAGTGTAAACTTTGTTAAATATGACTGTCATCATCTTTGCACCAGCTGAATATGCTTGGATGAAAAACACCCAGTCCAGCTAATTGGCTCCCATTTAATTTATGACTCCTTACAGGAAGTAGACACTTTATGTTGACCAACAATCAAAACTATAATCACTTCTCTAGTTCATGTACCTCACTTTTCAGTTCCATTTTATGTATTTTCCTTTCCCATCCAGTAACTCATACCACTTCTTCACTCAGATGATAATTCTTTCTCATGAAGTAATCAGAAAATTTTCATTAGCAAGTATGAGTAAGTTTATTTGTTCTTTGACATTCTTCCTGTTAAAGAAATGACTGTCTCGTAGTCACTAGTACTATTTTCCAAAGACTCATGTTATTGCTTCACCTTGGTACATGGTAGCATTGCGTGCTCCATTAGAGTTGGGTGAATTTATAAACTTAGCTCTGGCCAGTGAGCTAAGAATGAAAATGATAAGTGTCACTTCTAGACAATGACAGTGGAGATACTCAGATATCTCTTTCCTTGTTATTTGGAGAGAGGTAATGTTTTCTACAATGGCTGCTCTGTGATCCTAGGTCACAGTGTGAGGACCATCACTAGCTAACTAGTGATGAGCACGTAGCATATGCAAGAAATAAACTATTTTTCATTTTAAGCAATGGAAATTTGGGGGTTATTGGAAGCATAATCTATGCTGAGCTGATTCACTATTTTTTCCCAACATGACATGTGACGTGCTTCAGATCCCATGTCATTAAACTCAAGAACATTGGATCCAGCACTGTTCCTCTTGATGTCCTGCATATCTGTTACCTTCCTTTACTAATGGATTGTTCTCATAAAGCCTGTAGTCTATGTGAGAAAAATATATTTGTCATCCTGATTCTTTCTTTTTTTCCTTTTTCTCACATTTGTAGAAGTCAAAGGGGTACAAATGCAATTTTGTTCTCACTCTCCCATTTGCTGTCTCTGCACTACACTGATTCAGGGCTGCAACTCTTATCCTAGGAAAAGGAGAACAAACTGAAATTCAAAAGATGATTTAAACACTATCTGATTGAATATATTACTTGTTAAATTGAGTTAAATTAACAAACAGAAGAGAAAAACATTACATTTGAACATTTAAAAAATTTAGTTTTTATACTTAAACATATACACATATCTTCAAGTAAAATTGTTCACAACTTTAATACTTCTCACAGTAAATAATGTAATTGTTCCCTGACATATTTGAAAAATGATAGTCATTACCACCAAGTATTTAAGTAAGAGAATACTTGAAATAACCTAAATGTCAATTAGTAGATACTCAAAAATCATTACATACCTATAATATGGAATGCTATGTAAAATCATAAAGAAATGAGGGAGCTATAAAACAACTAATATAAAATAAAATCAAAGACACGTTGTTTCAAAATGCAAGAACTTTTTATAACTTAAGCATTTCTCTACTCTTCTATTTATGAAATAAAAAGCATTCAATATTCACACACATACAAACACATACCTGCCTAGAAAATGTTTAAGTATCATATCAAAATGTTACTAATTGTTAATTAGAGGAAGTGTAATTTGTGGGATTAAGGGGAAATGAAAGTCCAACTGTATTGACTATATATCCATATGATTTTAATATTCTGTATGAGAATATTTTCACACATTATTTGCGTAATTAAAAAAAGAAAAAAATTAATTACCTTTTTCCATAGTATTCATTAAGTGTCCATTTTGTGACACTTTAAGTGTTTTATAAAAGAGCATGGAACAAAATATACAGAGGTGTGTTAAATAGTATCAAATATGATCATCAAAGCAGTTGGTTGCCTGGAATTCAGCAGCAGTTTTAAGATTCCTCACATTAGAACTAAGCAGTGGCCCTCTCAAAAAACTATAATTGCTGGCAATCCGTGCTCCTTTGTGGTATAATTTCTACCAATTTCTTCCATGTACTGGAAATTAAATGCCTTTTTGTAACATTATCAAACTACTACAGTGAAGTCAAAGAAACTCCTACTAAGATATTGAAAATGTAAGATTTTCTTATTTGCAAATTCCTAATGAATTCTAAAATTTCTAAGGAATTTCTATCTAAAAGAGGAATTGAAGATTTTTAACTCTCTGATAATGTTCAATAAGTACTCCTAGTATTCTTTAAAGTGTCTACAAATTATTTCTTTAAAGTTTCTAAAGTTACAAATTTTAAATAGCCTTATCAAATATTTTATCTATTTGAAAAGATAAGAAAGTGACAGACTAAAAGGAGTCTTACTTTAGTGGCTATAGTAAATGCTTATCGATATAATAGTAATATTTCTAATATGCATGACATTTTTATGCATACAACATTGTTCTAGTGATTTATATATATATATATAGTGATTTATATGATTAACTAATCTGCTCCTCATGTTCAGCTCCATGTTGCTTTAATTACCATTATACATAGTGCTCTAATTTCCATTATACAGAAGGAAACTAAAGGTTTAGAAAAGTTACCCATCCATTCTTTAATGACCAGTAACTGATACAGCCAGATTTTTTAACCAGGATCTGTCTCTAGAATATTCTCTCTGTGAACCCTGCTATTATATTGCCTCTGTGAAACCAAGTATCAAGAGCTAATATTCATTGAATTCTTAATATGAATATGTTGCTTTTTAAATATTTCATATATAACTCTTGTTCCTTGATATGTAACAAATTACCACAAATTTAGCAGCTTAAAATAGCATGTATTTATTATGTGAATGTTTCTGTGGCTCAGGCATTCACTATGGCTGAACTGGGTCCTATGCTTAGGATCCCACAGGAAGCAAACAAGGTATTGGCCTGGCTATGTTCTCATTTAGCACCTCCACTGGAGATGAATCCATTCTCAGGATCACACAATTTGTTGGCAAAATTGATATCTTTAAGGTTGTAGAACTGAAGGCCTTGACTTCTTGTTGGCTGTTGCCTGCAGGTCACCTTTGGCCTCTACAGGCCAGCCACAGAGACCACTTGCAGTTGCATGCTGATATGGTTTCGCCCCATGTCCCTACCCAAATCTCATCTTGTAGCTCCCATAATTCCCACGTGTTGTGGGGGAGACCCACTAGGAGATAATTGAATCACAGGGGCAGGTCTTTCCTGTGCTGTTCTCATGATAGTGAATAAGTCTCATAACATCTGATGGCTTAAAAACAGGAGTTTGCCTGCACAAGCTCTCACTTTGCCTGCCACCATCCACATACGATGTGCCTTTCTCCTCCTTGCCTTCCACCATGATTGTGAGGCTTCCCCAGCCACGTGAAACTATGAGTTCTCTATTAAACCTCTTTCTTTTGTAAATTGCCCAGTCTCAGCTATCTCTTTATCAGCAGCATGAAAACAGACTAACACATGCCATGTAGGTTTCTTAACACAGCTTCTTACATCAAACCAGCAAGGAGGCTGTCTACAAGCCAGCTAGAAAGACAGAGTTTTAGGTATGTAGTTTAATTATGGAACTGACATCTCTTCACTTTCAACACAGTATATTGCATAGAAACAAGTCACAAATCTTTGTCACACTCAAGGAGAGGGGAGTCCACCAAAGTTTTAACACCAAGAGTTGGGAATCATGAAAGGGCCACCTTTGAGTCTGTCTATTACAGTATTCCATCTGGAACAAAATAATTAACATCTTTCTTATTTGAAAAAATATCTACCCAATCCCAAGGTTCCCAAGAGTCTCATTCCATTACACTATCCATTCAGAGCCCTCAATCTCAAATACTCAGTAAGGTTTAGATATGATTTGGATCCTAAGTATGGTTCCATTTGTTTTGCAGCAGACAGAAGCTAAACTGACTCCCCCTCATTCTCATCCCTTGGTGTTTATGGGTGTGTGTAATCAACTGTCACCTCTTGAGTATGAACAGGACCTATACCTTGCTTCTAAACAATAAAATGTGTCAAAGGTGGTGAAATGTTACCTGCAAGATTCCAGGATATGATATAAGCCTCTTTCTTGTTGTCTAGAGACTTTCTCTAGCTGTATTTGAGGAGGAAGAGGCCATGTTGCAAGACCATATCACAGGGAGGTGACTGCAGTTTGTAGGAGCAACCTAACAATAGTCAGCCGAGAAACTCTTAAGAAACCAGAGTTCTCAGTCATACAGCCACAAGAAAATAAATTATACCACAACCCGAGTGAACATGGAAGAAGATTCTTTCTCAACTGGGCCACTAAATGAGAATGCAGCCTGCAAACTCCATGATCACAGCCTAGTGAGGTCCTCAGCAGAGGACCCAATTAATTAATACATGGACTCCTGACCCACGAAGACTGTGATAGTGAAATGGTTTGCTTTAATCTGCTAAATGTGTGGCACATAGCGACAGATAATACAATATGTATTAGTTTCATTAATTCTCTCAACAACTCTATAAAGTGAGAAATATGGGTATTCTTATTTTACAGTTGCAATATCAAAATTATATAAATCATGGAGTTATTTTCTCAAAGTCACCTGGACAGTTGTGACAAAATGGGATTTAGTCTGTAGGAGATAAAAGTAATATCTTTTCCTCCCCAGTCACAAGGTTCGTGGCTAAGGCTCCGTAAAACCACCACCACCACCATCAACAACAACAAAATAGATTCACAAGAGAAAAGCATGCAAATTAAGTTACTACGTTTTATATGACACAGGAGCCTTCATAAGGAAATAAAGACCCTCCCAAAATACAGAAAGCTATACCTTTTTATCGACAATTGTGCAGATGTATGACGAAGAGAAAAGAGAATGATCTGCTGGAAATTAACTGGCACAGCATGTTCTGAACCTGATAGAAACCTTCTTAGACTGTCTTCAGAATTTGCATTATTCTCTGTGACACTACACAGTCATTTTTCTTTTGAAATTTCATAAGCATCAAAAAGATTTAGTAAATATTTTATGGATTGATATCTGTCACTTGTGACTACAGTTTAGTAAAGATTAAACCTGTTTTTCCCCCATTTTCTCAGCAATCAAAAGAAATGATTTTTTAAAATTAAATGTTACCTCTATTTTCTCCACTAAATTATTAGTACTGATTATTCATATATAGATTATTCAGATCACCTTGGTATTTCTCTTTACCCTCCAGCTACCTGTCATTTTGTCATTTGTCTTCTCCCTTGGAAGTTGTCCAAGTTCATGAAGAGGAGGGAAAACTCAAACTGATCTTAATAGCAGCTCCTGTACATGCAGCTGTGAGGAGAGTGAGCAACTATTCTCTGACATCTTTATCATCTATGAATTTCAGTTATCCATATGAGCTCCCTCCTCCATTAGACTGAATAATTGAGAGTTGGATTCAACAAATCTTAGACATACTTTTGCTTTCTTTAATATTTAACACTAAACTAATGCAATCATAAGTATATAAAATTTCAAAGCAAAAGCAAACATATAAATAAAAAAAACACAATCAATTTCTCTTGTTTCATCCCAATTCCTGTGGGATGTATAGGCTCATACACACCGACTGTAATATTCTAATGACCAAATGCACGTTTAATGTTGTTTTCCACAGCTACTTGGAATTTTGGCTCAAGCTTGATATCATTAAATAGTTGTAATGATATCAACAGAAGCACTGTGCTCAACCAGATGTAAACATATTTGGAATTGAAATGACATTTTTACTTTTTGTTAAGAAATTTTTACCAGGAATAAATTTAAGAAAATGTCATATTAAAATTATAAAAAGACTGGATCTGTGTGTAAGAATTACTAGTTTTTTAACTAAAAATTACTTTGGTTGAGTAATGTTTCTTTATTTCTGTAAATACACACACACACACACACACACACACACACACACACACACGGATATAAATAGATTGATCTATTACCAGATACAAAGTTAGGTAAAAGTGTATTTTTTTTACAATTTCAGAATGAAATGCAAAAGTTTCTCTTTCATAAATCCTTGCATAAATAATATAGAATATTTAAATCATTGCCTAGGAGAGGATAGTGTTACATAAAGACAGAATGACCCTAAAGTTTATTTTGTCCTGTGCAAAGATTATAGGTTTCATAACTACAAAATTATATATTCTGATTGATCCTCTCTGAAGGGGAGTTCAGGAAGGATATGAACATTGTAAGCAACATATTAAATAATACTGTAAAAACCTCAGTACTGTATAAGTATGGGTTATTCTATTTTTTCCATTTTTTATTTTCTATTTTCAAAAATTTTTGCAACAAACATATATTAATTTCTAAACCAAGAACAAAACCCAAAATGTTGTCTTTAAAAGATAGTATGAAGGTCAAAATAAATTTATGCTTTAAAATATTAATTATTTACATGCATTGACATGCATTGAGAACAGCCACGTGTTCTTCAGTGTTAAGTCCTTTACAAACATTACCGTATAAGGTTATTTTAATTTTCAGTTGAAGAAATCTAGCTTAAAAATAGTTTAAATAATCTACCCAAGTTCCCAGAACTGTGTGTCTCAATTGCAGGTCCTTTGTTAATCTGAATATCATAGTATAATAGTAGACTATAACAGAAACTTTGGCTACTTGCTTATTGTTTCATAAATATCATTAAAATGTCAGTACTGTATTTTCAGGAAAGCAGTAGATTATTGCCATGTGATTTTTGTTTATTGGTGACTGAAATAACTTTCTGGAATCTTTGATTTATAAATACTAATTCTTTGTGAAGATAATTTTAATTTGGTTGGTAATACATGCTTCCCCTGGAGGGAAAGTTTAAAATGAGGAGAGTTTTGTATGTGTCTTTCTTTACATCTGAGCTTATGGTAATCCACTCACTGGTGTTAAGCCCATAGACTGCAGCGAGTGGAAGAGGGTCAGCAATCCCCAAAGGTAACTTTTCTTATTGATAAAACCCCAAATATCTTCAAACATGAGAAATGAGGATATGTTAACATGAAACTCTGGTTTAGAAATGATTGAATTAAAAAGCCAAAAATACCTCAGACGAATCTTAAAGTTATTCTTGCTATTCAAAAATAAAGAACCAAATTTTTTACCCAATATAATTTCTAGAAACACAGCCCTTTCAACCCTTTTTCTCAATGCTCAACCTCTCACACAGGACTGTGCCTCCCACACAAAAAGGGCTTTCTAATATAGAGATAGTGCCTATGGCAGGTACTTTAAACTAAACCCATTGAACATATATTGGCACTGGCCACATTCATGATGCTCAAGTTCCACCTAGCCAGTACCTGTTATTTAAACCTGGGACCATATATATGTAAACCAGTTCCAAAACATTAAATCTCTCATATTTCTTTGTTTACTGGTTACGATCTAAAAATTATACACACCCTCACACACCCACACCCACACACATATAAAACATTCATGTTTTACCCTCAAGAGAATTCTTGATGAATTTATAAAAATTGTTACTGCATGATTAAAACAACATTATCACTAATTGTTAAATCTGCCATTTAGCAGAAATATTAAGAAATCTATAAATGTTGTTACATAAAACAACAAATCAATTTTTTTGGCTTTCGAGAATAATTCTATCCTTTATTTCTTTATGTAAAGTGACTAGCTTTCAGGCAGATTGGAAAAGGGAATAGAGAAGAAAAATGTTCTTTGATGGTATGAATGCCCACAAGCATCAGCAGCTGTGAAGCCTCGTAATGAAGCATTTGGCCCTCATTTGGCATTGCTCGCTCTTGAGAGGATTTTCTTACAAAAGATCAGTTATTTGATGAGTTCCACAGGCTATCACTCTGAGCTTCCACATCTTGGCATCCACATGCTGTTGAATATGACATTGTACCTTCTGCATGGCACAGTGCTCTCCTCACAGATGGGCCCAGGTGTTGGCATGACATAGAGAAAATATTGTCATTACATTCAAGTATCAGAAACTAGATTTCTGTCCTTGCATGTCAAATTGCCACTTTTGAAGCAGTGTTGTCTTGTGGGGAGTAATAGCAGGACTCATTTAGGTTTGCATACTGGTTGAAAGATACAACAGCCAACAACTACGGAAACTATTAATAAAATGCATCCTTATGTCCCCCCAATTTAAAGTATGATAGTAGAATGAAATTATTCCTCACGCAGTCTTCTAACTAAAAAATAAGAGTTTACGTCTGATCTGATATTTATCCTGTGTACTTTAGTTTCCAGATTAATTCGTATACCCTACATGAGTTAAATAAAATACAAGAAATTAACTTATTGGATGAGTTATTAAGCATTAAATAAATCAATGTTAGAATTCTGTCTAAAGGCAGAAGAAGACACTTCAACTAGTTTCCCAAATGAAGAATGTAAATTTAACTGTCTTCAAAGATTGACATTATTCAAAGTCATCTTTCATTATGAGTAAAGAGTGTCCCAGCTGTGTCACTGGTAAGGTTAAAAGGTGTTAGTGTGTGTGAACCTCTTAAATGAGCACAGTAAATGAAAGTGAACAATTCATTCAGAAATTTGGCCTACTGTCTCTGCATGCTGTGCATTATTGTGGTGTTGCCAGCTTCTCTGAATGAAAATACAAGAGCAAATTAAATAGCTTTATGAACTCACAGGGTGAACGGTTGTTCTAGTGACTTTCATGCAAATGTCTAATTAATTCTTGAAGTAACCCAAATTGTTCTTTTGTGATCAATGAATGAGAATCTTAGAGAAAACCTGTGCAGAAGAAACTAAGTGACAGAGGAATAGGATTTCATGATTAGGTTGCAATTCGCAGTTGTTGGGACCAGCACAATTTAGTTATTTTCCTCATTAATATTACATTAGTAAGCTAATGAAACATTTGGGTGAATACATTATGAGTAATAAAGGCATTAATTTTATTTTTCTGAACACTCAATTATGCTAATTGGCATCTGTTATTGTTTACTGTGTATATTTATCTGTGAAAATCAAGAACAAATATAGAATACACGGATGATTTTAAATACCGACAATACAATAAATTTCAATATGTTGTATACTTTTTTATAGTTTTGACATTATGGCCAACTTAAGAAACTTAACCATATCAAAATTACATTTCTATGTAAGTTCAACTTCATTTTTATTTCTAAATGTATTTTTGTTGTTTCAATGTTAACCATAAGTTTGTGTTAAAAACAAATGCCATTGTTTTATGCATCAACTCAATACAATATATACAGTATACACTATTTCCAAGAATGTACTGTTGAATTTGTCAAACTGGGTTGAGTTGGGGCTTTTATAAAATCATCCTATTTCTACTCAATGAGAGTGTTTAGAAAAAGAGACTCCCTGGTAAAATTTATTAGATATTCTTATAGGGTACCTATTTGTTTTCTCTGGATTTTTCATTCTCTCTTACATCTGTAGTACCTCTCTTAAATGCAGAAGATTTCTATTTAAAAGAGAATTAATTTCCACATTTTCTTTGATTCCCTTGTAATATTCCATTCACAGGCATAACAAACGCAGAGACACTATCTAGGCTTTTCCTTCTAACATAATGTATGTAATTAATTGCTTGTCACCCAATGAGCATGTTACAGGTGGTAACTCTTAAACATTGTATATCAGTATCTAATTTTTATACCTGTCAATATGTTGACTATTTTAATTCCATATACCTGCTTCATTGTTAATTAGGAGTCAGCTTTTTTTCCACTTTCTCACAATGTATTTACCCATGATATAAAACGAAGCATAGAAAGCTAATTAAACAACCTGGGTGAGTGAGTTGGCTGTCAATACTAAGACAGTTATTCAAAGCAATTACATTAGTTCTTCCTGTATTGTTCTCCTTGTGAATTATAGAATCAACATAGTGAAAATATTGCAGTAAATTGCTTCCCAAATTCACCCTAGGGACTTGGGTCCTAAATGACTTTCTAACATTAGCAGAGCCTGTTTATCTCTTCTTTACACTTATTTGGCCTAAGTGGCTGTACGTGAGTTTCTGTCCTAAATAACTTCAGTTTGAATGCTGAGTCCTCTTAGTGCTCTATGCTTCTTACGTCTTAATAGAAAAATGCCAATGTTTACCTAAAAGTTAACGTTATTAAGTGAATGTGTGCCATTTCAATGTGCTTTTTTCAAATAATAGAAACCAGATCACTTTGATGGTTTAGCTAGGTTTGACAGTTTCTATGGTGTAGTCTATAAAGTCAAACCTGATTAGTGTGTTAAAGGTAAAGTTTAGAGTATGAGTTGATACGCCATTTTGAACGTTGCCATCAATCACCAGTTAACTGTTATACTTGTTTAAATTACAGTTTGAGATATTATTTGCTGTGTAGATAGAATTTTTTGCTTAAGATGCTGTTGCGCAATTTCATATAAAAGACCATTAACCATAATTCCCTTTATTCTGCTGTATTTATGGCAGGTTTAAATCTATTTTATGCACTCACTGGAAGTACAAAATGCACATCTTTGTGAAAATTTTCTAAATAAACTGAACATGAACCATGACTTAGGTTAAATTACCTGGCTATAAGTAAAACATATAACATGAAAATATCCTATATCTTATTTATGGCATCTATGGATAATAATATAGATTCTTATCCCTACTGATGAAGCAACATTTTCTAAAACTTTTTATTCCCACTGCTATCCAAAATTTGCTTGCTTACTTCAGTTTGTTATTGTTCAAATATTGACGAGTTTTTAAATATCTCCTGGAATGTAAAGCTGTGTACTCAAATTTATTCACTTTGAGCACTTTATATTTTGGGAAAATGTCTCTTCTAAATTCTGCCCAGCATAAGAAGTAAAGTGCAAAAACCGTAAATTATATGAACAAAAATTTATTTTCTCTAACTTAAGCCCCTATTCTACTAAAACTTAAAAACCTTCTTTTAGTTAAATTTAGGAAATGTCTTTCATTCCAATGGTTCCTCAGTAATTTGAAATGCCATTAAGTCAAGTAAGATATTTTTGATCTCCCTTTTATCCTTTTTTCTCCCTAGGTATGATAGTGACTAGGGTCTCTTATGTATACAGTGATGCATCACTACAGATGGAGATATATTCTGAGAAATGTGAGCTTCAGTGCTTTTTGTCATTATGCAATCATAGAGTGCACTTACACAAACGTAGATAGTAAAGTCTACTACATCCCTAGGCTATGTGGTATAGCCTATTGCTTCTAGGTTACAAACCTGTGCAGCATGTTACTGTACTAAATACTGTAGGCAATAATAACCCAATGGTATTTGTGTTTATCTAAACATATCTAAACATAAGAAACATAATGTGTTGCATTACGATTGTGTTACTCAGTTTTCATGCTGCTGATGAAGACATACCCATACAAGACTGGGAAGATATACCCGTATGAGACTGGGAAGACAAAGAGGTTTAATTTACTTACAGTTCCACATGGCTGGGGAGCCCTCACAATCACGGCATAAGGCAAGCAGTAGCAAGTCACTTCTTACATCGATGGCAGCAGGCAAAAAAAGAGAGCTGGTACAGGGAAACTCCGTTTTTAAAACCATCAGATCTCATGAGACTTATTCGCTATCATGAGAACAGCATGGGAAAGACCCGCTCCCATGATTCAGTTATCTTCCACTGGGTCTTTCCCACAACACGTAGAAATTATGGGAGCTACAAGGTGAGATTTGGGTAGGGACTCAGAGCCAAACCATATCAATGACATTAAGATGGATATGATATCACTATGTGATAGAAAGTTTTCAACTCTATTTTAAACTTATGGGACCACCATTGTACACATGTTGACCAAAATGTTATCACATAGCACATGACTATAGTACTAGAATTTACAAAGTTCTGTTCATGATCTCCGTCTATACTCTCTTTGCCATTGGTCTTTGGCTGTTGATATCTATTCCCGTTTTCTTTGAAGCCGAAATTTCCAAGGCTATTCAATATCCCATTCAAATTATAAAACTCAAAAATTGTCTTTCTTTTTCTTACATTTAGGTTGCCAAGTCAGTCTGTTGAGCATTTCTCTCTTTATATTTATGTATCTATATATACATGTATAATGCGTGTGTGTGTGTGTAAATTGCTTAGATTTCTTTGAGTTGCTTATTTCTATGTTTATTTGTTTTTGGTGTGTGGAACAGAAGTGGGGGTATTGGTCTTTCCCTGGGCTGAATGATTATCCTCTGATGCAAGGAATTGCATTGAGTGACTGAAAGAAAATAAATAAAAATTCTTAATAACTTCTAATTAATTAGATTTTTAAATTTGAAGGTTGCTTGGAATCTTTCCATATTTATTCTTTCACTGTTTTTTTTTTTGCTTCACAGAGACTTATTTATAATCTAGTCAAGAAACTTAATATTAATTTATAAAAATACTGAGTTAAAACAAAACAAAAAAAAACACCATGTTTTAAAAGGATGGTGTTTAGTATGGAGGACTGTGCTTTTTCATGGAAGGAACCATGCTTCCCAAACAGTAAAACCCAATGTTACTTCAGCTTTTAATTTTAAATAATATTCTACCCTTAGAAAGTCATTTCAAAATATATTAATCATAAAAGCTACAGTAATGTATAAAATAAAGCTTTACAAATATTTTGTATTTAAGAATTTATCATAACATATATTTTTAAAAACAGACTTTGTCAGTGTCACCTGTCTGTTGTATCACATAAGGATTGCCATTATCAATTTACAGAAGAGTTAGCTGTGTTCATTGCGAAGGTGCTATAGAAATATTTCTTGATTGTAATTGAGAGCTACAAGGACTAAAAGGCAGTATGTCTTAATTCCTAAAGCACAGCATGTTTCTTCATATGTTATAAGTGAAATTTTTTCCAGTTTCCAAATGAGATTTTTTTTTGAGTGGGGAGGAATGTAATTGTTAAACGTAAAGGTAAGTTATTTTAAGGATATTGGAAAGTTTTACTTGAAAATTTATTTTAATATAAGGAACAAAAATACAAATGAAGGTAGTGATATTCTAAGAATACTCACAATGATATGATGACAGTGATTGCTTGATCAAGACATCACTGAAAAAATCTCTGATATCTTTATATCCACATCCTTTAATTATATCATATTTTCTCTGAAATAAAATAGGGCCTACATAAATAAAACACACATTTATCTGGTTTCACTTAAAAGGTTAAAAATTTAAAAGTTCCCATGTCTTTCAAACAGTATTAAGATACTTTAAAGTGATGTTGCTCAGTATTCATACTGTGCTGTTATTCCTTAAGACAACTCTCTTACAACCAAAATCCTGTGTATGGGTCATTTTTACACAATATCACAAAGACCCGAAGAATGTTATTTAGTTATAATATATAACAATGTATATTAAATACAAAGAACAATTACTTTACCAACAGACTGGATTAGAAGAAAATGCTCATTTGATGATCAGTATACTATTCTGAATTTGGTTTGATGTGGAAAGAAAGAATATTCATATCATATCTCTGGAGAAATGATATTTTATGGATATTTTAAATGCTGCATTATCCCAAAATATATTTTAAACTTTCTAAAATGTTTTTGTCTTTAAAAAGAAAGTATATTTTCATTCTATGGCATGTTGATGTCAAGTAGAAAAACAAGAAAGCCAGGTAATGTATGTCATTTACCAGAGTGACACGTGTAATCTACTCACTGGCCGAATCCAGAGGAGTAAAATAAATATGAGTTATTTGGTTACTTTTATCTTATTTGAAGAAATTTTGTGTAAATATTTAGTAATGTTATTATTAAAATAGGCAAAATAGCTTTTTAAAGAGATCCAGTCATCTAGACTCTAGAACAGATATTTTTGAGAGTATAAATAAAGTTAGTTTATTACCTTAATGGTGCAATTTTCACCAAGTCAATATAAGTAACTGAAAGTTTAAAATGATCTTTAAAGTCAGATTTTGAATTCAAGTTATCTAAAATCATAGATGGTGAGTGTATTAGTCAATTTTCACACTGCTGATAAAGACATACCCAAGAATGGGTAATTTATAAAGAAAAAGAGGTTTAATGGACAGATAGTTCCTCGTGGCTGGGGAGGCCTCACAATCATGGCAGAAAAGGAAAGGCATGTCTTACATGGCAGCAAGCAAGAAAGAATGAGAGTCAAGTGAAAGTGGAAACCCCTTATAAAACCATCAGATCTCATGAGACTTATTCACTACCACAAGAACAGTATGAGGGGAACTGCCCCCACGATTCAATCATCTCCACTGGGTCCCTCCTACAACACGTGGGAATTATGGGAGCTACAATTCAAGATGAGATTTCAGTGGGGATATAGCCAAATCATATCAGTAAAACACAGAATGAAAAGATAAAATAAAAGCCTGATTAGAGAAGGTAAATGAATAACTAATCAATTGTTAATAATTCCAAGAAATAAGAGAAGGAGTTCAAGTTATACCACAGTGGAATACAAGTTAGGTAAATGTTTAGCTGTCATTGCTCTAAGTTCACTAGGCTGATCATTGAAACCCAAATGGGATTCTTTTTAGCTTGCTTTTTTATTTCTAGCCAGATTGTATAAATTAATGTTTGTGCTAGCCATTCTCAGAGAGCATTCTCAATTAATATTATACCAGGTGTTGTAGAGTACATTATTGGCAATTTCTAAATATATCTCTATGAAATTGGGTCACTTTTATTCAAAAACATGCCACATTTTCATATACTGAAAATTTAATGTTTTTTATTTTAGATAACTTTTCTTACCTATTTTTTCTATATGTATTTCAAATTAGAGACCCTTGTGTCCTTTTTTTGATGTTTAAAATACACACCAGGTAGCCACAGTCTAAAACAAGTATCATCTTTCACTGTCCCAACAGTGATGATTCCTTCAGCCTACCTACTCCTCTGAGTTGTGAAATTAAGGTCTTTTAAAGCCTTGTGTTTAAGATCCTTTCCTGTAATTTCAAGGACCTTCACAATTTTCTCTCTTTATCTATGACATTTTTTCTATTGCTCCTTTAATCACTGTCTACTTTCTGTTTGATTTTGGAAATACTTTTCTCATTTTGCAAGCGTCATTTTTTCACTCAAATCCTTCATTAAGCCACATTTCTATTGAAATTTTTAGGTGGTGATCTCTATAAGAGTAGAGTACAACCACTGCATCATATTTTACAGACTCAAATGTTTTTTTTGACTGATTTACATTACAAGACCTCACGGCTATTGAATTACAATTTGGTATTGCTATGTTAAATATTGCTTAAAGGGGAGACACCTATAAAGGAATATTTCAATTTCTAATATTTTTTCTAATATATCTAAATGATCATTGTTCATAGAAATAGCTGAAAATATATGTTTTTATGGAACTGACATACAGATATTGTGAGAATAAAACAAGGAGACTTATACAAATGAAAATAAGAAACTGATATTGAAGGAATTATTTTAAATAAAATACCATATCAAAACCAAGTATTAAGTAGACTCTATAACAGTATATGAAATCATATTTACTTTATATAAAATTTAATTCTTGATTTTATAAATACACAGCTCTCCCAGATGTATATAGCATTTCAAAAATATGTAAAATATCTGCTGAATAAATAGTCCTCTGATGTGTTATTATAATTATACTTTAAACCATATGCAAAATATTTTCCGCAAATATTTTTAAATTATATCTCTAAAGAAAGGGAACCTAATTAAAGAGTAAAATATTCAACTGCATCATTTCTCGTTATGTGGCTTAAGTTATTTCAGTAAGAAAATCAAACTAATATTAATATATATGCAAAATAATGTTTATTAAATACATTACACTTTATATGACATAATACAGAAAGTATCTAATATTCTCCGCCCAGGGATAGGTAACTATCTACTGGTCAGACATGCTTATCATGGCTCCTTTACTTTTCAGAAAACCTGCCTACAGTACCGGAAGGCATTGAATATTTATTGTTAGTTTTCACTTCCACGGAAAATTTATGGTAGAGAGTTAAAGATGTCAGGGCATAGAGGACATAATGGGCCGTCATAGCAGAGAGAGAGAATGTAACAAGCACCGTAAATGAATGGGATCGTGCCTTCTCTACTGCAATTCTGTTCAGGTGGTATAATCCCACAGGACGTGCTCTGAGAGAGTAAGAAGACGATAGCTGCCAAGGGTGGAGAAGAAATGCTACCTTGTTATGAAAAAATAAATTGAAGCCAATCCTACAAAATAATTTTAGCTGGAATGAGATGCTAAAGCATATTTCTGACATTAAGTTAGGAGGGGAAGATGTAGGACAAGGCATCCAGGCACCTGGGAGTCCATAGCTTATGTAGACTGTATGTTACATAGAGGTAAAATGGTGGTGATAACAGGCTAGGAGTTCACATATATGTAGTTGACACAATTTACAAAGTACTGATTGTCTACTCATTTTAAGACATCAGACTTATCGAAATAAAAAGAAAACAAAATCTCTGCCCTCCATTGCTTACAATATGATTTAGATTATTCAGGTCCTTGGAATTAAAAACAAAACAAGCAAAGAAAACTACTAAGAGGTGATCATTGACCCCTAGCAATTTCCAGACTAATAGAGGAAAGACACATTAAAATAAAATAATAATAATTCATTTTGATACAAGATGCACCTATAACAAACTTAGAACATGGTAAGTGATTTAAAATATTTTGAAAGAATTAAGAAAAACATTGAACTTACTGTAGACACAGAAAAGTAATTCAGAATTGTATATTAAAAGTTTAGTTTCAGCTATTCGTTGACAGCAGAATAAATGGAAGGACTGAATTTGTAGGGAATATATGGATGTGGCAGCTGTTCTAGTGCATTTGAACCAATTAGTGTAAAATAACCTTGAAATGAACTGAGAAGAGTAGAGTACAAGAGGAAGATGCTGGAAAATAACAACATTTAAGAGACCAACAAAGAAAGAAGTGGGAAGAGATTCCAGGATATAGACTATGGTTTCTTGAACTGAACAGTCGGCAATGTCATTATCTAAAAAATGACAATAACTAGGCAGATTATGGCAAGTGCTCTAGAGATACAAGTAAGTGCTACAGAACTAGAAGAGAAAGGGTGGATTAAGAATACTAAGTGAGAGCCAGGCATGGCAACATGCACCTATAACCTCAGCTACTTGGGAGGCTGAGGCAGGAGAATCCCTTGAGCCCAGGAGAGACCAGCCTGGGCAACCTAGTGAGACCTCAATCTCAGAAAGAAAATAGTAAGTGAACATGTAGTAGAATTGGTAGTGGCAGATGATAAATTAATGTAAAAGTAAGAATAGGAAGAGAATGAGAGGAATTACCAGTTACTTAGGAAAATTGTTTTTATGTGTCAAAAATTGGAAATCTGGTGCACAATGGTATATGTTGATATTAATAAAGAATTGCAAGCACTGCCTTTTGACAAACATATAATC
Organism: Homo sapiens; assembly: GCF_000001405.40. NCBI lineage: Eukaryota > Metazoa > Chordata > Mammalia > Primates > Hominidae > Homo > Homo sapiens. The sequence goes on along the minus strand of NC_000003.12, from coordinate 79,663,324 downwards.
CAATAAATAACTTTGAGTTTTTTTTCCATTATACCATTGCATTTTTTTGTGGAACATTTCTGTAATAATTTTATTAATGGTATAGAAGTGTGGCTTTTTCAAATAAGTAATGCAATAGTTATCAGAGTGATAAGGTTCGTAAACCATAGAGAATCTGTGAATAAAACTATCTAAAACCTGGTATTTGATAAGTGATAAGCTATAGTATGAACAGAATTATGTCCACTTTAGCAGAAATTATTTTTATAAAGAAAATAACTTCACTTATTAGCTCCCACTTGTGAGAATCATAGCTTCTGAGTTCTAACATCAAATTTATATGTGATTCTTTGTGTGTGCCTAGCAGTCAATAATAAATACCACCTTATATATCGTGATTATTTTATATATTTTTTCTTTGGTTTATCTTGCAGTTCTGTCAAAAGACCTTGTTATTTTCTTGGACTCATACTTCCTTTCAGATTCTCCCACAGGGCTCTAAGTGACAGTCTTATAAAGACTCGTTTCTTCCACAGCAGCATGGCATTTCTAAGGCACAGTTTTGCAACTTTATTCATATTCGCTGCCATTGTTCCATGGCAACCTTACAAGTTGAGCAAATGATGATGGTGGTGGGGTCCACTGGGAATTTGAGAGGCAGAGGGAAAAAGACAGCCAAGAAGAAACATAAAATGATATTGACGAAGTCTCTTTCAAATGGCAAGTTTTTGATCCTGTAATGCTATACCTGGATGAAGCCTCCTGAGTATTGGCAGAAGTCGACTTCCTTTACAAGGTAAAAACTCCATTGAGGAGAAACTTGGCAAGCACTAATTAAACTACAACTAAAGTTTCCCCTTCCCTGTCCTTTTGAGATTTGCTCAAAGCAAGGATTTCAGCAAAAAATAAAAGCAAAAATTTTTACAGTCAAAGAATGAGGGTTTAATGATCTAAAAGAAAACAAACCTTAATTAGCAGGTTTTTATAAAGATAGTCAAAATATCTATAATGTAGAACATTTGCAAGAAACTGAAACATTTTGGAAGCATCAGTTGGCAGGAAAAACATTGGAGATCTCAATCATGAAGAAAGATCGCCAGTTCATTTTCCTGCTTGCTTTGATCGTTTTTCAATGTGAAGTTAAATCTTTCAAAGCTGCTAATTCTCATTCCAAGTGTAGAGGAGTTCCAGAGAATTTAAATCACATCTGTAAGTGTGTGTAATAGCAGCCACGGTTATTTCACAGTAATTTAGAAGGCCACTTTCAGGATGAGTGACTCATTCCAAGTATTATCATAGAAAACCTGTAAAAAAGGACTGCTCTTTGCATTTTAAACTTGAGAGGCACTGTTCAAATTTTAACAGTTTTCAGAGAAAGAGGATTATTACACTTAGGCATTCAAAGAAACAAAAAAAAAGAGAAAATATAAACAAAGTACAATGGAAGATGCAGTAAAAATCATTCCACATTGTCTCTTGACTGGAGTATTTGCTACATTCCCTGCTGTTAACCAGCTGACAGCATCTAAGTTATTTTCAAAGACATGAAATTTCAATATGTAAAATGTGATATAGAAGACACATTGAATAAGAAATTTTCTTGCAGGCGAAACAGGTTTCTAGGCAATTTTATGGTAGGATATTTTACTACACTGTAAAATCTCTAAATGTACACCTGTCTCTGTACAAATGTGAAATATAGAAAGAGAAAAAGAAAGGGATAGAGGGAGGCAGGAATAAAGAAAGACGACTTGGTTGAAAGAACAAAGAAAAATGCTAGCAAAGTTGGAAAGGAAAAGACGATAGAAAAAAAAGGAAGTGGGGAAAAGAAAGAAAAGAAGAAATGATACATTTAAGCAGTATCTGTTAATTTGAATGGGCAGAACTCTTGGGTTTTAATCATACAAAAACACTTTAGTAAGACTAAAATAATCTGCAATGCAGTAGTCGTGCAGAATTGCAAGCTATTTTCCCTCGGAAGCTGACCCTGAGTCAGAATAGGCATGCAAGTTGCTTATTAAGGTGTATTTTTGAACACCTGGGGAAATGAGGGAAAGAGAGCATAGCCAGATCTTTCTGCATCAATCAGTCATTTGATTTGGGCCACTCCAAGAATGTGCATGATCTACCATGGAGTGGATCTCTGAAGCAAAGGTAATTCTTTAAAGTGGTTGAGAGCTGAAAGCTGTCTGCTGACAGCATTCCAGGAAGGTAGGATAAAAGTTTGTCAAAGAAGGGGCGTATGGGTAGTGAGCACAACATAATGTCCATCAAAGTTCATCCTTTGTGCCTCTCTATCTACTTTTTAGTATAAATTGTTGGATCAGGCCCTTTAGGATTTCTGAGGGGCTGTCTTCCAAGAGGGAAATTAGAAGGCTGAAGGATAAACTATAGCCCAAAATGCTGAAACTTGATAATTATTTTCTTCCAAATCAATTAACAGTTTTAAGTTTCCTTCATATTTAGCCAGGACCTTAACTGGTCTTGGTAACTACGTGGCATAACACAGACTCTGACTTCTGAGGAGTCTGCTTCTAAGGTCATTGTGCTTTTCAGGCTGAGGTTGCTGTACGTGCCCATTTGGGTATTAGAATACCAAGAATCACTCAAATTGATCACCTGGGTGGTAAATGTATTTCTCTCTGATCTTACGTGTTATAGTATATTCTGATGGTCATGGCCATTATTATCCCTGTAAGAATAGAGATTTTTATTCTTATCAGCTACTCTCTTAACAACAGAAATACAGAGTTCCCAGGTGACTATTATAGCTGATAATGTAAAGGGACAGTTGTTGGGTTCCTAGTGAAATTGTTTCCTCTTTGGATATCATGACTTCTACACCTTCAGGGCACAGGTTTGCAGAAAGAGGAAACACAACTTCTCGTGTGTCTTGGGAGTGATCGCATTGTAGCCACTCCTGTTTTCACTCCTTGCTTCCCTGATCCATGTGTCTTACATTCTGGAAACATAGCCTTGTATAAATGTCTCTGTTTCCAAATGTACACTACTTCTGAGAATATGGCACCTCACCCACTAATGTATAGCCTTTGAGCTGGCATTTTAGTCGTGACTTCCACAGGATGTTCCAAAGCTCTCTTAGGCTTGCAAGTTCTCGGTGGTAGAGTATGTGTTCCCACGTTTTGGGGCTTACTTCCACATCTCTTTGCTATAAAGTCATTTCCCTAGTCGGATGCAATATCATGCGGGATCCCAGGCTAATCAGTCAAATATTTGGTAAACCTGAAACCATGAGCCTAGCTGAGGCCTAGTGAGGAAAAACGGCAAACCCACATCAGATTAATTCTCCTGCCAGAAGGTATTCTTGACCAATATAATCAACTTTCCACTAAGCAGCCATGTAGTCTCTTTGAGGGACGCTTGCATATAGGGAACCAATCATTGCTCTGTTTTTCTGTCATGTTGTGTCTTTGGCAGCAGCCCTGTTAGATCAACTTCAATAAATGAGTTCATGTTGCTGGGCTTATGCATATACTTCATCCCTATCACCATTGTCCCTTTGATCATGATCCATTGTGCCAGAACCAGGGTGGCCATTGTTAGAGGGGGCTAGATGATGTCAACTGGCCAACTCACTGTCGACATGGTGGCTTAGTAACTCTTCCATGGTGGACATTCGCATGACATTATCTTCTCTATCCAATTACCGAACAATAGTGCCCAATTGTTTTCTGTGAGGTCTATAAAACCAAAAAATATTGTGTTTTTTTTTTCTGAACTCTGGGTCCATTGTTCATACATCGTAACTGTTCGGTAATGCTCTTTGAAGCAGTTCGGATTAACTGTATGTCAAAATAGGCCTAATGAGTCTTATCCAATAAGGAAACGTGCTTGGCTACTGAAAATTATCAGACCTTTATTTTGGGTGATGATCCCATAACAAACTACTTCCTACACAAGTAGACTCTAAACTTTTTTATATTTTAAGTCATTAAAACTAAATCCTAAGAATCGATTTATATCATTACATTTTATTATTAAAATTTTCTCTAATTTAGTCAAGAGTTAAATGGCTAAATCAGTGTATATCAGATGAAGTTCTGAAGATATTTGTGTGATAAAATGTATTTCATTACTATTGAAATCTCAATAATTTTTAAGCATCATGTTTAGTTGCATATTTTAGTCTTTTGAAATATAAGCATGCTTTGAGTCAACCGGATGGTTAATATACACAAATTTACACAATGGAAGCTTTGATATGTGTCGATTATATTATGATACGTAGATGTAAAACTGAACATTTATTAATGCTACGTTAATTGAACATGTTAAAAATTAGGTTTAGAGGGCCGGGTGCAGTGGCTCACACCTGTAATCCTGGCACTTTGGGAGTCTGAGGTGGGTGAACCACGATGTCAGGAGTTCAAGACCAGCCTGGCCAACATGGTGAAACCCCATCTCTACTAAAAATACAAAAATTAGCCGGACATGCTGGCACATGACTGTAATCTCAGCTACTTGGGAAGCTGAGGTTGCAGTGAGCCAGGATTGTACCATTGCACCTCAGCCTGGGCGACAGAGCGAGACTCCATCTCAGAAAAAAAAAAAAATAGATTTTGAATAACTAAGGGAGTACAATTGTAATGTCCCCAATACAAAGAAATGATGAATGGTTGAGGTGATGGATACCCCATTTATCCCAATATAATTATTATATATTGTATGCTTGTATTGAAATATCTCATATACCCATTAAATACATGCCTACTATGTATCCATAAAAATTAAAAATAAAAAAGTAAAATAAATACATAAATACCACTTTAGCTGTCAAAAATAATTAGGGTACCTAAAATTTTAACACATTAATGTTAAGTGAAGCTGCAATGACATCATAGTATGGTTTGTTGGAAAGCAAAAATGTGGAAGTACAAATTAGTACTACTTTAATGTCATAGGAAGTAAAGACCCTTGAAGTGATTGGAAGCTGGGAAAAATATTTACATGCTTATGAGTTTATAACAACCTAATTATTTGAAATATTCCCACTATTACTAATAAGAAATAATTAACCATTCGTTCTGTAACATCAGAACATTGTGCTCTAGGAAAAATTATTCCTTCAAAATGTAGTCATTCCACCACTGACATACGGGTGGGCACTCCATCAAGTCCGCTAGAATTGTTGTATGAAGTGTTCATTATTCAAGCTGTCAAATATGAACTAAACATTATCTTTAAGACATAAAAACTTTCCTTTTCAATCAAAGAAAGTAAATTGCAATGGTTGAATGTGTATATTTTTACTTTGACTATCATTTTAAATAATCTTTTTCTTACCTGCAATTGCTTGTCTATACTGTCATTACCATATATCTTTTTCCTATATTCAGCCACCTGACATTACATACAATTTTTTCTTCATTGCCTGACACCATTGATAGATGCTTTTTATGATTCCCTCAAGTCATAGAGAGTGTGCTGGCTTACTAAGTCCATCAGTAGGGTATAGATGCCTAGAGCAATGTTTCAATATATAAGCTTCAAACCGGGTTTCAAGCAGCAAAACACCAAATTGATTCTACCAGCATTTAGATTCATTCAAAATCTAGATATGATCCCCTTTTATTTCTAAGAATATAAGTTATATATAAAAATTGGCAAAAGGGAAGAGTATCTCTCAGTTATATTTTCTAGTTAATTTTAGACTCGGTAACGTTTTCATATATAAATCTAATACATATAATAAATATTCACAAATGGTGCCATTCTCCTTATTTTGTGTTTAGTTTTAATCAGTAATCTGTAGTCATTTGCATAATCTCATTAATTTTTATATATTTCCCATAGTAAATGAAACTTTTATTTGTTGATTAAGATATTTTAAGTTTCCTTTCTCCTTTTTTCTCCAATTTGGAAAATATATTCATGTGTTTTATTAGTCTTTTACATTCATCAAAAAGTTACTTTCTCTCATTCACTGGAAGCAAGAGGATAGGCCTTCTGATAAACATGCTGCTTTTTATATTGTCAAGATTTTTGTTGGAGACTTAAGTATTTCCTCTCTGTTCAAAATATTAATTGAAAAAGCATCAAAATGCTTATTCAGCATTGTGTATTTCTTCTTTTGAGATTATGTATGTATATATTAGTATTTGGCAAAGGTTATTTTCTGTGGGAAGTGCCCCTATTGCATTTTATATTAATGCCCATTGGGTACTCCTATGTGTTTATAAGGTAGTTTTATAACAGAGATGAGAATACTTCATATTTTTTGAATTAACTAAAAATGTATATTTTTACCATATTTTCAAAGGTTACATTTGGATGAATAAAAACACAAATCTGACATACTAAGATTGTTAGCTAACAAAGAATAGATGTAGTTTGATCATGTAATGGACATAATGGCTTCAGCCCTTTTCTACACCTGCTATAGTTGTCCATTGTTATATCTACGGCCAAGAGCATTATTTTTTTTCTTTGAGACAAGGTCTTGCTCTGTCCTCCAAGCCAGAGTGCAGTGGCACAATCACAGCTCAGTGCAGCTTCAACCTCCTGGGCTCAAGTGAACCTCCCACCTCAGTCTCTTGAGTAGCTGGGACTACAGGCATGTGCCACCATGCTCAGCTATTTTTTTTAATTCTTTAGTATAGATGGGGTCTCACTATGTTGTCCAGGCTCGTCTCAAACTCCTGGGTTCAAGCAATCCTCCTGCCTCAGTCTCCCAAAGTGCTGGGATTATAGATATGAGCCCATCCCTCCCAGCCAGGCCATATTTATTCTTTCTTTTCAACAAAGGCAATAAAGCTTTCTTCTATGGTTATGACAGTAAAAATAGATAGATAGATAGATAATTGATAGACAAAAATAAATAAAATAAAATGTCTCATTCAATAAAGTATACTATTATTTTAGGAATTTGCATTTCCTGTTTTTCTTTGTTTGAATTCAGATAAGAGATGAGAAAGAATGGTTCGCCCTCCTAAATATTTTTAAAGCTTATGTAATACCTTCAAATCTTTATAGTTTCTTTCCAATTCCATGTGTCTCAATGGGTAGTAATTTCATTATTATTATCTCAAAAAACAAATCATCTTTCACCACAGACTTTACATGTGTTTAAATTTAAAAAAAAAAAGCAAAAATACCACTACTATTAATAAACAGAAACCGTTGACCTAAGAGAAATTCTTAGAATTCCTTTTAATCGGAAGTCTTTCACTTTGTCTTTGCAATCCTTAACTACATGTTATAAAAACTGATTTAAAACCATCGTAGAAGGTGTGGAAGAGAATATTTTGTGTGTTTATTGTTTATCAGTCATCATGGTTGGACAGTGTTCTTGTGCTGACTTTACAAATAATAAGCTTAAAAATAAATATCTTTTAAAAAGTTAAGTGATTTATTAATGAATATCCAAGTTGGTGATTCAGTTGAGATCTTTCCCCTCTTCCATAAAAAAACTCTAATTCACATCTTTATATGTATTATCATTTTATTAGTACATCAAATAAGAACCTTAACAGCTGAAAGGACAACTAGAAGCCTGGATCAGGTATTTTGAATACTACAGGGAACACATCTCGGTCAAACATAGTGCCACGGTAGCTTGCTCTTTTTGAGACATACTCCCTTGCTTACTTTTCTTCTTTGTCAACACTTATATTTTGAGTGTTTAGATGAAAGATCTTTAGGTTCCCAATTAGCTTTGCTATTCTCTTATTTATTAATTAATGGCAATGAAAGCCCTTATTTAAAAAAATACATGGAATGTTTTTGTTGAAGCTAGTCATTGTTCCTTGATTCTTTTGAGGTTCCTGACACATCTTGCCATTATTAAGTGCAAGTATCAGAGCTCTAAAAATTGATAGATTTGATAACTATACTCCAACATACATTCCACAGGCTAAAATCTTTACTGATTTTCCACACAAGAGTAGTAAATGCTTTGCAACTTCCTTTTTGAAGATAGATTTCTAGTTTCTGTATTTCCTGTATCAGAAATAATGTTCATTTAGAACAGTATTGTGCTTAACAGTGGTATGCCATTTGTATCAGCGAAGTCCCTGTTGATATGGTCAGAAAAGATGAGGGTATAGTTGACAAGTTTTAATATTGAGGATTTATTCATAATATGATAACAAATTATACAAACTCATGTCATTTATATTTTTGATCTTGAGTATTCAATATCATGAGGTTCACTTGATTCTAAAATGTGTTAAAGTGTACTTATTCATATTTTAAAGTAATTATTTTGTTACTAAAGAAGAGGGGAACTAATTATGTAGGAAAATTGCCCTCAAATTTTCCTGTGGCAGTGACAGTTTATAAAGCAGTGTGCTATTAACGTGACTTCTGTAGATTTCCTAACAAGCTAAATACCAATCCCACTTCCCACATTATACTTTAGGATTGAACCATAAAGGGGAAAAAATTAAGGCACTGCATCCCTCATTACACAGACCTAAGAGGCGGTGATGTAGCAAAGGCTACAAAATTACTGTGGATCATCAGAGCCAAACAGAAAAGGATGAAATAGGAATAGTTTATCAGAACAGTCAATCCAAGAAAGCAAAGGATTTAAATCAAAATGATAATAGAGAGGCTAAAAGAAAATGCACCCTGTATGAGCAATGGAAGAAAAAAAATCACTAGAAAAGAGCTAAACAGAGTGCAATTCAAAAGTCAACTGATTTCGTGAAATTAGAAAGGTAGTCTGAAAATGTGTAAATGTGCAAATTTTTATATTAAATGCATCTTTTAAAAGAAAGATGAATAGACAGAACAACTAAAGTTGTGTTTTTAATACAAGTTTTGGCATGTGTTCCCAAACATAAGGAATGCGATTTCTACTTTTTATTATGGTTGTTTTACGGTCAAAACTAGAAATAATCATTTCATTTTATATTGAATAAGTCACTTATTTTTTCTGATATTCAATTTTCTCTTATGTAAAATGACAGCATTGGAATAGAAGGCTATTGTATTTGCCTCTGGTTTTAAATTTTCATGATGCTATGAAACACTGTTTGCCACTGGAAAGAAATATCTTTGCATTCCTCAAAACTACGGTCATTTTAAGTGTTTTATTTTGTAGTTTGTCAAAAGCTCTAGTAATACTTGTTTGTGATGCTGCCTGTGATTTTCCATTCTTCTCCAATGATTAATTACATATGAATTGTCCTTAAATCTCATGTTACATCCATAAACTCAGGTTATCCTCTCATTAGTAGACGGAGTAATATATCTATCCTTGTAATATATACTTTATAAACGTGCTTGTAACTTATTTGTATGCCCATCTAAACAGTTAGACATACAAAGTAAATTCAAATAATGTTCTGGATATGTCATAAGGTTTTTTAACTCACAAATCGATAGCTTCAATATTCAACAGAGAGGCTTTGTATTTTTTACAAAACAAAACATACTTTCCTAACATGTACTTTGTAGAAGTTTAGGGAAAGGAACTTCCAATCTTCAGTTATAATTTGTAAACTGAAATTATCATATTGATATAGCTACCAGCTATACCTTTTGATAATACTGTATAGATGAATAGAACTAGAGATTCATTTCATTTGCGTCAACATTAGCAGAAAATAATATGACAGTGTGTGAGACTCAAGGGATTCATCTGACATTATTGAACAACCTCTTTCCCTAGGAACTGCATTTTACTAGGCCTACTACAGACACATTACACAAAAGACGATCTACCGATGGCCTTTCAACAATCTAAGACACTGATCTATTCATTTTAGAAAAGATGCCCTAATGGGAATGCAAATATTCTCATCTTGAAATGATACTCAAAAGCCTGAAAAATATTTCTTTCATATGGTTCTTTGACTAATCCTGTACAATGACCATTTACATCAATAGCAAATCCCTTGTGAAAAAAAATCCCCTGACATAAAATACAAATTAACATTTTATTATTCGAAGTAAAAGGCAGTGAAATATGAGAGAGGTTTTTAGCTTTCTGGGAAATGAACTTGAACAATAGAGGTAAAATGTGTCCAATGAATAGATAAGGGGTTCTAGCTTCTAAAATAATGGGTTTCTTTCAAGAGTTATATTTGACAAGAAAATATTTTAATTAAAAATTATTTGTCATTAAATGAATTTCTCATTTATTTTTTCATGAAATTATAATGAAATATAATTAAACATCGATGTGTAATAAAGATATAGACACATTTATAATAATTTTATATAACATTTGTAATAATCCTCCAGTAAGTTATTTGTGATATGGAATTGATTTTTTCATTAATCAAAATTATTAATTAATAATAAAAATTCCAAATTGCTCAGAAACATTTTAATGGCTTTTTTGGTTAAGTGAAGCAAAAACATATTTAGTGATTATTGAGGTGATGTGCAGTACTACATAATGTCAGCACAATTAGGTTACTATGTTCAAAGAGGTAAGCTTTATTCTTTTCTTTAAGTAGAATGGTCTGTTCCTTTATTTATGGCTATCCATTTGAAATAGAATATTTCAAAGAAAACTCTTAGAATTTCTAATTTAGAAAACAGAAAGTAAGAGAACAACAGAAGTCTTTGTTTCCTGTGGGGCAAGCTCTTTCACAATTTTTTTGTATTTATTTTAATCTCATTATTATTAAAACAATAGCAAATACTCATTCCAATACACTACTACTACTGCCATCACCACCACTACTATTAATATCACTGTGAATGCCACCATCACACTTGTTTCAAAATTAACATTTGTTGCATAGAAAATATGTGCCAAAGCCTGAGCTAAATGACTTACTATGGATTATTGCATTGAGGCTTTATAGAAATCCTGTGCGATAGATTCTTCTGTTAATCCTGTACAATAACACAATTATAATTGCACAAAACCCAAAGTTAAGGCAATGCAAAATTCCCAAAAGCCACTTTCATCTGAATGATTTTAGGTAATCTTCTAGGTGCCATAATATTCTAATTTTGCAGTGTAGTTTACTGAACCAAGATTACACTGGTAGCTACTTCCTCTAGCAAATAGTAGAAAGCTAACAAGTGTGGAAGAGGTCTGAGAATGGAAAGAATTTTTAGAAAAGAGAGACAAGAAAGACAAAGTGGACATGCCTCAATCATTGATGTAAGCGCTACCTCAAAGAGGATTTAAATAATTCTGCTTAGAATTCCCCCTGGAGAATCTCACCAAGACAACAAGAATAATGATCTAGTCAGTGCAAATAAACTAGTGTGGTATATTTTTTAAAATTATAGGAAAAATCAGCTTGAGTATAAAATAAAACAATAATAAATTATTCATATGCTGAATGTGAGACCTGAGGGCTTCAGTTCCACTGACATGTATAACTTTACACATAGAATTTGTTAATAGACGGAAAGTTGAGGTTGAGCAATTGCTATCTATAAATATTTGGCATTGCAACGGATAAGTTGAACTGTACTGTGACCTAGATTTCAATCAAAATGCAGTAAGAGAAAAAATGTTGGTGAATTACAGTAAAAATAAATTTTAGTTTGAGTGATATTAGTTTCTTTTCAGTGATCTTCTTTGACACTTAATAGATTTTTCAGTCATGCACAAATAGAAGAAGAATGTAAGTGGAATGAAAGTATAATACTTTTTGGCACCAAATGAAACATTAAACCAAGCCAAGGAGAGCCTCTGTATGTGTCCATTTCACCCATGAACGCTTCAGGCTCTCTAGACCTAATCTGGAGGGAAGCAGTGCAATGGCTGGTCTCCCGGGGTGCTAGCGTTGCAGACTAAGGCTAAGAGGTTGCTGACTGCGTCATGCACCGCTGAGTTCTGCAAATAAATCAGTTGACTTTAGTTTGGGGAAGAGGGTTTTCAAGTTGGCACAGTTTTGTGAAGTAAATTTGAACAACTATATTTATATGGATGTTTTGGCTTTAAAATTAACTCTCTCACACATAATTTTAGTTATAGGTGCTTTTAAAAAAAGCAGTATTCCTTTCTTTTAATATTTGGAAGTACCATAAGCCTAAAAAATACACAGAAAAATATCATAAATATTCATACACCCACCATCTTTGTTTAAATGTAACATTTTGCATACATTTATCAATTTTTATATTTTTGAAATAATAAATCATTAGGAATACAGTTGGAGCCTCCTACAAACTCCTCCTTGTGATTCCCTTCTTCTCCTAAGAGCTAATGAACATCCTAAATTTGGATGGGATAGGCCATACCATATTTACATTATGTATATTTGTATTTGAAAACATAAACATATATAATGTGTTTGCATGTTATTTAATAACATGCATGTTATGAAAGGATAATAAAGACTTCCCATTTATAGACTACATTTTCTAATAATAATTGAATTAAAATTCTAAAAATTAGCCCAAAATATCCATATTCCAGAATTTCAGATGCAAATATTTAAACACTCAGGAATCAAAAGAATCATGAGAAAAGAGAAAACATTTAAATTATTTAATAACATGTTATTTAATAACACGCAAACATGCTATTGAATATTTTCTAAATGGGGTCAAGGTTTTGTTTTTATTTTTTCTGACTCAGGCCTTTATATGGTACAGTTGCCAGAAATGTCATAAATATCAAAAAGGCCACTATATGTATGCTTCTTCAGATTACTATTATTTTACTCAATATCATTGCTTTGGGGTCTATTTTCATTTATCCATTGAGCTCTAATTTATTTCATTATTTATGGTATTCTATTCCTAAAATGTATTAGAATTTACTCATTTTCTTATTATTGCATAATTAAGGGTTTTTTTTCTATATTTTTTCTTTAAAACACAATACTTCAATGAACTTAATCATAAATTTATACTGGAAAAATATCTAAGAATTTTACATATACATAAAGAATTATGTATTTTACCATCAAAATTTTGATATATTGAAATATTTGATAAAACTTGCCTATTATATCAGTATATGTAATACCTTTTTAAAGAATTACAATATTCTTATTCAGTCTATTTAATGGTTATAAATTGATTATCATTTCTTCTTCAATTTTTCTATATTATGACTTTAAAGAAATTAGTTTACTTCCTTAGAATTTTCAAATTCATTGACAAAGTTTTTAAATTATATTCTATATGATTATACATTTTATTATCTATTTACTGTTTTACTAATCTGAGCAGAATCTATTGGTATTTTCTCTGCAGTTTTCTTAATCAGTTTGTCAGAGATTTGTAGTTTTTATTGGACTTTTCAGAGAATCTGCATTTAATATTATATATCCTCTCTATTTTTTCTTTGTTCTCAATTATATTTTCATCTTAATTATTTTCTTCCTCCTCATTTATTTGGATTTATTGTTTTATTGTTCAAAGTGTCTTAGAAATCTTAAAATAGAAAGTATAGAAATTTTTGTCAATAATTATCTATTTTTTTTCACATAAAACCTTGTAAAATTCTAAATTTCCCTTTAAACACTATTTGTATTAGGGTTTTCCAGAGAAACAGAACCAATAAGATGGATAGACAGGTAGACAGGAGAGGAAGGATGCGTCCGATCTCCAGAAGACATATCAACATATTGGCCTTTCTGTTTTTGTTCTCTCTGGGCCCCAGGAAGTTTGGATAGTGCCCATGTTCATTAAGGGTAGATTATTCCCGCCTAGTCTAGTCAGACTCATAGGCTAATTTCCTCCAGAGATACCCTCAGAGATATACCCAACAAATAAATGCTTTACTAGGTTTCCTGGTATTCCTTCATCCATTCAAGTTGACACCTATAATTAGATATCACATTAATTCAAATGAATCACATCATTTCTGACAAATATTTCCATAGTCACTCTAATTTAAATGTTTCCTCTTTTCTCATGATTCTTTTGATTCACGAGTGTTTAAATGTTTGCATCTGAAATTCTGGAATATGGATATTTTGGGCTAATTTTTAGAATTTTAATTCAATTATTATTAGAAAATGTAGTCTATAAATGGGAAGTCTTTATTATCGCTTCAGGTTTATTTTGCAGTATAACTATAGATAGGTTAAATAAATATATAAACAAATGTATATGGAGACATATACATTACATAAATATAGTTATTATTGCTATGACAATTGTTATGTGTTCAACAATGGTTTATTTGCCACTTTTTTGTTTACTTCTACCTTCCTTTGGGGTTTTATTTCTTGCCCGCTAAAATATTGTGTCAACTACAGTGGTTCTCAAATTCAGTTGGATGTTGAAATCATTTATAGGGCTTTAAAAAAATACTAGGGACTCAGTCACACCCAAAGAGATCCTAACATAATAGATTTGAAGTGGGGATTGACATTGAGGATTTTAAAATTTCAAATTTGGGTCAAATAGAGTTGATAACCAAATTCTTACCTTTTTAGCAAGCTACACTTAAAAAATGTTGTTTGAAAATATCTTCATGTGTTCAGAATATAAAATACCAGGTTGACAACTATTTTCTCAATGTACTTTGATGATATTCATTGTCACATGCTTTCTAATATGGCCATTGAGAAACCTGCAGTTGGACTAATTATTCTATGTTTGGCCTTATCTTTGTTTCTCTAGTTACTTTTAAGAGATGTTTTTAGTTTTTCGTTTTTCTTTCCCTTCAGTCCTCTGCAGTTTTACTACCATGCTTTTTGATATGTACTTATTTAGATTTATCTTTGTCAAGACTCATAATGACAATTCATTTATTTTATTAAAAGTGAAATAAATTCAGCCATTTACTCTGAATATTACCCCATCCATTTATGGTGGTCATTGTTGTCATTTTAATAACAGCTTCTTTTCTCTCATTTCTAAATCTCCTATCATTAATTATTTTAAGTACGTCTATTGAAAATACAATGTCTAGAAAAAAATTGTTACCTGAAATGCGTGTGGTTTGAATCCTCCTGTTCTATTTAATGTCTACAAACTCACGCTCATGGTGTGTTTTTATAGTTGTGATCAGGAGTTCATCTTCACTGAGCCTTATATATGTGTGTCTGTGTTGGAGATATCTTTCTCCAGTGCTCTTTGTGCTTGCTTGTGCTTGATTCCCAACGGTTTTACTGCAGCGGAGTCAAGTTTATGGCTAGGGATTATGCACGATCTAATAACAGAAGATGGCTGAAATGCAGACATACCTAATGGCAGATTATGGCTACAAATTTTCAGGGCCCAGTCCAAACACAGAAGTTCCTTTTTGCTTAGATAGCAGACATTTTTCTAGTTGTGCAGTTCACTGTGGGTTAGCCCGGAAAAGTTCCTGACCTTATAATGTATGGGTATCTCAGTTCTAACTCCCTATACTGTAAGCTCTCACCTAACATACTTGAAAACTGTAACTTTAAATGAAAAGACATATAGCAAAACCAATTTTCCTTTAGGCCAATTGTTAAAAACAAGAGTTAAGTTCCTAAGGCATATTTTTGGTCACAAAAACGTCAACAAAATTCTAATGTGAGACATTGAAATAAATGTGAGCTAGACACACATTTTTCAAAGATTAATAAAAACAAGTAAGACAATCTATCTTAAAGAACTGATATATCTTACGGGAATCGGTTTTTTTTCTCATCAACATTATAGCAAAATAACACTAAACACAATAACATTATTTGAGGACCTGCTGTATCTCATTAGCTCAAGAGGTTCTCTCCCATCTTCAGCTGTGAATATTAATATTAAAGTCCCTAAAGCAGGGCTTCTCCACATCAACACCAGCGATATTTTGGGATGGATAATTGTTTAGTGGTGGGGGTAGAAGGTTGTATCCTGTGCTTAGTAGGAAGTTTAGCAGCAATCCTGCCTTCTACTTACAAGATGCCGATAGTACATGTGTCAACCAAAATGTCTCCGTACTTTACCAAATGTCACTGTGTGGGGAAAATTGCCCCCAATTGAGAACATTACCCCAGATTATTAAGATAAACTCCAGGCCCTCCAGAGTAACCTCATGGTTACTCATGTAGTTAATGTTCTGGTTTTCAGTTGCCTCTTGTTTAGGGATCATAGAAATTTTCCTTATTTCTTGTGAAGTTATTTACATATTTAATAGGAAGCCTACTTATACACTATCTAATAATTGTAGAGGGAAATTTTTGTAGCATGAGAGCTTTCAGGTACTCTAGTTCTCCATATTGCCAAAACTGAAGTTCTGTATTATTGCTTTAATTTTTAAAATTTTTATCGATATATAATAGATGTACATATTTTCTGGGCACATGTGATAATATAATACATTCATATAATTTGTAAAGATCAAAGGAATGTAATTCAAATACATTACCTTACATTAAATAATTCGTAAATATTTTTCTTTTTGTTATGCTAGAAACATTTGAATAATTTTCTTTTAGCTTTTTGAAACTTACACTAGATGATTGTAACCTATAGTCACCCTACTGATCTGTCTAACACCAGGTCTTATTTCTTCTATCAGACTGTATATTTGTATGTATTAATTAACCTTTCTTTATCCCCTTTCCCTCTTAGCCTTCTCAGACTCTGGAAACCAGCAATCTACTTTCTGTCTTTATGGGATCTGCTCTTTTACCTCCATTATATGATTGAGAACATATGATATTTGTCTTCTGTGCTTGAATTATTTCACTTAACATAGTAACCTCCAGTTCTACCCATGTTTCTGTGAATGAAAGAATTTCATTCTTCTTAATGTGTGAATAATATTTCATTGTGTATACATACTACATTTTCTTTATCTATTCATCCATTGATGGGCACTTAGATTCATTCCATATTTTGGCTATTATGAATAATGCTGCCATAAGCATGGGAGTGCAGATGTCTCTGCAATGTACTGACTTCCTTCCTTTTGGATATTTATTCCATCCAGTAGTGTAATTGCTGGATCATATGGTAGTTCTGTATTATTTTTGAATAATTTACATACAATTTTTCATAGTAATTGTTCTAATTTACATTCCCAACAGTGTACAAGAATTCCCTTTCTCCACATGCTCGTTAGTATTTGTTGTTCCCTGTCATTTTCATAGAAGCCATTTTAACCGAGTTGAGGTGATATATCATTGTGCGTTTGATTTGCATTTCTCTGACGTTTAGTTATTTTAAGCATTTTTCATTTACCTGTTGGACATTTGTGTGTCTTCTTTTGAGAAGTGTCTATTCAGATCTTTTGTCCATTTTTTTAATCAAATTATTATTGTTATTTTGCTACTGAGTTGGTTAAGCCCTTTTTGTATTCTGGTTATTAATCCTTTCTTTTCTCATTCTGTTGGTTGCCTCTTTACTTTATTGATTGTTTCCTTAGCTGTGCAGAAGCTTTTTAGCTTGACATAATGCCATTCGTGTATCTTTGCTTTAGTTGCCTGTGCTTTTGAGGTCTCACATGAAAAATCTTTGCCCAGAGCAATGTCCTGGATTGTTTCCCCAATGTTTCCTTCCAGTAGCTTTGGAGTTTCAGATCCTGCCTTTAAGTCTTTAATACATTTTGAGTTGAGTTTTGTAGAGGGTATGAGATAGGGATCTAGTTTTATTCTTCTGAATGTGGTTATACATTGTATGTTCTTGGCACCTTTGTCCAAAATCAGTTGACTATAGATTTGTGGATTTATATCTATGTTCTCTATTCTGTTTTCTTGGTCTGTCTGTCTGTGCCTATACCAGTATCATGTTGACTTGGTTGCTGTAACTTTGTGGCATATTTTGGAGTCAGGTAATGTGAAGCCTCCAGTTTTGCTTTTTGCTCAGGGTTGCTTTGGCTATTAGGGGTCTATTACGGTTCAATATAAAGTGTAGGATTGGTCTTTCTATTTCTGTGAAGAATGTCATTGGTATTTTGATAGGGTTGCATTGGATCTGCAAATTGCTTTGGGTAGAATAGACACTTTAACAATATTAATTATTTATTTATTTATTTTAGAGACAGAGTTTCAAATTGTCTCCCGGGCTATAGTGCAGTGGCAAGATCATAGCTCACTGCAGCCTCGAACTCCTGGGCTCAAAGGATCCTCCTGCCCCAGCCTCCTGAGTAACTTGGACTACAGGTGTGCATCACCATGGCTGGCTAATTTTTTTATTTTTTGTTGAGATGAGGCCTTGTGACGTTGCCCAAGTTAATCTCAAACTCCTGGGCTCAAGCAATCCTCCTGTTTTGGCATCCCAAAGTGGTGTGATTACAGACATGAGCCACTATGCCCAGCCTCTACTCTGATTGTTATGATTTCTTCTTTTCCACTAATTTTGGGTTTGGTTTGATTTTGCTTTTCTAGGTCCCTGAGGTACATCATTGGGTTGTTCATTTGAAGTCTTTCTACTGTTTTTATGTAGGCATGTGTTGCTATAAACCTCCCTCTTAGTACTGTTTTTGCTGTATTGTAAAGATTTGGGTATGTTGTATTTCCATTTCCATTTGTTTCAAAAAACTTTTCAATTTTCTTCTTAATTTCTTCATTGACATATTATTGTTCCAAGCATGTCATTTAATTTCCATGTGTTTGTGTAATTTCTTATAATCCTCTTGTTGTTGATTTCTGGTTTTATTTCATTACAGTCAGAAATGAAACTTGATGTGATTTCTACTTTTATGAATTTGCTGAGACCTGTTTTGTGGCCTAAAACATGATCTATTCTGGAGAATGTTCCATGTACTGATGAAAATAATGTGTATTCTGCACCAGTTAGTGAAATGTAAATGTCAGTTAAGCCTATTTTGTCTAGTATGTTAATATGATTTGGCTGTGTCCCCACCAAAATCTCATTTTGAATTCCCATGTATTGTGGGCAGGACCCAGTGAAAGGTAATTGAATAATGGGGCAAGGCTTTCCTGTGCTGTTCTTGTGATAGTAAATAAGTCTCATGAGATCTGATGGTTTTAAAAAGAGGACTTCCCCTGCACAAGCTCTCTTTCTTTGCCTGTTGCCTCCATGTAAGTCCTGACTTGCTGCTTTTTGCCTTCTGCCATCATTGTGAGGCTTCCCCAGCCACATGGAACTGTAAGTACAATTAAACCTCTTTCTTTTTTAACTTGCCCAGTCTCAGGTATGTCTTTATCAGAAGCATGAAAACAAATTAATACATATGTAGTTTAACTTTGCTCTTTCTATGTTCATTTTCTGTCTGGATGATTCATTCATTACTGAGAGAGGAATGTTGAAACTCCCTACATTTACTGTATTGTAGTCTACCTTTTCCTTTATATCTATTAATGTTTGCTTTATATACTTGGAAACTCTGATGTTGGGTGCATATATATATAGAATTCTTATTTCCTCTTACTGAATTGACCTGTTTATCATGATATAGTTACCATTTTATTATCTTTTTACAATCTTTGATTTGCAATCTATTTAATCTCATATAATTATAGCTACTGGTTTTTGGTTCCCAGTTGCATCAAATATTTTTTCCATCTCTTCACTTTCAGTCTATAAGTGTCTTCGTAGGTGAAGTAGACAGCATAGACTTGAGTGTTGCAGACAGTGTAAACTTGCGTGTTGTTTCTTCATCCTACGTTTTTTTATTTGGAGAATTGCATCCACTTAGTGTTATTGTTGATAAGTAAGGACTTACTTCTGTCATCTTTTGTGCATGCCTCCTCTCTTCTTTTCTTCCTTTCTTACTGTCTTTCTTTGTGGCTTAGTGATTTTCTCTGGTAGTATTTTTTAATTCATTGCTTTTCATGTTTAGTCAATCTATTATAGGTTTTTGTATTGTGGTTACCATGAGACTTACAAAGAACACCTCATAGATATAACAAGTTATATTAAAAAGTTGACAACTTAACTTAGATCACAAAGAAAAGAATAGAAACAAACTGACCAAAAATAGGGAAAAAAAGAAAAACAACTTTATACTTTAACTCCATTTCTCCCACATTTTGACTTGGTATTGTCTAATTTGCATAGCTTTTATTGCCTATCTTTTAATTATTGTTTCTATAGATTTTTCCTTTGGGCTTTGTATTAGTAAGGGTTTTCTAGAGAGGTAGAACTAATAGGATAGATGTATATATGAACGGGAGTTTATTAAGGAGTATTGACTCACACAATCACAAGGTGAAGTCTCACAATAGGCCATCTGCAAGCTGAGGAACAAGGAAGCCAGTCCAAGTCCCAAAACCTCAAAAGTAGGGAAGCCTAACAGTGCAGCATTCAGTCTGTGGCTGAAGGCCCAGGAGCCCCTGGCAAACCACTGGTGTCCAAGAGTACAGAATCTGAAGAACGTAGAGTCCAATGTTGGAGGGCAGGAAGCATCCCATATGAGAAAAAGATGAAAGCCAGAAGACACAGCAAGTCTGCTCTTTCCAACTTCTTCTGTCTGCTTTTTTTTTTAGCCACACTAGCAGCTGATTAGATGATGCCCACATAGTGAGGGTAGATCTGCCTCTCCCAGTCCACTGATTCAAATGTTAATCTGCCTTGACAACACCCTCACAGACAAACCCAGGACCAATAATTTGCATCCTTCAACCCAATCAAGTTGACACTCAATATTAACCATCACAGGCTTCACGAGTTATGAGTGTATTGTATACCATACTTACAATGTTAGATTATACTGGGTTTGTCCAGGTACTTAATTCTACCTGTGGGTTTTATACCTTAAAATGTTTTCTTTCGGCATATTAGTGTTTTTTTCGTTCAGAGTGAAAAACTGCTTTTAGCCAATTTTGTAATGCAGGTATAGTGGCAGTGAATTCTCTCAGCTTTTGTTTGTCTAGGACATACTTTATCTCTCCTTTATAATTAAGGATAGATTTGTTGGATACAGTATTTTTGTATAGCAATATTTTACTTTGAAAAAGCCATCTCACTTCTTCTTAGTCTATATGGTTTCCATTGAGACTTGTGTTTCTAGATGAACTGGGGCTTCTTTATGTGTTATTTTCTTCTTTTCTTTTGCTGCTCTTAAAAGCCCCTCTTTGTCCTTGACCTTTGAGAGTTTTATTATATTTTTGGGGTAGTTATTTGGGTCAAATCAGTTTGGTGCTCTTTGATCTTCCTGGAACTGGATATTTATCTCTTTCTCAAGTTTTGGAAAGTTTTCTGTTACCATTTCCTTGAATAAGCTTTCTATCCCTTGCTCTTACTGAAGTCCCCCTTGAATACTAATAATTCTTATATTTGGTCATTTGAAGACATTTTCTTTATCTTCTGGGCAATCTTTGTTCAATTGCATTCTTTCTTCTCCTCTGACTGTGTATTTTCAAATAATCTGTCTTCAAGCTCACTGATTATTTTCACTACTTGATCCATTCTGCTGTTGTAAGCCTCTAAAGAACTTTTCAGCTCAGCAAATTTATTTCTCACTTGTAAGATTTCTGTTTGATTTTTTATTATTATTTCAATTTCTTTGTTAAATGTTTCTTTATTTTCCTTTTTTAAAAAAACAAAAAACAAAACAAAACAGTCTCTCACTCTGTCACCCAGGATGGAGCACAGTGACATGATCACAGATCAGTTTAGCCTCAACCTCCTGGGCTCAAGTAATCCTCCCAGCTCAACCTCCTGAATAGCTGGGACTACAGGTACCAGGCCTCATGCCTGGCTAAGTTTTGTATATTTTTATAGAGATGGGGTTTCACCATGTTGCCCAGCCTGGTCTCGAACCCCTGAGCTCAAGTGACCCACCCACACTGGCCTCCAAAAGTGCTGGAATTACAGGCATGAACCACCACACCTAGCCTCAATCTCTTCTTTGTATTTTTCTGATATATTTCTGAATTGAGTTTTGTGTGTGTTATATTGGATCACTGGGTTTCCCTTAAACTTCTATTTTGAATTCTTGGTCAGAGGGCTCACATTTCACAGACTCACTAGGATCAGTCACTGTTTCGTTTCTTATTTTATTTTTTTTATTTATTATTTATTTTTATTATACTTTAAGTTTTAGGGTACATGTGCACATTGTGCAGGTTAGTTACATATGTATACATGTGCCATGCTGGTGCGCTGCACCCACTAACTCGTCATCTAGCATTAGGTATATCTCCCAATGCTATCCCTCAAAATAAGAAAAATTAATATTCTAAAATGTGAAAAAGTCTATATATTTGATTATTTTTAAAGATGTAAAAAAGAGTTGTGTAGGGAAGGTTGATCAGCAATGATTTAATAATGAAAGTGATATCATTTAAGCCATATCTCAGATATTAAATCAGATTTTGATTAGTAAAAATGAAGAATGAAAAGGGCATTCTGAGCGGCAGGAAAAATAAATGTCTAATCAGATACTCTACCTCATTACTCTGGGACAGTAGAAAGTTTGAGGAAATTATTTCTCACCATTCCATGAGTAGTCTCACGATACCACTTTTGCTACTCCTTTGTTCCTTAATTTCCTTAAATATATGATGGAGGAAGTACAACTTCCCTATATCCAATCCACCAAGACAAGATCAGAGTTGAGTTTAATTTCAGTTATTGGAACCAGTCTCAGACATCTTGGTAAAGATAGCTTGGGGAATGCAAATATGAAGGAAGAGCAATCCAATTTTACATTCTCTGGAAATTCAGTTGAGATTGTATCCTGGGGGAACTGTAGTGAGCTCCGGGATTTAACTCTTGACTTTGAATATCAATGATTCCTATTGGTGAGAAAATCCATTGTATAGGTAATGTGAGTCTTCATGGTCAAGTTTGTTATGGCAAATTCAACATGATTAAAATCCAATAAAGAACTGAGCTATTCATAGAAATAACCACCAAAGAAAGTAGCATGAGGTCAATGTAGAATAGTGCCATGAGGTCACATGGGAGCTAAGTAAAGATAGAACACTAAAGGGAGGTGTCTTTAAAGTTGAAGTGTATGAGGTACATAAAATTGAAGTCAGGCCTTAAGAAATGAATGGTAATGGAAATGGCTGATCACTGACAGCCGGACTGAAGTCGGTTATAAGTAAAATTAGACCACCCAAAAAATTCATGGGCAGTGTATTAGTCTATTTTCACATTGCTGATGAAGACATACCCGACACTGGGTAATTTACAAAGAAAAAGAGGTTTAATGGACTCACAGTTCCAAGTTGCTAGGGAGCACCCACCATCATGGCAGAAGGCAAAGCATGTTTTACATGGTGGCAGGCAAGAGAGAGAGGAAAATTTTTAATTTTTAAAAATTAAAATTTAATATTTTAAGCTAATGTCATAATTATTACACTCAAAAATGGAGTCATACTACTGCAATTCATATTAAATACATATTTCCCAAGCTATCTTTTTTTCTTTATAGGTAGCTTCAACTCAAATTTCTCCTGATTTCTAAATTAGGTGAAACCAGAATGTGCAACAGAGAATGGCAAAAGGGGAAGTTGGTAGACTTCATTAGTTGTGTTCGTGAAATGGAAATGCTATTAAAACTGCTGACTCAATACCAATTTCTTTACACTTCTTACTTCTGTCCCTGGATGATGAAGAAAAGATAACTTTAATACACATTTGCATAAAAGAAAAAAATCTATTTTAACTCTTACAAGCTACTGATGCAGATGCTCACTAAATATCAAAGAATCGAATCACTGAAACATCTGAAACTATGGGTGACAATGCTATAAAAAGGGTATTACCTCAATAACTTAGGAGTACTTAGAAATTCTGTCAAATACTCATGCCATAATATGAGAAGTACTAGCTAGCAGTTTTGTTTTAATCCCCAGAACTTTTCTTTTCTAAAATTTACTTTTGCTTTGTTGATAAATATCATAGAATGATAGTTGGGTCTACAGGGAAGACAACATCAAATCCAATGGGCTCATTTTTCTTTAGTTGATGAGTGAAATATAATAAAACTAGAATATTTGGTAGCAACTTATAAAATTAGTGCTCTTGCAGCATTCTTAACTATTAGCATACCTAGGTAAATGCTAGACATTTTCCCTGGTAGTGCAAATTAAAGATAGAGAAAATTCTTGCCATTTGCTTATGAGTTTTTTTCCAACCTGGTTGTATTTAGTATAAAATTTTACTGATTTAGGCCATTCTAGAAAATGTTCTTTCTTCTTACATTTTATTTAATAATTATTACTATGAATATTTTACTCACTTCAAAACAGTCCTTCTGAAATGAATAGTTGTGTTTGCTGCTTTAGGAAAAAAATAATAAATGAATGTATCAAGATATATTTTGAAAATGCATGTCTCATATGAAAATCCCAAAGTCATTCTCTGAATAAAACCTTTCAAATTTAGCTGTGATATCTCTAAACTGTGACATATTGGAAGATTATCATGTGATGGTGTATTCTATGATATTCAGATAATCTATAAAGTTTGCATATAGAATTAGTAATACAATCAGAAATTAAGGTTATCGTTTCAAATGAAATTAAAATTTTGATAGAAACTCTCTCCCAAACACCATTGATGCTATGCAAGTGAACATTATTTATATTCTTTTCCAGTTCACATACTATATCCTCTTCTATTTTACATTACCAGTTTTTAGAATTTCAATTTAACAAAGATACATTTATAGCAGGTGTACAGTGGTGGTACTTGATATTCTGAAATCATGGGATTTTTCTTTCAAAATTTAAAAGTCTTAGGCACATAAGTCTTTCTTTGATGCCAATATTAGGTTTTGTGGGATCAGGTTAGGGAAAAGTTTGAAAAATGAACCAAAAAGCACCTTTTTCTTACACACAGTGAATGTGTTGTTCAACTTAGATTGGAGTGGGAGAGAATATTTCATCAGTATTAGTCAAGCTCTAATACTGAAAAAGATTTTCCTTCTCTCAGACAGTCCTTGATTCTCTTCTTTTACTCTTCCTTGGGAAATAATGAAATTTATCTCCTTTCACAGAAATTAATCTGCTTGTCAGGTTCTTCAAAATCAGACCATTAAGGCTGGGCACGGTGGCTCACGTCTGTAATTCCAGCACTGTGGGAGGTCCAGGCTGGCGGATCACCTGAGGTCAGGCATTCAAGACCATCCTGAGCCAGGTGGCAGAGGTTGCAGTGAGCCGAGATCGTGCCACTGCACTCCAGCCTGGGTGACAGAGCAAGACTCTGTCTCAAAAAATAAAAAATAAAAAAATCAGACCATTACATAATTAAGAATATACATATGGTTTTATTTTGGTAAGTTAGAAACTGAGATTTCTGCTAAATAAATTAGAATCACTGTAGGGAAAATCAGGCTGCTTTTTCCTGCCTTTGCAAATCTACCATGAGAAGTATCTGATATGATACTGGATATTTTGCAGTCCTAAATATGGCTATGTTTTAATTAAATGATGCTAAGTATCACTAATCCTCTGTTATATGCCCTATGCCAACTTTAGTGGCTGCCCTTCCAATGTTTGTCTTACTTTCCTAATGGAGTAGTCTGAATCTATTGAACTTTCTGAAGTTTTTAAGTGAAAATTTGAAAATACATTATCTGTTTGCATTAGGTTCTGTTCAACTAAGGGTAATTTCCTTCCTTGTCATTTCTGTTGTAACAATAAAATATTTTAGAGAATACTCAACATTCACTTTATACTAACCATCCATATAAAAAAATTAAAAAAAATACCCAAGTCAAAAGTCCTTTTTAAAAAGAAAGCTAGAGGACTACTGGACTATTTATGGAATACACAGAGTGCCTGATACTGCTTTTTATTGACTCTTATGTAGAATTACTAGTATAACTCAAAGACAGCTCTATCACCTTTGACAAAGGGAGTCTTTCTAAAGTCATGCTGTAAAAATAAAGCATTGTGTTATGTGTTAAACCATCCACATGATCACAGTCCATCCTCTTTATATATATCTTATATAATAAAAAACGGCCTGCATATCAAAACGTATCATCTGAAGATAAGATAGAGTAACTCCAAAATTGTAAATTCAAATACGATTACATCACCATAAAGGATGACTTGCTTATGCTTTATTCAACATATTATATTTTCAAACTTTTTATAATATTGCATATTAAAAATTGGAAGAGTCTTCAGAGACTTTTTTTTTTCCAATGTAAAAATCAATCAAACGTGAGTTTTACTCTTAAAAAGGGTTTGGGAAGGAGGGTCACATTTTAATTTTTTTTTTTTTTTGCTACTTATAAAATGAAAGTATAAAATAATTGAAAGTACTGGGAAACACAAAAGTTTGTCATATAAATGTTTCAATCTATTGAAATCAGTTACTAGATAGCACTGACTCTCCCTGTGATCTTTTATAATACATGATAAATATGTGCATACATTTGCAAAGTTGCTGCACACATTTTGGAAAATTTCCATTTGATATTAATTACTTGTTCTATTTCAGGGCTGTCCAGTAGAACTTCCGTGATAGTGGAAATGTTCATTGGGCTGCCCAATTACCATAGCGTCTGGACACATGTGGTTTATTGGGCTGTTGAAATTAGTGTGATTGAATTTTTAATTTTACTTAATTTTAATTTGAATAGCCACACATGTTATGGGTTAGCCTTTCTGTTTCATGTTTAATAAAGCCAGCTCTCTTTTTCTAAGCTTTCAAAATTTTTCATAAGAAGATAATGTTTGGTAACTTCAAAGAAGCAGTGAGGACATATAATTTACAAAATGTATTTTTCCTTCATAGTTCGGCTTTTTATTATACAGCTAACACGTTTCAGTCATTCCCTGTAAATCTTAGTTGCATAAAAGTCATTTCAGTAGTATCCCTACTGTCATCTCAAATCTTCTTTTGAAGCCAGAGATAGTGCCTGCAATACTCTTGTCAGAAGCAAACCATTTGTTGTTGCCTGTATTATCCAGTGAGCTTTCAATTATTCTCAGAATAGGCTTTTACAGGGTTGGGATAAAAAGTGCACGTGAGGGGAGCCTTGTTCTCTCAATGTCTTGAACTAGGAACACCTCACCAATAATGGAGTAAAGGAATGGTGAGGGGTTGTCATCGGAAGCTTCAGAAGAATCACTTTATGACAGGCTGTTACGATGGCCATTGTGACAGCCTCTAGGGATTGCAATCTAAGGATAGAGGAGAAGAAAACCTGTAGCAAGTCAACGGATTCTAGAACTTTGAGAAGCATGCTAACAAGTGCCTTGTTAAAAATGATGTCAATGCAAGTTTTTTCCAGCTTCACCATAATTTCAAGAGGTTTGCTCCCTATTTTTGTTGTTTCTCTAGTATATATACACTTATGAATAAATTTAAGTGTGACTTGTATTTGTTGAATCCATGTATTCGACAAGACAATGAATTTGACAGCCCCAGACAGCACTTACAATGTTAAATCAGGGTTTCTGGTTTAAAAGGAAGCCAGAGTACAATATCTGGAAATTATTCTATACTGAAATTATCCTTAAATTCTCCCCCACACTTAATTATAGAGTACTTATTTTATAATACATTATCTGTTCTAAATGATCTCCATTTCTAAATTAGTTAAGATTTCAACCACATAAATAAATAATGGTGGCGAGAAAGACTACTGGCATAACAAACGTAACAGAAGTGGCAAAAGTAAGTGAAAGAAAAATATATGGGAACTAACAGTCTATATTAGGTAGGATAGAATATCATATCCTAATAAAGAAGGATATATGTATTGTATCTCAATTAACATTTGTTTACTATTAATTTAATTTGGTTACAGGAATCTAGGCTTAGAAGGGATAACAGTTTATCTAACTAAGTGCAATAATTAAAAATATCCCCATTCCATCTCGGCCTCCTACATTTCTTCATGCTTCTACCATTCCTTTTTCTCTGTACATTTCTGCCTTATGGTTTAACATCTAGTTCTTGTGACTGCTGTATACAATTGAATGTAACCACTTTTATTACTAATCAAAGCTGTAATAACCTTATACAATATTGTGAAGGAAAATAACTTTCTTTCACAATTACAGACAGTTGAAACAAAAATAAAATTCAAAGAATATTCTCCACTTTTCAAAATAGATATTTGCTGTAAGTTGTTAGTCAAGATGGTGTTCAATGATAGTTATTCCATACATAGTTTCTAAACTTGCCATCTAAAAATGAAAAAATATAATTTACTTATTTTCTGTTAAGAAAGAGGAGATAGCAACCAGGCTCACTAGCAATAATGAATCACTTATTGGCTATTGAGGGTAGGAACATTATGGTTTTATTTGTATCATCTTATACACCCTGTTGGAAATTAGCAATTTGCTTCTTTCCAGATTTGTGAAATGTATATACTATTTGAATTCACAGTTTGCACTGATTGTGTAAGCATCATGCATATAGCTTTAGAGTGTTACCTAGAGGCCAAATTCACAAGTTACTAATGAAAAGGCGATGGTAAAACATAGGTCAGTTAAATGTAGTGATAGGAAAATGTGGCCTGTTGTGTTTAAGTCCACAACCATGCATCAGCCTCTAAAAATTGAGAAAATGGAAATCTTCAATTCAGGAAGTAGCATTTTGATTTATTCCCACACAATCTTATACGTTGTTATATCAGTGTTGTTATGAAGACTAAAAGGATGCATATAAATGTGAAATATATAGTAGAGTCCCTGATACATATTAAGTTCCATATAACATTAACTCATTATTTTCTCTTGTAATTGTGTTGGAAAGCTACATTCAAATGGTTATATTTTGATGTTCCTATTCGCTTATCAGAAGACAAAACATGGTTAAATTATAGCTGCATTACAAACATTGAAGGCACAACAAGAGTATTTTTAATAACATTCCCATAAGTAATATAATGCACAGGAAATTAAATGACTTCTGTATTTTTTCAACCTGTTTATAATTTTAAATTAATTTATGATGATGAATTTTAATGGCTTAGATAAAAATCATGCTGTGTTTATTTGCTTTAAATATTAAGCCACAAAAAATGTACCTAAATGGATTTGATATTTTGTAAAAATAAATACAGGATATAAAATCATGAAGAGATTATTAAAATGAGATATTAATTCTTTAGCAATCCTTTCTTCTTCAGATTATAAGAAAATTTACTGTATTGTCAAAGAAAGAG
The DNA here is from genome assembly GCF_000001405.40 of Homo sapiens. Classification (NCBI taxonomy): domain Eukaryota; kingdom Metazoa; phylum Chordata; class Mammalia; order Primates; family Hominidae; genus Homo; species Homo sapiens. The sequence continues at coordinate 79,634,484 of NC_000003.12, read as the reverse complement.
CCTTATGATAATGAGATAACTATATCTTGGGAAATATTAAGACTGTTGAATGTTGGCAGAATTACAAAGTATAACCTATTTTTGTTCTTTTATCATTGTTTTCTGATTCTGGATGTCTCATCTCCCCCTCATCAAATCCTGGAAGCTGCATGGTGCTGGTCAATTCTGCTGTGTTTCCCAGCTACTGGATAGAACTTTGACCGTTGACAACCAAATTCCCTTGCTGGGCACTGTTTCCACTTTTCATGTCACCTCTTGTGTGCATTCACTGAAGCTTTGCATGTCAGAGCTATGCAGTGTTTCTTGGCAAAGAGGGACAGATAGTATATTTGCAGAGGCAACCTGTTGAAATAATCAGACTGTTCACAATTATTAGCAACAGCCTTCTCTCTCCCCAGGCCTAAGTTTCTTAGGTATAAGTCAGAGCTCAATAATATTCCACACATTTATTCAAACTCACTCTTTCCTCCCAATAACTAGACATGTTATTGAATCTAATGTCATACTTGGCTCCTTTTTTTCTCTATATCAGTTCCCAACAAAGAAGCTCCTGTGTCTGCTGCAGGTCCTGTCCTTCAGAATTGCCAGCTACAATCAGATTATATCTGAACCACAGAGATGGACACAGCTTCAGTGGCTGAAGCTGGAGCTTTTACCAAACAAGAAAGATTTTTAGCTTCAATTACAGATCTTTTAATAATAATTTTGAAAATTGACTATGGGGTATCAAAGGTTATTTTTTCTTGTGTTTTTTTTTAAATCACTATTCAAGTATGTATATAAAAGATGTTCTTGAAGAACAACAAGGAATCAAGCCTTGATTCAATCAAGGATGGGATATTAGGTCAGAATTATGCTTAAGAGGGTTTGCACTAGATGTCACTCTAGGTTTCTAATGATTTGGAGAGAAAAACCAGGACTAACAGTAATTAACACTAAATTTAATTTCATTAAGTTTTTCTTCCATTCTCATAATTCAGAAATAAGAACAAATATGTAGGCTGGGCATGGTAGCCCATGCCGATTGTCCTAGCAGTTTGGGAGGCTGAGCCTCCTCATTTGACCCCAGGATTTCAAGACCAGCCTGGCCAACATGGTGAAACCCCATCTCTCCAAAAAAAAAAAAAAAAAGAAATGCAAAAAATTAGCTGGGTGTGGTAGCTGGCACCTGTTGTCCCAGTTATTCGGGAGGTAAATGTGGGAGGATCGCCTGAGCCCAAGAGGTTGAGACTGGGGAACCGTGATCATGTACTGCACTCCAGCCTAGATGACAGAGTGAGACCCTTTCAAAAAAAAAAAAAAACCCAGCAAATATACATATGTAAAAATCAAACCCTTTTTCTTATAATATATGTTTCTATACGAAACTTTCTACTGCCAAATTTCATGTTGATTATTCTAGTGTGTGTAATTGTATAACATGTTTTAACCTGTATTTCCCTTCTGATTCATAGCATTTAACTTTTTTTTAATCTGCTTTTTGGCATCTGTATCTCTTTGTCAATGAAGTGTTCAAAATGTCTTCTTGCTTCTTATTGGGTTTTTGTTTCATTTCTTATTACTGCACTGGAAGAGCTCTTCATTTAGGATTAAAAACCCTTAATCAGATATCTTTTTTGGAATATTTTCTCTTTATCTGTAGATTGTATTTTCATTTTCTTAGTGCTGTCTTTTGAAGAGGAAGAGATTTGAATTTTGAGGGAGTTCATTTTTTTTCTTTTAGAAGTAATGTTTTTTGTGTCTTGCTGAAGTAGATGCTTAACACATGGTCACAAATATATTCTCTAATGTTTTCTTCCACAATATGTACAGTTCTAGGTTTTACATTTGCTTCTGTGATCCATTTTGGATTTTTCAAAAATAGATTCAGGGGATACATTTGCAGGTTTGGAACATGGATATATTGCATAATGGTGAGGCCTGGACTTCTAATGTGCCTGTCCCCTGAATTGTGAAACTTGTACCCAATGGGTAATTTTTAAACCCTCACTACCCTCCTACCTTCTACTTTTTTGGAATCCTCAGTGTCTGTTATTTTTCTGTGTGTCGATGTGTACCAGTTGTTTAGCTCCTACTTATAAGTAAGTATATGTGGTATTTGATTTACTACTTGAGTTATTCATTTAGGATAATGACCACCAGCTCCATCCTTATTGCTGCAAAAGCCATGATTTCATTCTTTTTGTGGCTGCATAGTATTCCATGGTGTATAGAGTCCACACTTCTTTTTCCAATCAATTGCTGGTAGACACTTAAGATGATTCTATGACTTTGCTATTGTAAATAGTGCTACAAAAACACATTAAGTGCAGATGTCTTTTCGATATAATGTTTTCTTTTACCTTTGGGTAGATACTCAGTAGTGGGACTTCTGGGTCGAATGGTAGTTTTATTTTCAGTTCTTTGAGAAATCTTCATATGACTTTCCATAGAGGTTGTACTAATTTACATTTCTACCAACAGCATATAAGCAAGCATTCCCTATTCTCTGTGATCTCACCAATATCTGTTGTTTTTTGACATTTTAATAAAAGCCATTGTGACTAGTGTGAGATGGCATCTCACTGTGGTTTAACTTGCATTTCTCTTATAATTAGTGATGTTGAGCATTTTTTCATATGTATTTTGGCCACTTCTATATCTTTTTTGAGGAATGTCTGTTCATGTACTTTGCCCACTTTTTAATGGGTTTACTTGTTTTTTCTCTTATTGAACTGTTTGAGTTCCTTGTAGATTCTGGATTATCAGATGCATAGTTTGCAAATATTTTCTCCCGTTTTGTAAGTTCTCTCCTTACTCTATTGATTATTTCTTTTGCTGTGAAGAAGCTTTTTAGAGTAATTGAGTACCACTTGTCTTATTTTGTTTCTGCTGCAATTGACTTTGAGGCCAAGTCATAAATTTTTTGCCTGGGTCCATGTCCAGAAGAGTTTTTTCCAGGGTTTCTTCTAAGATTTTTATAACTTCAGGTCTTATAATTAAGTCTTTAATCCATCTCAAGTTATTTTTTCTATATGGTAAGAGATAGGGACCAAATTTCATTCTTCTGCATATGGCTATCCAATTTTCTCAGCACAATGTATTGAATAGGATGTCCTTCTCCCATTGTTTATTTTTGTTGATCTTGTTGAAGATCTGTTGATTACAGATATGAGGCTTTATTTCTGGGTTCTCTATTCTGTTCCATTGATCTATGTGTCCATAATTGTACTTGTACCATACTGTTTTCGTTACTACAGCCTCAAAATCAGGTAATGTGGTATCTCTAGCTTTGTTCTTTTTTTTCTTTGTTTTTTGAGGTAATGCAGGCTCTTTTTTGTTCCATATGAATTTTAGAATTTTTTTTCTAATTATGTGAAAACTCTTGTTGGTAATTTGATAAGATTTTCATTGAATCTGTTGATTGATTTGGGATGTATTTTACCTATATGTAAAATATAGTACGTCATTTTACCTGTATTGATTATTCCAATCAGTAAACATGGGATGGTTTTCCATTTCTTTTTGTCATCCCAATGTCTTTCCTCAGTGTTTTATAGTTTTCCTTGCAGAGATCTCTCATCTGGGTTGTTGAATATATTCCTAGGTTTTTTGTATGTGCGTGTGTGTAAATGGGATTAACTTTTTGATTTGGTTCTCAGCTTCAATGTTATTGGTGTATAGAAATGTTACTGATTTTTTTATGTTGATTTTGTATCATGAAACTTTACTGATATCGCTATCAAGTCTAAAAATCTTTTGGTGGAGTATTTAGTTTTCTGGTTATAAGAATATGTCATAAGCAAACAGATGATTTGACTACTCTTTTTTATAATTTGGATGCCTTTTATTTCTTTCTTGATTGCTCTGTCAAAGCCTTCCAGTACTGTGTTGGATAGAAGTGTTGAAAGTGAGCATCCTTGTCTTTCTCCAGTTATTAAGGAAAATGTTTCAAATTTTTCCCATTCACAATGATGTTGGCTATAGATTGGTATTATGGCTTTTATTATTTTGAGGTATGATTCTTTGATGCCTATTTTGTGAAGGGTTTTTAACATGAGAGGGTGTTGGATTTTACTGCATGCCTTTTCTGCATCAATCGAGATGATCATATGGCTTTTGTTTTTAATTCTACTTATAAGGTTAATCACATCTATTGATTTGCATATGTTGAACCATTCTCACATCCCTGGAATAAAACCCACTTGATCATGATGTATTATATTTTTGATGTGATGGTGGATTTTGCTTCCTAGCATTTGGTACAGCATGTTTGCATCTATTTTCATCAGAGATATTGGCCTATAGTTTTCTTCTTTTGGTGCCCTTGCTTGGTTTTGGTTTGAGGACGATACTAGTTCCATAGAATGAATTACAGAGAAATCTCTCCTCCTTCTTGTTTGTTTGTTTTTAGAATAGTTTTAGTAATACTGGTACTAACTCTTATTGTATATCTTGTAAAATTCATTGTGAATCCATCTGTTTCTGAGCTTTTTTGGTTGGAGGTTTTTTATTACTGATTCAATTTTATTACTCATTGTTGGTCTGTTCAGCCTTTCTATTTCTTCTTGGTTCAATATTGAGAGGTTGCATGTTTTAAAAACTTTATTTCTAGTAGATTTTCTGGTTTTTTGTGTGCATAGAGATGCTCATAGTAGCCTCTGATATTTTATGTTTATATGGTATCAGTCTTAATATCACTTTTATCATTTCTAATTGTCCTTATTTGAATCTTCTCATCTTTTTTTCTTGCTTGATTTAGCTAGTGGTCTATCAATTTTGTTTATACTTTCAAATGAACAACTTTGTGTGCTTTATTCTTTGTATAATCTTTTTGGACTCTATCTCATTTAATTCTGCTCTGATCTTTGTTACTTTTTTTCTTCTGTTAGCTTTGGGTTGGTTTAGTTCTTGTTTATCTAGTACCTTGGGTTGTGACATTGGTTTGTTAATTTGAGATATTTCTGTATTTTGATGTAGGCATTTAATGCTATAAACCCTCCTCTTAATACCACTTTTTCTGTATCCCCGAGGTTTCGGTATGTTATATCTGTATTTTCATTCATTTTAAAATGTTTTGCCTTAATTTTTTTATTTACCCAAAAATCATTTAGGAGCAAGTTATTTAGGTTCCATGTATTTGTATAGTTTTGAGGGTTCCTCTTGGTATTCATTTCTAATTTTATTATTCTATGTTCTGAGAAGACACTTGATATGATTTCAGCTTTTTGAATTTATTGAGACTTATTTTATGGCACAGTATATAGACAATTTTAAGGGAATGCTCCATGTGCAGAGAAGAAATATATATATTCTGCAGTTGTTGAATGAAATGTTGTGAAAATGTCTAGTAGGCCCAGTTGGTCTAGAGTCCAGTTAAAACCCAAGGTTTCTTTGTTGATTTTCTCAGCCTCAATGATCTGTCTAATGCTGTCAGTGGAGTGTTGAAGTTCCACACTACTACTATATTGCCATATATCTCTTTTATTAGTTCTAGTAGCATTTGCCTTATGAATCTGTGTGCTCTGGTGTTGGGTACATACATAATTACAATAGTTTTATATTTTTGTTGAATTGAAAATTTTGTCATTATACAATGACTTCCTTTGTCTTTTTTTACTTTTGTTGGTTTAAAATATGTTTGAATTTATGTAAATATAGCTACTCCTGCTAACTTATTTTACTTTACCATGGTATATCTCTTTCCAAACCCTTTGCTTTTAGTCTGTGGGTGCCTTTACTGATTAGGTTGGTTTCTTGTAGACAGAAAATGGTTGGATCCTGTTTTTTAATTCCATTGGCCAGTTTATATCTTTTAAGTGGAGCATTTAGGCCATTGTTGTTGTTCAAGGTTAGTGTTGATATGTAAGGTTTTATTTTTATTCTATTTTTCTTATTTCTTCTAAAAACTGGGATACATGTGCAGAACGTACAGGTTTGTTACATAGGTATACCTGTGCCATGGTGGTTTGCTGCACCTATTGACCCATCCTCTAAGTTCCCTTCCCTCAGCCCTCATCCCCCAACAGGCCCTGATGTGTGTCGTTCTCCTCTCTGTGTCCTTGTGTTCTCATTGTTCAACTTCCACTTATGAGTGAGAACATGCGGTGTTTGGTTTTCTGTTGCTGTGTTAGTCTGCTGAGGATTATGGCTTCCAGCTTCATCCATGTCCCTGAAAAGAACATAATCTCATTCCTTTTTATGGCAGCATAGTATTCCATGGTGTATATACCATTGATGATATATCTATGTCTATCATTGATGGGCATTTGGGTTTGTTCCAAGTCTTTGCTATTGTAAATAATGCTGCAATAAACATATGTGTACATGTGTCTTTATAATAGAATGACTTATATTCCTTTGGGTACATACTCAGTAATGGGATTGCTGGGTCAAATGGTATTTCTGGTTATAGATCCTTGAGGAATCACCACACTGTCTTCCACAATGATTGAACTAACTTACGTTCCCACCAACAGTGTAAAAGCATTCCTACTTTTCCACAGCCTCACCAGCATGTATTGTTTCCTGACATTTTGATAATCACAGTGTGAGACAGTATCTCACTGTGGTTTTGATTTGCATTTTTCTGATGATCAATGATGTTGAACTTTTTTTCATATGTTTGTTGGCCACGTAAATGTCTTTTGAGAAGTGTCTGTTCTTATCTTTAACCCATTTTTTGATGGGGTTGCTTTTTTCTGGTAAATTTGTTTAAGTTCCTTGTAAATGCTGGATATTAGACCTTTGTCAGATGGGTAGATTGCAAAAATTTTCTCCTATTCTGTAGGTTGCCTGTTCACTCTGATGATAGTTACTTTTGCTGTGCAGAAGTGTTTTAGTTTAATTAGATCCCATTTGTTAATTTTGGTTTTATTGTCTTTGCTTTTGGCATTTTTGTCATGAAGTCTTTGCATATGCCTATGTCCTAAATGGTATTTCGTAGGTTTTCCTCTACAATTTTTATGGCTTTTGATTTTACATTTAAGTCTCTAATCCATCTTCAGTTAATTTTTGTATAAGATGTAAGGGAGGGGTCCAATTTCAGTTTCCTGCATATGGCTAGCCAGTTTTCCCAGCACCATTTACTGAATCGGAGATCCTTTCTCCATTGCTTGATTTTGTCAGGTTTGTTGAAAATCAGATGGTTGTAGATACATGGTGTTATTTCTGAGGTCTCTGTTCTATTCCATTGGTCTATAGGTCTGTTTTGGTACCAGTACCATGCTGCTTTGGTTACTATAGCCTTGTAGTATAGTTTGAGGTCAGGTAGTGTGATGCCTCCACCTTTGTTCTTTTTGCTTAGGGTTGTCTTGGCAATACAGGGTCTTCTTCGATTACATATGAAATTTGAAATAGTTTTTTTCTAATTCTGTGTAGAATTTCAATGGTAGTTTCATGGGGAATAGCATTCTATCTATAAGTGACTTTGGGCAGTATGGCCATTTTGACAATATTGATTCTTCCTATCCATGAGGATGGAATGTTTTTCTGTTTAGGTCATCCCTTATTTCCTTGAGGAGTGGTTTGTAGTTATCCTTGAAGAGGTCCTTCACATCCCTTGTTAGCTGTATTCCTAGGTAGTCTATTGTCTTTTTGGCAATTGTGAATCGGAGTTCATTCAAGATTTGGCTCTCTGCTTGTCTGTTGTTGGCATAAAGGAATGCTTGTGACTTTTGCACATTTGTTTTGTATCCTGAGACTCTGCTGAAGTTGCTTTTATTAGTTTGAGGAGGTTTGGGGCTGAGATGATAGGATTTTCTAAATATAAAATCATGTCATCTGCAAACAGAGACAATTTAACTTCCTCTCTTCCTATTTGAATATCCTTTATTTCTTTCTCTTGCCTAATTGCCCTGGCCAGAATTTCCAATACTATGTTGAATAGGAGTGATGAGAGAGGGCATCCTTGTCTTATAATGATTTTCAAAGGGAATGCTTCCAGCTTTTGCCCATTGAATATGATATTGGCTGTGCATTTGTCATAAATAGCTCTTACTATTTTGAGATATGGTCCATCAATACCTAGTTTATTGAGAGGTTTTTTTGTTTTTGTTTTTGTTTTTGTTTTTGATGGAGTCTTGCTCTGTTACTAGGCTGGAGTGCAATGGCACGATCGTGGCTCACTGCAAGCTCCACCTCCCGGGTTCAAGTGATATTCCTGCCTCGGCCTTCCAAGTGGCTGGGCATGCACCACCACACCCAGCTAACTTTTGTATTTTTAGGACAGACAGGGTTTCACCATGTTCACCAGGATGGTCTCCATCTCTTGACCTCATGATCCACCCACCTCAGCCTCTCAAAGTGCTAGGATTACAGGTGTGAGCCACCATGCCCAGCTGAGAGTTTTTAACATGAAAGGATGTTGAATTTTATCGAAGGCTTTTTCTGCATCTATTGAGATAATCATGTGGTTTCTGTCTTTGGTTCTGTTTATGTGATGGATTACATTTATTGATTGGGGTATGTTGAACCAGGGATGAAGCTGACTTGATCATGCAGGATAAGTTTTTGATGTGCTGCTGGATTCGGTTGGCCAGTATTTTATTGAGGATCTTTGTATAGATGTTTATCAGGATATTGGCCTGAAGTCTTCTTTTTTTGTTGTGTCTCTTCCCAGTTTTGATATCAGGATGATGCTGGCTTCATAAAACTAGTTAGAGAGGCGTCCCCCCTTTTCAATTGTTTAGAATAATTTCAGAAGGAATCGTACCAGTTCCCCCTTGTACCTCTGGTAGAATTCAGCTGTTAATCCATCTGGTCCTCGTCTTTTTTTGGTTGGTAGGCTTTTAATTACTGCCTTAACTTCAGAACTTGTTATTGGTCTATTCAGGCATTCAGCTTCTTCCTGGTTTAGTCTTGGGAGGGTGTATATGTCCAGGAATGTATCCATTTCTTCTAGAGTCTCTACTTCATTTGCATAGAGGTATTTATAGTATTCTCTGATAGTAGTTTGTATTACTGTGTGATCAGTGCTGATATTCCTTTGTCTTTTTAAATTGTGTGCATTTGATTCTTCTCTCTTTTCTTTTTTACTAGTCTAGCTAGTGGTCTATTTTGCTTTTTTTTTTTTTTTTTTTTTCAAAAAAAACAGCTACTGGATTACTTGATATTTTGGAGGGATTTTCGTGTGTCTATCTCTTTCAAATCTTCTCTGATCTTCGTTATTTCTTGTCTTCTGCTAGCTTTTGGATTAGTTTGTTATTGCCTCTGTAGCTCTTTTAATTGTGATGTTAGGGTATTGATTTGAGATCTTTCTAGCTTTCCGATGTGGGCATTTAGTGCTATAAATTTCACCCTTAATACTGCATTAACTGTGTACCAGAGATTCTGGTACATTGTTGCTTTTTTCTCATTGGTTTCAAAGAACTTCTTGATTTCTGCCTTAATTTTACTATTTACCCAGGATTCATTCAGAAGCAGGTTGTTCATTTTCCGTATAATCGTGTGGTTTCAAGTGAGTTTCTTAATCCTGAGTTCTAACTTGATTGCACTGTGGTCTGAGAGACTGTTTGTTATAATTTCAGTTCTTTTGCATTTGTTGAGGAGTGTTTTACTTCCAATTATGTGGTCGATTTTAGAATAAGTGCCATGTGGCATTAAGAAGAATGTATATTCTGTTGATTTGGGATTGAGAGTTCTGTAGATGTCTACCAGGTCCACTTGATCCAGAGTTGAGTTCAAGTCTTGAATATCCATGTTAATTTTCTGTCTTGTTGATCTGTCTAATACAGACAGTGGGGTGTTAAAGTCTCCCAGTATTATTGTGTGGGAGTCTAAATCTCTTTATAGGTCTCTAAGAACTTGTTTTATGGATCTGGGTGGTCCTGTATTGGGTGCATATTTATTTATAATAGTTCGCTCTTCTTGTTGAATTGTTCCCTTTTCCATTATATAATGCCCTTCTTTGCCTTTTTTGATTTCTGTTGGTTTAAAGTCTGTTTTGTCAGAGACTGGGCTTGTAATCCCTGCTTTTTTTCCTTTCCATTTGCTTAGTAAATTTTTCTCTATCCCTTTATTTTGAGCCTATGTGTGTCTTTTCATGTGAGTTGTGTGTCTCCTGAATACAGCATACCGATGGGTCTTAAATCTGTATCCAATTTGCCAATCTGTGTCTTTTAATTGTGGTGTTTAGCTCATTTACATTCAAGTTTAGTATTGTTATGTATGTATTTGATCCTGTCATCATTCTGCTATTTGATTATTTTGCACATTAGTTGATGCCGTTTCTTCATAGTGTCTTTGGTCTTTATATTTTGCCGTTTTTTTGAAGTGGTTGGTACCAGTTTTTCCTTTCCATATTTTATACTTCTTCTAGGAGCTCTTGCATGGTAGGCCTGGTGGTAATGAAATCCCTCAGCATTTGCTTGTCTGGAAATGATTTTATTTCTCCTTCGCTTATCAAGCTTAGTTTGGCTGGATATGAAATTCTGGGTTGAAAATTATTTTCTTTAAGAATGTTGAATATTGGCCCCCAATTTCTTCTGGCTTGTAGAATTTCCATTGAGACTTCTGCTGGTAGCCTAATGAGCTTCCCTTTGTAGGTGACCAGGCCTTTCTCTCTGGCTGCCCTTAACATTTTTTCCTTCATTTTGACCTTGGAGAATTTGATGATTATGCGTCTTGGGGTTGATCTTCTCATGGAGTGTCTTAGTGGTGTTCTCTGTATTTCCTAAATTTGCATGTTGTCCCGTCTTGCTAGGTTGGGAAAGTTCTCCTGGATTATATCCTGAAGTATGTTTAACAGCTTGTTTCCATTCTCCCCATCTCCTTCTGGTACTCCAATCAATTGTAGGTTTGGTCGTTTATTGAAGTCCCATATTTCTTGTAGTCTTTGTTCATTTCTTTTCATTCTTGTTTTCTCTAGTCTTGTCTGCATGTCTTGTTTTAATAAGGCAGTCTTCCAACTCTGATATCCTTTCTTCCAGTTGGTAGATTCAACTGTTGATTCTTATGTATGCTTCATGAAGTTCTCATGCTGTGTTTTTCAGCTCCATCAGGTTGTTTATGTTCCTCTTTAAACTTATTCTAGTTAGCAATTCCTCTAACATTTTATCAATGTTCTTAGCATCTTTGCATTGTGTTAGAACATGATCCTTTAGCTCCGCATAGTTTTTTATTGCCTATCTTCTGAAGCCTACTTCTGTCAAATCATCCATCTGATCCTCCATCCAGTTCTGTGTCCGTGAATGAGAGACGTTGCGATTGTTTGGAGGAGAAGAGACATTCTGGCCTTTTGGGTTTTTAGCAATTTTTCATTGATTCTTTCTCATCCTTGTGAGTTTGTCTAGTTTTGATCTTTGAGGCTGCTGACACTTGGATGGAGTTATTGTGAAGGTTTTGTTGTTGTTGTTGTTGTTGTTGTTGTTGATGCCATTGTTACTGCTTTCTGTAGGTTCGTTTTTCTTTCAATGGTCAGGTCCCTCTTCTGCAGGGCTGCTGCAGATTCCTGGGGGTTCACGTCAGGCCCCATTCATCTGATTCGCTCTTGCACCTGGAGATGTCACTCAAGGAGGCTGGAGAATAGCAAAGATGGGTGCTGGCTCCTTCTTCTGGGACCTCTGACCTTGAGGAGCACCAACCTGATTCCAGTAGGATTGCTCCTGTATAGGATGTGTCTGAATACCCCTGTTGGAGGGTCTCACTCAGTTGGGTGGTACAGGGAACAAGACCTGTTTAATGAAGCACTTTGTCCTTTGGTGGAGGGGGTGTACCTCACTAGGAGGAAACCCACTCATCTAGGCTGCCCAGATTCCTCAGAACTACCAGCAGGAAAAGCTATGTCTGCGGCCACCTCTCCCACTAGGGGCTCAAGCCCAGGGAGATCAGGTTCCATCCCTGAGCCTCTGGCTGGAGTTATTGGAGTTCCTGCAGGGAAGCCCAACCCAATGAGGAAGGATGGGTCAGGGTCAGGCCTCAAGAGGCACTCTTGTCACAGACTGCCACAGCCAGTATGTTGGGCTGTTGGGGGACAAGTCTTGGGAAAAAGCCATCCAGCCTTCCTGGCTCCAGCAGGGGAAAAGCACAGGCTGGAGCTACAGAGATGGATGCTGCACTTTCCCTGACCAGGGAGCTCAGTGTATTAGGCAGCTGTGAGTCCCAGTACCAGCTGCTACCCCTCCCCCAAGGAGTTCCAAAAGCTTAGACAGTAGGCAACCACAGTTGGGGTGCTGGTCGCCCCTTCCCTCAAGAGTTCAGGAGGCTTAAGCAGGTTCCAGCTGACAGGCTGTTGGGAATTTGTGCGTTCCAGGGTTGGGACACTAGGCTCTGGTGGAGTGGGTTCATGAGTGGGATTTTCCAATCCATGGTTTGCACAGTTCCATGGAAAAAGCAGTTTCCCTGTCTGGGTAGCATGCTCACTCACCACTTCCCTTGACTGTGGAGAGGTGGCTCCCCTGCCCTCTGTGGCTTTCAGGTGGGCTGCCAAACCACACTGTTCTTCCTTCTCTCTGTGGGTCATGCCAGGCTCCTAGTCAGTTCTGATGAGAGAATATGAATACCTTTGTTGCTGGTGAAGAATTCACATGCTTATTATCATTATTATTTTTTTATGGGAGCCTCGGAATGCTGCTGTTTCTAGTCAGCCATCTTGGCCCGCTCCCCAGGTTTTATTACAGTCATTATGTTGTTACGTAGTTGCCTTGTAGTCTCAACTGCGCAATTGCTTTATGAAATCTATGAGCCTTTCATTTACATATGATTTTTTGATACAAATATTATCCTTATATTTTCATGTTTAAATGCCTTTGAGCATATCTTATAGCAGTGGTCTAGTGGTGATGAATTCCCTTAGCATTTGCTCCTCTGAGAAAGACTATTTCTTCTTCACTTATGAAGGGTAGTTTAGCAGGGCACAAAATTTTTGGCTTTCAGTTCTTTTCTTTAGAAAAAGACTGAAAATAAAACCTCAGTCCTTTCTGGCTTATAAGGTTTCTACTCAGAAGTCCGCTGTTAATCTGATAGGTTTTCCTTTATAGGTGATTTGATGCTTCTCTCTAAATGCTTTTAGGATTTTTCCTTCATGTTGATTATTGACAGTCTGATGGCTATGAGCCTTGATAAGTGTCATGCACGTCCATGTGAAGAGACCACCAAACAGGCTTTGTGTGAGCAATAAAGCTTTTTAATCCCCTGGATGCAGGCAGACTGAGTCCGAAAAAGGAGTCAGCAAAGGGAGATAGGGGTGGGGCAGTTTTATAGGATTTGGGTAGATAGTGGAAAATTACAGTTAAAAGGGATTTTTCTGTTGTGGGCAGGGGCAGGGCTCACAAGGAAAGAAAGTAAATCAAGAGAAAGGGCTTGACTGAAGTAATGAGGGCTGTCCCTGAAGCCTTGCAGCAGTACAGACCAGGTAAGTTGCGGAGACTGATGGTATCAGGGTCAGTCCAAGTGAAAGGGAAGAGAGGCTGGGATGAAGGGTGTACAGGAATAGTAAAGAAAGCATGTTTGATATCTAGAACAGAATAATGGGTTCTGGAGGGAGATATTGAGGATAGGAGAGTATATGGGTTTGGCACCATGGGGTGGATAGGCAAGACAATTTGGTTGATAAGGCAAAGATCCTGGACCAGCCTGTAAGATTTGTCCAGTTTCTGGACAGGTAGGACAGGAGAGTTGTAAGGAGAATTTGTAGGCTTTAAGAGGCCATGTTGTAACAGGTGGGTGATAACAGGCTTTAACCCTTTTAAAGCCTGCTGTGGAATGGGATATTGGTGTTGAGTGGGGTAAGGGTGATTAGATTTTAATGGGATGATAAGGGGTGCATGATCAATTGCCAAGGAGGGAGTAAAGGTATCCCATACTTATGGTTTAAGGTAGGGAGACACAAGGGGAGGATGTGAAGGAGGCTTTGAACTGGGGAAAAGGGTGGCAATGAGGTGTGGCTGTAGCCCAGGAATAGTCTGGGAAGCAGATAATTTAGTTAAAATGACCTAATAAGGGAGCTGGGCAGGTGGAGACAACTAAAAAAGAGAGTATAAAAGAATGTTGTCCAAGTTGGCACCAGAGTTGGGGAGTTTTAAGAGGTTTAGAAGCCTGGCCGTCGATACCCACAACAGTTATGGAGGCAAGGGAAAGGGGCCCTTGAAAAGAAGGTAATGTGGAGTGGGTTGCCTCCGTTTTGATTAAGAAGGGTACGGATTTACCCTCCACTGTAAGAGTTACCCAAAGTGTCTGTGATGGTCCAGGAGGCTTCCGAGGCGATCGGGCAGCATCAGTCTTCAGCCCCTAAGCCAAGAAGTTCTGGGAAGGAGTCAGTCCAAGATCCTTGGGCCAGAGTTCCAGGGGCTCTGGGAGTGGTTGCCGGGTGAGTTAGACAGTCCAATTTCCAGTGGGGTCCCGCACAGACGGGACACAGCTTAGGAGGAATCCTGGGCTGTTGACATTCCTTGGCCCAGTGGCCAGATTTCTGGCACTTGAAGCAAGATCTTGAGGGAGGAGTTCCTGTAGGAATGCCTAACCATTGCATCTTAGGTGTTTTGAAGTTCTTGTATGCTGGAGATGTGGCTGGGGTTTCTCTCACAGTGGAGGTAAGGAATTGCAACTCAGAAATATGTTGCCACTTGGATGCCTGTTCTCTATATTGTACACCTTGAAGGCGAGGTTAATTAAGTCCTGTTGTGGGGTTTGAGGGCTGGAATCCAATTTTTGGACCTTTTTCTTACATCAGGAGTGGATTGGGTAATAAAATGGATATTCAGAATAAGACTGTTTTCTGTCCCCTCTGGGTCTAGGGTGGTAAAGCTTCTAAGGGTTGTTGCCAAACAGGCCATGGACTGGGCTGGGTTTTTATATTTGATGAAAAAGAGCCTAAATGCTAACTGATCTGGGAGAGGTCCAATAGAGAAAAAGGCACATGTACCCTGACTATGCCTTCAGCTCTAGCCACCTCTCTAAGAGGAAGTTGTTGGGCAGGTAGGGGAGAGCTAGTCGTGGAACAAAACTGTAAGCCAGACTGGGTGTGAGGAAGGGAGGTAATAGAAGGGTTATCTAGATCTTGTAGGATGGAGAAATGTAAAGTGCCATTTTCTGGCCATTTAGAACCATTATCGAGTATGTATGGGGGCCAAGCAGTGTTGCAGAAGAAAATGAGACATTTACGTTTTAGGTCAGGTGTGAGTTCAGGAGGTTTTAAGTTCTTGAGAACACAGGCTAAGGGAGAAGAAGGGGGAATGGAGAGTGGAAGATTGCCCATAGTGAGGGAGGTAAGTTTAAACAGAAAGGTAGAGACACAGAGAAGGGGGTGGTGAGCAGCCCTGGGCTGTAATGTGGGTGTGCAGCCAAAGCAGTTGTCCCCACAATTGACTTGCCACTAAGGGAATGTGGGTGAATGACCAAGGCAGGCATCCCTGCGGTGACCAGACACCAATGGAATGTGGGTGAATGATGAGGGCAGGTGTCTCTGCAGTGATCAGACACCAGTGGAATGTGGGTGAATGATGAGGGCAGGTGTCCTCGCAGTGATCAGACACCAATGGAATGTGGGTGAATGATCAAGGCAGGTGTCCGCATGATGATCAGACACAAAGGGAAGACTGTCTTCCTGAGTTCGTGACTGGCGCTGGAGTTTTGGGTCCACGGATAAAATGTGTCTCCTTTTTCTCTTCCAGAGAGGAAAAATAACTGGAATTGGAAGGACAGGGAGATTGAAGGGTAGCACGAGAGGCTGGAGAAGAGAGTGAAAAAACCACTTACCCAATTTGAAATTGGTGAGATGTTCCTTGGGCTGGTCTGTGGACCCGAGGTCGTAGGTGGATCTCCTCATGGAGTGAGGCACCAAATGTCATGTGCGTCCATGTGAAGAGACCATGAAACAGGCTTTCTGTGAGCAAAAAGGCTTTTTAATCACTTGGGTGCAGGCAGACTAGTCTGAAAAAGGAGTCAGCAAAGGGAGATAAGGGTGGGGCAGTTTTATAGGATTTGGGTAAGTAGTGGAAAATTACAGTCAAAGGGAGGTTTTCTCTTGTGGGCAGGGGTGGCAGTCACAAGGTGCTCAGTGGGGAGCTTCTGACACTCATTGTCCAGGAGAAGTAATGTCACAAGGTCAGTTGATCAGTTAGGGTGGGGCAGGACAAATCACAATGGTGGAATGTCATCAGTTCAGGCAGGAATTGGCTATTTTCACTTCTTTTGTGGTTCTTCAGTTGCTTCAGGCCATCTGGATGTGTACATGCAGATGTGGGCTCAGAGGCCTGACAATAAGATTTGTTTTTTAGAGTTTCTCCCAGTTGTTATTTTAGCTTCTTGTATCTGGATGTTTAAATCCTTATCTAGACCAAATTTTTAGAAATTATGTCATCAGATATGTTTTCCTGACTTTTTACCTTTTCTTCTTCTCTTTCACAAATGCATATATCTCATAGGTTCGTATTTTTTTACATAATCCTCTATTTCCTGAAGCCTTTGTTCATTTTTTAAAAATTCTTTTTTCTTTATTTTTGTGTGACTGGATTAATTCACAGGACCTGGTCTTCAGGCTCTTAAATTCTTTCTTCTGTTTGATCTAACCTAGTTTTAAGCTTTCAACTACATTTTGTAAATCTTTTAATGTATTTTTTATTTCCAGAAGTTCTTTTTTTTTTTTTTAATATATCTCTTTAGTCAATTTTTCATGTATAACTTGAATTGTTTATCTGATTTCTTTGTGTTGGTTCTCTTGGATTGCTCTTTTTTTTTTTTTTTTTTTTGAGACAGAGTCTCACTTTGTCACTTAGGCTGGAGTGCAGTGGCCTCTTGCATCTCATTGAGCTTTCTTACATTTCACTTTGAATTATCTGTCATTTCAGAATTCCCTGTTGGTTAGGTTCCATTGCTAGAGAGAGTGTGATCCTTTGGGAGTGGCGAATCACTGTGTTTTTGTACTGTAAGAGTTCTTACTCTGATTCCTTCTCATCTGGAGGAGCTGTCTCTTCTTATGTTTGAATTTGCTTTCACTTCTTCATACTTTTCTTTCTTGATGCTGGGGCTGTAATATAAGTTGTATATAATTGTCTGCCTTCAATTCTGGTTGCTTTCACGGGGCAAGGCTTCATATTTATTCCTTTTTAAAGATAATTTCTGTGTATGGTTTTTTGAAATGCTGACATTTGCAACAATGTATTGGGCATATGAACCATCTCACTATATTTTTCATGTCCTGGAATGTGGAGGTCTCAGGAAGATTATCTTCTTTCCTAGCACCATGCCCTTCTGTCAACAAGTATTTTTATTTGGTTGTGAAATTCAGCCTCCAGTCCAGTAGATGGCAATTACAACTAAGAGCTGGCTCACTCTCAAACACCCTGAAGATGACCAGAAGCACATACTATGACTGGGATGGTTGAGGAAGTTCATGGTCATATGGGGTGAGGTCTCCATAGGGTGGTGTAGGGAGAGGGATACACTAGTTCCTTGTCCTAGGCAGGTAGAAATGTGATTCATTTCCCTATCATACCCTCATCCCAGGGCTCATGAGCTTCATTTCAAAAAGACATTGTGCTTTATCTCAAGGCCACAATGTAACTGAAGTCCATGGAAAATGCTTGAACTGCAGCTACCACCAAAATGGCCTTGGGGTGGATCCTCTTCCCTTAGCCCAAACAGACAGCTCTGTGGCTGGTCTGCAGTCCACTGCAGAAATGCTGCTGCTCCACATATGGAGTGGGACATGAGCACAACCCTTCGTGCAAGTCTGGACAGGCAGACACAATTTCGGTGGGGATGCAGCTGCCCTAAATAGCACTGGAATGGCTGTCTTCAAGTAAGCCTGTGCCAACTCCCAGTACCAAAAGACATGCCATATCCACAGCAGTGGATAAGGGGGTGAGAGAAGATCCTCTCTTCACATCCATTTCTAGCCACTCGTGCCTCCTGCCCACTGGAATGGAGCAACACTCCCCTTTTTCATTGATCTGCACCAGGCCCACATTTTGAATGGAAGCACACAGTCACCTTCTGGTCACAAAAAGGGGGCTCTCTGGCCAGGGAGACCATGTTATCTGGTTTCCTATGTCCCAAAGTACACTTTGATGGCTGCAATAATTTTTACCCTAGGGCCGTCCCATATTGTGGGCTAAATCTCTTGGGATCCTACAGCTCCTGAGAGCAACCATCTCCTATGGTTGTCCCAGTCATATTTCTATTTTCTATTATATTTTTTCTATACATTCTATTTTTTGTTTACAATGTGAATTTTCCAAAGTGCACTCTAGGAAATATTCATGGAGCACCTAGTGATGTGGAGACACAAGGACTGAAATTCTCTTGGCATGTTAATGGCCCACAACTGGTACACAACCAGTATGATGCCAGGATGATGTCTACTGCCTCAGCTCAGATTTGAAGAAAGAGTGAATGAACCTGCACAAGCTGACCACCTGATGCTCTGCTCTTCAGAAGTTCCCAAATCACTGCCAAAAGTAGTGCCTGGGCTCATGAGGGTAGACTAGCTCTCCAACAATTTGGCTGTCAGCAAGCCACCATAGGTTTGGGGGAGCAAAGAAACACCTCCACCTATTCTTTCCGTGGAACTGCAAGTTCCTCAGTGGTCACTCTCTGCTAGACTCTTGCTGCAATTCAGTTTTTCCCTTGGGCCTGTAACTTTGGATCTTCTTTATGAGGAGAACTGGCATCTGACATCTCTAGTCTGCCATGTTGATAAAAAGAAAACTTGCACTATTTTTATACGGTAAAATGTAAGCATAGAGATTCATTTTTGTGCAAATATTGCCCATTCCTTATTGGATTACCTTGGCACCTTTGCCTATTGATTATATATGTATGAGTCTGTATTTGTCTGGGTCTACTTCTGGGCTTTCTAATCTATTTGTTTGTTCTACATGTTTATCTTTAGGCCAATATAGCCTGTCTTCATGTTTGAACCTTGAAATCAGGTAGTGTGAATCCTCATATTTTGTTCTTTTTCATAGCTATTTTGATTAATCTATATTTTTAGCTTAGGTTTGAGTGCTGTAAACCAAAATTATTTCGGACAGATCTCAACCAATTTAGAAGTTTATGTTGCCAAGGCTAAGTACGTTCCTATGACAAAGTCTCAGGAGGTCCTCAGAACATGTGCCCAAGGTGGTTGGGCTATAGATTGGATTTATATGTTTTAGGGAGACATAAGACATCAATCAATACATGTACGTTGTGCATTGGTTCAGTCTGGAAATATGGAACAACTCAAAGTGGAGGCTTCTAGGTCATAGGTAGATTTGAAGATTATCTGATTGGTAATTAGTTGAGTTTATGTAAAGACCTGGAATCAATAGAAGTTAGTATTTAAGTTAAGATAAGGAGTTATGGAGAGCAAAGGTTTATTATGCTGAAGAAGCCTTCAGGTAGCAGGCTTCAGAGAGAAAAGATCATCTTAAGTATCCGTTTTAATGTTACACCGGTCGATTGTGCCTAAATTGCAAAGGGAGGAGGATATAATGAGAGATGTTTGACTACTTGTTCCCATTATGGCCTATACTCTTGTTTCAGGTTATTTTTGGAATTCCCTTGACAGACAGGAGGGGTCCATTCAGTTGGTTGCCCTGTTGAGGGGTGAGGACAGAGTGCTCAAAATTCTATTTTTGGTTTACAATGTGAATTTTCCACATAAGACTCTTTATTTCTATTTTTTAATGTCCATGATTATAATTGGGATTGCACTGAAATCATAGAGTGAATTTTCCAAATAAGACTCTTTATTTATATTTTTAATGTCCATGATTATAATTGGGATTGCATTGAAATCATAGATCAATTTGAGAAAAATTGATGCTATAATGATATTGAGTCTTGTGATCAATGGAACTGGCAAATATGTACATATTCTTTCATTTTTCTCATCAGTATTTTTAAGTTTTCAGCACAGAAATCTTACATTTATTTGTTAAATGTATCTTTATTTCATGACTTATATTGTTCTAAGAAAAGTTATAGTTTTTTAATACTTTAATTTCCAGTTTATTGCTAGACTATATAAATACAATTAATTTTTATACATTGACCAAATATCATGAGGCATCGCTAAGCACACTTATTTCTTATAATGCTTTAAATTTTACTCTAAGTGCTACTTATCTGCATTCCATGAATTTGTATGTTATGTTTTCATTTCCATTTAGTTCAACATATTTTATTTTTCTTTTGACTTTCCCTTGGATACATGTGGGTGATATATAAATGCAGTATTTAATTTCCAAACATTTGGGAATTTCCCATGCATCTTCCTTAGTGTTTTCTGTTTAAACTCCATTTCATTCTTTTAAGTTTGAGTTTTATTTTCTGGCCCAGAATGAGCACTGTCTTGCAGAATGTGTCATGTGTAGTTGAAAATAATATTTGTTATGCTGCTGTTTGCTAGAGTGTTCTATAAATATCTATTAGGTCAAATTGGTTGGTAGTGTAGTTTAGGTTTTCTGTATTCCTAATGATATTTTCTCATTCTTTTCTATGAGTTATTAAGACAAAAGTCTCTGTTATTGTAGTTTTCTCTATTTCTTTTATTTTATCTTTTTTCTTTATGCATTTTAAATCTCTGTTGTTAGGTGTATACACACTTAAGATTTTTATGTCTTCTTGATGAATTGTCTTATTGCTTTTACATTTGTTGTTATCCTTGGTAATGTTCTGAGTTGGCTTTATTTGATGTTAATACCTGTATGGTCATTCCAAATTTCATCAATTTAGTGTTTTCATGACACATCTTTCTCCGAACCTTTTACTTTTAGTCAATTATGTGATTATATTTATTGTGTGTTTCACTCTGGTAACATTTGATCAGTCTAAAGATAGTTACCTTGGCAAAGCAAAGCCAGTGAATTCCCTCTCTGGGACTTTCATATCTAAAACAGTTGGCCAGTATTACAAGTGATATTGTGTGTTTCTTTTAGAGATCTTATAATATAATTGGCTCTTGTTTTTTCATCTAATCTGACCATGTTTGCCTTTTGATTGAGATATATACACTTCATGCAATTATTGATATGGTTTAACTTAAATCTGCCATTTTGCCATTTTATATTTTATCTCTCTGTAGTTTATAGCTTTTGTCCCTTATTCTTTTGGGTTAGTTGAGTATTTTTAATAATTTCTAATGATTTTGTTTTATATCTACTATTGGCTTGTTAGTTATACTTCTTTCTTTCTTTCTCAGCTGTTGCTCAAGAATTTAAAAGATATATCTTTAATTTATAGCACGTTTCTTTTAATCAATCCCAAACCAATTACTTTTCATTATGCATAATAATATAGAAATGTATTAAAAACCAGTAGACAAAACAATGTTAACCCTATAAAATAGTAGTTTTAAAGCTGAGTTTAACCTTCAAATAAAGCAGTGTAGCTAAATGAAAAAACTATTTGTTCCTCCTCCAAAATATACTTGACCCTTTTTCAGTCTTTCCCAGTCCTTTTGAAATTCCATCAGTAGTCTAATTCTAATGTTACTCAAGCTAAGGACATGCATTTTTTGTTATAATACTTTAATAGTAAAATTATGTCAATTATTATCTAATTATTCATATTCTGAAAATATCTGAAAATCCATCCTTAAAAATGTGTAGTACTACATGATTTTTATGTTTTAATTTTTGATCCCCTTGATGACTAATAGCATCACTTCAATCATTGCAAAACAATGTGCAAGTACTAGAGGAGGACTTGCACATTGTTTTGCAATGATTGAAGTGATCAGACACTTCTCAAAAGAAGACATTTATGCAGCCAAAAAACACATGAAAAAATGCTCATCATCACTGGCCATCAGAGAAATGCAAATCAAAACCACAATGAGATACCATCTCACACCAGTTAGAATGGCAATCATTAAAAAGTCAGGAAACAACAGGTGCTGGAGAGGATGTGGAGAAATAGGAACACTTTTACACTGTTGGTGGGACTGTAAACTAGTTCAACCATTGTGGAAGTCAGTGTGGCGATTCCTCAGGGATCTAGAACTGAAAATACCATTTGACCCAGCCATCCCATTACTGGGTATATACCCAAAGGACTATAAATCATGCTGCTATAAAGACACATGCACCCGTATGTTTATTGCAGCATTAGTCACAATAGCAAAGACTTGGAACCAACCCAAATGTCCAACAATGATAGACTGGATTAAGAAAATGTGGCACATATACACCATGGAATACTATGCAGCCATAAAAAATGATGAGTTCATGTCCTTTGTAGGGACATGGATGAAATTGGAAATCATCATTCTCAGTAAACTATCGCAAGAACAAAAAACCAAACACCGCATATTCTCACTCATAGGTGGGAACTGAACAATGAGATCACATGGACACAGAAAGGGGAATATCACACTCTGGGGACTGTTGTGGGGTGGTGGGAGGGGGGAGGGATAGCATCGGGAGATATACCTAATGCTAGATGACGAGTTAGTGGGTGCAGCGCACCAGCATGGCACATGTATACATATGTAACTAACCTGCACAATGTGCACATGTACCCTATAACTTAAAAGTATAAAAAAATAATAAAAAAAAAGATAATAGTCATTACAGAATTGTGACCACAATGTACATGGTATTATATCCATGGAAACTGAAAAACATTACTTCATCTCTTTCTTTTCTTTTTTTATTTATTTTCTTTTGGACTTTATTCTTTTTTTGTTGTTGTTGTTATACTTTAAGTTCTGGGATACATATGCAGAATGCGCAGGTTTTTTCCATAGGTATACACGTGCCATGGTGGTTTGCTGCACCCCTCAACCCATCATCCACATTAGGTATTTCTCCTAATGCTATCTCTCCCTTAGTCCCCCCACTCCCTGACAAGGCCCAGTATGTGATGTTCCCCTCCCTGTGTCCATGTGTTCTCATTGTTCAACTGCTACTTATGAGTGAGAACACGCAGTGTTTGGTTTTCTGTTCCTGTGTTAGTTTGCTGAGAATGATGGTTTCCAGCTTCATCCATGTCCCTGCAAAGGACATGAACTCATCCATTTTTATGGCTGCATAGTATTCCATAGTGTATATGTGCCACATTTTCTTTATCCAGTCTATCATTGATGGACATTTGGGTTGGTTCCAAGTCTTTGCTATTCTTTCTTATTCTCATATTTAAATTCCAAATACCATTTTCATTAAAGAAAAATAATATCCCATCGATTTCATTTAGTTAATTTAAGTCAAATGATTTTAATTTGAATTTTCTGGGTTTTCTATCATTTATGTTTAATTTTAATTGTTATTTTATATTTTATGAGGTATAAACATGATAGATTTGTATGCTATTTGTACATATTCAAATGATATTATCATAAATATACTTTATGGTCATACTGAAGAACCGTGGAATTTTTTTCTATTAAAAGATGCCTATTTGTTAGCCAAGGTTGAAATTGATAAGTTTGTACCTTCCCTGAACTTCTGCTCAACTTAGCCCCTCTACATCCATTACCTCTTTCCTCCAGAATTTGTGCCTTTGACTCTTGTACCATGTAGGGAGTATGAGTTTATTACAAAATGGTACATCCATTCATATTTGATCAGCCTCAAGTGCTAAAGAGATTATAATAAGCCAATCACTGTGCAGCTTTGTTTTCTACCATATGAAGAAACTAATTCTGCAAGTGAGATAAAGAATATGAAGTCAGAACTCAGAGAAGTGTTGATAGACTCCTAATGTTTTTTGAGTTCTTATTTTCCATGATACCTGTGTTACAATTCCGTTGTTCTTGAAGCATAATCATTTAACACTGCTTTGGATGTAAAGAACTAACATGGTATCCCTTCTTCAATTCCTCTTCATGTTTAAAGTCAGTTGAGCTGGGTTTCTGACACTTGAGGCCAAAAGTGTATTAACTAGCAAAGTATGATATCTCGTCTTTCCACAGCAAGAATCTGAAGGCTTGCTCACAGAACATGAACTTCTGTGTTGTTAACTAAACAATTAACATGCTTCACAAAGTCTTATGAAGCTTCAATGTAAACTTGTATCAGTATTTGAATATAATATTTGTTTTCCAGGTAATTCAACAAGGTCCAATATTTTGTAAAATTTCAGTCAATTTAAATATTTTTATTATCACAGGAAAAACACTATCTTTTAATACAGTATTTTTGCTTTCCGAAGTTTCAGTTACCCCGGAACAGTACAATAAGATAATTTGAGAGAGAGAGGGAGAGAGAAAGAGAGAAAGGGAGCCCACGTTCACTTAACTCTTATTATTATACTTATCCTATTTTATTATTGATTACTATTGTCAATATCATATTGTACCTACTTTATAAATTAAAGTCATCATAGATATGTACGTATAGGAAAAAACAGCATATTTAAGGTTCAGTACTATCCATGGTTTTGCGCATCCACTGGGGATCCTGGAATGTATCCCCCACGGATAAAGAGAGACGACTGTATTGATGATCAGAAGTTTTCTAATGACCTAAATTAACAATATATTATTAAAATGTTTCAATAAACTATTCAAATATAAATAGCTAATTTATATTTTAGTCTATTTATAATTTTAGAATACTGATAAAATATATATAACATAAAATTTCAATTTTAACCATCTTTACCTATACAGTTCAAAGGCATTACATTCATTCAGGTTGTGGTTCAACCATCATGACCATTCTTCTCCAGAACTGTTTTCATCTTGCAAAATGGAAATCATATACCCTTTAAACAATAACTCCTCATTTTCTTCTTCCCTCAACTCCTGCAAACCTCCGGTCTACTTTCCATCTCTACAAATTTGACTATCTGAAACACCTCATATGTGGAATCAGAGTATTTGTCGTTTTGTGACCAACTTATGGCACGTAGCATAATGTCTCGATGGTTCTTCCATGTCATAGCATGTGACAGAATTTCCTTCTTTTTAAGGCTGAACGATACTCCATTGTATGTTATACCACATTTTGTTTATTTGTTCACCTATCCATGGACATATGGGTAAATTTCCCCTTTTGAATATTATGAATAATGCTGCTGTAAATGTGAATGTACAAATATTTTTTCAGTACCTACTGTCAGTTATTTTAGCTAAATACCCAGAAGTGGCATTTCTGAATCATGTGGAAATTCTATCTTAACTATTTTAAGGAATTTGCCATACTGTTTTCTATAATGTCTGCCACATTTTACATTTCCTTCAGCAGTGCACGGATGTTTCAATTTTTCTTCATCCCTACTGACACTTATTTTCTGTCTCTTTGATAATTGCCATCCTAATAGGAGTGAAATGGTAGTCCTTTAATTTTTTTTTCAGTTTTTTTTTTCCTTAGAAGTTGCTAGCAAGACAAACAATTCAACTTGTGGTAGAAAATGGTGATATTTTGGTAAGGCGGGCCTTTTTAAAAATGATGAATTGTGTCTTAGTCTGTTTGTGCTGCTAAAACAAAATATCTGAGACTCTAATTTATAGAGAACAGAAATTTATTCTGGAAGCTGGTAAGTCCAAGATCAAGATGCCAGCATTTTGTAAGGACCTACTTGCTGTGTCCTTACATGGCAGAAGTCAAAAGGACAAATGGGACGAATGCTAAGGCTTATTTAGCAGAAGAGTGAAGAACAACCTAGGTAACACTGTAAGACATCTCCTTTATAAGAAACTTAATCCCATTCACAAGGGAAGTGCCCTCATAGCTCTCAAATGAATATATCTTTTAATACCATTACATTGGAGGTTGGAATTTCAACATGTGTATTTTTGAGAGGACACGAACATTCAAACCACAGCAAAATCTATCACAAGGCAAGAGTGATCATTAGGGAAGAAGTCAAACACTTTAAACACAGAGAGGTTTGGAATCATAACAGAAATTGCTCCTTTGTTCAATTTAATTATTTAGTTGTCTATGGCCCTATTTACATGATGCCAAAATAAATAAATAAATGCTTTATTTATTCAGAAATCTGGTTAGTTTTATAGGAAAACATCCATCAGAGTCTATTTGAGCAGGTATCATCTTAGGAATTGCTTATTCCTTTTAACCCACGTTTGTAAACATCCCCTGCCAATACAGTCTGACCCAACACAACCCTTTCCTTCCCTGTGTCACTAACTGCTAGAGTGCAAGAGAATTATGAAGCAGTGTGTTTTCTCATACTCATAGTGACACTTTCACAGCTCACTTGAGACTCTTGGTATATGAGAGAGAGAGATAGTACAGAACTCAAAAGGATCACACTTTGGAAGAGAGATGTGATTTAAATTGGTTTAGGGCCAGAAAAGTTCAGTGTCTTGAGCAGTGTAGGATCTTGAGCAAACATAATATCAGAGAAGGGCTGAAGAGCTGATAATTATTATAACCCCATTTTGGACTAAAGGTGCTTTTGTGGACCACATGGTAAAGCTAATAATAATCTCAACAAGCAAATATAACCCAAATTTCCATACGACGAACTTGTAAGCACATGCATGTAACAAAGTTTAGTTGTATACCCAGGACTGTCTATACTTGACAACATGTTTATTTATTTTCATGTTTTGTAAAGAATAAAACTCATACAGTTATTTGATGAAATCGTACTAATTGATCAATGTAGTATCACATACATACAGCATAAACGTGATTTAGCTTCAATATTCTGTTTAGTTTTGAATCCTGTGAGACTTTTGTTACACAGCCATTTCTATAATGACTGCAAATATTCAACATCCTGGTTATGGCAAACATGCCTTAGGGCTGTAAAATATCATATTCAATTAAATGCATCCTCTCTAGGGAGAGCCACGCACGTGAGTATGCATTTGAACAGACAGCATGAGAGAGGAAGAATTTATTTTAGGAATTAAATCTATTTAAAATATTTGCCAGTTTTTCAGCTTCGTAATTACTGTGTTTATCTAAATTCACTTTCATCAGAAAAAATTAATTTAAGAAGCATTAGGTGGAAATAAGAAATGGATGCAGCTGAATCCATTGCCCAGTAAGAAAAAAAAAAAACTTGGAAATACAAATTTGTAGTTTTTGATTGAAGATAATATTATAATGCAATGAGGAAAAAATTTTAAGAATATCAAAAATTTTCTGTTACTTCTTAGGAAACTCTTTAATGTTAATATGTTTTAAAATACAGTAATGATACCCTTAAGTTAGTCTTATGTCTTTCTCTGAGTTTTTAAACTTAAGCTTATTATTCCATCAAATGAACAAAACTTTTATACTCACTGGGTAACTTAAAGGCTATGAGAGCAATTGATTTTAGAAATGTTTAATTTTCAGGTCACTATAAAAATAATATTTATATTATGAATAGATTATTTTTATATAATTTATTCACAAAGATAAAAGTTGAAGAAATTTTAAATATATTAACCTTAACAATATAAAAAGAACATCTTTTTTTCCATATAGTAAAATCACACCAGATTTCAATGTTCTTAGTATGTAAGGCCATTTTTAGGTTCCACTATGTGTGTGTGTGTGTGTGTGTGTGTGTGTGTGTGTGTGCAGGTTTTAATAACAGTTATTGAAAAATAGAAAAGCAATAATAAAATTAACTGTATTATGCTTAATTATAGGTTAAGGACATTGCTATCGGAAATCTCAGTAAGGACAATCATGGGATTTTCAGCCCTAATAGCGGGGACTTACTGTATAGAAATTCTTAGAATATCTTACATTGATGGTCCTGCTAAATAAAGTACAGTTAGTAAAGCAATAACTTACTTCAAAAATTTATTTCAGGAATACATAATCTTTTATTATTCTTTATCAATAATATTTTTTGAAACGGTTGATTTGTAAATGTTTTAGACCTTGAAAAATATAATAATAATAAAATGAATAAACACAGGTGGTCTAAGTGGCCCATAAGAGAGAAATCTGGCAAATATGATATCAAGGGTGACCACTGGTCTATTTATATGTCACCAGTGGGCAGGAGATAAATAAGGCTGTCCAGGAGTCATAGGATTGACACAGTGGACAGTAGTAGGATAGAATAACAGGTTAAGTAATACATAAATGGCTGGGCACAGTGGTGAATGCCTGTAGTGCCAGCTACTCAGAAGGCTGAGGCAGGAGAATCACTTGAGCCTAGGAGTCAGAGTCCAGCCTGGGCAGGGAAGCAAGACCCTTTCTCTAAAAAAAATTAAGAAAATAAATGTCTCTTAGCAAAGACAATTTGGCTGGATGGATGATGAGGAGACAGACACAAAGAGAGAGGGTCATTCATTATCAATCTATGCAAAAACAACTCAGATTCATGAGTCACGTTGCTTGAAAGAGACTATTTCATGAATGAGAACACATGAGGGAGCCGAATCCTTAGAAAAGACTGTAGTTATAGTCCTCGTGTTGTACATTAGATCTCTAGTGTTGTACATTAGATCTCTAGTCTTTCTTACTATACTTACACAATAGCGCATTGCATTTGGATTTTTTTTAAATGAGTAAATTAAATGAGTAATTTTTTTAAATGAGTAAATTAAAGCTCTTATTGACATAAAAACAAAGGTATTTGTGTGATCAGGGTGGTGGCTAAATGGGTGTATATATATATATATATGTGGGTACATGTATATATAAATGGGTATATATATATATATATACACACACACATATATGTAAACTTCCAAATCTGTATACTTAAGATCAATGCACTTTATACATATTACACTGAGCGTGTTTTACTCGAAAGCATTGAAAAAGCCCTTGTTGTTCTTGAAGAGTGGAGAGATGGAAGCTAAAATGGAATGGAGGAACTGGTTAGGCGACAATTGTCACATCCATAAGAAAAACAAAGGTGATTTTTGTCTAAAGTGGATATGTTGAAGACAGAAGGAAATTTGGAAATTTGATAATTTAGAGATGCAATGAATGGGACTTAGTGACAGTTTGGATATGAAAGGTAGGAAGGGAGGATGGCGATGCTTAAGTTTCTGTGAATGCCTGGCTGAAATCAACAGACTATACTGATGGCTGGGACGTGGAAGTTGGAACAAGAAGCTGGTTCTCAGGAATCTAGCCTGAGTACCTGAATGGTAGAGCTGGGAAAGACTGGAGAAGAAATATTTAAATGAGAGATGAAGGGAAAGATTTAATCAAGAGTTCAAGTTTGAATATGTTAAATTCGAGGTTACTGTGGGGCAGGAGAATGAAGATGTCACATATCCTTTTGACTACTTGGGTCTGACCTCATGATAGAGGCTGGGTTGGAGAAATACTAGCACACAGAGACTATTAAGGATGGAATTTTCCCAGAAAAGAATCTAGAAAGAGAAAAGAGTCCAGGACTGCCGCTTTACAGACCAATATTTAGAAGCAAGGCAGAGAAAAAGAAGAGTTAAAAAAAAAAGTAATACGGAAACTATCATAAAAAGTGTGGCCAGAAGGATAGGAGGAAAACAAGGAGTATATGAGAAAACAGTTTCTAAGAGAAGGGTTTCCAAAAGACAGGCTGTAAACTGCGTTGAACATTTCGGACAATTCCTTTTTAGCATAAAGGAAGTCATTAGCTACCTTAGTAAGAAGTTCAGTGCAGTTATGGGAGCAAAAGTCAGATTGAAGTAATAAGAAAAGAGAAGAGAAATTATGGTAATAGAAAAAGTGAGTAGAGACAACTCTTCTTAAGGAATACCTGTAACTAAACTTGGCAGTAAATGGAATGTGTTAAGAAAACAAGCAACAAATAGTTTTGGCTGTTGTTTTATCTTAAGATAGCAGAACATTGCGTAATACTGGTAGAAATTATTTACATAAGAGGAAAAATATTCAAAAGGCAGCGATGAGAAAATTGGCTTGAACAAAACAAAAAAATAACTCTTTGTATTGAAATGGAATTTTCAAGAAAATGACCACAGAATAAATTGGCTAAGTAATACATTTTTGGCATTATTTTGCCATGCAAAAGACAAAGAATGTAGAAAGCAATAACTTATATTTAGTACTGAGGAATTGGGCACCCACCCACAGTATCATTTCTAATCTTTGATATAATTCTTAGTAAAGGATTATGTATTTGAAATGTAACTTTGCAAATTCTATGTAACCGTATATTTACTTTGCAACAAAAATTGTTCTTTCCACCTCAAAACTCATTTAAAGTGACTAAAATAGAATAACAAAGAACCAAGTGCCTACTCTTTCTCTGATCCTGTAATTACTAAAATTCACCATTTTATGTTTGATTACTTCACTTCATAATATTTCACATTTTAAAAGTTCAAAAACATTTCAAATGCTTCCGTTTAGTATGCAGATGTGGAAGCACATAATAATTACCTTTAAATAAGGATCATATCTTAATTTTAGCAGGTAAACCTGTAATAGATACTCCCTTCTAGATCCCATAGCTACTTTTTTTTGTTTTGATTTGTTCCCCCTTTATTCTGATTACACTTTTTGCCTCTGTATCTCAAACTTGCCTAAAATAGGAGTAACTCAAGGACAAAAAAATGGGACTCATGGCATATAGAAATAGTGCATAGCAGAATGTAAAATAAATGAAAGGTAAACAAATGTACCTCTTTCTAATAGTAATCTTATTTTCAGATGAAATTGTTTATTAAAAGAACAACTCCTGCGTGAGAGTACCTGTTGTGTATCACTTGTTGAAACAGAGTGAGCTTTAACTGTTCTGCAGAGCGATCTCTCTTCTGATCATCCTTTGGTAACTGGAATGCATTGTTTTGTTTTATGTTACTTTCTCTTTTTACTTTATCCCCTATTATTCTATACAAGCAGCCACTACACTAATAGAACTATGTGAGGGTATTGGGAAAGTGTTCAATAAATGTCAGTACATCTTATTCATTGACATAAAAAAGCACTTTACTCCATACCTCCAATCATTTTAGTTGCCCCTCCAGATCTCTAAAATTTGGCAATCACCCTGAAAGGACACAAAACAAATGATGTATTTACTCAAAGCACAGACAGGTCTGAGCATTAGACCAATCTCAGTGGTTTTATGAGGTTTTAGTATCCTCTTTATTTCTTTGTTGGTGAGAGAGGGATTCCCGTCCTAGGGTTATGGGGATGGTTGAACATGTGACACCCAACACTCGCAGGTTAGATCAGCAGCAGTTGATCTCAAGTGATTACTCACATATACTCACATCTCAGGATAGAGGATACCACTCACTAAGCAGAGTCACAGAGGGGTAACTCTCCAGAATAGAGTCAACAGCCAGAAGTTCAAGGGCTGTGGGGGGTATTGTTGTGTCAAGAGGGTGAGATGCCCTTGGTTCTTCCAGAAGGATGTGATTGGCTTGGCTTGTTTGAGCAATTCTCTGGGCTGGCAAGGTAATGAAACCTGTTATTCAGGAAACTGCCTGGTCTCCCTGATGAGGAGGGTTGTTTTGATAGTAGACCTCATCCATTAAAGCAGAATGTGAAGGGAACTTGCAATAAGCCATTTTAGGCCATCTTAATTTCAAGCCATCTCAATTTCACCAGATGTCAAGGCAGTACATAATATGGGGTCCTAATTTTAGGCCTTAAACTACATATGACAACCCAGAATAGACAGTTGGACATAACAGGGAAAGGCCAGGCATATGACAAGGAATGACATTCAGAAGTAGTTAAGAGTCAGTGAATGTATGTGTGTATACATTTGAAGATGAATAGTTATGTATTTATGGCTAATATCGCTATTAAAAGAGTTGAGCCAAGATCTAACATGCAAAAATATTAATATTCTGCTTTTTTCTACAAAATACTAGAATACCATCAGTATAGCACAAAGCTTGCCCAAAGAAAGCAAACTGCCTGGAATTTCTACAGACCTATTTTTAGTTCCAGTAGATTTTCTCTGATGAGTTATGGTGAGAAGTTATTTGTGTGGCTATCATTGATTTAATGTTGAAATTTATACTCTTTCATTAAAATAATAAATTCTCCCTCATAATAGTTGGTAAAATTGCATTAGTCAAATAAATTAAATTAATTTGCAATCCAACTGCATTTTCATCTTGATACAATGAATTACCAAGTCTTTTGCAGTAGCCTTCTCACCAGCCCAGCTGTGTAGCTCTGAAATCACTTGGTTAGTAATTAGGTGTTTATCAGATACTTGCTGAAAAGGCAAGAGACAGTTATCTGACACAATTATCTTTGAAAATTGAATCCTCCATTTCTGGTCCTGCTGAGGACATTCAAAGGAGTAAGAAATGGTTTAAAGCTAAATGCCTTTCAAAAACCCTTGGCTTCTAGAATGCACGCAACACAATTGACAGTCAGAAAAAATTTTCCCTACCTTTCATGCACAGCCTTTTGTGTATGAATCTTTTTGTTACATCTTTGTGCATGTTGACATATGAAAATTACTTTTGACCTTCTCTTCTGTTATTTCATTAATGTCTCTCTTACTATAGCATTATTTAATCACCAGTCTGAAATTTAATGCTTGTTCCTTTCGTCCTCACCCTGCTGCTGTAGCTTCATAAACTAACCCAACATAAGGGAAGGTAATTGCTAAGATTGACTAGGCTGTATATGCATCTAGAATAATAATGTTTGTAGAGGTATTTGCTCTTAAGCAATCTAAAAATTTGCAGCTCATTTAAGTATTAATGGACAATCTACTCATGGCTTAGAAATTAATATCATGCTGTAATACGAATAGCTATAAAAACATAGTTATTCAGACACTAAAAATTCCAACCCCATATAATGGACTTAAATTTCAATGTCACATCCATTTAAAAATGATCCTGTGACTACTCTCCCAATAGTATTGAACTAATTTTAGGTTTTCATACACATTCAAGGCAGTGTGTTTGAAATTAATTTGTGTACAAAATGAAAGCAAATGTGAACAAAAACTGAGTACATTTTGCTCTGGTAAATATTGGTAAATAGAATGTTTTTCTAAGCATTCTCTATTTTTTAATCTACCATGATTTCTTGCCTAAGGTAAAGGCAATCTTCAGAAACACATAGACTTTATGAGTATTATAGTTTTTATGTTTGTACTCCATCTCTTCTGCAAGTATATTAGTTCAGTTGCATACATGTCTGTGTTCGTACTACTGTTTTCATTCATCCTTCCATTAACTCAACAAATAGTGATTTTTACATGGCAGGCATGGAAACAGACTTGTGAAATATCATAATAGAGACCTTTGCCATCTCATGACCTCCAGCTTTTCCACTTCAAGTCCGTGCTTATAGAGCTTTTGGCCAAAAACTTCATTTGCTCAGTTCATTCTTCAGCTTAAATGTCTGTTTTGCACACGAAGCTATTTACATTTTGTTTCATTTGATTTTTTTAGCTTCATCTCCTGTCAGAACCTCCTACTTATATTTATCTGAAATCCCATCCGAATGAAACCATCTATTGTTTTTCAGACATAAAGATTCTTTCCTTCCTGCCTCTGCACTGTTGGTGCTTTCGTTTAGAATTTCCTTCTCCAGTCCTGAACCCTTTTGGTTCAGTCAACAACTACTGTTCTTTCGAATTCCATCTCTAATGTTCACTTCTGGGATGAACATTTTCCAGTTTTCCAGAAGCCTGATTACTTCGTTCTCTCTTTGATCTGATAATACAGCACTCTGTTTATACATTATATTAATAGAAATTACCACCGCTTGTAACTTATCTCCATCGCTCCCTCTGCCCTACTGTAAACTCTTCTTGAGTAGGCACTGTCATTCATTTTTGTATCTTAGGATGGTGCATAGTAAGTTGTCAAATAACGTTTATTAAATAAATGAAATGTAAGCATACAAAAATCATCATTTTAGTATAATTTTGGTATATTCATGTTTTTGTTTAGAGAAATTATTCTAATAGTGACATCATGTCCCATTAAATGCACTTTTTTAAAACCTCATCAGACATTAGTATTTATTGAAATGTGAAATTAGCACAGTGTGGATTTTTTATCTTTAATGTACATCATAGCTGGTTTTAATTAAAGTTTTGGTCTCTAAAGTGAAAAAAAAAATCAGCAGGCGTTCTTTTTCATTTAAACTAAGCAGAGGGAAGAGAATGATCACAGCAACCCCCTCTAAAAGTAAAGGAATTCTGGAGGTAACTACCTTATTTGCTGTATACTTCGTTTGTTGTTAATCCCAGGATTTGCCAGCTAAACATGCTTGCTAAACAACTGTTCTGTTTCTCTAATTTTCTCTCACTCCCTTTTCTCTGTGTTCTCTCACTCTCTTTTCTCCCTACCACTCTACACTTCTGCCTCTCAACATGTGTCAAGACAGACCAGCTTCATGTTTAACTTCTCTTCGACCAAACCAATGTTCAAGCGTTTTTTATTCTATTTTTGTGATCAGTCTAAGATAAATCTAACTCATCAGAGGCAACACTTATTAGAACACTGATGTTATTGATGTGTACTTCCATCTTACATTTCTTGAATGATGATATTGTTCAGAAAAATACGTCTGCAACTGAATTCACTTTAGCTAGGATGACCAGACATCATGCGTCCCACTAATTTTCATCAGAATGATGAAATGAACAATATGATTGAAGGTCAAGTGGGCATAGAATTCATCTGACTGAGCTAGTGTAAGCACAGCATTTTGAAAATTGCTTTTGTTTGAAAATTGCTTTCTTTCTGTCTTGGTGTACATGAGTATACTTTTAAGGAATCATCTTCGTGAATTTGGACATTCATTTTGAAAAAAAATGCGTGATGTAGACAGTTTTAATTTTAGCTATAAAATAAGAAAGAAAAAGAAAAAAATTTGGATAGACTATATTTTATTACTTTTCATTAGATCATTTTTTAAAATGTCTTTATTATTTAAATAATTCTACTAATATAGGAATGCAATATTTTTTAAGCAAGTCAGAAAACTAATTCTGCCTGAGGCAACCCTGTAATTAAAGTGAAAGAAGATAATATCCCCGTTTTTCTGTCTTTACATTTGCCTTTATGTTAGTAATACTAATAAACCTCACATGTTTAGGGTGAAAAATTGATTTGAGCTTTTTTGCATTTACTGCTGTGTTTTTTCTCCCGCCCCCTACCCCTAAGGATTTGTAAGTTTGATTTGCCATCGATTCTTTAATGATTATAGTAGCTACACTAGAGAAACTAGTGTTTATCTTCATCATGCCCTGTGGATATAACATTAGGTTTATTTTTATACATAGCTGCTTTTTCATCATTTTGATAACATAGTCTAGCCAGCAGTTGACAACCGTCTTACTGTTTTATTGATTTTATATTTTAATCTTGAAAAGCATTTATGAATTCTAAGAATGCACTATATTAAAAATATCTAATCCAGAAGTCATACAATTATTGCTTTAAACCATGTTAAACTGCTGGCTTTAACATGCTGAACAGATGTCAAAGATTAAGTAGAACTTTTAATGATTATTAGTTTGACTCTTTTCAGGCTTCATCTAGTACTTTATTTGAAGATGTCAATCAGTATTTTGAATACTTCACATGCAGGGTTATAAAAGCCATCTTATACTCATTTTGTAGTGATAAAATAATTATTTATCCTTTCTTTGTGATGACTGTCCTAAGATGATAATACAGTAAAACCTAAAGTACACAGAATATGTCTCCCAGCCCTGAGTACCAGCACCTGCTCTGGTGGAGGTGGCAGGGGAGTGAAGTGGATTGTGAGAGTCCTTGGTTGTAAATAGGTTTAGTCCTGGCTTTCTCGAATGCTGGTTGTGCCAGCAGTGAAGTTGTCACATGGACAGGCTCAGGACCTCTGGTTAGCTAGGATGTTGCAGGCAGTGGAATTAGCTGCTGTTTTCTCCTTCCTGGAAGCAGAGTTGTTTTGTTATGAGTTGCTGCAATGGCCTGAGTTTGTTGGCCTCCTGCCAGGGGGAGGTTCTTTCAAGAGAGCACCAGCTGAGGTTGTAGTAGGGGGATCTAAGCTTGCCCCAGAATCTCAGGTGATGGAGGGGGCCATAGAGCTCCCAAGAGTTTATGTCTTTTGTATTGAGCTACCAGGGCTGGTAGAGAGGGTTAGGCAGGTCTGGGCTCAGACTTTCCTTGAGTGAGGCTTGCTGCAGCCACTGTGCAGTGGGGGAGGTGGTAAAAATTGAAATAAAATAAATTAAATAATAAAGTACACAGAATAGGATGGTAAGGTTTATTTTTGCTGATATTTGGTGTTACTTTTTAAAGTTTTTAAAGTGTTTAAAACAATATCTTTAAACACAGTGAAATGTACAATACAACCAAAAGTTAAAATTTTTGGAAGTCTAGGAGTATAGCAGAACGTTAGCTCTATTTGCCAAAATGCTACTTTTCCTGAATTTGGTGTAGGTTGAAGGATAAGATTCTAAAAGGATGTGTGCTTCAGGTAACTTAGTTTTTCTCTGTATTATTAATCAATAACGTATCTGTCTACATGAGACTAATAGATGTACTATTTTAAGTATACTTACAGATTATGTTTAAAAAATGTCTTTGACTCTTTATCTGACCTCAATCATTTACTTAAGTACAATGTGGACATAGAATAAGAATCTCAAATTACCACATTTGTGATATACAGCCTGAGGTTTATCACTATTCCCTGAGTTTCTTCAAAGTGTGTTTAAAATTTTCTGTATCCTGAAAGTGTGATGAGAATTAATTAGTCTTTCATGAAATGAACAGAAGCTTAATTGGAAATAAGGCCCATGATCTGTCCAAACAAAACGGCCGTGATTCATAATGTAGCTGTGCCTACATGTAAGGAATCTTCAAGAAATGAGGTGACAAATTAGAGAATCTTGCCAATTTCCTTACTTCTGCAACTCCTGCTAAACTCTGTTGCCCAATTTTCAAGATGTGTCTTTGCCTTGTCATCACTCCAATACTTTCTATTCATATATTTTATTCTCAGTCTTAATTTTAAACTTATTTTCCAACAGTCTTTTGTTACTAGTTGCCTTTCTTGCCTCATTTTGTAAAGCAAATCCAAGTATATAAGTGAAGTCAGAAAGTTAGTACTGATGCTTTCAGTCAAGGATGTAATAGTTTGGAGTTTAGCATAATTTAAACAAACTAAAGGTATAGCATTTGCCTGTTTCTATGAGGAAAGAGTTTCCTAAATACATATGAAGTACTTAAGCTAAATGTAACATAAACAAATTATAGGCTTTTTAATATATGAAAAATAATAGAATGTTTTAATTAATTCAGATTTAAAACTGTGCTTTATGTACTCTATTTTTATGTGTATGCCATTTTAAAATAATATACTTATTATAGGAGGTTTGAAGTACTCAAAGTTGAAAAGAGTTTGGTAGTAATTTGTCCAGTTCACCTTGTCTATTTGAAAGCATTAATCCTGCATTTTCAGAAGGTATTATACCCTTTTGGCTTTTTAAATTTCAAGTGAAAAGCACGAAATGCACTTCCAACTAAACAGAAGCAGTAGCAAATTATCAGTAGAGTTAACTGCGGACTTATACACACCGTATTATCTACAGAACTCTAGAGTAGGTGTAGATTAGTCAGTCATAATACACACACACACACACACACACGTGCATGCACACAGGCACACACACACTTATTAAGTTTTCCATTTCCTAGCTTTAGATTTTGGAAACAGTATGACATATGTATTTTTTAACTTTCCGTGTTCTTTTTTCTCACCAAACTGTTTCCTTTCTTTTGCAATATAGTTAATGTTTATTTCTATTTTTTTCTCCACCAATTAGACTTGTTTGTAAGAGTCCATTCACCATACATGCTATAATATACTAAGAATCATCT
Organism: Homo sapiens; assembly: GCF_000001405.40. NCBI lineage: Eukaryota > Metazoa > Chordata > Mammalia > Primates > Hominidae > Homo > Homo sapiens. The sequence continues at coordinate 79,596,896 of NC_000003.12, read as the reverse complement.
ACATGGTTTCCTTTATCTGGAGTCACTTTAATCTCCAAGTTATACAATTTGTGCTGAGCTTCATCTTCCCATATGCCATTAACCACTGACAAGAAAAAGCCTGGAATTTAGTCTTGCATTCAATACCTTCTAATTCTCTGACATTTTGCAATTGTCGTGAGAAACATAGTAGAGTTGGTTCCAATCTACTTTATTTGCTAACTGTATATTTTCTTGCAGACGAGTTACTTAAAGATTCTGAACTTGCATCCTCATGTGAAAGATAATATATTATGACTTATTTTCCTAATAATAATTAATACATCATACATTAATAGATTAATACATAGGTAAACTGTGAAGTGCTACATATACATCACATATTATTTATTTTTACCTTTACACAAAAGCCTTCCATGTAACCTCAATTAGGTACACATCACACATACCCTCATTGAATATCTTTACCCAATACTGGACTTGTGCAACTTCAACAGACCCTTTAGAGCCTAGCTCAAGCCTGATCCTCTTCCCACTTTGGCTACTTCCTTGTGTCACCAACTTAATCCCCTTTATTTTTGTCATTCATGTGTAATAAATTATTTACTCTTCTGACATGAAGATAGTATATTTATTTCACACATATTTGACTTTCCCCTGTCTGGCACAGAGCTCTCCATAGATTAGCTGTTCAAAAATATTTATTATTCATGTATTTATGACTCTCCTAAAACCTAAACTTTGCATTCTTAATTTTCACAAAACTCTAGAACATTACAAAGATTGATTTAAATAGAGATTGATTTTGGGTGATTGATTTTCCTTCATGAGCTCTATGACTATAGTCCTATTTGGGTAGACCAAGCTGTAGTCTATCTCATATGTAAAGAGGAAGAATATCTCCTTTACCAATGTGTAGATTGCTGAGTGATTCATCTGTTACATGCAAAATCCACAATGGGGCTGACCTTTTCTTGTTGTTTATCTCACAAGGACAGGCAATCTTTAGGCATAGCAATTTACTCTACAAGCCACGGTTATTCTCTTTATTAAGACTAGGACAGAGGCCAAGTCCAGTGGCTCATGCTTGTAATCCCAACACTTCCAGAGGCCAAAACAGATGGATCTTGAGGCCAGAAGTTCGAGACCATCTTGGGCAACATAGGCTCTATATCGACAAAAAAAAAAAAAAAGTAAAAAGAAAAAGAGAAGAAAGCCAAGTGTGGTGGTGCACACCTGTAGTCCTAGCTGCTTAGGAGGCTGAGACATGTCTCAGGAGGATCTCAGAGGCACTGGAGTTAAAGGTTGCAATAGTTTGGTTTTGCAGAGCACTTTTTCTTTTTACCTGGAAATGAAGACAAAAGAGAGTAGGGTGACTTAAAGGAAAACCAATTTTGGTTCATAACAAGGAAAACCTTTAACAGTTACTGTCCTTCCAAATATGTAAGAAAAGAAGAGAGCCACCTAGGCTGAAGAGTTTCAGAAGAAGAAATAGGTGTCGTGCACTGATAAATTTTGGAAATGTAGGTGTTCTCTTATGTAATACGAAATTCGTGCTCAAAGAAATGCTTTTGACTTTGTGGAAATATGCATTAACCTAAATTAATTATATATGAAACATTTTTTACTTTCTAAGAAATTTTATTAATAATCCATGGAACAAGATTCTCCTAAAATATATTTTCAAACCTTTCTTTGAGAAAATCACCCTCCTATTAGCAGGGGATGGATCAGCATATTAGTAAATATATTACTTGAAAATAAACATTATCAACACATGCATATGTGTGCATATGTGCATATAACTAATATGTTATATATATGTATAGAACATATTAGTTTTTAAAATTAAGACCTCTGTGGAAAGGATCTATATCTTGATTGTGGTGGAGTTTGCATGGTTCTATACATTTGTCAAAATTGAACTACACCCTTAAAATGAGATTATCTTATAAATATATTACCTTTCAATAAAGTTCATTAAAATAATCCAAGCCTCTAATTTCTTGCAAATTAGACCTAAGCCAATACTATTCTAATATGAAGCAATGTGCAAATACAAATACACAATTGGTTCCGTCATTACCCTGGAGGAATTTCACCGGATGCTATTTGAAGTTGGTGATAATGTTGATATCAATATTAGCAGATATCAGGAAACAGAGCAGGCATTTTTATAAGCACTCTGCACACATCTCACCCAATGATGTGGCTATTCTTCTCCTTCACATTTTACACTTCAGAAAGATGCAACTAAGAGAGTTTAAATTGTTTGATATAAGTCAAACAATTATCTGAGTGGTGAGCTAGGATTCATGGTGGAACAATTTGAATTTACATTCTGTGATTCTAAAACACTGGTTATATTACTTCCATACACTTATAACTTACAAGTAAATTATATTTTTAGGCATTTAAATTACCCTAAACAATTTGGTAATCACATATTTTCAAAAAGGTATGCTGTAAATCTTTGTCTTTTCTCATATAGTGTTAGTTTTCTTAATTCAAAGCCATATGTATATACACTCTTAGTATTTTAAAAATAGGCACTTTATGTACACATCCATGGAAAACGTGTTCATATGGTATTCAAAGGTGTTGTGCTTTTTCTTGTTGGATTAACTATTTTTAATACTGAGAGAACATACAAATACAGTTATATCACATTCTTCACTAAAATCAATTATCTTATTGATAATATGTCAAAAGGTGTGGTTTTAAGGGTTAGTGTGGTTTAGGGGTTAGTGTGTTTGCTAATAACGTTATATCCTAAAATAGGGGACTTTCTTGTTGAGAGGATTCTTAAAGACCAAAAATTCAAGGTATTGAGAAATAATTGATCATTTGAACTTCATTAAAATTGAAAATTTCTACTCTGTGAAAGACACTATCAAGAGAAAAATAAGACAAGCCACACACTGGAAGAAAATATTTGTGAAAGACATATCTGATAAAATACTGTTATTCAAAACATACAATAAAAGTAAACAAAACAAAAGGCCAGGTGCAGTGGCTCATACCTGTAATCCCAGCAGTTTGGGAGGCCAAAGCGGGCAGATCCCTTGTGCTCAGGAGTTCAAGATCAGCCTGGGCCACATGGTAAAATCCTGTCTCTACCAAAAAAAATATTTAAAAAATTAGCCAGGCGTTGTGGTACACTTCTGTTGTCCCAGCTACTCAGGAGGCTGAGTTGGGAGGATTACTTGAGCCTGGGAGGCGGAGGTTGCAGTGAGCCAAGATAGCACCACTGTACTCCAGTCTGGGTGACAGAGCAAGACACTATCTCAAAAAACAAAAGCAAGCAAAAAAAAAATTCTTAAACTCAACAATGAGAAAAAAGACTTAACAAATACCTCACCAAAGATGATTATGAGATGATAAATAAGCCAGTAAAGATGTTTCACATCATATGCCAACAAGGACATGTAAATTTAAAACACTGCTTACCATTGCATGCCCACTAGAATGGCCAAAACCTAGAACACTGGCAACACCAGCTGCTAGCAAGGATGTTGAGCAACAGGAAATCTTACCCATTACTAGCAGAAAGACAAATGCTGTAACAACTTTGAAAGACAATTTGACAGTTTCTTGCAATAATAAGCATTGTCTTACCATATAATTGAACAACCACACTATTTATTATTTACCCAGATGTGTTTAAAACTTATCTCCACATAAAAACCTGCAAACGGATATTTATTCCAGCTTTATTCATAATTGCCACAATTTGGAAGAAATCAAGATGTCCTTCTATAAGTAAATGGATAAATAAACCGTGGTACATCCAGACAATGGAATGTTTTTCAGTGCTGAAAAGACATTAGCTATCAAGACATGAAAAGAAAAACCCATGGAGGAAACTTAAATTTATATGAATTACTAAGTGAAAGATGTATGTAGCCAATTTTAAAAGGCTGTATACTCTATGTTTATGCCTATATGACATTCCAAGAAAGGCAGAACTATGGAGATAACAAACAGATCAGCAGTTTCTAGGGGTTCGGAAGGGGGAGGGATGAATAGATGAAGCACAAAGGATTTTTAGGGCAGTGAAACTATTCTGTATGATACTATGATGTTTGATATGTGTCATATACATTTGTTCAAACCCATAAAATGCACAACACCAAGAGTAAACCTTAATGTAAACTATGGACTTTGGATGATAATGGTGTGTCAATGCAGGTTGATCAGTTGTAACAAATGCATCATTCTGGTGGGGGTTGCCAATGGGAGAGGCTCTGCAAGGGCAGGGAGTGGAATAGTGTCAGGGAATGGAATAGTGTCAGGGAAGGAAGTGAATGAGAAATCTCTTTACCTTCCACTCAATTTTTCTCTAAACCTAAAGCTACTGTAAAAGGTAAAATCTATTAAAAGCAAACCAAAACTTCAAAGTACTGAAATGATAAGTGTACAATAGCTAATAATGCAATTCCCATTTCTGATTCATAATTTCTGATTTCTGGGTACTACCTTAAAAATCATATTATGTTTTTAGCCACTTACTACATAAATTCACAGAACTAGTCCTAGATCATGAAAATTTATTTGAGGAATATTAATCGTAATACCTTACAGATATTTGAAATAATATCTGCCTGTTGAATAATATAACTTGGGGGAATTCAATCAATTATAATAAGTGTTTCTACTTTCAGGTTTAATTTCTTATAATTATTGCATTCTTTTTAAGGTGAAAATGTGCATGTTTGATTAGGCTGTTTATTTTATCAATAGCTGCCTGCTACAAATAAGCTATATATGGCTATTAATAAATGACAATTAAAATGTAATTAGCCACAGATACAAAAATCTCATTTTCAATTAATGTACTATGAAATATCATTTAACAAATATAATCCTTCTAAATTTTTAAGTAATAAGCAAGTTCTAAATAGCCTTGAGATTCATACATGTTTTTATTTACATCAAGAGCTAAGACACAACTGCTTATACACATTTAAGAAATCAGAGGTCTAGGGTTTTTTCCAAACAGGACTCTATGTCTAGGACACTCAGTAATCAATTAGAGAGAAGAGGAATCTGAGAAACTCCTTAGGCAAGCAGAAACCAAGAAGATAGGGCAACTGTTATATCAAAAGCCAGCCAAGCAGAAATGACCAGTACACAATATACTTATACATTTTCTCTGGAGGAACAAATCATTTATACTTCACTGAGGAATGTGATCATAAGCCAAAACATTGAATGGATAACTCTGTAAAAGAGCTTTTGGACAAACTAATAACTGCATAGTATGGATTAAAGAGTAAAAATATTAATCTAGGTTTATAATGTAGTTATATAATATCAGTGATGAGTGATATACTAGGGTAAGGAGAGTTACAAGAACATTAACCCCAAAACAAAGAAGTGAGGCAATAAATATGAAACTACAGTAACCAAGTATATTCTTTGAGGCAAGTTTCTAGCTCAGATCAAAGTTGCTTACAGAAAAATTTAGAGAGAGGAAATAATCTCCAAATATCTCAAGTAAAGTCAGGTGATTATAGCTGTCTGGCAAGAGGATTAGACAGCTTTGCTAGGGGAAACTTAGCAATTAACTCTGCTTTGGTAAGTCATACAATAAGGACAGCTCAACTCAAATAGACAAAATAGCTATGTCCAGTTAACCTACAGCAATAATTTAGTAACCTTTTTTTCAATTTGTTATTCTGAGTGTCACAAAAATAACTGTTAGAACTTCATTGAGGTGGACAAATTACTTTTTATATAGTACTAGGTTTGTTTATCTATTTTTGACTGAATAGTAAAACTATTGTTAAAAGATTAAGTCTTTCCACTTCCCAACTCGCAAATCTAAAATTTGTCAAGTACTGCCAAGTCTATTGTCTATTCCTACCAGAGTTATCTTCTAAATTATTTAGATCATTGTATAATCTATTATTAAAATCTCAGTGGCTCCTCATTACCTGCATTACTTGCCCCAGTTTATTTTTTAAGTTCCCCATCACATTACATTCTGGCAAACCCCAACATCCAGCCAAACAACTACTCTCCTTATAATAGCCTAAATATGTCATTATATCATGGGAATAGATCTATATCTATCTATCTATCTATCATCTATCTACCTATCTATGATAAAATTGATATATAAATAAATATACCATGAAATTTATGTATATACATACCATCTTACTTTGAAAATTTGGTTATATGGTTATCTCTAAATAGTATTGTTTTATTTTCCACTTATTGGATATTATCTCATATCTCAAAATGCCACTTCTTCCATATAAGCTTGATCAATTCTCCCTGGCAAAATTAATTAACCAGTCACCTGCATATATTTTTGTAGCTTTGTGCTGTCATTTGTTATTATCTCTTAAGAAGTTCCCAAATATTATAAGCTTTGTTTTTTTACAAGGACACTAGCTTATGTTTCTCTGCCATATTCAGAATAGACCACTTGGTAATTTTTAAAATCTGTTTGTGAATTCACATAATTAAAGTGGCCTCAAGGTGTTTATGCACCTGGGTGAAGAGCAAGTTTTTTGTTTTTTTCTGCTATATCACCAAAGCAGCATAGTGCTTGACTCATTATAAATTGTTTGTAAATATTTGTTTAATGAATGATTAATTTCAGTTTTCTAAATGTGATGAGAGTGTTCCAACTAAATTGGTGGGAAATCAAAGCAAAAATCACTTATCTGGCATCCTCTAAAAAATAGAGAAAACCAGGAATCATTTATGATTAATATCTAACTTGAAAATGAGTTTTCAAAATTAATAAATACCACATTTGTTTGAAATGTGTATCATGAAATATATCTATACAATTCATATTCATTTTAGTTATGTAATAATTTTGTTTCATTATTTCAAAAAATGACATTTCAAATCTATTTGAACTGCAATGTTTCACAAAATAATTGTTTCTCAGCATAGCTAACCATTACAAAATAATATTTTTTTAATCTCCCCAGATAACACATTGTCTGTCACTGGCTGGTTGTAATGCAAGGAAGGGACAAAGATGAAATGGAAACATGTTCCTTTTTTGGTCATGATATCACTCCTCAGCTTATCCCCAAATCACCTGTTTCTGGCCCAGCTTATTCCAGGTAAGTGCTGTGCATTTGTTTCATCAATACTTAACCAGTATTCCCTCTTTGCTTTAAATTCACTTTTTATTGTGTGTGTTGCAAATCAAGTTTGTTCATTTTCTTTGGAACTTGTAAGTCTGTGTGAATGTCTTCTTGAGTATGAGTGCTGATCAATTTCAGGGGTCAAATTATTATTCTTGAATAGAGAGCACTTTATTAATTCCCAAGAGAATCAGAACATTGAGAAAAAGTCACTGTGCTGAAACATGTAAGGAGTGTTATATTAACTAAGTGAATTAGAGTGGCAGAAGAAAAATTACAGTAGGGAAAAGGTGTGTAACACACAAAGGAAACCTAAGCCACAGTGCATGTCGGTACCATAGAAAAGGAACATCAGAAAAGTGAAACATTGAAAACTGACATTTCTTAGCGTAGTAACATGTTAATTAACAGGCTGAACAATGTAAGAATAAAAAAGCAACATGCTGCTGTGTTGCTACCATAGTTACCACTGTTTTGGGTGAAGTTAGAAACCTATTTCCTTGAAGTCATAATTTCATTAATGGTATAGAATAGCATTTCTTTAAAATGCTTTACTTATACTGTTTTAATAGGAATTAATTAGGTCCAATGTATGGTAGCAGAAAATACAAAAATATATTGATGTACTAATGAAAATATAATTTTAAGTTTCCTCTTAGGTAAGACAGAAACAATTGAAGTTAATTTGAATACAACTAATATGTCAAAATTTAGCCAAGTTATTCATAAAAGAATAACATACCATGTTTTGTTAGACCATACTATGAAACTTTGTCTGTATTTATGTTATGGTTATATTTATTTTGATATTCAGCAACTATATGTAACTTGTCATGTTCATCCACACAAAATCAAAGATTTCAAAAAATCCTGGGGCTTCAATTTTTCCCTGTGCTGGGTTAAGATTGACATTTTGACCTAGAAGATAAGGGAGTTGTAAACAAAAACAAATGATTTATATATCTGTTAAAAACATTTTCACATGATTGAAGAATACAGAAACTTTAAGTCTGTTGTAATAAAATACATTTAATGATTTGTATCAAATTAGGTTAGCCCACTAAAATTACTACGTATTCTTATTTTAGCCTGTTCCTATATTCCCTTCTCTTGCCACAACTCTGTTGAGTATTAAGATTAGTGTATGAATCAAAGAAAACATCATACATTTCTTAAATATATAGAAAATGCAAATATAGGTACAAATTAATTCACTGTTTTGTAAATTGTCAGAATAAAGAGGATACTTATATGAAAGTGTTTTTAAAACTACAACTATAGATAGACACAGATACAGATACAGCCTAGGTATAATTCCCATTAAACTGTATGGCCAGCTAATAACTCCTACAGGTCAACAAATTTAGTCCATGATACAGTTATTGAGCAGGATATCAAAATTCAAAATTGTTAAGTGAGGTTTGAACCACCTGTGTCTGTCTAGTGGAAGAAGGAATGCATGTATGAATATATATGGTGGGAAGGTACAAGGTTTATCTAGGGAATAAAAAATGTTACCTTTTTATTCAAAAGGATATTGCATAATTTTAGAGAAGAAAAATCAACTTGAACGCTTAGGTGCAAAAGCTGTCAAACCTCTGTCATTACTATTTTACATGCAAATACTTGTAAATCTACAGTATACGACTTCATTGTCTAATTTAATATGTACATTGGTTACAAAGGTGATAGTTTGGTTATCAGTTAGTTAAAAAATTCACCGCACAAATTGATTACTCAGGGCCCATTTTGAGGCAACACTGTCTTAAAAAGAAATAAGGGTAACCTCAAATGGGATGCATACAGTTAGATGCCTTTTTTTTCAGGACTACAGAGTTCAAGAAACATTTCAAAGTAATTTACCTGTCAAAAGAAATATGCTGTTAGCTTTTCAAAAAGAACACCTGCAGAGTGGAAGTCATTTTCATAACTGCCTCCATCTAGGAGCACTGGCTTCAGGCTAGGGAGAAAATCTACTGAAGGAACTCATTGGCCTTAGAGTGTCCCCTCCTTTCATTAATCTCAGAATGATGAGAAGTCTTGATTCTTCTAATTGTTTTTCTAGCTTTAGTATGTTCATTAGAGACCTTGGATCTGGATTGAATTGAGCATATCTCAGAGGAAGCAAAAACTGGATTAGCTTTGAAGGCAAAATATTAGTGTCTTTTAAAAAAAACATAATTTCTTATTCAACTGATTTTTTCCACTCTTTCTCTTAAGAAAAAAAATCTCCTTCATCAGAAATGTATTTCTAATAATAAACAATCAGATAAGGAAATCAGACAAATGAAAAAAATGTAACATGCTTCTAAAAAAATAAGGAGAATTTTATATTCTGTAGTACTTGACTCAGTGAGTTATCATCAGCCAAGGTGTCTACAGGAACAAGACTTCTCAGGGTACAAAAGAAAAGAGCAATTAAAACATTGGCTCAATGCCAGTTATTTTATTACCACAACAATAAAGTGTTTTCACTTCAAGCTGTGGCTAGGTTACTGGGTGTAAGTAAATATTAAAATATTTGAATGTAATGTCTGGAACTGATGGATTGCCCAGCTCAATTTTTTTTTTCATTTTTCATTTTGTCTCCCTGTATAATACATTTTTAAAACTGCTATTATGTTTCATAATATTGCAAATGAAATGGTTGGTATATGAGAAGGCAAACAAATTACTTGTATTTAGTAAATCAAGGAATACTCTTATTGTTGAAAATAAACTGTTTTAGAGAAAAGAAATAATTAAGAAATGGATTCTAAGAATAACTGGGCTTTGCCAGCCATTGAATTGTTGCTTTCATTGCATGTTGAGCCCATTAAAGCCCACCTCTTTTTTATGAAAACCACTGGTAGATGTTTTTCATGTTAATTTACCTCATCTCTAATTGACAAATGAAATATATTCTTAAACCATGTGAGGTTATCTCTTGAGGCATGCTGTATCTGGACTATGCCACGTCTTGACTTAATTTCTGCTAGGAAAGGAATCTGACAGATACTAATCTTTACATTTTAAGCATCTACCTTTTATTGCCACGGATGTAAGGAAGACAATGAAAAGCAAATGTAAAATGATCTGTTATTAAAGCATATATTTCACATATAGTGGAATTTAATTAAAAAATTAAAAAACCTCTATGGTAAAAAAAAATAAAATTGAGTTCTAGGTTTATATTGCAATATTTTAAATGAAAATACATGAAGAAAAACCCACAAGGTTGTATTTCTATTTGAATAAATCAGACAGAACACTTTAAAGTTAAGCATGATTTATCTTTTCCTCTCCATACTCTAAATGTGCAGCAGTGTTGTCCTTCATTAAAGATGCAAGTGCTGACTGGGTTATTTCCTTGTCCCTGACTCATGTCAACAAGCCTGGAGTGTGAAATTTTCTGAAATGATTTACTGCTTATCTGCCCCACCCATCCATTGACCACCACTTCAGTATCTTGCTGTTATACCCCACAAAAGATAACTGAAAAGAGCTGTTAACTGGGTCTGAATCATCCATAAATAGATTATAAATTGTGAAAAGAATTCCTTATGCAAAATTTTAGAAATTACAATGAATATACATACAACCCCCATGTATTTCTAAGTTTTGTTTTTGTTTTTGCTTTCATATGCTCAATACATTTTGAATAGACTTGAGGATTTATTTCAGATTTTAAAAAATCTCCTTTGACATGTGAAAACAAATTGAAAGTAAATGAATTCCAGAAATCTAAATGTGACAGAATATTTGGGAATTTCTTTCGGGATACTTTATTTAACAAGTAATGTTGCATGCGTGCTTCTTACAAAGTTTATGATCCACAGGTATTTTTTTTCCAATATTTGTGATTAGTTTCTATGGCGAAGAATCATATATTAGGAAAATATATGTCATTTAAAACCTGTAGAGATTGCTTGTTCATAGGCAACAGTTCAATTTTTTAACTGCACTGACTATTTAGAAAGTAGTCAATTATTTTGAAAAACATTCAGAAGCACCTGAGATGCTTCTTAAAAGTAAAGATTCCCAGGGCCCATGGCAGAATCACTGAAATAAAGAGTTTGCGCTGCTCTACAGATATCTACAAATTATCTAACAGGCAGAAAATTTGAGAACCTCTGCTTTAGACATTTGAGTTGATTTTATTTTAATGTTGAGTACACTTAAAGAATGTTTATTCTCTGAGGACAGATTTCCATGACAAAGGGAAAAAGTTATTTGGAGATACTTGTTTTCTATGTTGCAAGGATTTGGAGGAGCAGATTTGATGCCACTACTGGTTTATTTCGCTTTGGTTTTGCTTATGTTTCTTGTTATTTTCATCTCATAATAAATATTTCTAGATTGAAAAACATAATATATCCTGTTGGATGAAAGGCATTAGCTCAATACACAAAGCCACTGAACTAATAAGCAGATCAGTGGGTTTTAAATTATATTATTGAAAGTGACTTTACAAAATTCAAAGTTAAGTTTGCCTAGTGGGTACAATTCCCCCTAAATTTTGTCAAAGCGTTAGTAAAATCTTAATTCAGATATTAAGTAGCTGGACTTTTATAATAAACTAGAATAATATGTTAATTATGCAAATATTCTATAAAAAGAAACTAATAACCATGGCTGTATTATGACTTACAGAAACCTTAGACAATTTTGCCTTTATGGGCCCCTTTTTCCATAAAATTATCTTAAAAGTATGTTGATATCAACATGACTTATGCCCAAATGTGATGCTAAAAACAATAGTCACTACAAATAAAATGTAACAAAAACTTACCTTTACACATTATATAAATCTCATAGAAGAAAATCATAATATAAGATAAATCAAATATTCTCTGAGTGTTACTTTTTATAGTATAATTTTAGCAACAATAATAATGGACTTAACCAGATCAAAAAGCTGTCAGGTGGGTGTTCTCTTGCTGATGACTCACTTGATAGTGACTTGCTGTGTTTCCTATACCCCATCATTCTGCAAAGTTAAATGAGCTAGTGCCAGGTGTGGGTTAATGGATCCCATGAAAGAGATCTTCTGCTTGTGGTGCTTAGTGAAGGTTGCAGAGGGCTCATCTCTAATCACATTCCCCACATCCCTAATCACATTGCATGTGTATGTGAGTGTGTGTATGTGTGTACGTGTATGTGTGTGTGTGTGTATGAACATACACACACACACACACACACACACACACTCACCCACCTACAAATCATGGAGGTCTCTTGTTACATACTTAGGACATTTATCTACTGTTAGACTCCTGTGATTTGATGAATTTATTTATTTTCCTCCCACTCTGCTCATTGATTTAGTAATCAAGCATAGTGTCAATCATTTTTTAAATACCTGAGCAAGCACTTTCTTCCTTGGTTTGTTATTTTGTTTGTTTTAAGAAAATAAAACTCTCCCCAAAGGTGAGAAATGGAAGTCAGTTACTTAGTTCCTATTTATTTGTGTTCTGCACAAAACTGCTCAACAGTACTTTAGGGATCTGTCCAGGTAACAGCATATATATATATGTAGTAATATATATATATATATATATATATATTACATGTACCTATGTAACATATGCATGTATATCTATTAATATATGCATATATGATATATGTACACATATAGATAAAATAAGTTCATCTTGACTCAGACTCTATCTATCCATTCTTTCACCGATGTGAAATAATGATACAGACTGTATTTGTGTGAAGGCCAGGTTGAGAGCTTATTTGAATTAATTTCTAAATTGTTAGCAATAAATTGTTAAATATATGGGTTTGTAAAAAATGACAGAATGTTTTATCTTTTCAATTACTTTTTTCTTTGTTTTGGTTTGGGTTCTGTTATATTCAGCCTGAGTGAGGAAACACTATACCTTGGCAATATCTAGAGTCAATAGAAATGTTCTTCAGATAAGGTAATGCTCTGCTCCGAAAGGTGCATTCTTCTGTTTTAAATTTACATTTTATATGATGACCAGCTATGTGCACATGCAATTCACAGTTGTTAAAATTACTTGCATAGTTCATCGTTGTGATCATCATTTTGCTTAGAACAAGAGTACTCTCATACATCATTTGTATTTCCTATGCTAATGTGGATATCTTTAAAAAAAACACTAGTAGATTAATGATACCAAATGTCTCTTAATTTATGCTACATTTTGTTTAAATCAATATTACAATTATATTACAGCTTCTTGGATACTCAAGAAAGATTCAAGATCTTTTCCAAATGGGTACATTTATAGATGGTTTCTTTATGATCTCATCATTTTCTTCTTCCTTAGGAAGAAATATCTTTTTCAGATATTTCTCCAGAATTCATGAATAAATGGGCAGAGATTATATTTATCTGCTGTACTATAGTCCTTCATTAAAACTCAATTTCATGAAAAGAAAAATCATAATTTGTAGATAATATGAACTAAATATCCACCCTTAGACACATTTCCTCAAATTTAAGTATTCGAAGTTAATCATTATGGCATATGTAAGAGTCATTGTCCTCACATTCTTTTTCCCCTTGAGAATAGATATGATGTCAACAGAGTAGTTAATTCAAACTTAATAACTACATAATAAACTTAATGGCTTGTAACTAAAAACTTAATCACTAAGTTTAAAGAAAACTGTTCAGAATAGGAACACCATATTAATTAGAATGACCACTATCCATAAGTATTTTATAGAGGAGAAAACATACACGTTAGCAAGGATGAGGTCTTGTCTTAGATGTTAATAGGACTTTTTGCCAAATGTGCACTAGAACCCAGAGTAAAAACTTGAGGAGGGCATGAAAGACTTCACAGATCTTGTAAACAAGCAGATAATAAACCATTGAAACACTCATATTTATTAGGTGCCTAATAAATAGCTTGCTGTTTATTACACTATAGCTTTAGGAGTTTTACAAGGTTGAAAAGGGGTGAGTAGGAAAGAGAATCCCAGGCTCATGCCAAGGTGCAGTGCTAAGTGTATAAGATGAGAACTTATTTGGTTGGTAGAAAGTAAAGATATATATTGAAAAATGTTTGGAAATGTTCTCAGAAAGAGACAAAGTTCAAATCTGGAGGAGCCATATGTACTTGGCTGGGCAGCTTTATCTGTAAACTCTGGACAATAGGAAGGAATGAGAGAGTTTAAATGAGAGTAACCTAATAAGATTATATTTTAGAAGAGTGATTCAAGTAGAAAAGTGGTAAATTCAGTTTATCTATTCTCATTTATTAATTTAACAAATGTTTATTTAAAACTGACTGTTGCAAGTTTCTCTTGTAAATTTGGAGGAGACCGTGTCAATGAGATAGTCAATCTTGGTGTCCTCTTTTGTTTTCCTTCTCTGTGAATGAAAACTATTAAAAACCAAATTACACATCAAATTGTCTAATTACAATAAATTATTATTATAATAGAATATAGAAAAAAACTTCTGGAGTTATTCAGATAGGTTCTTGATCTCTAAAAGAGTAAGGGGGAGCTAAAAATTATTCACTGAATGTTTGTTGATGAATGAATATATAAGAAGAGGTTGCATAAAAATATATGGCAACATTTGAATAGGACCATAGAGATGAAAAAGGAATAACAGAATATAAATATCATAGATTATAAATTATATTAGATTCTAAATATTGTATAGAAAATATATGAGCATGATAGTTATAGGATTTCTTTTTGATTTTAAAACCTGTATTTGGTTTACATTTCTTGATTAACTTAAATTCATAATAAACTGAAAATGCCACTTAAACTTACCATACACAAATAGATATATATGTGTGCATATGTATATATTCTTTACTTTGTTCCTTGTATAGATATTAACACTAGTAGAATATTCTAGACAATTAACCAAGTTAAAAGTAACACTCAGAAGAATAATATTACAACCAAACTGGAATAAATGACTACAAACATATTTGTTGTATATATATGATTTGTTCTTTCAATGTAAATATATTGCTTAAGATTTGTACCCTGTATTTGTTTATTGAAACAGTAATTTTTTTAAAGTTCTTTCATTCTATATGTTTCTTGAGCTTTTACTTAAATATATACATATCTGTGTGTGTTTATATGTATAAATTTGTGTGTGGTATTACAAATGATTGGAAATTCTGTCAGTAGAAGTGGCAAGCCTTGAAAGAGAACGAATACTTAAGGGAAAAAATAGCATGTTAGTTGCTTTCTAGAGACTATCAATCAGTTGAAGATGAGATCTTAATAACTAGAGAAATTGCCAGCTGTACTTCGGTACTGTGTCTCTTTATTAGCCTTGGTCTTCTAATGTGAAGCTTTATTTAATTGTTTAAGTAGATGGAAGCAAACTAACAGACACATCAGCCTCAAGATACTCAATGAAGAAACTCGTATTTGTAATCTAGCTGTAGAGACCAGGATTATTCTACTTTGATGATATGGCCTTTGTGATTAAACTGGATAGAAAAACCCCACGTGCCACACGGTCCACCTAATTAAGCCATCAGAATGCATTGCAGCAAACAGAGTGCCTCATATGGACGGGTATAAGTAATTTTTTTCCTCTATTGCTTGGTTAATAGAAAGAGGCGCTAACCTAGATGATGACTGATGGAGGCTATATGGTACAGCTGTTGTAATTGTGCCTGAGGGTAGAGAAAGCCTTGGTAAAAAAAATAAAATAAATAAAACAAGACAAAAACAAAAACAAAACTATTTCCAGAGACACTGTCATTACTTCATTCAACTATTTTTTCTATATTTCCTAGTGAGCTTTCATTTATTCTGCTTTCTCTCATTGTTTGTGTTCTTCCTCTTGCCACGTGCATGTATCCTTTGTTATATAAACAAGCCTGTGCTCTGATTTCACGTGGAAGAATTGCTTTGGAAAACGTTTCCATTGCTGAATCAATAATTCATAAATAAAATGAGTATTCTTGACTATTAAAATGAGAAATGTATATAAAAACTTGAGAAGAAGTTGAATGTATGGGCCTTGAAAATATAAAAACGTATTGTAACTGGCCTTCTTCCCAAGAGAGTGTCCACTACAAATTTTGAAGGATGTGACCACATGTATATAGTGACACATACTTACGTAAATACATAGTCACAATATATGGGTGTGCGGATGTACATATATATAAAATATCAGTGAATATATTTAAATTCATTTATATATAAAACAGTATGTTTTCATTTTAAATTCCTTATATACATCTAGTTAATATACACAAGCTGATATAAAGTAACAAACTTTTATTCTCTTAAAAGGAGGATAAGATTTATGATTATTTTATTTATTTTATTTATTTATTTGTTTGTGTGTTTATTTATTTATTTATTGACACAGAGTCTCGCTCTGTTGCCCAGGCTGGAGTGCAATGGTGTGATCTCGGCTCACTGCAACCTTTGCCTCCTGGGCTCAAGGGTCCAAGTGATTCTCCTGCCTCCGCCTCCCGAATAGCTGAAATTACAGATGTGCACCACCATGCCTGGCTAATTTTTTTTTGTTTTTAGTAGAGAAAGGGTTTCACCACGTTTGTCAGGCTGGAGTCAAAATCCTGGCCTCATGTGATCTGCCAGCTTAGGCCTCTCAAAGTGCTGGGATTACAGGCATGAGCCACTGAGCCTGGCTGGGATAAGATTTATTATGACATGACATTTTTCCATCAGTGTTAATAGTCATTCTCTGAATTACCAGGTTAGTAGGGCGATGTATCTACACAAATGACTGAATTCCTTGTATATGAAAATAACTCTATAGAATATATAATTTATCATTTTTCCATCTAAATGGCCTTTCAACTTTATTTCAATGTTTTATCTTGTTTAAGTTCTTAGCTTGACATGCAACTCAAGCAGAGGCATACAAGCATAGCATCACTAATACAATGAACTGGAATGAGGAGCTAAGTCATCCCCTGTGCTGCTGCCCTTGTCCATGAGGTATCATTGCTCACTGGAGCCATAGGTTTTCCTCGTAACTTTGTGACTCTAATCACTTTTTTCCTATCTCTTTCACTGCACATTTTATTTCTTTTCTTGCCTTTTTCTTTTCTAATATGTTGAGAAATTCAGGCTTCTAGATAGTTACTGTAAAAAGTTGTGTTACTTTTCTTTAATAATTTAAAGAAAGCTGATTCCATGTTCTTTTAATAAACTGAATACAAGACAATGATTCTAAGATGCATCATTATGTATGGCCAAGAAAAGAATATAACTGCCAATTAACCCATGACACAGTAAGTTAAGGATACTTCCATGTAATACATTAGTCGGACCAATCTCTCATTGCTTTGAAGTTTCTTTCATCCTTTCCAAAAGACTTGGCAATTTCTCTTGCATCTAGTTTGGTAGATGACAAGCAACTCTTTTGAAATTTCTCAGGAAATAGACACTTTCTTCTACCTAAGGGTGTCTTCCTTTCTTAAGTAGCATAATTTCTGCTTCACAAGAACCTGTAAGTCTGTGACCATCCCTTGAACAATAAATATTTCCTTCACAAATGTCAAATCTAAGGCTGAAATTTTGTTTCTAAGCTTCAAATAACAATAACATTTACCGACAATTTTCAATTATACTGGAATTATAGAATACATTTTAAATGACAATTAAGCTCAACTTGTGTATTCCTAATAATGCACATAACTGAAATGACAATATGAACAGTTATGACCAAGTAATCACATCACAGTCAATGCCAGTCACATCAAAATTACTGCCTGGCCCATAGTGATTGCAAGATGCCATCTAATATAAGACTTCAGAGTCAAAATGTTTTTTAAGGAAGGGTCTTTGTATTGATAAAATACAATATATAGAGGGAAATTGAGCTGACATAATCCGCAAGCTCCTCAAAGCTATTAAACATAAGCGTACGAATGTTCACTGGCAACTAGTTCTTAATAGATTATTATTTTAAAGCCACAAACGTGGCAAACATAATGAAAAATGTAGTATAGTGATACAATTGTGGTTAAAATTCATCCATTTACAAGCTCACTTTTTTCTTCCAAATGGAAGTGTCTTTCTCAGGTTCAGAAACCTGTTCATTAGAAAACCAAGCAAATTCTCTTAAAATCTTACCATCGTGACAGGAAATTTTTTAGTATGCACTGAGCTGAAATGCATATTATGATTATTAGGCAGCTGTATACATTTTTTCTGCAGGCATTCTGGGTAGAAAAAATATAGCTCCAGTAGACACTGTGCTGTTTCACCACAAGTTTGCTGGGTCTAAGTAATGTCAATTGAATAACAACAACTGACTTTATTATACTTTACTTTCAAAACTGTAATAAAACATAATTATATACAGACAGGAGATTTGTCAATTAAATAGTGCTAAGTATTTCCCAATTAAATGGTGGATATAATAAAAATTGACCAATACTAATGAGAAGGCAATATTACTCCTTAATCAACCAGCAACTGACTAATATGTTGATTATATTCACTGAATCAATTTTGCTAATAAAGTGAAACTTGTTTCATTGAATCTTATTTTTGGCATCATACACTTACAACTTTAGTTTTATTGTATTTTTCCACCAAAATACTTTTATTGTAAGACTAAGTTTAGCTTTATAAGACTGTCAAACTGTTTATGTATCATTTTTCATACCTGCAAGTAATGTATAAAAGTTCCTGTTGCTCTATATCTTTCTGAGAAATTGGTGTTGTCAGTGTTTGGGATTTTAGCTATCTAATAGATGTGTAAGTAGTATCTCGTGATTTAAATTTTTAATTCCTTAATTGTATATAATATTATTAAGTTTATGTGTCATCTGTATTTGTTCTTTGGTGAGGTATTTATTTGTTCAGACTTTTTGCCCACTTTTTGGGGGGTTGGTTGTCTACTTATTAAGAGTTTTTTGTTTTTTGGGTTTTTTTGTTTTTTGTTTTTTTGTTTTGAGACAGAGTCTCCCTCTGTCTTCCAGGCTGGAGGGCGGTGGCGCGCTCTCCGCTCACTGCAACCTCTGCCTCCCGAGTTCAAGCGATTCTCCTGCATCAGCCTCTTGAGTAGCAGGGATTACAGGCTCCCGCCACCATGCCCAGCAATTTTGTGTGTGTGTGTGTGTGTGTGTGTGTGTGTGTGTGTGTGTGTTTTTAGTAAAGACAGGATTTCTTCATGTTGGTCAGACTGGTCTCAAATTCTTGACCTCAAGTGACCTGCCCGCCTTGGCCTCCCATAGTGCTGGGATTACAGGTATGTCCCACCACGCCCAGCCAGTTCTTTGTAAATTTGGCATTCAAATCCTTTATCCAAATACCTTTTTAGCAAATATTTTCTTCCAGTATTTACCTTATATCTTTATCCTCCTTACATTGCCTTTTGCAGGGCAGAAGTTTTTTCATTTCAATGAAGTCCAATATATCAATTTTGCTTATTTCATGGATCATGCTTTTGGTGTTATACCAAAAACTCTTCGCTAAACACAAGGTCACTTAGATTTATTCCCAAGAATTTTAAATACTTAATATTTTCTCTTTTTACATAATATAGTTTACATAAGACATGAACATGTAGAATAAAAGCCCCCTTGTAATGTCTTCAGTGTAAATAAATGACGCTAAAAAGAATATCTTTTGTAGCCCTGATGTGTGGAATGAGAATCAAATGTGAAAATGGTAATATTCCTATTATTTTTGTCAACATTACAAATAACATTTTTTTATTTTACATGTTAATTGTAAACTATGTATTGTGTAATCACAAAATTCAGTCTTGAAGTCTTAAAATATTAAATATAGTTAAAACAGGACAAACAAAAATTACGATTGAAAACATAGACCAGAGACAATTTATGTAAAAAGAAAAGATGTTTAAGAAACAAGGAGTTTGATGAGGATAGGTGGGCCAATTCAGAAGTGTTATTGTTATAGATGGAACAAGTCGATGTTGGCCAAATTGTTAACGTTCTCTGGATGTTCACAGAAGCAGCTCTACAAACTATAGAATAATCTGGAACTAATTTATAATGACCATAGGGCAGATGATTTATTCAAGTTTCAAACACAAGGTTTAGAATTAATCTTTTTCTGAATTCATTTTCTATTTGTACCCAGCTGTCTCTTTTGAAGATGAACTACCTTTTTTCCCCATTTCATTTTTGTAAGCTTTCACCAAGTGTGTATATGATCATCCATTTTAACAGATTACTTTATTTACAGCAAATAAACTGGGCAATGTTAACCAAAAGCATTGGTTTTAGTGTCATACTTCTACCAGCCGTGTGAAATGTTTAAACTTGGGAAACTTGAAATGATTTTTTTTTCTTTGTTTTGTTTTCTTAAACTAGACAATATTTACTTTGTGCTGGTGGTGTACAGTTTAAATAAAGATTGTAAAGTATCTAATACAATGTCCTGTATATTGAAGGCAATGAATAAAGAGTAGGTATTATTACTTTTAAAACGTATATACTGGTAAGATTTTGGAAATATGGACAGGATTGAAAATTGTAGATGGGTGAAAGATTATCTGCTGATTTTGAGCCTGGATGATGAAGTCAATGACTGAAAATAGAATGTTTGGAAAGGAGAATTGCTCCAGATTCATGGAGGAGTTAAAAGAAAACACATCATGGCATGCAAGAGATAAATTTTAATGTGGTTAATGAATATAAATATAATTAACTTCTTCAGAATAGCGGGTCTTACATACTGTATTTAACCCCGTTCAAATGTCTCAGCAGACTATTCAATGTATAATGTCAGGTGATACAGTATTTAGTGAGAGAAAATTTTAAGCTGTATAGAGAAGTCATAATATGTTATGACAAACAGATGTGATATAACTTCACATCAAATTCAAATCAAAGAAATCAAAGAAAATAACTAAAATTCAACAGAATATGTAGGAATTTGCCTTGGAGTTATGTAAGAGAGCCAGGTTACAACTGTTGGTTCTACTCAAACAGTGACATGATGCTTCAGGGCAAACAAGGGAAACATATGACAATTGTGAATGCTTGTTGTAAACACTGTGATATATTTTTAGACTACAATGATGATTTTATTGTAATTATTACGAGATTGTTTAGCAAGATGACTATGTTAAAACACTTAAATATGTCACAAAAATAATCTAGTACTTGGAAGAATGCCATGAAACAAATAGAAGAATGCCTATTCACTAACATTTTTTCCTTTAGGCATCTTGGTATAAGGAGAATTTTCCTCTGTTTCTACAGTGTTGGTGAAGTACTTTACAACAAGAAAATTATATATATATATAAAATTTGTTATATATATTTATATATATTTGTTATATATATTTATATATATTTGTTATATATATTTATATATATTTGTTATATATATTTATATATTTGTTATATATATTTATATATGTATTTGTTATATATATTTATATATATTTGTTATATATATATTTATATATATATTTGTTATCTATATTTATATATATTTGTTATCTATATTTATATATATTTGTTATATACATATTTATATATATTGGTTATATATATTTATATATATGTTATATATATATTTATATATATTTGTTATATATATTTATATATATATTTGTTATATATATTTATATATATTTGTTATATATATTTATATATATTTGTTATATATATATATCTGTTATATATATATTTATATATATGTTATATATATTTATATATATTTGTTATATATATATTTATATATTTGTTATATATATTTATATATATATTTGTTATATATATATATTTGTTTTCATTTCCTTGTTTAAAAACACAAAGACAGAAAATGTATGCTGATTGCAAAAAAATATTTGAAAATCAGTGGTCTAAGGAAACATGTAATGAGATATTGAAATGTTTACTAGAATTGGCCAAGAGAAAGTTTGGTTTGTTGCTGTCTGGTAGGAAGTTATGTTTTTAGTTTTATTTTGTCTGTTTTAAAAAAGCATAATTTTTTTGTTTGTGTTTAGTTGATTGTGACTTTTGGAGGAGTTCAATTATAAATAAAATTTGATTCACTATCATGATATGTCATAATGCACTTTGATTTACAGGTGGAACATAAAACTATAGTTTATTAAGGGATACATTTAATTAAATTTATTATATGGTAAACCTGAGTGTACTAACTTGATGTAAAAGTCACAGATCCACAAATATCAACTAAAGAAATTATTAATGGAAACAAACAAAACATAGTGTTAGATAACCTTAGATGTATATATGCAGTCTGATTAAAGTAAACAATAAAAAGTAAAAGTAAAGATGACTACAATAATACTTGGTAAGCGGAATTGCCACTGGACTTAATTGACTTAATTGAATTTTATGATGATATTAGTTATGTTAGGCTATTAATTTATAGTATGTTTTGATTGACTACTAAAAAAAGAAAAATAAAATTTTATAGTATTTATGGTAGCAAAATTTATGGTAGCAAAATTTATGGTAGCAAAATTTCAAGAGTCATTAAATTGGAATAAAAGCTAGGAAAAGGGTTAGGTGCACGAAAAACACAAACAGATAGTAATGTGGACAAGTAGAATGTATGTAAACGCGTGATCCAGTTGAAAGATTAGAAGCAATGGAACCAGAGGAAATATTGAAAGTGCTGTATTAAAATGAGGAAACACTGAGCCCAGAAATGTCTGATAGACTCAGAGATATATCATTATTTTATATGAATATATCATATTACTTGAAAAATTGATTATATGACAACAACACTTATAAGCGACCTGCTTCAACATAACCACCCTAAAATTTTTTTAAAGATATATTCATTGTACAATTCTTTGAGTACAGGAAATCCATGGACTCAATGGAAACAAGTGATCCTCTGTCTAGAGTTTCCCTGGATAGTTGCAATTTGTGCTTCATGATCGTAGGTAATATATACATGTTCACCATGGGTTAACCAAACAAAGCCAAATTCCATAGCATATTGTTTTTACCTGTTGCTCTTCATTGAGTCTTTATTTAGTTGAATTTGCTGTAATATTTTTAAAATTATCATATCTTGGGTTTTTGATTGATCAAAGGAGACATTTTGGCAAGTATTTACTGAAGAGTTAAGGTAATTTTAATGAAGTGACCAGCAGATTGTTTGGAGGTGGCTGCAGAAATTAAAAAATGAACTGGTTTAAACTGGAGCTGAAAGCTACCCCTAATTGAATGTGTTGGTAATTTGTCATGTTCTTTAAACCATCGATAATTTCACATTTATATTTAATTAAAGAACTACTTTGTGGAATTGTCCCATATGAATATTTGTTTTAATAATCTGCCTTCACTGTTGCGTTAATTAGCCATTGATAATTGAGGATAAATTTTGTAAGCAAACTGTAATAAATGAATAATAAATATAATTGAAGACTGTCATATATCTAATCTACTGTATCTTTAATTTCTGGTGACAAATAATACATTTACTATCAATAAATTCCATTTATTGAGCACTCACTATTTGTTTTCTACACTGATTTTACTCAACCCTTAAAAAATTGTGAAAAAAAATTTTGTCATCCCAGAACTTGAGAGGCAGAAGAAGGAGGATTGCTTGATCCCAGGAGTTCCAGACCAGCCAGCATGGGCAAGATAGGGTTTCTCATCTCTACAAAATATTTAAAAATTTTCCAGCCATGGTGACACATGCCTGTAGTCCCAGCCACTCGGGAAGACGAGGCAGGAGGACCTCTTGAGCCAGCCGATGGAGGCTGCAGTGAGCCATGATCTCGCCGCTGCACTCCAGCTTGCATGGCAGAACAAGACCCTGTCTCAAAAAAATACATGTGTATTATTTATATTTTAAAAATGAGCAGAGCCAGGATTTGAAGCCACTTTGCATTGTCTGACTCGAAAACTTATTATAATGTTTCCCACACTATGCTAATCCATTCTACCTCCACGCTGCACCCACCACAGGATTTTTCTAATCTTATATTGCGTATCTGATTGTAGGTTAGGTAAGACATGGTCTATGCAGTGTGATTTAAAAACGTACGAGGCCTCCCGGACCAAACCAGTCTATTTTCTGCCAGAAAAACAAAAATTACATTTCAGATATTTAACTGAATATTATGAATTTGGCCTTTCTCTGTTTTTCTTGCTTAAAAATTAATTTCTATGTTTCTAACTTTTACTCTTGTTTTACTACTTCTTCCTTAACTTGACAAATGGTTTCATAGTTGAGGATATAATCTACATATGTCATAAAATAGTTATGATTAAGATTGCATTTTATTATTTCAGAAGACCATCCTTTTTCTCTTTGATGCCATGTGATAATTTGTCTTAAAAAAAGATAAGCATAGTTTCAGCTAAAATTTTATAAATGGACAATACATGTTTATTATATATATATTACCTAAACACACCTTCTCTTAGTTTTTATTAATTTGACATGGCAATGTTAAAAATTATATAATACAGGTAAAATTTAACATTTCTATAATTATGTCATGAATATTCAGTTTATTATTTATAACTATGTGCATCAGATTGAAGTGTTTCATCTAATCAGAAAAAGGATGTGTTATGTTTATGTAAATACTGACAGATAAGATTAGTTTTCATTGAATTTTGAATATTTATTCTCTTTGAGGTATCAAATGTATATATTTAACAAAGGTCTTTAATATTTAATGTATGGATCTTGACATCTTTGTAAATAAATTTTTCTTTTATTATTATTATTGTACTTTAAGTTTTAGGGTACATGTGCACAATGTGCAGGTTAGTTACATTATGTATACATGTGCCATGCTGGTGCGCTGCACCCACTAATAAATTTTTCTTTTCATTAAGAATGACTTTAAAACAAGGATAGTATTTTTCATTTTACAGTTTGACTTCCATGTTAAATAGTGTTTTTTAATTCCACTTAATTTTTTTTTTCTAGTCTGCAAACTTGTATTGAGCAATTTAGTCTCTGAAATCATTACAAAAGGCCAGAAGAGAACATTAAATTTAGGAAGCCCAGAAAAAATAGAATGCTCAATGAATTGTCTGTCTGTAGATACTATAGTGCTGTTGCCAGAAGTAAGTTAAATAGACTTTCCTTCCTCTGGGTGTTGATAACTGAGACTATCTCACATAGATATATGAGTTAATTATAATTTAAAGTAGATAGTTGTCTAATGAATCAATTTAAAAGTTTACACTGAATCAAAACACATAGGAAGTATTTTACATCACTTTATGTTTTGAAAACTAAATGCCATTCTTTTTGATTTTCACAAATGAAGAAGCAGTAATAGTTTTTGTTCAGTCATCTGTTGTCTTTATTTTCATGTTTTTAGATAAGTCCTTTCCTCTATAAATGTATTAGTTCACTTGATCACACTAAATGGTATATTTAAAACTTTGTCTTTCTTGGCTTTTTCCCCCCTTTGAGTTTAAAAGGTATTTATCTTAAAAATCTAACTATAAATCTTTAACTTCCCATATACGCTATTGAAGAATTACAATATTTTTAATGTTATATTTGTAGAGGAGCAAGTCTCATATAACTTAGTGTAAGATTTGAGCTCAAACTATATTTTATTTAAATATCTGACTTTTAGTAACATGGGATTCATCTGGAGCCCTAGATATGCAGGGATTTTACCTTGGAATTACTTTTGGCCTTTGGAAGGTCACTCGTTTACAAGTTATTGCCTCTCATAAATTGATCTAATCTTCTGAATAATGGCTGTACATGCTGATGATCAATATTTTATTGCTTCTACATCCTAAAACATACCATGAATTATTGTCAAAACCATTATCACCCAGCTCTGCAGGCATAACAATAATATACATGTGATATTACCACTCAGCTTGTGGAACTGTTTATGAAAACAAGACTCTGCTTGAATGATTTTATTTTAGCACTATTATAATCCTCTCTAATTTATAGATAGAAATGTTGCTAACATGATCACTCAAATAGTCCTGCTCCAGGCCAGAGTACTCACTTATTAAAATTTTCCACTGTAATGATGAACTTTAATTTTTCCTTTGATTCAAAAGTTTCTAAATTTCAATCACCCTATTATATTTTCACAGGGTAGTGTGAGTTAAAGATAACCAGTATAACTTTTTAAATGACTAAGTTAATACTGAAAAGTGTATTAAGGAATATCATACCTAATACACAGCACGATTGTTTTTCTGACTGTAATTATTATCCTGTAATCACATTTCCTTAATCTAAAACAATGTATGATGCACATTCTTTGCATTTTTGTCTTTCTACTATGACATTTTTACAATTTATAATAATTTTTATATTTTAATTAACTTGTATGAAATTTTTCTTATTTTGTTTTAGCTATGTACACAACTACTCTGATCTCTTCTAGTCACATTCCCTTGTCCATGCTTCACTTGTCAGTCATTTCAACATTTGCCTCCTTTCTGCATGTTATGACAATCAATATTTGAGGATGTGAGAGTGCTTCTAGTAATCCAGTTTGTTAGGATAGTGATTCTGATCAAAAAATTGAAACTTTCTCTCTTGGAAGCCTAAGCAGGGACGTAAAAATAACTGCAATTAGAAAACAGTTTTTTTTTTTTCATTATAATTCAAATCCCTTATCTGTAGGTTTCAATCAGTTTCACTTTCACAGGCATATGCACACACTTCCATAATTCAATTTCCTAGAGGTAATAGGAAATTGTTCACCTATTTAAATACTAAGTCTAGTAATGCAGTTGTGCTTGCCATCATTGTTGGATGCTTTTATTGTTTTTTTGTTTGTGTTTAACATAGGATCTTACATTTCACCCATGCTGGAGTGCAGTCATGCGATCTTGGCTCACTGCAGCCTTGACCTCCTGGGCTCAGGTTGATCTTCCCACCTCAGCATCCCACTAGCTGGGACTACAGGTGAACATCACTATGCCAGGCCAATTTTTTTGTATTTTTAGTAGAGATGGGGTCTTCCCAAGTTGCCTAAGCTCGCCTCCAACCTCTGGATTCAAGGGATCGTCTCTCCTTTGCCTCCAAAAGTGCTGGGATTACAGAAGTGAGCCACCGTGCCAGGCCGAATACCTCATTATCTTTCAGTTTACCTCAAAGCATTTTGGTAAACTAAAGCTTCAGGAATTGTCTATATACATATATATATACACATACACACACATATATATATACACACACACATATATATATACACACACACATATATACACACACACACACACACACACACACACATATCTATACATATAATCATTCCGGTGCATTGGTCTTATTAATACTTACCAATTCTCGCATTTACTATGTTGACAGATTTCATTTTTACTTGAGTTGACCTATTAATGTGTTCAGTGTTGGACAAAATAATATACATGAAAACATTGAAACTTGTATATTCAAATGACTTAAAAATTCATATAGCAACTATGATCTCACCTTGGATTATTGAGAAAGCAATACTTTATAAATGGAAGAAAAATTTGACTAAGGTGCAAGCTAAAGTTTTAGCCTGTGGAAATATTAATAGTTTAATCTCTTTATCAGCACAGACATAAAAGCTATTAGTAATGTTTTTATATTTGTTAGCTTGAGTTTCAACCTTTCTCAATTTATGTTAGTCCTAGTGTTAATAAAAGTGCCTTTGACAGCGTTAGTTTAAGGAATGTTCTTTAATAAATTGTCAGCGAGAGAAATCAATACCTTTAAAGGTTACTTTGAACTTTAAACAAATCGTGCGTGTGTGTGTGTGTGTGTGTGCGCGTGTGCACGCGCATGCGTGTCTGGTTAATAAGGCACAAAAGTTTGGATCACCAAACACAAAGCTATGAGGGAAAAATACAAATTCAGTACTACATTTTTTTTCTAAAACAGCTGATAGCTAATTATGTGGCTAACTTATTTCCTCTTAGTGTATTATACTGTCGAAAGAATTGAGTTAAATATGTTACATAAAATAAAAATGTAACAAAATTATATGTAGATTGTGAACTAGTTTCCTGAAATTTCAGCAGAACCTATTTTTTAAAACTCAGAGTATAACGTAATATTAATGTAACATACTATATTCATCACCATTTTACTTAAAAATAATTTGTATTTGGGGACTGTTTGGGGTTTGCCTTTGCACTGTGATATGGCAAATAATTTTAATAAAGTACTATCTAGGCTTTTGGGTAGAAAATGATTCCCCTTGAATTCTAACACTGTTTTTCTCCAGCACCCCACCAAGAACAAAGGACAGACAAGCATGAACAAACCAAATTTTGCACAGAATTTCAAGAGAATGAAAGACTGTCCTAAAGTAGATTCACTAGCTCCATATTTAGTCAATGAGACAAAGAGAAGGCAAGCGTCCCAATGAGAAAAAGAAAAAAATTCAATCAATCTGTTTTTTTTTTTTTTTCAATGTAGAAAATAGTAAGAGAAACTTTATGGATTAATAAAGGCTGCAATTAAAGTTCAAGCATCCACAGTCAACAACTCCAGCCTTTTATTTTCTAATTGTTTGAAGATTCGAATATGGAGAGACAGACAATATGGTGATGATTTAAGACATTCAAATCAATTTTCCTTTTGCCCCTTTATAAGGGTACTCTATAGACGGTTTCAACTTTGCTGATTGACAAGCAATTTTCCCTACAAAATCATTTATCTTTGCTTCAATTTTTAGCACATAAAATATTTAAAGATTTTTGTTGTTGTTGTTGTTAACTGCAGATTTGGTTGTTTCTTTTTCAAAATAGTAACAATGATGTCTGAATCGACCCATCTGCTCTCCAAAGTGCGTCTATAAAGAGAGGTGAGATTGTGGATATTTAGGGAAGGAACCTTACATTCACGGCACCAACTTGCCAAAGGATATGGTATTTTCATTAGCCGTAGAAGAAGTCATGGGCCACTTAATTTAGAAAACATATCTAAGAAAGATTGGTATAATAAAATCCATACTTTTTTTAGAAAGCAATATTTGATCAATTTCTTAATTTGAAAATTATGAATTAAACACATTGAAGGGAAGTGCAACAAATGTCTTCTCTTGTGAGAACTTATAATAAGTTCTCACAAATTTATAATAATTCATGGACTAATGAAAATAATTTAAATTAAGGGAGAACCAAAATAACAACTTTAGTTTTTCAATGTATTTTAGAGTAGAAACAATACCAGTTAAAAGTATATTATTCAATGGCACTCATATTTAAAGGGAATATCATATGGGTACGGTTAATTTCTTTTTAATAGTCAAAGCTTCTAAATTAGTGACAAGAAAAGAGGTATAATATGTAACAATACTATTGGCTGGAACCTTTTGAATGATAAACGAAATGAATAATTAATACCAGGAAGACATATAAAGATTGCACATGCACAAATAGACAACAAAAATAAAGTAGTTCAGCTTCTGTTGAGTAACATGGAATGCTATCTGCACTTTAGAAGCCTTTAACAAAATGTACATGTTACTGTTTATTTTATTATTCTCTCCTTTTCTAACTTTTAAGTTCAGGGATAGATGTGCAAGTTTGTTACCCAGGAAAACATGTGTCCTGGTGGTTTGTTGTGCAGATTGTTTCATCACCCAGGTATTAAGCCTAGTGCCCGATACTCTTCCTCTTCCCATTCTCTACACTCCAATAGACACCAGTGTGGGTTGTTTCCCTCTATGTGTCCATGTGTTCTCATCGTTCAGCTCCCACTTATAATTGAGAATGTGTGACATTTGGTTTTCTGTTTTTGCATTAGTTTGCTAAGAATAATGGCCTCCAGATCCACCCCTGCCCCTGCAATGGACATTATATTCTTCTTTTTACGGCTGCATAGTATTCCATGGTCTAGATATACCACATTTTCTTTGTCCAGTATATCATTGATGGGCATTTAGGTTGATTCCATGTCTTTGCTACTGTGAATAGTGCTGCACTGAACATACACGTGCATGTGTCTCGATTTATTCCAGTAATGGGATTGCCGGGTTGAACGGTATTTCTGTCTCTATGTCCTTTAGGAATCGCCACTCTGTCTTCCACAGTGGTTGAACTAATTTACACTCCCACCAGCAGTATATACATGTTCCTTTCTTTCCACAACCTCTCCAGCATCTGTTATTTTTTTGACTTTTTTATAGTAGCTATATGACTGGAGTGAGATTGTATCTCATTGTGGTTTTGATTTTGCATTTCTCTAATGATCAGGCATATCACTGTTTTATATTATCTTTTAAACATTCCTGCATGACGGAGTTTGTGTCACGCCTTTAAAGTGCTCAATGGTAAGATGATGATGCCACAAATATAACTGTGGGATCCCCCCTCTCTGGTTTTGTGCCATCTAAACACTTATTTGCACCAATATTTAAAAGACTTTTTTAAGTGATAGTTTTGCTGATATCACTGTCCCTCTTCTTAAACAATTAGTTTTTGATGTATTACATTTAACTAAATCCAGACTTGGTAAAAATATTTATTAGATTAGTCATATTATTATAACAAATAATGATGAACTGAGAAATAAATGCAAATTATAATTTATTTTGCTTTCTTCTTTACCTGTTTACAATGTTCTTCCAAGCATAAACTTGTTAATATCCGCTGTGAGACACACGATGCTAAGTTACACTTAAACTAGAATTTTAGTTGGCAACAATATGATGTAAATTAAAAGAACTAATGTTATTAAGTTGTTTGTGATTATCTTGCAAAAGAGAAAAGACTTTTCTTTTTGGTCTAGCCTTGTTGTCCAACTCTCTTTCTTGTTCAGAAGAAAATTCAAAGCCAAATAGTGCTCTGTAGGTTTTAAATATTTTTAATACTAAAAGGAAGACTCAAGAGTTCTTTCTTCATTAGTTAAATGGATCCAGGAAACAAGTGCTCTGAGTCCAATAGTTATATATTTGCTGTAGGCTAATGCAAAGAGTTCCACCAGGAAGGGAACCGTATTGTTAACTAATTATTGGACTTGTGGTTTCATTTAATTTATTACTTGAATATGTAAGTTATATATATTCATTTAAAAGGGTAAGCAAATTCATAGGAAATAAATGTTTTCAGTTTTCTCCATTGATAGTACTAAAAGCACCACATTTTCATGGCAGAGCAGAGCTTGCTAAATATCTTTACATTCAAAAGTATCCTCATAATAAAAAAGTTTGGGACCTACTGGTATTATGTGAAGCTTTCACTAGGACCCTACAATTGGTCAGCCCTTCAGGACTTAAGGTCAGCTTTCACTCTCATAAATCCATTTTAATCTTGGCGGTTTCTTTCCTATTTTGCTATATTCATATTATTATCTGATCTTTGATAAGAAAATGCTTTCAAGATGTATTGACTGAGAGTTATTCCTAAAGGAAAGAAACAAGTTTGGGCAAATACAGGTTTGGCAGCCTAAAAGTCATCTCAAAAATTTCATTTTTTAGGATCACCATCTAATAATAGTATAGCTGTTACTGATTATTTAATTTCTTAATGTACTTTCAAATAGTAATACAGTATCACTTTAATTTTCAAATTTCTGCCATATATTAAGTATTCTCTAAATTTTGCAGTTAAAGACACCGAGAATCAATGTGTCCCTTGCCAAGGTCACACAAAGAAAAAGAGGAATAGCCAAATGTAAACAGTTCTGTCTGATGGTTAAGACTGTGCCTCAATTCTTTAAACGTAATGTTCTCACAGCTTGCTATTGTTGTTGGTAGAGAAGGAAATGAATGTGTAATGCTTTTTTCTACCATTAGCAATGATTCTAAGCCATTATCTTTATAGTTCAAGCTCTAAAATTCAAAAGGTGGATTTTTCAATACCTTCCTGCAATTAATTTTTATCAACCTCATGATTGAATAAGTGCATATTCACATGATAGTTGTTTTTAGCAATTTGAATTGAAATCTGTATTTTATCAATTTAATTGATTGCTTCTTTTTGCCATTACTAAAAATATACTGAAATACTTGAAGTGAGCATATACTGGGTAATCAAATGAAGTGTATTTCATAGGCTTTGCTTGTTCTCAGAAAAATTATCAAGACATTCTTCTTTCTGTAATCAATGCTAATATTATTTGATAAGTTCCTTTAATTATCAAATTCTAAAGCATGAAGCATTTAAATAGTTTATTAATTTATCAGTATTACTATACCAAGCCATTGACAATATATTTTTAGTTGTACAGATAGCTTATACAAAACAGCACACTTGGCTTTTTAAACAAAAAGTTAGAAAACTTTCTTGCAAAATCAAGAAAGTTTGACTCATAAATTCTCAAAATTATAACAAAAATAATTATAATACAGCATTTATAATAGCATCATTAAGTTCACCCACATTCAATTCATAAAATATCTCCTTGTTGATAAATTACTGTTTGACTTCAGCCTTCCATACTCCATTACATACTTTCTTTTGACTGAAAATTTCTGACAAACAGAAATTTATGGTGGAAATGACCTCTCAAGTTTATTTATGAAACCACTAGCACAACACAGCAGTAGATCACGGGATGACATATGATTACTGCCTCCCAAAATAGGTACAGTATCATGCAGTGCAGTGAAGCATGCTCAGCACTGAAAGTCCACTGGCCCTGTGCTAAACCATGGCTAGCCTACACTCTTAGGTAGTGGATATTTGACAGAACCAATGCACACAGAAAAACCTTGGAGTTCCACTAGAAGTATGCTTTTTCAAATGAGAAGTTCCACAAAAATATAATTTTCTTCAATTTTACTTTTTTTTTGTTATTCAGTCTGGATTTTCTAATTGTGAACAATAATTTTCCACTCAAACAAGAGTGTTTATCTTGGAATTGGAGTCTTTTCAAACTGTCATCCACCTTTCATTATGTTTTTTTTTTAATTTTACCATTTACACATAAAAAAGGCCACTACGTAACTTTGATTTGAAAATTTAGTATTAAATTCCTATAATCTATATTAGAGTCAATTTACATAAGTTAAATCTTAAATTGAAAAATTTTGTTATATCAAAATAAATGTAGTTCCATTTAATATGCACTCTATAAAATAGAAATATTTTAAGTAATGTTTATGGTAGAAGAAATAATGACTGCATGAATTTAAGTTCCAGTTTTCTGCATTAAATAGATTTACCTCACATCTTTCACTTTCATGTGAGATGTTTTATGTAAAATTGTCTAAATTTAGCTCTCTGATGTACTGTGAAAGATACGCAATTCAAGCAACTTTATGACACACAAAAATATTACATTTTCTACCACTGATCTTTAGGTTTTATCATCAAGCTCTAAACTACAAACAAATAATTTCTTTTTATTGGATGCCTTCATACATTATTAATAAAGACTATGGCTGTTTTTCTCCCCTATTCATTATTTTGCATTGTGTTTACAGAGTATATATGCCAAACATAGCTATTTTTTGAATGAAGATAGTAAAAAGCCATGTGGCATAAACACACTTCACTAAAATGACTGTTCAATACCAAAGGAATAAATTACTAAACCCAAAGACATAGCAAGAGAAATGAGGCAGTAGGCAGAAATACACACGCTTTTATGGGGTGTTTCTGATTACATCTTATCATTTGTAGTTGAAGTTTATGTCTTTAGAAGACATGATTTAATTATCTGCATCATTTCATGAAACTTCATTCATGGTGTCAATTTTATGTAATCTATCATACTTTTCAAGTAGTTTTGTGTGCTACAAGTTGAAGGGGGTTGCAATAGGACAAAACAAATAGTGCCACAAAGAAAACACATGACATGTCCACGTGCAATGTTTTTACTCATAGATGATTATGCTTTGACACTTTATATAGTATTTCACCCCTAGCCATATGTGTGTTCCAAGGATAAAGTGTATGAAATATTAGATACCACATATTGATGAAATAAATTGGATACTGGGAATGCAATCTCAAACATTTTTATAACTTTGTTATTTTTTAAAATGAATTTCTTCAAATATGTCAAAGTGTCTTTAGTTCATTTATGATCAATATGCTTTAGGTATTTTCACAAAAATAAATTATCTGAGGTACATTGAGAGGGCAGAATTTACCGGAGGTTTTGTTTTCATTTGCTTTGGTTTTTGAATGGATATCACTTTATTTTAGTATAAAAACATAAAGGAAAATGTGGGATATTGAGAAAAACAATAAGAAATAAATTTGGCAAGGTAAAAATAACGAAAAATAATATGATAAAACAGCAGGTTGTTGTTTTGATTTTATGACTATGTACTTCAATTTCATCTCCTTATTATTTAATTAAACTGAGTATGAATTGAATATATTCATCCCTCAGCTCAATAAAACATTTCTCTAGTCTTCAATTCATTCTCTTGGGCACATTTCAACCTAAATCTTGCTTGAAGTTTACAATAAAGTCATACTATCTTTTGGCAGATGATTTCCCAATGATATATACAAAGAGATAATGGTTTTGATTTGCATTTCTCTAATGACCAGTGATGATGAGCATTTTTTCATAAGTTACGCGCATGTACCCCAGAACTTAAAGTCTAATAAATAATGGTTAACATCCAAATATTTGTGCTTTCTGCTGTACTACTACTTTTACTATTTTACTATTTCATTTTCTTCTTCTTTGTTGTATGTGTGTGTGTGTGCACATAGTGTTTATAATATTAAAGTAGGCATGATTTTAGGAAAAAGTAAGTTGTATTTAGTGTTAAGTGATATCTTTACAACAATAGTGCATGACATAGTTCATAGACTATATAGACAGAACATTTTGAACTCTGAACTTTGTTGTTGAACTTCCTCACAAAAAAATAGCCATTTGTCAAAAAGTAAGATTAATTGCTGAATTAGTCCACAAAGGCCACATGTATAAAACTTTAGAGTGACAATTTAAGAAGTAAAACCAGCTATCATTTGTCACCTAAGAATTATTAATTCAAATCATACAGAAGTGACATTTGTCCTCAGGAGAACAGTAAATAACTATAAGGTGATAGAAATCATCCTCGAGGTACCACTCCTGTCTCCTCTTTCTTCTCACCTCAGGCATTTTATGTCTAATAGACATGTAGAATTTTTCTGAACCCAGTGATTCGTATTATGCGTCCACAGTGCAGTCTTCATCTTGCCATTATTAAACATAGCAGTTATCTGTCCAATTCTCTTTATCCATAGTGCTGTTAATTTGCTTAACTCCTCTATCATTTTTTAATTGGAAGATGCAGCAACTCACCACCCACTTTCTTGAACTTTAACTCCTTCTCCAAACATCACAGTTAATATTCTAAAACTATAAATCTGACCAAGTTGCCTTCCTGTTTAAAAAGACTTCATGGCTTTCCAGAGCCTTACATAAAATTTACAATCTACAGCATGACATCCAATGTGTTTTATAATTTGGCCCACGTTTAAATCTACTCTTGTCCCTCAATTCCAGCTCCAACAGCGGCACCTTGTTGAAAGCTCTGAGACCCAACTTTATGCTTATCAATTTTTAGGGCACATAGGTGCTTATACTCTGCCTAGAACATCTTGCCCATGCTCCCAGTGTCACAAGACTCAGGTTTGACTACTTTTATTGTAGGAAATCTTACTCCCAGCGTTATCTTAACTCCTTTTAGGAGGCCACGCCAAGTATTTCCCTTTAATACTCTGAAATCTCTCTATATGCTCAAAGTGTACGTTTTTAACTGGTTCAAAACTACTTAAGGATAAGTGTCATGGTTAACTTCTCTTTAAGATAGTGTTTTAGTAGAAAGACTCAGAGGAAATGGAAAAGTCAAGTAAAGGAATGGATGGAAAGAAGGTCATATATTTTTTTTCTGGTGGTGACAGTAGCCACGATGCAAAGTCTAGAAATCACTTAAAGAAGGCTGTCAGGCAAACTAGTTGAGACGTTCTGTTCCATTACAAAACAACTGCTATTAGTCAAATATCGGTTGGGAAAAAAAACAGCAGATTGAAAGTCATTTGTGAACAATGATAAATGCAGTTGGGGGCACAAAGCAAAGACAGTGAATTGTATATACATATCATAGCAATTGTTGGCATTTTTCTTACATGACAACTTAAATAACAAGCTAATATTCCTTTGCTAAAACTGACATAATAGCGAAGCACTTAGTTTTTCTTTCATTTGTACATTTTTGCTTTGCAAAAGGCATGTTATATACACATGAAATTCCTTGCTACATTTCTTGTTGATGATGACAGACTAAATGTGATTTTATAATTCTAATGCCTAATCCTGTGAGATCTACGGTGTGAAGATGAGGGGGCCACTAGGTCTCGGATGACTAATTGACTGTCACTACCTAACTGGTGTACTTGTGGCAAGTATTTTTTTTTATGTATGTGTATGTGTATATATATATATATATATATATAATTATTATTATTATACTTTAAGTTTTAGGGTACATGTGCACAATGTAACTAACATATGTATACATGTGCCATGCTGGTGTGCTGCACCCATTAACTCGTCATTTAGCATTAGGTATATCTCCTAATGCTATCCCTCCCCCTCCCCCCACCCCACAACAGTCCCCAGAGTGTGATGTTCCCCTTCCTGTGTCCATGTGTTCTAATTGTTCAATTCCCACCTGTGAGTGAGAATATGCGGTGTTTGGTTTTTTGTCCTTGCGATAGTTTACTGAGAATGATGATTTCCAATTTCATCCATGTCCCTACAAAGGACATGAACTCATCATTTTTTATGGCTGCATAGTATTCCATGGTGTATATGTGTTGTGGCAAGTATTTCTAATGGGTCCTGACATTCATTCTCTCCTTGATATAGAAATTCTCTATTAATCACTTAACGTGAGTAAGTGTTAATAAAATCATAAAAAGATTAAAAACTATTTGCCATTGCTGAAGACAATAGTATCCTTCTTTTTAACATAAAGTATATTCTTATCTGAGGGTTTTAGAAAACATTAATATTAGGGTACATTTTGCCCCATGAAGTTACTTATGTAAAATATCAGCATTTTTTTCTTTTAAGATAGAGTCTCACTCTCTCACCCAGGCTGGAGTGCAATGGTACGATCTCAGCTCACTGAAACCTCCACCTCCCGGGTTCAAGCAATTCTCCTGCCTCAGCCTCCTAAGTAGCTGGGATAACAGGTGCACACCACCACGCCCAGCTAATTTTTGTGTTTTTAGTAGAGACGGGGTTTCACCATGTTAGTCAGGCTGGTCTCGAAATCCTGACCTCGTAATCTGCCCGCCTCAACCTCCCAAAGGTCTGGGATTACACGTGTGAGCCACCGCACCCAGCCAGCAAATATTTGTTAAAGCTTGCAGTACACAAGGTACTGTGTTTGACAAGTGTGTTAATAGTGAAGGCATAGGTGCTTACACTTTGATTTTCACAAAAATTCTAAAATCGAAAGAACAAGTGTTTCCACCTCTGAGTTACAGATTACAGACATGGTGCAGCAAGGATAAACTGAATCTTTGCCCAAGAGCATTTAACTTCATCTTCTTTTTTCCCTATAGTAGGTTTTTATCTAAGACATATTACAGTTTTGTGGAATGCTAATATTTATATTAAAATATGAACAACAGGTATGTTAAAAGAAAAACTTTAGACAGATTAGATGTAACAGAGTTTACTTGAGCAAAAAATAATTCATGGATCAGGCAGCACTCAGAACCAGGTAAGGGTCAGAGAGCTCTACTGTGCAGCATAGGCAGTGAGCTTTTATAGGCTTATCATGAAAGCTAAGTCGGTACATCAGCTGACTGGCTAGAGCTAGACAATTGCTTTATTTCAGCATGGTGTGACGAGGCATTTCCCTTATTGGGGCGTGGTCTGATCGGTTGGCTTCCTGTGATTGCTAAACCTCAGCTATTTGTTACAAAAATATACTACTAGGTTAAGTTGCGGCTTGTTTACATACTACGTTAGGTTTGTTATGTGGGGATTCAATTATTGAAAAAGCCACAAGCTAATTCCTCCTGTTTATTTTATTTATTTGGTATATTCATGATCTGTGGTTGAATTTGAAGTTCCTATGCTGTGTCCCAAACAGATGTTTTACTCAAGGAAAAATAAAAAACAGCTATTTATAAAGATATATTATGCAGCTATGTCAAAAAATTACTATGTGATTTTTTTCTGCACATACTCTGCTATTGTGATTAGATT
The DNA here is from genome assembly GCF_000001405.40 of Homo sapiens. Lineage (NCBI taxonomy): Eukaryota > Metazoa > Chordata > Mammalia > Primates > Hominidae > Homo > Homo sapiens. Next base: position 79,558,764 of record NC_000003.12, on the reverse strand, counting down.
TTGTTTTTAAAATAATGTTTAAGTAACTCTATCATGCAGTTTTAATTTAATCCGAGACAACATTCATAACAGAATAGAATAAATATTAGTTTAATATACCTAATGTAGTCCAGATCTTAAAATCCAACTTTATCTCCAAGTACCAGTTAACTTAAAACTAATACAGTTTACCCATGAAAAATGGAGGAAAAAAGAGTGCTGACCACTCTCCTACATAGTAAAAAATCTGTGTATTACTGTTGACTTCCCAAAGACTTAATTATTAATAGCCAACAGTTGACCAGAAGCCTTATCAATAACTAACATAAACACTCGATTCATACATATTTTGTATAAGTATTATACACTGTATTCTTACAATAAGTAAACTAGAGAAAAGACAATGCTATTAAGAATGTCGTAAGAAAAAAACATATTTACTGTTCATTAAGTGTAAGTGGATTATCATAAGAGTGTTCCTTCATCGTCTTTACGTTGAGTAGACTGAAGCGGAAGAAGAAGGTTGGTCTTGCTGTCTCAGGGGTGGCAGAGATGGAAGAAAACTTGAGGTAGAGAAGTTGGAAGGGGAAGGCAGGAGAGGCAGGCACACTTGGTGTAAATTTTATTAAACAAAAATCTGCAAATGAGTGGACCTGCCCAGTTCAAACTCCTGTTTTTCAAGGCTCAACTGTACTAGAATGAATTAGAAACAAATTATCTAAAATATTTTTACAAATTTGACAGGCTTTTCTATTCAGGCTGATTATTGTACAGTAACCACATAACAATGAAACAAACATTAACTGGAGGCTTGAATGAAGCACTCAATGTCTGTTAACTATATAGATTCAATGTATGAGCTCCATAGTCTTATCAAAGATGAGATTTAACAGACATGTTTCTCTTTTCCTCATTTGCCATGATGTCATGCTCTGGAAAGCAATCTTTCGTAGCAAAAAGCAATACTACATTTATAAGTGTAATGGGAAATACAGACACAATTGCAATAATTGCAATAAAATATATATATATATATATATATTTTTTTTTGTTTTAAGACAGTCTCGCTCTGTTGCCCAGGCTGGAGTGCAGTGGCGCGATCTCGGGTCACCGAACATCTACCTTCTAGGGTCAAGAAATTCTCGTTCCTCAGCCTCCTGAGTAGCTAGGATTACCGGCGTTTACTACCAAACCTGGCTAATTTTTGCATTTTTAGTGCAGACAGGGTTTCGCCTTGTTGGCCAGGCTGACCTCAAACTCCTGGGCTCAAGTGATCCACCCCCCTCAGCCTCTGAAGTGGTGGGATTACAGGCATGAGCCACTGTGCCTGGCCTAAATTATCCTTTTTAATTATGTATCTTAAATTCTTTATAGTCACAAATTCATATCTGAAAAAGAAATTTAAAATGAAGTGAATGAAGATGATAGTCAAACTAATGTTTTAAAAATCTACATCATTTTCTCTGTATTTACACGGATAAATAAGAGACATTAAATTAATTAAAAAGTCAAACTTCAGTTCTTTGTTACTTCTTAATTTATTACTTGATCAAATACTTGATATCTGCAGATAAAATAATGGGTATCGAGACAGGCAAGAATTTTACTAAGCTTTAAGATTAATTTAATAATTTTAAACACAAAATAAAATGGCTTAAACTCAACTCTAGGAACTTCTTTTATTCTCTAAAAATGTATGGGAAACATATCATTAGAGTTATTTGAATTAAAAGTCATAGTCTGCCACAAAAATAAAAAAAAAAAACAACAAAAAAAGGAATTCAGAGTATAAGAGAGAAAATGTCATTGGTGGGAGATGAAGTCCATAATAATATAAAATGAGATAAAAAATAAAAATAAAGTAAAAAATTTTTATTTTAAAAAATAAAAATTGCATGTGAGAGTAAGTGTAGAAGAGAATGTTGCTGAATGTTACCTCTATAGAGCAAAGTAAAAAGTTGATTACTACTTTAGTGGAATTACCTTTTGTGAAATGTATTCATTAAAATATGAATAATCTGAAACAAAAACTATCAACAGATATGAGAAGTAGCTGCCATTAAATGATGAAATGATAGTGTTTTACTAATTTTTATATCAGTAAACATGAGTACATATAAATATATGTGCATACATACATATATACAATATAATACATATATACAATAAAATAATTTGTCAATGTCTATTGAATGAATAAGTAGATGAATACAGCTCAACTTATTGGAGTGAGTTCTAAAAAGTAATTACCTTCACTTTTGACTGTAGGTTACATACAATTTTATGCAGTTTGGTGAGTGGAAATTACAATGGTCTATGGTTCAGGAGACTCAAGTGTGAGTCCTAATTACCAATAACTAGCAAACCAGTACATACTTCATGCTGTTTTTTTCTACAATTATCAAAATGAAAATGAACAACTAGCGGATCTATTTATATACTTTCAAACAATTATCAGATACACATTTTTATTCATGTATTACATTTCTTAAATCAGCAGACTTTTACAATCATATTTGGCATTATTATTTGTCAAAGGGCATACATAAAATAATGTATCTTACAAATAGTGATAACTTAGATTTGATGAAATACTGCATATTAAAATTTCTCTAAGAACTAAAGATTTATAATTCTATATATTTAAAGAATAAAAGATAAAAGATTAAAGGTATAGTTTACTAAACTAAAGGCATTTTGACTCAATATGTAATTTTATAAAAGTAAATTTATAATACATTCTCTTGCATGAATTCATCAAACAATAATATTAATTCTTAGAGAATTATATAACAAAGAAGCACATATTTAGATCTGCTTCAACACACATGGCAAATCACATAAGCATGCGTGGCACACTCCACTGGATATGCCCATTGATGAGATAAATTGAAGGATATATGCAATTCCCAGTACATTAGCTCTAACATCACCATTCTGTCACTCAAGATGACATAATAGAATGACTTTTGCTGAGAGTTGTAATTTTACTTTTGGTTAGGCTCTTTTGCTAAGGAAATGATTCAGATTCTATATGAAATCTTTAAAGTTTTACAGAAAAGAAACCCATGGCAATAGGCAGTAATCTTAACCATGTAACCAAGCCTCACAGGAAACTATCAAAAGCTCCATAACAAAGCAGAAATCTCAGTTTTTATTGGCCACGCACCTATGAAAATGCAGTTCAGAAACTAGGAGATCTGTCTCAATCCAACACAGTTTTGGAAGTTAATTTATGTTACTACCAGAATTTCATTCATCTCCATTCTACTGTTCCATAAATGTAAATCGGCAACTTTCCCTTCTCTTTCTTCTCTATGTTTTTCTGCTGCTTTTCCCTCTACCAGCTAACATGATCTACGTATCACACTGAAAATTAAATAAATAGAATGACTATTCTAATTAATCATATGCTTCTTGTAGTTTGAATTCTCAGGAATCGGTAACTTTCCTGGTTCAAAGAGCTTTGGCCAGGGTCAGCAAGAACATGGCCAACCTTAGCATTTCACTCAACTAAGATTAGGAGCGCAGCAAGCAATCTGAGACTTGACCAAATAATATGAGTGGCAATCTCAAATATAGTCCAATTTATAGTTTTAAATCATGTAAAGCACTGCAAATAACAATATATTAAATATAATTAGTAGCAAATTACCTGTCTTCAAACTCCTCATGAAACCATATGACTAAAAGTCTTTGGAGACACTCAGTAGTGTTTTCATTTTCTTTTCCCATTGTCACTCCAAAGCTTAGGACCACCTTACCTCAACATTTTTCTCTACCCAAATTCAGTCATTACATGTATCCTGCTAGTTTAGTTGTTCTCAGGCTAAGCTCTTAGACATTTTCAACAAATATTTATCTTCTACACGCCAGATTGATGTTAGAATTGTCAACCTTTATTCTGTGTTACTTCTCACAGTAAGTTCTGAGTTAGATATTGATTACTTCATAGATTAGAAAGCAATGTTCAAACGTTTAAGGGATTTGTCCATATCTCCAAGATGATTAACACATACTTCTTCTGATTCCAACTAAAATGCTCTTTCCACTGTATCAAATATCTTCCTAAAGTCTTTCCTTTTTCAGCTCTTTGGCATTATGAATAATAGGAGTCTCCCTACTTTGTCATTCCAGTTTTTCAGGAGTTTGTTCAACATACCTTAAAAATTTATCTCTTACAGCACATTCCAAGTTTTGGATACATATGATTGCCAAGATATGGATCATAGCCTTCTGTTGCCATTATTTTTCCAAGGTCACTTTGATTACTTGAGATCACCTACTGTACATTTCCATTTCCTTGTGTATCAGTTTTAACCATCCTTTCATGCAATTCTTAAATGTTCACTCTCTTTGCAATCTGTTGCAAACAGGTAGTAATATTTTATTTTTTGTGGTTCTAAAACATTTTATTTGTGCTTTGCTTATGATACTTAATGCTATATTATTTAGAAAGAATTACACTTTTTACATTGATAAATTACCACTTATAGAATTATAAGCTCTTTAAGTACCAGTCTTATTCCCTTTTCTGGGTCCCATGGTCTCTAACTCAGTATCATGAAATTGCATAGAACTAATACATATATAAGGGATAGAAAGTTTATCTGAAAATAAATGTATATATTAAGACATCAAGGATAATGATACCTTAGATTATTTAATTTTAATAAGTACTGAACTAGAGTAAAGTGAATCTTGAATTATGTTGGTATGAAATGACATATAACCATCATTATTATTCACCTATTATACCCAAAATGCCGAAAGACATTAAATGTATTAATTTATCTCCCATCAGCTCACTGTTTATGCAGTTCCACATAAAAACTTTATAATGAGAGAGAAAGTCAATCCATATTTTGGTTTTGTTTTATAACTACATGGAATAAGAACTAATTTATATTTAAAAAGCCAGAAATCAACAGCCATTCTCCTCCTCAAAACAGGATCTGTGCTGGATCCAGACAGATCTCTTGGTTTCTGAACTGAATTTTCAACATGGGCCCGTGGCCAGTGATAATTGAAAGAGCAATTATCAGTATTTCTGTGCTGATAGCACCCATTACTTTAAAATTTTATGGTATTTAGTAACTGTTGGATTTAATAAAATTTCCAATAATGTTTACTTTCTTACTGAAAATGTTTACATAATCATTCATACTATTCTAAAAAATGACACTTGGTACCTATCTGATACCTATCTGTACATAATGTGTATGTCATTTATGACCACACAGTAAACACTTTTCTCATATTGTGTTCCATATTCCTGGAAGTTGATATTGAAATTCTCTTGAATGAGAATTTTATGCATACTCTGGAGAAAACTCATATTATTACCTTTTCAGAGAGAAATCACTTAAAATGATGAAACTGTATCCTGTGTATTTATGTGAAATGATATACATTCAGTATCTGCATCCGAATAGAGTCAGAAATCTGATCAAAGAGCAGAATCATTGAAAGTGCTGTTTTAGAAGTGGAAATTTTGTTATGACAAGGCAAGACAGGGCTGAAATCACCCTAGCTTGCTTATGGAATAAGCACAATTAGAGTTTGTTCAAATTAAAAATCCACTCCCTGACAACAAATAAATGGAGGTGTCGAATCTCACTGTGATCACATTCAGTAATGATCTTGAATGCATGCAAATGTGAAATTTACTCAATAGGGCTCTCTGACAACTACAAATCAACTGTGAAATTAGAGTAGCTTGTACCTAAAGAAGAATTTCACACCTACTGAACTAGCAGTATGTTTCTTTGGTTATAGAGGTTAGAAAAATAATGCACAAGATTATATTTCCATTTGTTTACATGAGCCATAATGGCCTTAGCAATAGCAAATTTTCAATTTATGTGTTTAATACCCCTATAAATTGTGTTATCATAGTAACTAAGTATGGATTGTTGCAGTAATAAACACCTGAACCCATAAGGAATTACAGTGTGAAAGTTTACAAAATGCACATATGAGCAATGCTGCATTTTCTTGGGATTTAACACTTCCAGGCAGGAACTGAAGCCTAACAAACCGAAATTATCTGCTTCTTATTCCCTATATAAACTGCCATCTATCTGCCAATGCCAGGCTAATAATTGTGTAGCTTGAACTATTAAATTGGAAAATAATTTGTATTGGTTCAGAGAACTTCAGTTGGGAATGAACATTAAAGTGTTTCCACATGGTTATACTTCGCACATTAGAAATTCAGGCATATTTTTTCTATCTATTAAATTTATGAATTTACTATTCTGCAAGAAAATGAAGGTTGCTTCTATAAAACTCAGTTTCATGAAAGTCTTCCCTCTATGTCCACATTCAATTTAAAAAGACAAAATGCATAAGAAATGACATGAGAGTAATGAGATGAATGCTTTTATTGCACAAGTCACTGGAAGGAAAAATCATTGCCTTAATTTATGTGAATGCTACATTGAATCTAACATATGAAACTGAAAAAAACCTTGAATCATATAAGAAAATGTGTGCATCTTTTCTGCATCTTTAATATGTTAATATTCAGAATGAATATTCAAGAGATATAGTATGTGTTGTTGTCCAAGCGTATTTGACAGCAGAGGTCGCCTGTGTGCCCATGTGTGTGATTATTGTTCTGCAGAACACGTTTTGGGTAACACTGTCTAATAACTTCCTTACTACAGCAGGTAGCCTTTTGAGCTAGGCTACAGTTTTAAGATGAAAGAAGACTTCTTTCTTTCTTACTTTTTTTTTTTTTCCTGTAGCAAAATGTCTCGAGCTCTGTTTTTTTTTTTTTTTTTTTTTTTTTTTTTTTTTTAACTCTGTAGAGAGATCAAAGGACAGGAGCTGAAGAGGTCTCCATTATTCTTATACTGTCATCCTTAAAGTGCAAAAAAAGGAAAATACTTTAATTCCTGACCATGCTCAGTTTACTTACCTATAAAATGGGGTGATTCTACCTTATGTGCCTGAAGAGAGAGACTTGGTAAGATCATCCTTTGAAAGGTCCTTTTTCTCCCTGTTCACATAAAATTCTACATTTACTTTGTCACATAAATGACATGATGAAGTACCACCCCAGGGATATCACAGTCACTAGGAACTTGCTGTGCTGACATTTGCTAGATACATCAAGGATAGGAGCATAAATCTTGAACAGCTGAGAGCTTTCTCTTCGCCTAGATTAATATTTTCTTTCTTCCCATTCACAGCCCCCACCGACATCAAAGCTTTGCTGTTTTATCTGTCAAAAATGTCTTCACACTTTTCATTCTTAAATAAAAGTGCTGAGTAAGGACATTTTCACAACAAATTTTTATTTTACAAAACTTACAATGATTTGAATCCAAAACAACTTTCATTATTTAACTGTAAAGTAAATATATATTTTATTAGGTGTGTCTTAGTTCATTTTGTGCTGCTTTAACAGTGTATCCTTGTGATAGTTGTGGGGTGGGGGAGGGGGGAAGGATAGCTTTAGGAGATATACCTAATGCTAAATGACGAGTTAATGGGTGCAGCACACCAGCATGGCACATGTATACATATGTAACCTGCACATTGTGCACATGTACCCCAAAACTTAAAGTATAATAATAATAAAATTAAAATTTAAAAAAAAGTTGAAAGAAAAAAAAACAGTGTATCACAGACTGGGTAAGTTTATAATAAACTTAAATTATTGACTTATGGTTTTGGAGGCTGAAGAGCCCAAAATCCAGAGACCAACATCTGGCAAAGTCCTTTTTGCTGCCTGATACCATGTTGGAAGGGCATAGAAAAGCTGAGCAAGAGCAAGAGGGGATCAAACTGGTTCTTTTATAGCTAACCCAGTCCCATGATGGTAACATTAATTCATTCATGAGATTATGGTCCTTATAGCCTAATCACATCTTAAAGGTCCTACTTCTTAACAAGATTGCATTGGGGATTAAGGCTTTGGAGGACACATTCAAACCATAGCAAAGTTAATCCCGTTTTGTCACAACATCTCCAAATTCCAGTTCTTCATTAGAAGTTATTCATATACCATCAACCCCATTGGAAGGATCTTCTTATGTGTCCCACTCATTCTTATTCCAAAGGTGACTGTTTTAAAGTGATTGAATTATTTGCTTTGGTATTTGCTGGGAATTATTTCTCCCTAATAATTCACCATTGTGCAATAAACTAAAATTTTTAAACATATGTTGAAGCATAAGCCAATCTTAGGAAGAAAGTGGTTTATGTATTCCAAAAGAATTAAATCTGTTCATGTTACTGGGTTTAAATTTGACTATTCAACAAAAGTTAAAATGTTCCTCTCTAAGTGTTGTCATATAACTTGCATAGAGCTATTTACTAAAGTGCATCGCATGCTCCTTAGATTTTGAGAGAATTCTCTGTAATCCTGGCTTACCATGTGCTTTGACTTATCATGGCTGGTAAGAGTGATAGCCTTTCAGTGAAGTTAGATTGCCATTAGAAAGGTGTTAGTGTCAATTGAGGAGTAGTGCTTCTTATAAAAATGAGAGAAAGAAAACTGCTTATATATCCTTAACTTTAAGATCCCCTTTTCTTTTCTTTTCTTTTCTTTTCTTTTCTTTTCTTTTCTTTTCTTTTCCTTTCTTTCTTTCTTTCTTTCTTTCTTCCTTTCTTTCTTTCTTCCTTTCTTTTTGTTTTAATTTTCCTTTGGAGATGGAGTCTTGCTCTGTCACCCAGGCTGGAGTACAGTGGTTTGATAACAGCTCACTGCAACCTTGAAGTCCCATGCTTAAGTGATCCTCCTGCCTTAGCCTCCTGAGTAGCTAGGACTACAGGCTCAAGCCATCTAGTCCAGCTAATTTTTAATTTTTTTATAGAGATGATGTCTTACTATGTTGCCCAGGCTGGTCACAAACTCCTGGCCTCAAGCGATCTTGCCATATTAACCTCCCAAAGATGAGGTCACCTTTCCTGGGTGAGCCACCTCAGCTGGGTGAACCACTGCACCAAACTGAGATTCCCTTTACTTTTAAAGGTAAAGAATAAGGGCTACCCTCTTTTTCTGCAGAGCTAGTCATCCCTTTGTGTCTACGGAGGATGGATTCCAGGATGTCCTTTGGATACCAAGATCTGTGGATGCTCAAGTTCTTGATAGAAAAATAACAGTATTTGCATATAACCTACACATTTCCTCCCATATACTTTACATCTTTTATAGATTACTTATAATACCTAATATAATAGAAATGCTATGTAAGTTGTTGTTGTACTATATTCTTTTGGGATAATGACAGGGAAAAAAAGGCTGTACATGTTTAATACAGGCACAATTATTAAAAAATAATTTCAATCTGCAGTTGGTTAAATTCATAGATGTAAAACTCATAGATACGGAGGGCCGACTGTATTACCCAGATCTCCCTAGTAAGGGTTGGTTGTGTTTTCTGAGTGCTCTCATAAGATGCCATGTCCTCATTTATATATGTTTATTGTTTGTGTATCATATATATGTACATACATGTATATTTATTTTATGTCGTATATCACATTATATATCATAAGCTCCTTGAAGGCCATATGATTTTTCTGTCACAGTTCCCATTGTTTTTCTATCTGAAACATAAATGGTACTCAGTAGATGTACAGTGAATTAACAATTTAATGCAAGTAAAATTAATCTGCTAAAAATTACTCTGCTTGAAATCTCAATTTTCCCCTTCAAACATTTTGATAGACCATGATTATTTAACAGGATTTTTCACCCAATGGAAGACCGAAATCCTACCTAAAGTGCACATCCCTTGAAGGAACAATTCAGTCACTAGCAATGAGTACAAAAACCTGTGTCTTCATCCACTGGCAATGACCCCAGATTCTCTACTGAGGAGAAGAGCATGTAACAAGAGCCCTTTTGGAAGCCTTTTCTCCTGCCTGTGTACTGATTGGTACTCTCAGTGCACTGATTACTTGCTGCTCAATGATGGAGCAAGCAATGATTCAAAAACCCTGCTGCTGCCAAGAGAGAGTATCTATTTGTGTCTATCATTGGTCACTTCTCCCAGAGCATCAAGAACTCATACTCAGGAGCAACTACATTGGATGTGGAGAACGTACTTCTTTTCACACAATCTAATGTTGATAGGTGCATATAATATACCACATAGTTCTGTTCACATCAAATAAAACTTGAACCTATTGCAAAAGAAGTCTTAATATATTTTATGAACTGAAAATTATTAATGAAATAAGTGCCCATTTCAATGTATTATTTCCTACCAGACGAATGTGACCATAACTATATAATAAGCAACTGTTCTATTCATGTTGAATGCTATTCTTCTAATCCTTACAATCCACTTATCAGTGTGGTTCCACTTTAACTATCTAATTTTATGTAACCCATGTTGGTAGATTTCTCTTCACAAACAATTATTTATGCATTCTCTAGCATGGGTATCCGTGGAGTCAGGGAAATGATTGAAGAGTGGGATGCTTCCCTCTTATAGTTACTCAACATAGCATTTGTTTAAGAGATTTAATTAATGGAACTTTTCCAAAAGGATCAATGATATACCTGGTGATTGACTTTCACTCAGCATCATAGGCTCATGAACTTGCACAGCGAGGGTCAGGAGTAAAGAGGTAGGAAATGTCTCCTTGGGTGAGGAAGTTACCTGCTACTATCTCCTAACAAGCATTTTTCTCTCAGATGATTTGCTGGCCACACTTTCTGCATTTTGCTATTAATTCAACCAGGAATGACGATGGGTGCTTAAAACTGTTTCTGCACACACCCGACACCTGACATGGGGGAAACTTGCTCATATGTCCTCAACATCAGTAAAACTGCCATGCATTTTTTTTCTATAGATGTCTTTACTCCATCAAAAAAAGGAGAAGAGGAAAAATAAGTCACATCATGTGGCATTTATCTTCTTGAGTTTTTAGCATATTAATTATTATTCCACTTTACCCCTGTTAAAATGTCTGTGTAGTCCCAGGACATCCTATTTCCATTAGATAGCATTAGTTAGAAAAACAAAGAGATAAATTTCTATTTTCTTGGATTCCCACAATCCTAACAAGAATTTTTCTAGAAATGTTAATGTTTATAAGGTTTTCAAGAATCCTCCCAAATCATTAAGGAATATGCTGTATCCTGAATAAGTACCATCCTCTCTGCTCATGTCTGCACAAGTATCACATACATTCCCACACCTAAATATCATCTCATAGTATTTTACTTATACTGAACTTTAGAATAGCACAGTAGAGAATGATCTTTGCAGTCAGGCTAAATTATATATATTTGGAAATTTCCTAAAACTTTACAATCTTATTTTCAACATCTAGAAGTTAAAATTATAATTAACTATATCAGAATGAACAGAAATTAAATGTAAAAACTTCTAGAGAAAGTTTGTTCTATGTTCAATCATCTTAGTTCTCATTTTCCTCCTCACGTTCATATAAAATCTGCAGACTCCTCCAAACTCAAGTCCAGCTATGATTGATTGTTTCATTTATTTCTAAATCCACATTAATATCTGCCATAATCAACTGATTGTGTTTCTTACCTTATATTCTAAACAGCTTCAGTTTGTTTTGTCAAAATGAAGTCTTTTTTTTTTTTTTTTTTTTTTTTTTTTTGAGGCGGAGTCTCGCTCTGTCTGCCAGGCTGGAGTGCAGTGGCACGATCTCGGCTCACTGCAAGCTCCACCTCCCGGGTTCACGCCATTCTCCTGCCTCAGCCTCCCGAGTAGCTGGGACTAGAGGCACCCGCCACCACGCCCGGCTAATTTTGTTTTTGTATTTTTAGTACAGATGGGTTTTCACCCTGTTAGCCAAGATGGTCTTGATCTCCTGACCTCGTGATCCGCCCGCCTCGGCCTCCCAAGGTGCTGGGATTACAGGCGTGAGCCACCGCGCCCGGCCTCAAGTCCGTATTTTTTACACTGTAGTAAAATCTTGCAAGATTACAGATAGCTAAGTATTCAACTTAAAGAATCAGCACTTTTTTCTATGTTAACTGCCCTTGGTAAGTATTTATAAACATAATTATTCTAAATAGAGCATGCCAAACATAACCTGTTTGCAAGTACTGGAGGCCATTGTTAAATAACCAGTTACAGCAATGTGCTGCCCGTGAAGTGAGACATAATGCTGAGTGTACATGGTCTGTAATGATTGTCCTGGAACTTGCTTTCAAAGAGAAGTTGCCATGGTCAGTGAGATTTTCATCTTTCTTTTTCTGAGAAAAGTGGAGTGTATCCTATACAGCAGCAGGGCTTTCTAAACATGTAGCCAATCCAAAGCGCTTAACTCTTACAAATCATGTATATTCGTTTTGACAAAAAAAGTCAATGAATTTTTTTAACGTTCCAGCTCTTATCTTTGTCTTTCGAGAGCAACACTGTACTCTTTCACTGTACATTTAACCTTTGAACAACGTGAATGTTATAGGCACCAACTCCATGCAGAGTCAAAAATCTGCATATAACATTTGACTCCCCAGAAACCTAACTAATAGTCTACTGTTGACTGGAAGCCTTACCGATCATGTGAACAGTCAACTTAACACATATTTTGTATATTATATGTATTATATGCTGTATTTTTGCAATAACGTAAGCTAGAGGAAAGAAAGTCATGAGAAAAATATTTACTATACATTAAATTACTATTACTATTAATATTAATGTATGTATTATACATACATTACTATTAAGAAAGTTATAAGAAAAATATTTACTATACATTAAGTGGAAGTGGATCATAATAAAGGTCTCCATCCTCATGATATTCATACTGAAGAGGGCCAGGAGGAAGAGAAAAAGGGGGTGTTGGTCTTGCTCTCTCAAGGATGGCAAAGGTGGAAGAAACTCTGTGAATAAGTGGACCCATGCAATTCAAACCCATGTTCATCAAGAATCAACTGCATACAATCCTAGGATGTTTCTATCTTATGCTTAACTCTAAACCCTCCTGGGCCACCCATGCAAACATTATTTAGACTTTATTACCAGACTCTGCTTTGATTTAATGAATTACAATCTTTTCTAAAAGTAAAGAGATACTCCACATTTTAATATCAGCATCAGCTGTATAATTGCTACTAAAATAAAGAAAAAACCTACCTACCATCTCGAATCTTGTAATTTTGTAATGCAGGCCTATTTCTCCACTCTTTATCTGTGAATTTACTAAATATTTTTAAAAATAATTATCACATATTTAATACTGCAAAGCATTGGACTTAAAACTCATTAGGGTTATTTCCCAAGATAAAACTTCCATTTCACAGATGAAGAAATTTGTGCAGGAAGATATCATAGAATCAGTAAGTGGCTGAGTTGGGATTCAAGCCACTGTGTCACCTTCTGGCAAGGTTAGCAAGAATGGTCATGTCGAAATGCAGGGACTGTCTATTTAGTGTCTATACTATACAAACCATTCATTTCTAAGTAAATGGAAAATGGTATTCTCACACTGTCTGCTTTAGTGATTGAGAAGGTGGTTATAGACTGGGAGAGTATGTGGATGTGGTTTTCAGGACGTGACTTTTATTTGATGAATACTTTTCTCCTCATCCATCACTTTTTTTCAGTTGCTATTGCCTTCATCGATGTAGCAGTGAATTCACGATGTGTCCACATGCAATTTCCTTGGAACTCTGCAGTTTATTTAATCTTCTGATCATACGCAGCTCATTGAGTAACACTGTTTTTTTCTTTTTTTAATTCTATCCATTTTTTACAGGGATACTATTTAAGTATCTATGTAAGGTAAAAAAATATTAAATATCAATTTCTAAGAAATCATCATCAAATAGCATTTTAGAGGTTAGAAAATGAATGAACATGTATTATTTCATCTCCTTGAGTTTCCTTTGTGTTTCAGAAAAACCTGTTAGTTAAGTTGGATGGATATTTTATCATTTTTAGAGAAAAAAGAAACCTTAAGTTCATGTCAAATAACAATACAATTTCCAAGCCTAATAAATTAGGCCATGATTCCTACCTTAATGTTCATTCTGTACCTTAATACAGATGGTTATGTAGATGCATGTCTTCTGATAAAGAAAATGCAATTTGCAATATCTAAGACTTTTTTAATGTTTAAATTTCAGCAAACTTGAAAATGTTCATTAGGAAGACTTTTAATCAGAAAAATATATATACAAAAATTTTTATAAACCTATATCCTATCATTTCTACCCAATATAAACAATCGATAATATTACAAAAATTTTCCAGCACAGGTACAATCATTTTGTGAATATGCCCGCCACTATTCTGGTATTAATATCTGCAATGTCATTCAAAGTTAGAATATATTGTTATTTGAAAACACTTTATCTAGTTAGTTTCAAATCAGTTTTGAAGACAATTTAATATACATGAAAGTTTAAAAGTTATCTAAATTTCAGTAATCAGAAACTGTGGCTGATATATTAAATTTTAAGTGTAAATATTCAGATTTCATGGAAATTAATGATTAGAAACATAAAAAGAAAAAATGTTATTATAAAAATTAAAACCATAATGTGAGATATAAAATATTTATCCTAGAAAATATATATATTAATGTAGATTAGCGGCCCTGAAAGATAATCTAATAATGAAAACATCTCTTTATATGCTCTTGACTTAAAAATAGCCTTTAAGTGGGCTAAAGAAAAAAGGCTTTATATTAAATATGAAAAATCTTTGTTTTCTTTTTTCAGTCTTCTGTTGGATAAGCCTAATGAAAACTCAGTTGAATACTGTATTGTACTGTATTAAAAATCCTTCAATGCAGCCTGTACCCCAGGGTGTCACTTTTATGGTGTGAAATTACCATGCTTTCTGAAATCATTCCTCATTTTTTGTTTAGTCTAAACATTTTTGCTTATTTCTGCTTTCATTAAGCTTAAAAGGAAACACAAGAAATGTACAGAGGAACTAGGTGATGAAACTGTATAGGATACCACACATTTGCATACACATAAGTACCTTGCATTGCAGAGTATTTCTACAAATGCATTTAGAAAATCTCATGGGGCCTGCCAATGAATATAGTAAGAGCTAGATGAATTCTCTCTTTGAATTGTAAGTTGTTTAGAGTGAAGGATTTCACAAGTGAGATCTGAATACAGCTAATAAAAAGGGCTTGCCTCTGTTGGAGGAAAAAAATGTATGTATGCTTTTGTATGGATTAAGTTCAGATTTATTATTCTGAACTATTCACCCAGCATTAATCGTAAATCAATTTAGTGACATGTTAAAAATATGAGAAAATTTTATATGCTGCTCGGATGATCCGTTTAACAGGTATAATCAGTGATTTTGCACTGTGCTTTCTTTCCACTGGGCTCTCTAGTGATGCACTATCTCTTTACCAATTTTATTCTCCCAGGCAACCAAGGGCTGGAGGTACCCCATAGTAATTTCATACCCCTGTGCAAGGCAACACAAATCAACTTGAAAGGAAGAGTATGTCTGGTTTAATGCCATAGATTATGCAGAACAAGAAAAATGTCAGTTTCTAAGACCAAACCGAGAGCTTTGAAAAAAGCGAATCTGGAATCTTACCCTTTACAATTGCTTAGCTATTACAAACACATTTGTCTATTTTTCCCTTCCAAAAATATTACCCAAAGTGATTCCAAGCGTGTTCTGTAGTTCATAATTACTTGGGAGGATGACAGCTAATGAATAGCTTCTCTCCCTCTTGCATGTGTGATGAACAAATGCTTTTCCAAGAAAGTCAGACATTATTCAGTTCACTGTATGAGATAAATGCACATATTTTAATCAAATAATATTAAAAACTTTGAAATCCCATTTTATGTCCTTGTCATATACAATCATTATGAAGTGTTATATTTTATAATAAAATGTGATATTCTTGTGAAATTCCATTATGTTTAAAGAAATTTTGTTAATTAAAATGAATTGCTATATTAAAGGGAAATTTATGCTAATAATGTGGCAGATATTACTACCTTAAAGAGCAAATCACACACCTTCCTGACAACTAAAAAATAAAGAAGTAGGAAAGGAACCGAGTTATGGAATTCAGTAGATCAACCTGTAACTCTTGGCTCAACCGCTTACTAGCTGAGTGATTACAGACTCAATCACTTTAAATCTCAGTTATCACATTCATTAAATGCAAATAATACCAGTTTCCTGAGGATTAAATGAGACATTCCATTTAATTGCTAGGAAGGTATTTTAATTTTAAATCAAAATCATGCATTTCTATTACTACTGTTATTTATTTTTAAAATGTGAATCTGCTACAAACCTTTGAATATATATTATGAATTGAAGATGTAGCTGAAGCTTGAGTTTCTTTAAGGCTAATTAGCTAAAGTTAGCTTAAAAATAAAATATGTCAGTTTTTCTAATGCATTTCTGAAAAAATAACTTTATTTAGAAAGTGACAATTATACTTTTTCTTGCCATAATTTTACAACCTGGAAAAACATATTACAAAAAATGTGATTGTACATTTGCCATAATAGAGAATAAACACTTGAAGTTCATGTGTACTTTAAACTTGGAAATTATGTAGATTTTCTTAGCAAATATAATGGTACAGATTCATACACTGAAGCAGAAAATTAGAGTCTGTGATTTTAGACATTTTAATAATAAATCCTGTTAATTGCTACTGACAGTCCTTTGGAGATGAAAGATCATTATATTTTCAGGTTTGCCCCAATGGCTGTGAAAAAATATTATTCCTCACCAGTGGATGATCTAATTTAACTAAAGAGCAAAGCCTGTAAAATCAGAGTTGATGACCTAGTTGATTAATGTCCCTAGTAATTCTATTAGAGTAAAATGTAATTTATAAATCCAACCACTGAAAATCATCGTTTTGGTTAAATTATATACACTATATATATTTACTATATATATAATGATCTTACATGATGCAAATGTAAGGAACATTTTGAACTACTATATTACCTCTCTCTCTCTTTCTCTCTCTCTCTCCATATATATATATATACACACACACACACACACATATATATACACATATATGTATATACATATACACACACATATATAGACACACACACATATGTGTGTGTAATATTTAAGTTGATGGCCTATATCTTATAACTATCTTATAGATGTCACATATAAAGATACAATTCAGCTGTAGAAAGCACAACTAAAATTTTGGGTAGGGCCACAGAAAGTTGACAGATTTTAACAAAATATTATGGTGGAGTTTTCAACTTTACTTTTAAAATTTGACAAGTTACCTTAAGAAGGGAGGAATATTTTATATGCATATATGCAACTGCAACCATATTTCTGTCCTTAAAGAAATACTGTCTCTCTCTTGGAATTGTGATAGACTGTGCTTCTAGCCTCATTCCCTTCTCTAAAATCCCTCTGAATTTCTGTCCCTGTGCTGTGCCAAACACACCGCTGGGAGGGGGGCATGTTAATACAGTGTCAAAACACTGGCTGTTGTGGGTAATTTCAATAAAAGTCAGTAGCAGAAACAACGTCAAATCAGTGGCATGAATTGGCCTGTCACGTCACTTAAATTATAAGAAAAATTCAATAATCCTATGAACCAGATGTTGAAGTGTGGGTGAATGAGTGTGGATTAACGTGATTGTTTTCTGTAACTGGTGTTGCTGATGCATTTTTAGATTTAGTACAATTTCCAAACGTAAACTTTGATTTACATGAGACCAATATGCATATGGTTACCTATATGTTTTTATAATCAGTATGAAGTTAACACTTTTAGAATTTCATTCCATCCAGGATATTGAGGTTAAAAATAATAACATTACTTAATAGAAATTTACTCAAATAAGACTTCATCTCATCTATTAAGTCTAAAAAAAGTAGTAGAAATTTCATGTGCATTATTTTGCAAAATGCAATAATTATGTGTTGAATACTTGTGGTAGTATTTGCTCAAATATTTTTAAAATCTAAGATTATACACAGGATGTAAAAAATATTACGTAGACATGACAATCTTCGTGGCCTTAAGTAGTCTCCACCTAATGAGAGCATAGAGGTGCACACAAAAGTATAATTTAAAAGATAATGAAATAACTTCAAAATGTTGTGGGAACAGATTAAAGAAGAAACCTAGTTTCAGATCACATTTCTCAAAGCAGATAAAAGTGAAATCGGACAGTTGAGTTTGTTGAACTGGGAATGAAGAACTCAGACGTTAAAAGCATATCAGGAAAGAGATCATCAGAAGGAAAGTCTGAAATGCATGTGTTGTTTATGAAACAGAGTAGATTATTATCGGTAGAACATGAGATTCGTGATGGGGAGTGGAGTTGGAGCTTGGGTTATGAGCGGATGTTGAAAGCATATTAATAGGATTGGATATAATTACACAGTCAGAGAGTTAGAAAATGCCAAAACCCTGCAAAACATTCACCATTAGTTTGGATTGAATGTAACCTATAAAACTAAAAGATAATTTCACTTAATGTGTACAGGGGATTTTATCAACTGAACCTACAAGACAGTCTTTGGACAACCTTTTGAACTCATAATTGGTGACTATAAATGTCCTTCTATATTCTGGGCTCGAAACAAAATCATATTTTTTGCCGAGTACTGTTGAACTCTTGGTTCCATGATCTTATATGATGCAAATGTAAGATAGGAACTTTTTGAACTGCTCTATTACAATAACCTTTTCTAATGGTGTAATATTAGACTTTGAAAATTCTTGTTATAATGTGCCAAATTTCAATGCCCTGAAATGTAGCATTTCTGCAACTTATCAAACAATGTTAACCAATATACCAGAATCACTGTAACCTCCAAGGAATTATGAAAAATAATCATATTAGTAAGTGAATTATTATAATTTTCAAAGTCTAGATTCAAGTCCAACTTGGGGGTCACATATAAAATTAATCTTTGGATCACTGCAGAATTCCTCTGGGCAATAGTCTACATCATAAAATCAACATAATGATTAATAGACAATTTTTATGCTGAAGAAGTCCAGGAAATAAAATTTCACTGCATGATTGGGCATATGTGTTATGGAGGATTTTTATCTTCTTCTTAAGCATGAAAAATTGTCCACTCTGTAATGTTGGATGAAAACGATTAACAGTGTGATACTCTACACAAATTCTAATATAAAGTTCAAAGATTGAAAGTTTTTAATTGTTTTTCTAAACTGCAAGAGATTTGAATAAACACCCTTGACTTTTCAGAGTATAATGTCACTTAAGCAAAGACTTAATACTAGTACTATAATATTAAAATGAAGTTTTAATTTTTCATTTCTTCATATGCATGTTTCAATATATATAATTGAAAATGAAAATAATATTGAGGCATATTTGTATAGCAAAAGATCTAAAGTTATATAAGTCATTTCATAATTATTCTGGATATAGCCTATTTACCCAAAAGTCTTTTTTAAAACACACATTTCTTTTGTAAAACAACTTACGTGTGTGCTTCCATGTTGCATTTGTGTAACTTAAACTTATTTTCAAATAACGTTTATGTGCATGTTCCTTTTTATCTACCCTAAAGGGCAGGAAGTATTAAGGAGTATCCCATAACAAATTATCTGATAATTCCAGCTTGTAAAATGTATTAAATGTGCACTTCTCCTTTGAACAGATTGCATGAATATATTGACAGGCTTAAAGTAATGTTTCAATTGATAAGGAATTTGTTTGCCATGATTTACAAGTTATGCTAAGTTATTTGGGAACCTATGGGATTTTCTTTTTGGGGGAAGTTATGACAGATACAAAATATTGGAACAAACCCCTCAGTATCACCCTCACAATTGTCATCTTGTAGGACCTTATTTTTTTCTGCTGAGTGTGGTCTATTTTCTGTACAAACTCTAGCCTCTGCTATTTGCTATGCACGGAAATTCAATCAGATGTTTAATTGTATCTTAACATGAGTTCCAAACAGCTGGCTAATTCCCTTGTTTCTGATTAAAGTGATTACAAAAAATAAAATTTAACATGACATTTACATACAACTCTAAAAGGAATCATTATTAATAAGGTTTAGGCATTTAAGAGATGCAAGATTTTTTAGCACTAGGAATAACAATTTCTAAAACAATGCAACATTGTAACCAAACAGCAGTAGGAAAATATAGAAAACAATCATATAAATGTCTCCAGTTTGAAAAGACAGATCCTAGAAAGCTATCAAATAAACATTTAGTAATACCATGGGTGGCCTTGCTATTGTTGATGTGCCAGGGTCTGCCATGTACCTTTTCGGTTGCAGGTAACCAACAGTAAACATTTGAGTAGCTGAGAGGCAAGTGACTAAGTAAGCACAGCTGACACAACCCAATATTTGGGGCATTCATTTTTGTGATAGTATCAATAATAATATGCCCAACATTTACAACTAAATAAAATCTCTGGGGATTTTATTAGCACTACCAAATAAGATACTGTTTTTTAAAATCTCCTTGTACTGTTTTTTTGTTAAGTATTTTTTCATTGCCTTAAACATTTAACATCCTCAAAGGAAGGGTATCTCTTGGAAAATGAACTATACAATATTGGTCATTGTGCTACTTCTCTCTCATGATTGGAAAGATACATTAAATCTGTATTAACTCTTCAGACACAAAAGTGTTACATATCCAAAATCCAAAGGCTAGCAGCCACACATGTAATAATGTTACCTAAAATTATATAGCATATGTAATGTCGGGCTATTATTCGTAGTTTTGGTTCTGGTGAGAGTTTGTAGAATTAATAAATTGGCTATATTTAGATAAAAAGAAAGATACATGAAGCTTGTCCAATCGACGACCCAGGATGGCTTCGAAAGTGGCCCAACACAAATTTGTAAACTTTCTTAAAACATTTTTGCAATTATTTTTTTCAGTTCATCAGCTATCAGTGTTTGTGTATTTTTTTGTGTTTTTTTATTTTTATTTTTTACTTTAAGTTCAGGATACACGTGCAGAACATGTAGGTTTGTTACATAGCTTACGTGTGCCATGGTGGTTTGCTGCACCTGTCAACCCATCACCTGGTTTTAAGCCCCACATGCATTAGCTGTTTCTCCTGATGCTCTCCCTCCCCTCTCCCCACTCCCCCAACAGGACCCCGTGTGTGATGTTCCCCTCCCTATGTCCTCGTGTTCTCATTGTTCACCTCCCACTTACGAGTGAGAACATGCAGTGTTTGGTTTTCTGTTCCTGTGTTAATTCCTAGGTCGTGGATTGGACGAGCTTGATGTACACCCACCCATGGCTTCTCTCTGAGGGCATTTCTGGTGCAGAAATATTTCAGCCATTTTGAAGATGGACAGGAAGTGGAATTAGTCCCGACAGAGCTGCCCATAGCCAATGGGGAGTAAAAGTTTATAGAGAAATTCCATAGAATCTTTGTCCCATAGTGGGACATTTCAGTTATCCACAGTCTCTCAGAGATTCCCCAGCAAGACTGAGCTCCAGATATCCACAGGGTAACTTCCTGCACGTTCCCATGCCCTCATAATGCCTTGTGAGTTCCCCTTCCAAATAAACGATTTGTTCCCAAATCTTTCGCTCAGGATCTGTTTTTGGAGGAATCTAACCCAAGACAACCTTCTTCCCCTAGAAGCTAGAGTTCAAGTTCCAGCTATACCACTAACTATATTTGTCATTTTCCAAAATCACTTAATCTCTCAGGTTCTCTGTATCTTTGGAAATAAAAGTGTTGAGTCAAAAAAAAAATAAAAAAAGGAAAAAAGAAGGAAAGATAAATGAAGACCACTAAGGCAAATGTCTAGGTTTTCCTCTTAAAAAAAAATATTGTTTCTTTTACTGTGAGTATAAGTTAAAGGGTACACATGCCGGTTTGTTTATTGAATGCTTACTTAAATGCCAAAATGCTTAAATAGATTCACTAGATCCCATAGCAACCCTGTAAAATTAGAAATAGTCTTCTTTACTACACATTGGAAGAAAAAAGTGACACAGACTTTAAGAATGTTATCTGAGATCTCAAAGGAGGTAAGAGCAAAGTCAAATTTTGGAGCAAGTATTTTGACCTTATGTCCTATACTTTTTCCACTAGTCTACAGTTTTATCATAGAATTTTAAGTGTCTTCAGATGGCATCAAAGATTCATTATTTGCAGCAACTGAGAAAAAAATTATATCAAATTTGTTGATTATTGATATTGTTTCATGAATATCACTAATATAGATATAAACTTTTACTGTACTTGATTAGTTAGCAGGCTATTATTATTTTACAACAAATGCTTTGAAAAATTCTTCTAAACATCTGTGTGCAATCAAATTAATACATAAATTTGATCAGATCCAAATTGAAATCCCAATAGAAATTTTAAATGAAATGTTACAAGCTATTTTCTAATTTATTTTCTTGAAGAAATGCAGAAATTATCAATCTATTGACAGAAAGCGATGGAATATAATTTGCTCTTCCAGAAACATTTCATAAGGCGACAGTGCATGATACACTGGAATGAACAAATACACAAATAGGACTTGGAATCAGCTAGATCACTATTTGCATGTATATGTGATCATGTGTGTATGCATTTGTGTCTTTGGCTGTGTATATAGGTGTGTATTTGTGTGTATATATAAACTAATAAATTTGGAAAGATATCTGGGATATATGGGATATATATATGTATATATATAGTCTGAAATGTGAAGAGCATTTCAGAGCAATCCTCAGAAAAATTAAATTCTCACCTATTTTGCTGCATCTATAAACCTGTACAAATTATTTAGAGATATTATGTAGCGGTTTAAAAGGTGTTTTTTGTGTTTGTTATGATAGATCTCCAAGATGTATTGTTAATAGGAAGATCCAGGCATAGATCCAGGGAAAGGCAGATATTTATTTAATCTCAGTGCATTAAAAATTATTTGTGCATGTGCAATAAATGCATACAAATATAGACCAAAAACAAACAAACAAAAAAAAACCTCTTGAAGAAAATCCTCATATTGGTAAAAGGAATGGGATCGAGAGAAGAGGAAATCAAGGGTGTGAGTGACTGCTTCTCTGGTCTCGTAACTTTCTTTGATGGTCAAAGATTTTTGCCACAGCTCGTCGTCACATCCTAGCATGTCAACATTCATGTAAGAAATGGCAGGGAGTAAATCTCCTCAATCTATTTTATTACATAAAAAAAATACATTTCTGAGAAGTGTCCAACACACCTTTCCTAAAATCCCATTGGTTAGGATTGACATCATGCTCATAACTTTGCTGCCAAAATAACAGCAGAAAAGAAAGTAGTTGAAAATTCCTATCTTTGTTATTGCAGACAACCTCTGTCACCAAGAAAGGAGTGGATCATGATTCTTACATAGGGCACTAGCAGTGCCTACCACATTTTCATTACTTTAACATAAACTTTGAGAGGAAAATGTACCACACTTCCCTTTCTTCTCATGAACTCAGTAGCTCATGCTAAAAAATGGTGTCCTAATTGTCAGTGGTGCATTAGTTACAGGCACATTTAGAGGAGGGACATCTGCAGAGTGTTGTGGAAAATCTGACATAGGCTCTACAATAATGTGTCTTTTTGGACTTATAAAAAATGTGTCCCAATTCATGTGTGTGAACATCCTAGTGTTTCTAAATGGATACGAATTAGATTCCCGCTGTATCCCCAGAAGATTTGTTGCTGAAAGGGAATATTTCTCTTTTGAATCAGAATTGAAGACTCGGGATAATTCTTCTGTAACTGTTTCTTAATTATGAAAAATAGTGAACTAAAAAAAAATAAGGCATTTGGGGATTAGTCCTACAAATTGTTTTCTAGGAGAGATCGTATAAAAGATGACTTAACATTAAACTATGGAAAGCACAGACAAGCACTGCAGTGGATCATGATTTGCAAACATCAAACTAAGCAGAGAACTGACTAAGCCAGTGTCAGAGGTAAAGCTGCAGTCGTTAGTATGCGTCACCCAAGAAGTCAAACGCAGGGAGAATAAGAAGCCCTGGATAGAGGTTCAAGGGGAGGTCAGGTGAGTGCCTGCAGGATCAGATTCAAATTCTATTTGGAGACAAGAAATCTAGGAGGCTTAATTTTTAAAATAGCCTTAATAAATCTGCCAATAGATGGATTGGCAGTTTGATGAGGGAACAACAGCCCCGGAGGCTGAGGACTGAACCTTGAATGTGCTATACATTTAGTTCTTTTGAAACTCACCCAAAAGGAAAGCATTGGTATAAAAGAAATGATTAAGATTTCTTACCTTGGAGAAAGCAACAGGAAGTAACATATATTCACCCATTCTTTAAAACAGCGTTACAGAGATTTTCAGGCTTTGTCTGAGAATTGAATCTAACAATATACTCAGAAGGTCTTGACTTTCATGATGTTAGCTAAGAAATGGAACAGTTTCTTCTAGAACCATGAAACTAATAACCAGAGAGAAACTAGGAAAGACATTAACAAATTTAGGCTAGACAGCGACAACTATGCTCTCTACATAGAAATGGTCGCATATTCGTTTTCTATTTCAGTAGTATAAAATCATCACAGATTTAGTGACTTAAAACCACAAGTATATTTAAGTCACGTAGGTCATAATTCTAAAATAACTCTCGACAGGCCAAAATCAAGGTGTCAGCAGGACTGTTTTTCTTTTCTGGATGCTCTGGTGAAGAATTGATTTTTTTTTTTTTTTTTTTTTTTTTTTTTGCCTTCCCCAGCATCTAGAGTCTTCCTAGGTACTAGTGGCTACTTATCATCTTCAAATCCAACAATACCTATTAGAGTCTTTCTCACGTCACTCTGCTGCTCACTCATCTGCTTTCCTCTTCTGCATTTAAGGACCCTCGTGAGCACACTGGACTAACCTTAGTTATCCAGGACAATTTCCCTATAATAGATTCAGCTGATTAATAAGCTTAATTTCATCTGCTACATTAATTCTCTTCTGCCCTGTAAGGAAATATCTTCACAATTTCCAGGAATTGGGATATGGACATCTTTCTGCTTACCACTAAAAAACTATCAGTATTGCAAAGCCTCTATTACACATTGATTTGAAGCTTGGATAGAAGATAGTAAACACAGTACAGTCCTAATACTTAAAACACTTTTCTGCATTTCAAAAGAGCTTGTAAATCGATTAAAATATATTAATGATTAGGGGCAGAGGCAAAAACATTTAGTTCAATTAAGTTTGCATATACTGAGGGTGTTCTCTATTTTCAGAATCATTTTATGCACTTAAAGGGCAGAAAGGAAGTTCAGAATTGACCCAATCCTGATCCTCATCTTTCTAGAGCCCACAAAAGTATCACATTTCCAATCACCTATAGCAGTTTGATAAAAGGAAGTCATTAGAATATTAGTCTAGTAAATAAAGTTAAATATTTACTACTAATTTGATGTCACTTCAGCTATTGGCTAACTATAAGAGGAACATACTTAAAGAAAGAAAAAACTAAATATTCATATCCCATCAGGTCATCATATTGATTTAGAAGTTCTGTAGAAAGTGAAATAATCATGAGACAAATGTTTAAAAATAATTTTACATAGTAAATCAAAAGAAAATACTAGGTACTACTTAATGATGCAATGGATGATGTAAAAAATATTTTAGGTATTCACCAGGAGAAACCATTAGTGTAGTCCTCAAAGATCTAAATCATAGAGTTTATACTGTATTCCCTTCCCTTTTCTGCAGCCTCCATATTATAAAAGTGCCCTCTCCCTATTCTCCCTCCAGGGCTCAAGCCTACTAAAGAACCAAGAAAAATTCTGTAATACAATAAAATTCGTCTCCACCCTTTTTAATGGTTTAAAGGATCAATTCTTCTCCAAGGTACTTAATTACAAGATACTTTTTTTTAAAGCAGATGATTAATTTAACTATTACATATAATGCCTAATTGACAGTCCCCTAAACATGATTCAGTGTTGAAGGATTAATCCAAGTGAAACCATACATGCTGGAATTGCTCGCAGTGTAGGATGTGAAGTGAGATGGCTTCTGGAGTCAGGGAAAACTAGGAGGCCTCTCTGTTTGGAAGCCAGCTCTTGTCTGAATTGCTCCTGATATTTGCTTCCCTCGCTCTATCTCTGAATCCCTAGATTGTTTAAAACCTCCAAGTTTGTTTGTTTGCTTTTTGACAATAGCAAATGGGATTCCTGTGATTCAAGATTCAGAGAAGATAAGAGATGTGCATTTGTATTTGATTTTTTTAATAATATGTGAGAAAAGATCAGTAGTTTAAATATGTGTTGCCTGTTGCTCTTCCTCTGTACCAGTTCTATAGTTTGAGAAATTCTGGATTCAGATTGACTATTTTATATTCAATAGCACATCCACGCCTGACCTATTTAACTACATTTTTGACTTATTTTTCTAGTGATGGCATACCTTGTCATTTTATAATACATTCATAATTGAATTTAAATTTATTTTCCTTCTATGTTTAGAAAAATATAAACATCATAAAACTTTGGGTCAACTTGTGTGCTAAGGTAGAATTCAGTGTCAGTTCTTTCTCCTATTGATTCTAATCTCTTCCCTTTATTTTCTTCTTTTTATTCCTACTGACAAACTATAAGCAGTGTCACTTTACGTGGACTTAGTGATACTGAAATAGCCTCATGTAAGTCACTTCCACATCTAATTTGTGCTATCCAAATCAAAAATCCCTGAAAAATGTTCAACATGTCTAGGACTAGGTCAAATTACATTACTCAAACTTGCTTTCAGAGTTAACCATCATCGCCTTACCTTTGCTCTGGTCAGACCTGCTCTTTACATACCATTTACCTTGACTAAATGATCCACACCAGTCAAGCAACTTGATGTTTCAGGAAATAGCTCAAATTCTCTCTCAAACAGATCGTATTCCCAAATTCTAAACTCTCTACTCTCTCTTAATTCTCCTGTTCCTACTATCTCTACAATTTATCTCCTAATTACAGAGGTCTTTCCTGGTAATAATTTTGATTTATGCTTTTAAATTCATACTATGATTCGGACTTCATGCTTGGAGTTGGTTTGATATTCCTTAAGCAATGTGTCATCCTTAAAGCAAATACCAAATTTAAGAAATGTGTTTGCATATGAATCAACACCGAGTGTCTCATTCTGCTAGGCTACTGAGATAGGCATAGAGATTATTAATGCCTGTGAAAAACGTGAAACAGAGTTTAAGTATCAATTTGCTATTTTTGCCAGCGTTTCTAGTATACTACCTTAAAATTCAAGCCATGTGTATATTTAAATATTAAGACAGAAAAAAGTTTACGTTATTTGAACCTCCACCTCCCAGGCTCAACCAATTTTTTTCATTCCTCAGCATACCGAGTAGCTGGGATTACAGGTGCACACCACCAAGCCTGGTTAATTGTTTGTATTTTTAGTAGAGATGGGGTTTTGACATGTTGCCCACCCTGGTCTTGAAATCCGACCTCAAGTGATCCACCCACCTCGGCCTCCCAAAGTGCTGGGGATTACAGGCCTGAGCCGCCATGCCTGGCCAATGTAATGTAATGTTATGTGCCAAATATTTACATAGCTGCTGAGTAATATATTATTAATTTATTAATATAAATTAGTAGGTGCTCAGTATATTTATTGAGCACCTACTATGGCTGTTTTAAGGAATTTAGGACATATAAATAAATAGTAATTAATCAACAAATCACTCAAATAGATTCAAATGGAGGCATGATACATACTACGGAGGCAAGTGTCAGGTGATATGCAGGTGAAAAACAGTAGCTACCAACCAAGTCAAAGATTTCAAGGAAGGGTTTCCAGGAGAAATGAAGTCTGACTTATGAGAAAAATAGTGTGTGAGTGCTGGTGGAAAAAATGTCCAGGCAAAGGAAGAAACACACACAGAAAATACTTAGCTGGAGGAAGAATGATGTATCCAGCACAGAGCAAGGGGTCACGTCCCGCAAGATGACTCTGGAGAATAACTGGGGACAGATCATGCAGGGTCTTATAAGTAAGTCATTTAAGGGACTTCCATCTTTATTCTAAGAACACTGGGAATCCAGGGAAGGATGTGTGTGTGTGTGTGTGTGTGTGTGTGTGTGTGTGTGTGTGTGTGTGTGGTTACAAGGTGTGGGTGAATTAAATATTTGTAATTCAAAAACATCATGCAGGCTACTCTTAGTGGGGTAGAGTAGAGGCCAAGTCAGCTAGGAAGCGATAGCCACTGAGCAATTTTGACAAGAGTAGCCATGGCTAGGTTTTTTAACAATGGATAGATTTGAAAGGGATTAGTAGGCACAATTGAGCAGACTTGGTTATGGTTGAATATGGAATGCGAAGATCAAGGAAGAGCTAATATGACTTAAAGGAATCTACCTGTATTACAGGATAGATAGCAATGCCTTTCTCTCAATGTACATTTTGACAGATCTTGAGTTTCATTTTGGCTTTGTTGAGTTCTGAATGTCAAATCCAGGTAGTAATGTCAAACTGGCAGACAGGAAAAAAAATCTCTCTCGAACTCAGTAGAGAGTTATTGGCTGATGATATATATTTGAGGGTCATTGTCGGTGGTACCTCATGCCATACCTATTGATGCAATCACCAGGGAGAAAGTATAAAATTAGAACCAAAAAAGTGTCACTGTTATGAGCGCTTTGGCAGAAATAAAATGTAATATTAAAATAGTTCTGTTTTAGAAAAAGTATGTGATTATGAAGATTACTATATTATTTTTGTTAAATGTTTTATTATGTGTTATTATGTTATTTTTGCTATTATTTTAAAGCAAATTATAACGTGAGAGTTTTAACTTTTGATTGTCAAAGACATCTCTCCTATTAGGTTGGTGAGGAAGGAAAGGTTCTCCAAGTAGCCATATCATGCGCTTAACTATTTTACCTTAAAAAGGTTAACAACAGAATTTGTTCTATGAATACAAAGAAACAGGTGCCTGTGGATCCATTTTTTAAGTTAGATATCAAAATATTTTAATACATTTATTTATTACATTCTAATTAAACAATACATTTTCACTACTTTGTTCTGATTTCATAGAAATGTTGAAGGCTGTTTTTCAATTTACATATTTTGGTTCCATACAGTAGTCCCCTCTGTATATCTTACCTGCAGTCAACAGTGGTTTGAGAATATTAAATGGAAAATTCCAGAAATAAATACTTCAGAAGTCTAAAATTGTGAATCGTCCCTTATTCCAGTGTGTGTACACTACCACTACCCACCTGTTTGTCACTTATTAGCTGTCTCTGTTATCAGATCTGCTGTCACAGTGTTGCAGTGCTTGTGCTCAAATAACCCTTATTTTACTTAATAACTTAAAACCTAATCAAATCTTTGAATTCTTGAATTCTTTTTTTTATTGTTGTTGTTTGTTTGTTTGAGACAGGGTCTCACTCTGTCGCCCAGGCTGGAGTGCAGTGGCACGATCCAGACAAGGCCTCCAGGACTCAAAGGATTCTGCCATCTCAGCCTCCCCAATAGCTGGGACTACTGGGATGCACCATTAAAGGCCTAGCTAATTTTTTTTGTTTAATTTTTTAGAGACAGGGACTTGCCATGCTACCTAGGCTAGCCTGGAAATTCTGGGCTCAACAATCTGCCACCCTCAGCCTCAGAAAATGCTGGGATTACAGGCATGAGCCACTGTACCTGGCCTGAATTTTTCTTGTTTAAAATAACATCCTTAATAAGAAGTAACTTTTTTCAAACCATTGTTATGGCAAGACATTATTGTTTGTAACTAGTAGAGACTATGGAATGTTAATTAAGCAGTAAATAAAAGTCTTACAAGGCATTGTCTATAAACTAACAAAAAGTATTGCAAAATTGAGATTACTGTCATTGACTTCAAGTACATGCTGTAAAAATAATTTTATGCATTTAATTATGCAGAATAGAGGCATTATGTGTCTATAGATGCAATAATGTGTCAAGAAGGCTTATCATATATTGTCTTTAAACACGGAATCTTCTAGAAAGATGAATTGTTTGTTCTTTATGATATTGAGATATTTCCCCAAATTTCTGTGGTTGAGGAATTCAGCTGCATCGCTGACCGTATTTCCAAGAGACATTAAATTCTATCAGGCACCATGTGAAACTGCTTACTTTTAACAGGTTTTAAAATTACATGGTTATGAATGAGAATCATTTTAAGCCTTGCCATTTGGTCTAAGAAATGATCTAGAAGTCACAGTCTGTTTATTTCAACAGACACTTACTTTTGACATGGTTCCAATATTGCACAGACACTAGTAAGCACTAAACTTTGAGTCTCAAATTCTCATTAAAGACGAGAGATTCTCAGTGGTGAGATTGAAGGGTTTCAATGTGCAATATTTTGATAAAATCACATATATTTGTGTATGCATATTTATTTTGCCATCTACCTAAGGTATTTCAAATAGTGAAAAATGCAGATGAAGCAAATGTAATGGTGTTTTAGATTGCCAGGAAAATGAGTTAATACATTTCCATCCGATACAAATCTCATTGCAATGTAATGAAAACAAAGGGTTTTATGATAACCCAGAAAGCATTTTTTGCAAAGTAAATCAAGGGAGAAAAGAAAAGGAAAGAGCAAGAGATGTCAGGTCAATATGATTTCTGCTTTCTAAACAGTAATAAAATGAGCTTTGTGATTTCACATAATTGATTTTTGCTATTCATTTCTTTGTTTTAATATAATTGACAAAAATGCTTTTTACACTTCATTAATCTGCTCTAAGATATAAGTAATTGGACGTGTATTCATATGTGGTGATGAAAAGAGCCATATAATTTAATTCTCTACCAAATCATCAAGCAAAAACTTCAAAAGCAAAATTTGAACTCTCACATTCAGAAAATGGCAGTAAAATAACTTCTCAATTTGGTTACTGAGAGTCAGTATTCACACACACCTTGTAGAGGGGCCCGATTATTTTTTTCATACGGAAGTGTCAATATCTGCTACATCTCCATTCCAGCCCATCACTGACCTTCCTGCTGAACTTCAACTGGATGCAAAACAAACCCACAAATTCTATTTTAGAGGTAAGAAAACGTAAGCAAATCAAATTGAATGAGAGAACTCAAACAGTACTAACTCAGCGGTCCATGTCACATGGTTCTCTTTTTTATTGCTTTGCTTTGCTTTGTTTTCTTTTGGCATGGGCAGTATACTTGGAGAGATACCACTCAATTCATCTGCACTGAGCTCCTTTACAACAGAGTTCTATTACAGTAAACCTGATTTTTTTTTTTGCTAATGTTTCTAAAAATGTCACTAGTACTTTTGCTGAGTTTAGCTGTCTGAATTTTCTTTTTCTATCTAGAGATAAATTAAAGTAGTGTTGTAGATCCTGACACTGTATAGAGAATATTAACCATAGAAAATTTGAACACTTGTCTTTTATTTTTAACTTTTATTTTAGATTCGGTGGTACATGTGCAGGATTTTTAAAGGAATTTGAAGAACTTCATTTATTAGTAAAGTTAGCAAATTATTTAGTGCTAGATTATTTGGGGTTATCCTAGTAACACATCTGAATCAAAATATAACAACATATTTTACAGTACTTTAACCAAATTTTCTTTTTAATTATTAGTGTAGACTTTCCAAAATTTTTTTGAAAAGTAAATCTTACATTGAAATAAAAAGCAAATGATCAAATAAACATTGAGCTATTGATATCATTTTACCTCTATTGGAAAAATCTGCTTCCTATTGAATGGGTTTCTTTGAATAAAATTAAATAACATAATATCTACTCACATTGGTTTGGAAATATATTCCCAGACAACCATAAAGCTCATTTATTCAAATAATTGTCATTAACTTTCATGTAAGTTTTGCGTGGAAGCCTCATGTGTATTCAGAAAAAATATGATTTATCTGTATAGGAATAGTGATAAACCCTAATTTGTATTACTAAATGGCTTCAAATTTCTGTTACCATTTAGACAACTTGTTAGAATACAGAATAGGGAAAAATGTTCTCTTGTTTGACACATTTTTATTAACAACTGATTTTATTTATCTTCTAAATTTATTTGTCTCTTAGAATCATAATTGCAAAAAGATTATAGAATTTAGTCTTACTGCTTTACAAATTAAAGCCCTTAAAAGTCGAAAAAGCTAAGTCACTGGATCAGTGAATACTTAGACAAAAATTCAGTTCTCATGAATTGTAGAGAAGTTAGTGATGTGAACTTCACAAATTCTTGGATTCAAAGCCTATATCCACCTTTACAAGATGTAAATAAGCCATTCTCTCTGAACTTTTGTTTCTTCACAGAATTATGGAAGTCAAATGACGTATGTATTCAGGTCACAGAAAATGTATGATGCATGGTGCCATTTAAAAAAATATTTGCTCTGTGGTAAGCACTGTGCTGTTTATTTACTCATACTCTTTTTGAAGCTAACAATCCCTACAAGGTAAGAATAATTGCACTCAATTCAGGACATAGCTCTATCTGTTACCTAATGTAAGTACTTGTCATGTGGTAACAAAACTAGTAACAGAGACAGATTTTAGAACCCATGTCGAACTTTTCCCTGTGCCCTATTGCTCAGTAGCAAAATCTATAAAGAATATTTATTTCCAATTTTGTTAGTTTCATTCTGCAACACATATACGAGCAAAATGTTAACTTTAAACATTTCATAATTTCTTTTTACTTAAGGAAACAATAAGATTCAAAATACTTTAAAACATTTTGCAATTACATAAATTCTTCCTATGAGAAGATAAGACTAGCTACCCTGTTTAAGTTTCTGGCATTTGAAATTGTCTAAGGGACTTGAATTTTAATGAATGTACTTTGGAAATTATCTCTAAGATTTCATTGGGTCTAATGCAAAACATCTGAAGGCAATTTTATTATTAGTTGCATACTCTTATCTTTAAGAGAGAAAATTAACTTAGATAATTAGAGCCTTAAATAAGTGTAGAGTTTTGGGGTCAGGCGCTGAGGCTCATGCCTGTAATCCCAGCACTTTGGGAGGCTGAGGCAGGCGGAACACGAGGAGATCAGGAGTTCAAGACCCAGCCTGAACAACATATGGCGAAACTCCGTCTCTACTAAAAATACAAAATTTAGCCGGGTGTGATGGCACATGCCTGTAATCCCAGCCACTCAGGAGGCTGAGGCAGGAGAATTGCTTGAACCCGGGAAGCGGAGGTTGCAGTGAGCCGAGATCACACCACTGCACTCCAGCCTGGGCGACAGAGCGAGATTCCACCTCAAAAAAAAAAAAAAAGTGTAAAGTTCTAAAGACACTAAACACATACCAAAAAAAATATATATATATTTATATATATATATATATCTGAAGTATAAATTGATGAAAAAATAAATGTTTAAATTATGGATAAAATATACATGTAAAATAAAATTATCCACATAGAAAATTGTCATAAAACATACATAAGAGATTAATATCATATTGGTATGGTAGGAGCTGGAAATTGTTATTATTTCTCATAATATTTTCAATAACAATCAGTACAATGAGTGTTTTAAAAATTATTTTAATATTTTATTAGAACCATTTTACATATATTAGATATATGTATTACATAATTAAATATATATGTAATTATACAGACATTATACATATAGTGTAATAAGACTAAAAAATTAACCATAACCTTATTCTAGTAGACATTTTAATAAACTATTTCTACATTTATTATAGCTTTCTCCAATTTTTTTGTTTGATAAACAGAATAATGTGATAATGTGGATCTTTTTCATTAAAGAAATTGGAATGGAAGGGAGAATATAACATAAGAAAGTATACTGTTCCAAGTTTGAGAATTTTTATGACAGGTTTCCAAGTATTTAATAGATATGTCTGAAACTTCTCTTTTTCTCTTAGTCTTTGTGGCTCTCTGTTTCTCTCTCTATATATATGTATATGTATGTCTATGTATATATTTATATGTATACAAAAACACACACACACATATAATTTTCAACTATTTTATTTCTAGGACCAGAGAAATAATAAAGCTTTCTAACTTGTTGTCATTGGAGGAACAAATTTTGTTTCAATTCAATTAAAATTAGAAATATACAACCTTTATGATCAAGCATTATGATACAATATGAACGTCATTTTCTCTGTTTTTGAAGACCATTCAAGTCTGGCATGGGAGATACAAACAAACATACATTGATCAATTCATTTAAATATGGTTTACTTTAGAATCCAGTTTCTTCTCTTTGTTTCACAGTTAATATAAGTTTGGAGTTGTTTAGACAAATGCAATACTTAGCTTTAAAAATCTGAAAGCCCCTTGGAATTGTTACTTGAATAATTATGTTTATCAAGTATAATATAGAAAAGAATTAACCTTTAACAAATTGTAGACATATGCACATACATATATAAAAATTCAGATTTTTCAATTTTATGATAGTATTTTATCTGATTCAAGTAGAAACTATCACTAACTCTTTCTAGGTATGCTTAATCTAAGGCTTACCAAAAATTAAAGAAAGGCTCATTTGAGATGGTTTAGATTTTTATATATTTACAGTATTAAATTTTATGCTATGCTGTCTAAATGGAATTTTAAAATTCTATGATGTTTACAGTTCAAATTTAATGATTATAATTTTATTTATATTATTAAAAATTTCTAAATAGTGGGTTCTCTCTGTCTCTGTCTCTGTCACACACACACACACACACTTACTTCAAATGAAGGAGAATAGTGGGAGCATTTGAACTTTCTCTAACGAAGACTCTTTATGCTGGTCCCAAACTCCTATCCCATTATGCGTCTTTAGGTATATCTTCCTTCATAACATCAAAATGTTTTTTCATGCAAGTAGTTGATGCCGTTCATGAGGTAGATTACTTTCTCATAATGATAAATTCCACCCCCAAAATCTAAAATAAGCACACCACATATCCATAAATACAGTCATAAGCTTATGAAAATCATAATTCTTCTGGGCAGTCATGTCTACTACATAATTCTGAAACAATACTGAATAATTTTCTGTTTGCACAAAATCAGTGTTCTATCATTTTCTTGGTAGTCTCTCTTTTAGATGCATTTTGCATGAAAAATGCAAAGTCTAGGCCGAGCGCAGTGGCTCATGCCTGTAATCCCAGCACTTTGGGAGGCCAAGGCGAGTGGATCATCTGAAGTCAGGAGTTGAAGACCAGCCTGACCAACATGGTGAAACCCCGTCTCTACTAAAAATAGAAAAAATTAGCTGGGTGTGGTGGCGGGCGCCTGTAATCCCAGCTACTTGGGAGGCTGAGGCAGAAGAATAGCTTGAATCCAGGAGGCGGAGGTTGCAGTAAGCTGAGAGTGTGCCACTGCACTCAAGCCTGGACAACAAGAGCAAAACTCCTTCTCAAAAAAAAAAAAAAAAAGAAAAAAAAAAGAAAGAAAAATGCAAAGTCTATTTTTTGTGGGCTTTTTTGGTGAACAATTTTTTTTTCAAATTTATTTGTTAAAATTGACGCATAAAATTGTGTATATTTATCATGTAGAACCTGTTATTTTGAAGTATATATGCATGTGGAATGATTAAGTCTAGCCAATTAACAAATACATTACCTCACATAGATATCTTAGTATATGCATGCTGTTGTAGTTTCTTTAACTAAAGGATTGAGAATTGTGTAACTGTATCACTATGTACTAATTTGTGTGTGTGTGTGTGTGTGTGTGTGTGTGTGTGGTTTATGAAGCCTCTTACAATGGTGGAACTGATTCTATTGTTTTAAGCCCATCAATACTGATCAGATAATTTGTTTTTAAAACAACTAGATCAGCTTGTTGTTTATTAGATAATTATAACTGTCATCTGATTGTAAAGCACACTTGACACAGACCTTTAACATGCACTTCATAAATGCTTTGTCTAATTCAAATATTAAGGAATTACCTTAAGAGAAATAGTCCTCAAAAACATGTTATTTAGGTTCCAATTTTACAAGGCTGAATCCTTTTATAGGTATGACCTCCCAGACAATGAGTGGAGTTGAATACTGATAGTCACATAG
Source organism: Homo sapiens (assembly GCF_000001405.40). Lineage (NCBI taxonomy): Eukaryota > Metazoa > Chordata > Mammalia > Primates > Hominidae > Homo > Homo sapiens. Next base: position 79,522,836 of record NC_000003.12, on the reverse strand, counting down.
TTCGTGCTCTACAATTAAACATAACTTGAAGTTTTTTCTGAATTTAATATAAAATATATCAGTTAAATTTAAACTCTAAAACCACGATCATCTTTGAATATAAATGCTATCTTTAAACAGAAATAATGACGTATCGATACATTACTATATGCACCGTAGGAATCTATTGGTGTTATTTCCTCCTTCCAAAAGGGGTTTATTAAGTTCCCTTTCCATTTAAAGCTCCCCAGTAGGTATCAAGGATACAAAAGTAATGAAATGAGGTTCCTCTCCTTGGGTGGATGGAAATGCACAAAAGCAAGTGGAAATCAGTGATCAAAGTGATGAATACAGGAATGATGACTCCAGGATTTCAGACAAGGCGATGATTACTTCTGCTTTCAAGGCAGAATTCAGAAGAATAGATTTCAGAGAGGTGGTCTCTCAATCACTTCTTGAAAGAAAAATAGAAGCTTGCCAGTTGCAGGAACAGAGGCAGAGAGCACATTCCAAAAAAAAAAAAAAAAGTAACAGTCTTGGGAAAGACAGTGGTATAAAAGACCATGGTCTGTTTAGATAATAATAGGGGACTATTGCAGAAAAACAACAGATAGCAAAGGGTCTTGAAGGCAATCCTCAGAAGTTTGGGTTCCATTGTAGCAATACAATTACCAGTAAGTTATTAAAATACAGAATTTATTATACCAAAACAATTATCAAATATGATTTCTTTGGAGTTGCACAGCCACAGATACACTAAATTATAATACTAATAGATGACATACTGAATCTGTTTTGTTGTTATTAACTTCATATATTTGACCATATTGACAGTCATAATAATTGTCTTAACATGACAATCCTACTTCCTTTGGATTATAGCATACAGTTAAGCATATATTTTACCTATCTATGTAAACCAACCATGTAATGTTGGATAGAAGAAGAGGGAAAGGTCATCACCTCTCTCTACTGACACAGATATCCAAGGCACATTCAAGGTAGCATCCTGGAACCAGCATCCAGGTGCTTCCCCACACATCTTCCCCTTAATCTCAGGAGCAGACCGTGGATGGGACAAGTCTCGGGGTTCACAATGCAGGAAGTGTGTGTGTGGGTGGGGGGTGGTGACAAATATGGCCACTTCATTTTCAAAACATCTGCTAAAAGTGTTTATTTGAAGCTAAATAAGTATTCACTACAAATCAACTTCAGAATACCTTTTGTGTGGGATTTGTCTTGAGGGTAGGAAAGAGGCTTCAGTCATTTTAACCTTTTTTCGATAGTGTTACTTATGTAGTCACTTGTCTTACACATGCATATAGGCTAACGAAGACACACCTATTATAGCATTTTTCATCTGAATTAGATCGATGTCGGAAGTAACCAGTGATTTTTGAAGGGGCGCACGAAACTCCTAGCTTATTCTGCCACCTTGTGGTTAAAACACAAATTTCCATCACACCAATAATGTAACAAGTGTGTATTCTCTACCTCAAGGAAATTAATCCCTGTGTTTCCTAAACAGGAACCCCTAAGAAAATTGGAGTTGTGTATATATTTTCTTGATAAATAGTCAGACATTTAAGGCAAGATGATGCTTTCTTTGAATTGCTTGACTTCAGTTAAAAGCAAGTGATGGGGAAAAAATAATCTTTATAGTCCTGGAACACATTTAAAGACAGGAAACCAGTATAATTAAGCACTCCAATCAGAAAAGGAGCAATTGTGGGGAGAGGAGATGATTGCTTTCACAAGGGGTTCCAGCCACCATCTGTAGGCTTGCACTTTGAATGGGGTCTCAAAGATTATTCAATGAAAGTAGCTAATGTCTACAGACTATCTAAAATGCATATTTTCTCTTTAACACTGAGTTGTGGTCTAGATAATTTCACTAAATATTGTCTGTCTCTACATTGATTCAAGTGTTTTGTCCTATACTTTAAATTTCTTTTAAAAATTGATTTTAATCTCTCACTCAAAGTATTTTTCTCATAAATAAAAGTGTTTTTTTTTTTGGCTCTGGTTTGCTTCTAGGTTAGTGTTTCAAAACTATTTTTGAACCAAGAGACATTAGTTTCATTATCATATGTTGGATACAAATATCAATTAACTTCCCCAATTCTTTTCCCTCAGGTAGTTCTTGCTACTATTCCACTTTTATATCATCCGTGTAATCTCTGTTATAGTTTGCATTCCTAATTTTTAAAAAGCTGTCTCATAAGATATGAGTTTCTCTATCTTTATCTTAATTTCACAATATGTCTTATTCATAAACTACTCCAATTTTCCCCATATGGAAATATAACTGAATAACACTTTGTGTTAAATATTAAACATTTGCCATGGCTGAAGGAACAAATCTGGATATCATATTATCTCCTGAGTTCTATACTCATTAATGCCTTAAGACCCAGAGCTTACCAGTCAACTACTGAGGCCAGAAAATTTGTACTCTAGACTCTCCTTTTTCTTACCATTCTGAGATGAGGGACATCATTGAATTGAACTACTCTTAATTTCTTATCATTTGTCTTCACTTGTGTTTTAGAAGAGATCTCACAGCCTAAGGTTAATAGCTAACTTCCTGACACCCGATCTAGTTTTCCTTCTGCCTGTTTTACTTTGCTTTCTTCGGCATATGTGCATGCATCCTGGGGGTACACAAAGACTCTCTCTCTCTCTTTTTTTTTTTTTTTTGATAGAATCTTGCAGTCACCCAGGCTGCAGTGCAGTGGTGCAAACAGGGCTCACTGCAGCCTCGACCCCCTGGGCTCAAGCAATCCTCCTACCTTCTAAGTAGCTGAGACTACAGGCTTGTGCCACCACTCCTAACTGATTTTTTCTTTTTTAAAATTTTTTCTACACAGCGGGGCTTTTCCTATTGCCCAGAATAGTCTCAAACTCCCAGGCTCAAGCAATATTCCTGTCTCAGTATCCCAAAGTACTGGGATTACAGATGTGAGCCACGGTGCCCAGCTGCAAGGTCTCTTAATTGAAGTTTAAGATCAATTTAATTATTCTTCTCAAGTACTTGCCTACCTTTGCCTAGAGGAGGATTGTAAGAAAGTGATAATGCATCTAATTTTGCGAAGACATCAGACCCACTATTCTGGCTTAATTATTTAAAAACACTTTCACTCTCAACCTTCTCCTGGCTGGGACAACATATTATATTATACTTAGCATACATTTCTTTTTTCTTTTCTTTTTTTTTTTTTTTTTTTTTGAGCAGGAGTCTGGCTCTGTCACCCAGGCTGGAGTGCAGTGGCATGATCTTGGCTCACTGCAACCTCTGTCTCCCAGGTTCACGCCATTCTCCTGCCTCAGCCTCTCGAATAGCTGAGACTACAGGCGCCCGCCACCACGCCCGGCTAATTTTTTGTATTTTAGTAGAGATGGGGTTTCTCCATGTTGGCCAGGATGCTCTCGATCTCCTGACCTCGTGATCCACCCGTTTCGGCCTCCCAAAGTGTTGGGATTACAGGCGTGAGCCACCAGGCCCGGCCACACTTCTTATAGTGAGAACTATTTCTGTCTCCATCAATATCAGGTTTGGCCACGTGACATGCTTTGACCAGTAAAAGATGAAAGAAAAAGATCAATATGGGTTCTGAGCTGAAATTTTCAGCGCCATTGAGAGTTTCTTAAAGATCTTATCATCTCTTCCCTCTACCACAAGAATAGCATGCTTCTTGCTCTTGGAGCTCATTCCAGAATCCAGGCTGAGGAGACATTGGGGCTTTCTCTTCAGCCTGGGTTCTGGAACGAGAAGCATTCAGGAAGAAAGCAGATTAACAGCTATTAATAACTGGCCACCATGTAAAATGAATGACAAATGCATGCTGTTAAGAAACAGCAAGATTTGGAGACCATTTGGCCAGGCGTGATGGCTCACACCTGTAATCCCAGGACTTTGGGAGGCTGAGGCGGGTGGATCACTTGAGGTCAGTAGTTCGAGACCAGCTTGGCCAATATGGTGAAACCCCGTCTCTACTAAAAAAAAAAAAAATACAGAATTAGCCAGACGTGGTGACATACACCTGTAATCCCAGCTACTTGGGAGTCTGAGGCAGGAGAATTGCTTGAACCCGGGAGGCAGTGAGCCGAGATCGCACCATTGCACTCCAGCCTGGGCAACAAGAGCAAAATTCCATCTAAAAATAATAATAATAATAATAATAAAAGATTTGGAGAATGTTTATTATCTATGCATAATATAGAAAAAGCTTTACATTTTCGTTTATGTTCTGTTATCACTCCTTCTCCCCATTCATAATTCTGAAAAGCAATCCTCCTAGGTCTTCTAACTTACTGTTGTTTCACGGACAATTCTAAAGCTATTGCTCACATATATACTGAGAAACTAGACCTTTTAGGAAGTAGCAACTCTAAAACTACCTGAGAGAACTGAAAGAAGGGGAAAGAAAAGAAGCACGGAGGGAGGGAGGCTGGTAGGAGCAGCATGTGCCATTGCATCTCTATTTCCTGTTGTAGATAAGCTTGGCCATCATATTTGTCTTCTTCCCTTCCCCTTCCTTTCCTCCTTCTCCTTCTTCTTCTTAACATGCCTTACCCTATGCATTTTTTTCTCCCAAATCTGAGTATCTACTCAGAGACAGAATATCTGAGTATTAGTTTATTGATAAACTAAATACACTTATAGGAAAATTAGCATACTTTTGTAGAAATGTACATTCAAAACCAAATAGGTTGTAAGAGTAGAACCTTATATGAAATCTAGTCAGCTCCTAATCATTCTGACCCTAATCATTGTAGGTAAATTAGAAGGCCACTCAGACAGCAATGCAAGCTCCAGGATTCTTCACACATTCCTTCCGCTCTCTTACCACCAGATGGCTCTCCAAGCCAACGTGGTCAATAAACCCTAACACCCTGGAAAATGTCAGTATAATACCAGATTTTTTCCTGAAAGGGATTAAATGATTATTTCTTGGAATACCACATATTCATTCATTCAATCATTGTTCCCTCATTAATCCATCAGCAATTGAAGGTTTGAATGAGACTGCCACAGAGTTTATTTCATAGTAGAGTAATAAAATGTCTACAACTATTACTTTAGCCCCTGCCACACAGCAAGTATTCAATAAGTGTCACCTATAATTAGCTACCTTGGGCCATACAAGAACATTCTAAAAGAATATTTTCAGTCTCTTGCCTCTCTCTTTATATGTTACTTATACCCAGAACAGAGGGTAAACAAAGATGATCTGGGCTGCAGATAAAGATTTAGGAGCCATTTAGTGCTATTACATTAGTACTTTGAAAGTCACAGATATGAAGGAGGTGGACCAGAAAGAATGTTAAAATAAGAAAAGAATCAAGAATAAATCCTAGGACCTACTAATATTTAAAGGTTAATAGGCTGAAAGGAGCCTAGCAGAGAGATTGATGCAGAGCCAGCCAAGAGTTTAGAGAACAATAAGGAAAAATAAGTTCTCCTCACACCCAAAGGCCACCGGCAAGGAAATTTCTGCAGGGAGAGAGTGATGGTCAGTGTCGACTGTTCCAGAAAGATCAAGTTAGATACAGACAAGAAGCACTCGCTGGAAATTCAGTTATTGGTAACTTGAAGCATTAACTATGGCATAATGGAGTACTAGTCAAATTGAAATGAACCCAGGAGTGACAGGATGTGAGGAAGTCAATAAAAATGAGAACGAGTGATAACCAGTAATCGAAAGGAGGTTAGGAAAATATTTTCTTTTGTTTAAGGTGAGGAATGACTGCGCATGATTTTTACACTAAGGGAAAGAATTCAACAGAAAGAGTCTTATGGTATGGTAAAAAGAGAGGGTAATACACTATGATGCAGTTTATCACTCATTGGAATGACACATTTTGTCTGATGACACATCCTCTTGACCAGAGTGTGGGGAACACCTACTCTCATGTGCTTACGGGAGTATAAATTGGTATTGCCTTACAGGAAGGCAATAGTGCATTATCTTTCTTTCTTGTAAAAAATGCACAAAAACCTTTGTCAATCATTTCCATTTCTAGAAATCTATCCTGTAGATAAATTCAAATACATGTGAATTAATATATATTCAAGATTGTTTGTTTGTACTCAAACACAACTGGCATATCCATCAATAGGCAATGATTTAATTAATTCTGATACACATACAATTAAATAGCATGCAGCTTTTAGAAACAACTTTGGAAAGATCTCTACATATTAAAGTTTTAAATACTACATAATAATATGTATAATATACTATGTGTAATAAAAAGGGAATCAGAATATATATCCATGTTTGTTTGTGTATAAACAAAGAGACTATGGCAAAGTTAAAAAGTAACTAAAAATAATGGCAGTCTGTGTATCAGTGTGGCAGTAGGGAGGATTGTGTGAAAATTGGGGTAGAGAGGAAGAGCGGTGAATAGGAGACCTTCCACTGCATAACTTTTTATTCTCTTTTGAAATTATATATGCTTCCTTTTCAAAAATGTGAAAATATGCATTTTTAAAATATAAATATAGGTAAATTGAGAGCTGTGAATGAAGAAGTGAGAGTATGGCTGTATATTTTTAAAAGCATTTGATCTAGTGGAAGGAGTACTGAGCTTTCTGACAAGTAGAACTTATGTTATCTTTATTTAAAATTATTTTTGAATTATTTTAATTATACTAACAGTAAACCACATTATCAACTCAATCATCAATTGCCAGGTTTCAAAAGCGGTTGCAGTGAAAAATTTAAGGTATGGAAACCTTTTTTTTTCTTCATATGCATTGATCATTTCTAGAAGGAAAGCGAAGGATCTGTTAATACTGGAGGAAAGAAACTTGGAGACTGAAAGTCAAGTGTGGGACAGAAACTTCCTTTTCCTTGTTAAAGCTTTGTAATTATTTCAGGCTATATATGCACAGTATATATGACCCAGTATATTTTATTCATGAAGTAAAATATATTTTATTCATGAAGTAAAATATACTGATGCAAAGTTGCAAAAGATGTGAATATGTGAACACATCAACCAAATACCTTTAAAAATGACTACATACCAACTAGCTAGAAAGTTGCATGAACATTTTATGATTCTTTTTATGGGATATTACCCAAGAAAAATGTTGTTTCAACCCAAAGACTATATTCACGTTCACGAACCTAGGTTTCAGTCAAATCAATATTGAATAGGACAAATACTTGGATATAGTGTTTTGAACATATAAATTGTACAACACTGAGAATATTATTTATGAATATTTGTAAATCTATATATAGAGAGAATCCTGAGATAATGTTAGATCATTTCAAAATGGCATTGGATATTATGGAAAAATAAGACACTAAGGATACGAATTGTTAACAGTTAAAGGAACGTCTGCTCAGCAGCCACAAACATTGTTGGTGGTTGAGAGGAAATTTGCATCTTTATAATAAGTGTTATATGAAAAGCAGAGCTCCTTTCACATGCCAGCTCAGCTATTCAAGCTATTCTTATCTTCTATCTGGAATACTGCCTAGTAAGAATAGGAAATTCTTCATTCATTTTGGCAATTATATCTGCCATGTGCAGGCAACACAGAGCATTGGCGAACATTCAGAATGCCCGAGGACTGGATTCATTGGTGGAGGACAGTGAGCATTGTTCAACAGTGCAGGAAGCTCTGCTGGCTTTCATAATGCATGAGCACTGGTTTGGGCTATTTTTCAGCCGCTTGTGTTGACTGCATGCATGCTGCCATGAGCCATGAAGCCACTCCTCTCCAGGCTGTGTTTGGAAGGGGAAATCAGCAAACAAGGCTCGGAGAATTTTACATTTAGTAGAGCCAACCTCTTTTGCAACCAAAAACACTCAAGAAAAAAAAATAGTATAATTGTGTCCAATCATTCATTTGAATTACACAGAAACATTTCTCTAAAATGGGAAAATGCAGTAAAATATGTGATTCCATATTTGTAAAATGTTCTAAATGTTGAAATTCTTTTGATAGACAGCAAAGGTACTTTAAGAACAAAAGCATGTTTCCTTAGATTCCATAAAAGTTCAATGAGTAGTTCATAATACTTAAGTGTTTATTTTAAATGTGTTCATTTTAGTGTCTGTGTTTGAATTTGCTGAATGTATACATTAAGCTACAATTTTATGGAAAACATTACAGTTTCATAAACACTCACACACAGACACATACACATCAATAGGTTAAAAGGTTTTTTGGTGATAATAGTGTTTATAGTGTTAATACACTGTAACACTTGACTCCTTGTCCAGTACTTTCCAAAAGGGATTAAAAACTCACAGTCTTCAAACCCTAATATAGACAAGGACCAGTACAGATTATTTTAAAAATGCATTGGACCCCAGAGAACCAGAGACTGTGTCCAGCCCAAAGGTTTTAAGTTTTAAAAGAAAAAAAATGATATTGACCAAAAGAAATTTTCAACAGTTCAATCCTGTCCACCAATGTGCTATCACATTGTGCCTTATCTACATTCTTTAAGAAGTATTTTGAAAAGAAGAGACTGCAATCCAGGCTGTAAAAATATGAGAGAAATTCATTTGACTCCTCCACCCCCGCACACCACGTGGATCTCTAAGAGAAATGTGCCTTTTGGAATTGAGGCCCCAAATAAAAGTTAAGCTCTGTAATCTTCCCCTGGCTTTCCAAACAAATAGTTGAGTTTTCTCTGTGAATGTGGTCCTCAGCTTCAACCTGCCTTATTCCTGCTGCTCCTCTAGAAAGCTATTCTTTCTCTGTGTTCCCCACATCCTCTGGTTCATTTTCCTAATGGCCGTGCTGCTCCCCAACATTGGGGTAAGTGTGTTGGGATCATAGAAGTGGTGACTAACGGTCTAGAGAACAAAAGGTTTTCAATCACAGTTGTTGTCATCAGCAAAAATAGTCAGAAGAAGTTCTGAGTGATTCATACATATAATTGTGTTATACCAACATTATTTTATCCTAAAACTTTGGAAATAAAAGGATAAAAATGTTCATTTCTTGGGGATATTTTAGCAATATAATTTTGCCAGAGCAGTATTGAATTTTGCTTTTAAGTTTCATATAGATTAAGCAATAACATTACCTTTAAAATCACTGTTATAATGAAGTTGGCATATCAACAAATCACACAATAGTCTATGTGCACAAAGAATGGGATTTTTTTTTTTCCATGGCAAATTCAGGTTATTTTTATTAACTTTTCTTCAATGTAAATGCTGGCTCTTACAAGGCAACATTCTCCTTGGCTTATGTAGGTCAAAAAGTGACTTAATCGCTCTATAAAAGATGTCATTATAAATTGAATTACTTCTCAGTTATGTAGTGAGTCTTGTGAATTTACTAGGGTGTAGGGGGAGGTGAAAGAGGGAACTTTCATGAGAAGAATAATTTAATTACTTTTTCTGTAACTGAAGGTATAGTGTGAGTTCATGGTAATCATCTGAAAGTTTTTTTTTCCCCTCTTGCTGCTCCTTGGAACATAAAGATTGCTTTTTAAAAATATGGTTGAGCATATTATTTTTTCTCCTTAAAAATATATTAACATACTTCTATTTATAGATATATAGATGTATTATTACATAGTTTAGTTATTTTAAGTCATCTACTAGTTTTCTATGATAGAATATATTACATTTTATTACATTAATGTTTTCTCATAAAATACGAGACTGAAAGTTCCACAGATCTGTCAGAACAGTTAAAAATGGCTTCCTACACTTCATTAAATATACTGTTGGTTTGTTTGCTGATATTTCCTTTTGGCTATTTGTTATCTTCCATGGGGTTTTCTATCGTCTCCTAGAATTTCACAGATCAGTAATCTGAAATGAGATTTTGATGTTCAAACCTCAGGTTCTTTGCTAGATATTAAATATTCCATGTGAAGGTCAGGTTAGGATTGATTCATTGTGCTTGATACAAACAGCAGCTTTCAGTCCCTTTAAATCATGACTTTTTCTGTTTCTCTTTTTATGCATAATGGGCACTTTAACTCAGAAGATCTGCTTTCTGCATTATGGAAGAAAAGCAATTCATATTTTTCAACGGCTTGCATTAAAATCCTACACTGTGTATTTTGTTTCCATGATATTATTTATGTTTAGAATTGTTCATCTCTGAATGTCTAACACCAGGTTTTCCCTGTAAGTTCTCAATCTTTTGTTTCTGTTCCTTCAGTGCAATGCCAATTCTTTGTTTTGGAATGTATTATTCTATTGTGATGATGGTAATTAAAGTCTATGTGATAAATATTTCCTGTTTAGAAAAAGGAAATTATCTCTAGGATATGTCTGGTTTATTCCTTTTTTTAAGATCAATAAATAGTAACAACTCGAATATGTAAAAAGGAATTAGATATAGCATAAAGAATTCTAGCAGCAGAAGTTTAGTTGCACAGCACGTAACGAGTTCGCAGGTTTGGGAGAACCAAATTAGTTACTGTATGTAAGATCCTTTGCAAATTGTAAACCAAAATAAATAGATAAGCTATTCTAATTTTAGAAGTAAGGCATAATCACAAAAAAATGGTGAATTCAATATAGCACAAGACTTATAATTGATTTTTAAATACAGCATAATACTGGGTCTTTTTTCATAGTTAATAAAATCTTGGTGGGAATTCAGCTCATGCTAGCTATATTCACGTATAAAGTAGAATCACTTCGAGTTATCTCTTTTTAATAATTCTATGTGATATAAACAGATTATTTAATTTCTCTGGGCCTCAATGTCTTCCTGAAAAAGTGGGTTGCACCAGACGATGTGTAGACATTACTATCAGTTTTCTTTCTTTTTATTAAATTAAGTTCAGGGGTACATGTGTAGGATGTGCATTTTAGTTACAAAGGTAAACGTGTTATGGGGATTTGTTGTGCAGATTATTTCATCATCCAGGTATAAAGCCCAGTATCCATTAATTATTTTTCCTGATTCTCTCCCTCCTCTCACCTTTTACCCTCTGATAGGCCCCAGTGTGTGTTGTTCCCCTCTGTGTGTCCATGTGTTCTCATCACTTAGCTCCCATTTCTAAGTGTGAACAGGCAGTATTTGGTTTTCTGTTCCTGCATTAATTTGCTAAGGATAATGGCCTCCAGCTCCATCCATGTCCCTGAAAAAGACATGATCTTGTTCTTTTTTATGGCTGCATAGTATTCCATGGTGTTTATGTACAGTATTTTCTTTACTTAGTCTATCATTGATGGGCATTTAGGTTGATTTCCTTCTAGCTTCTGACACCTCTCTGGTCTTGAGCTAGCTTTGCCAGTTGAATTTTGATATAATTTGCCAGTATTGAAGCTTAAATAAACTTTTATATTTAAGCTCTATGGCCAACCTGTTGAGCTAGGTGTCCTATCTACAGACTGAGTGTATGAATGGGTGGAAACAAGATGATGAAAATTACAGAGAGAACTGAATTAGACAACCAGTTATTTGAAAATGCATATCCTTCGAGAATAGTAGAAAGTAAGTAGAGAAATTTACTAATATATCCATCCAAAGGAATCCAAATTTTCTTCCTTGAGTGAGTAGAGTATCTTATTTAATCTGAAAAATAATGTTGGGTAGTATTTAAACTTATTTTCAATTTACTGATGAAGTTGAAAAATTTGCGATCATTTAATTGTCCATTATTTCTAAGTGAGCAGCACACTAGGCCAAATTTCTAACTTAAGTTTTTGTGAGCCCATTAAGAAGTCTAATATCATAATTAACTGCTGTGTGTTTTCTTGATTATACTCTTCTTTTACCTCTGCTCTATAATATGAAGGCTCTAACAAATCTTGTGTGTTGTGCTGATGGTCATCCCGAGTATCTTGAAGAGTCACTGATATATAGTGGGCACATAACACAAATTTGTGAAATTAAAAAAATGTGCAGATTTGTTAAATGCTTTGATTGAAAATCATGCATCTCAATTATGATTTTGAGGAACTCAGGCACCCTAGTGTCTCAAGGAGACAACAGAAACTTCTAAGCATCATTTAATTTTAATTCATTTTAATTCCAAAGTAAATACATGATGTTATTTTCTAGGAAGTGTTGGAATGAGGGTCTTAAAATCCAAAAATGTCAGAATACAGTATCCCCCAAATCTTGGAATCTTTGTATTGAGCCAAGAATAACTTGTATAATTTTCATTTCTTTTTCAAGACTTCTCTGTCGCATAGACATTTCATACCTTACACATATTTTTTCTCCCAAATTAGTGTAGATAATTTTTCCCTAGGATAAAATGACCTAATCACTGCAACATTTTATGAGATGGCTAGAATCATAAAGTAGTTTAAAATATCCTCCAACTTGACCCTTTCAAAAAAAAAAAAAAGAAGAAAGGATGTTCAAAATAACCATGTACTCCAACATGAAAATCTGGTGTGGATTGCAAGGATGTGTATATATTACCATATATTAGTCCATTCTCATGGTGCGATGAAGAAATGCCAGAGAATGGGGAATTTACAAAGAACAGAGGTTTAATTGACTCACAGTTCCATATAACTGGGAAGGCCTCAGGAAACTTACAATCATGGCAGAAGGCACCTCTTCATGGAGAGAATGGGTGCCGAGTAAAGGGGGCAAAGCCCCTCATAATACCATCAGATCTTGTGAGAACTCACTCACTGTCATGAGAACAGCAGGACGGTGAGCACCTCCATGATTCAATTACCTCCTATCCGGTGCCTCCCATGACGTGGGGATTATGGTAACTACAATTCAAGATGAGATTTGGTGGTGGGGGGACACAGCCAAACCATGTCATATCATCTTAATGCCCCCATTTCCTAGATATACATTCTTAAGTATTACATATTCTTTGTAAGCATCAATAGCCTTTCCTATTTATTTGTTTGTATGAATGGTTGGTTTTTTTTTTGTGATTATAGTAGTTCATATCTCAGAAGTTGCATGTGATGATAAAGACTTTGCACCATGCCTGATATATGGTAAATATTTAATGACTGGGAAGAGTAATATTACACTGGTAAGTACGCCTGACAATGGAAATCAGAAAATTTATTATTAATAAGAAGCAGAAGTATCAAAATATTATCCAATATTCAAATATTATTCATTATTTCACAGAATCACATTCATATGTTTCATGGAGGGGGGTTAAGATTAAGGAAGAGTCTGACATTATTCATGAAGCTGCAGTACCTTTCAGAAACCAAGATGTATTGAGTGCTTGTCACACATCCAGCTTGTGTTAAGTGCGGGGTAATGTTAAACAGAAATATGCATGATTTGGTAATATATATAAGGAAGATAAAATTCAATCAAATGAACACACAAATGAATATTTAGCTACACATTGACACATGTATTAAGGCGGAAATATTTTTAAAATGATAAATTCAAGACTGTTCCTAGAATTATAGAATGTGACAATGCAGGGGATGAAGTTTTAAAATAATGATGTTCTGAATTTCCCCAATTTCTCTGAATACCTAACCCCATATCCCAGCAGCTTTTTTAGACAGGATACAGTCTTTAAGTTTGAGGTAAACATTTTAAAATGAGCATAAGCAGGAACATTAAAAAGAGAGGTGTTTAAACTACAGCAAATGTGATTTAATTCCGCCATAAATATTGCTAAGCACTGAAATTTGGCTGCCTTCCAGAAAAAAAAAATAATAAAGTAGAACCAGCTATAATCCCAGAATATGTTGTTTTTTTCACAGGAAAAAGACAAGTCTAGGTGATTCCTTTAGGTACATAATAGATCTGAATCCATGTTGGAAATTATATCCCTGCCCAAAAATAGTGTTTTATCTTTTTGCAATAAATTAACTATGTGCTCCTACATTATAAAAATTGTTTTTGCTAAGGACTTACTAATGTGTCATCAAATATGCTTATCCTATACCTTGAAAAAAAGCTAATCTTGTCTTCAACTATGAATTCTTTTCAACTGTGTTATTTCTATAAGACTTATACTTTGTTTTGTCAGATTGTATCTTAAATGAAATACATGATTCTAAGAAAAGTAAACTAAACAATTATATGCCAATAAAGCCCACATATTATAAATGTTTGTCTACAGAATAAGAGAATAATGTGTAATTAACTTGACCAGCCTCCAACAAAACCCATGCTAAATAGAAGAAGGTCACTTATTTTGATGAGCAGACTCTAATTGCTTCATTTATATTTTTGATTTTTTCTCAGAGATAATTAGAAAACGGATGCCAGATCCTGCATTCTGTTTTACAATACTAACACAAATTTTAATCAAACGTAATTTCTGAGAATTCCTTTTTGGGGGAATGAAAAGCCATAAGGTTTTTGGTGGAAATTGCTTTTATTTAAGCAATAAAAAAGTGTTAATGAAATTGCTTGCATTCTATTGAGCAATGGTAGTTCAAAGATCTTTGTTACTGAGTGTATTAGTTTGCTAGGTCTGCCATAACAAAGCACCACAGATTGAGGGTTTTAAGCCAAAGAAATTTGTTTTCTTACAATTTTCGAGGCTAGAAGTTTGAGATCAACGTTTAGGCAGGATTGGTTTCTTCTCTGGCCTCACTGTTTGGTTTGTAGATAGCTATCTTCTTCCATGGGTTTTCACATGGTCTTCCTTTTGTGTTTGCCTCTGTCCTAATCTCCTCTTCTTTTTGATTTTTATTATTATACTTTAAGTTCTAGGGTACATGTGCACAACGTGCAGGTTTGTTACATAGGTGTACATGTGCCACGTTGGTTTGCTGTACCCATCAACTCGTCATTTACATTAGGTATTTGTCCTAATGCTATTCCTCCCCAAGCTCCCCACCCCCCAACAGGCCCCAGTGTGTGATGTTCCCCTCCCTGTGTCCATGTGTTCTCATCGTTCAACTCCCACTTATGAATGAGAACATGCATTGTTTGGTTTCCTGTCCTTGTGATATTTTGCTGATATTTTGCTGAGAATAGTAGAGTGAGCCCTAATCCAACATTACTAGTTTCCTCTTCTTATAAAGAAGCTAGTAATATTGGATTAGAGCTCACTCTACCAGACTTATATTAGCCTAATTATCTCTTTCAACACCTGATACCCAAACACAGTAATATTCTGAGGTTCCGAATATTAGGACTTCAACATATGAATTTTGAAGGGACCATTCAGCCCACAAAATCATGGATACCTTCCTGAATGTTGCTAAATGTTATATTGTGAAGAAAAATTAAAGCCTGGTGAGTCCATGACACCGCCAGCATATACCACAGAAACACACCCATGTTGTTTCCAAGTAAAATGTGGATATACACAGACTTGCAAAATTAGAAAATTAAGAGATCAATTATTCTTTATGATGAACAATACAATAAAATGGCAAAGTGCATAGAAGGACCACCAAAAACCTCTTCTACACTTCTCATTCCCAAAACAAAGGAAAGCATGCTTGGAAAGATTACTGAAAGGCTCTGAAGAACCTCCACAAAAAATTTGCATCCTCTTGATATGGCCTTTTGTTGTAGTAAGTTGCAGTACTGCTCTTCAGCTATTTCAATAGAGAGGAAAGTCAGTGAACAAAAACCCCTGCCCCCATTTATTTCTAATGGTCCCGATAGTTTGTGTATACCGGGGACTCACATAGAGTTGTTCTCAGAGTGTGTAGACACCTTGGTAGGCATTTATTTGTGGTCTACATTTTTATCAAAGAACCCTCTTCGTAGCTGTCCTATTAGGTCACAAGGGATGTAGTTCTTGTTTTGTACATCATCATGCTCCTCACTCTCCTGCTTTTAATAAACCGGCTAATGTGCTCTAAGCATTATAATAGGAATCATGATCTATCATCAGGTTTGATCCCCTTATGTAAAACAGTGCCAGGGCTCAAGAGGAGCTCTATTATGTATGTTGATTGATTGGGCAACTGACACTTCCAGAATCTAGGTGATGTGGCTGCATAAAGCACTGGCAGTGTGTTGTAACCTGACACAAATTGCCTTCCAGTAACCTCCTATGAACTCTGTAATCTTTCCATTGGGGTTTGGATATTTGGTTAATGGATAACAAATTCACACTCTTTCCTACTTGCCAGTTTAAACCTTTCACATACCTAATATGTAAGTTGCACATATGCTTTTATGACACTTGAAACTCAACATACTTAACACCAAATTCATCCACTTGTTTTAAAAATTGCTTTGTCTCAGCCGGGCACAGTGACTCACGCCTGTAATCCCAGCACTTTGGGAGGCCAAGGCGGGTGGATCACGAGGTCAGGAGATCGAGACCATCCTGGCCAACATGGTGAAACCCTGTCTCTACTAAAAGTACAAAAATTAGCTGGGCGTGGTGGTGCATGCCTGTAGTCCCAGCTATGCAGGAGGCTGAGGCAGGAGAATTACTTGAACCCGGGAGGTGGAGGTTGCAGAGAGCCGAGATCCTTCCAGCCTGGCAACAGAGTGAGACTCCATCTCAAAAAAAAAAAATTGCTTCATCTCATTGTTTTTCTATTTCTTTTCTTTGAAACTTACTGTTGGCATCTGATGAGTAACTTTTTCTGTTCCTACTTCAATAAACAGATAAATTCTAATTATTTGTCATTTCATTATCTCTTACTTCTATTCACCCCGTTGCTGGTTAGGCATCTTACGATTTGACATTCATATCCTTAAAAATCTTCTAATTGATATTGCTGCCTCCACTTACTATCTATTTCAGTTATTCCTCACTGCTACGAAAGGCTTTTTTTGTAAAGCATATTTCTCATCATAAAATCTCAAAACACTTGCCATATTAAAAATAATTAATATAATAATAATAAATAAATAAACCTGTGATCTCTCTTTCAATTTAATAAAATGCAGATTCTTTATTCATTCAGATAAGATGTTGTCTAGGTGTATTTCCAGTCCAGGCTTAACATTAACCCTCTTAATATAGTTAGTATTTTGGTTTACTTCAGTTAGTTGCTCTTCCACAAATGCCACTGATAGGATCATCCCTCTGTGCATCTACATACACTGTGGTCATGGCCTGTAATTCTCCCTTACCCATGTCTATCATACCCATCATTCAAAGCATACCTCACCTATTAATTCTTCCCTGAAGCTAAATCTTAAAATTACAACTGTAATAACTTCACTGCTCTGTAAACCTACCACTGTATACATTGCTTGCAACAGTCTACCTTATGTTATCATTATTTGTCTGCCTGTATTACCTACCCTACAAGACAGTAATCTACGTTTGCTCTTCATCTTTATTGTCCTTCTTACACCTCGTCTGTAGTGGAGAGACTGTCAAGCCAATGATCGTTACTGCAAAGTATTGTAAGCTTTCCCTGGTATTAGGCAGCCATGTCCTCTTTCTCTCCAAATCATTGGTTTTCAGATGCTAAAATAGACTCCTCTCTTCTTCTCTCTCAGCATGGTCCTTAAATCAGGAAAAAGTTCATCCTGCCTGCTGAGCTTTGGAGAACATATACCTTGCTTTCCTGAACTCTGACAGCATGACATTTAGTTTTAGACTTCTGCTTTGTTCGATCTAAGCTGTGTCTTTCTTATATCATTGTCGCAATTTGGCAATTTACAAGAGATGAAATCTCTTTCTCTTTCTCTCTCTATCCTTCCTCAACCTGCTTCCTCTTACTTTTCTTTGTCTCTTTTTTTTTCTTCGCTGGAAGACTGAAAATGGTCTGAACAGAAGTAGAAAGTCAATTTAAGAAAAAAAAAATATATAGAAAGAAGTTTAATAAATTAAAATGTCTTTGTTTAGAGCTGAATTCTTCAGTTAATGCTGTCTTCCAATGCGGCAAATTCACACCAGTTTCACCTCCATGATAAATTATACAGGAATTCATTTTAATATAAGTAAGAACATAATTGTTAAGGGATTGAATATTCAAAAAGTTTTTTTTTTTCAGGGAGGTATTCTTAGCATCTATAAAGTATTTTAAGAGCTGCAAAATGGGATATACCTTCTATTACAATCATATAACTATTTGCCTTATTGAATGAAGAAAATTATGCCAGAACTTCAGATGCTCTACTAAGTATCTCCGCATACATACACACACACACAGACACACATAGAAAGATACACACACATATGCCCAACTATGGCTTCTCCTTTTTGTGAAACATTATGTATTACTGGTAAAATTGTTGCAGTTATGGATATCTGCCTGTTAACTAGGCAGTAAGAAAAAAATCAAACAAATTGGGGAGATAGCATGAAATACAAAATTTGCATTTTCCATTCCAATACACTAAAGTAATTAAGAGATAAGTATTAGTTCAAATTATGAGTCTGCCAATGGTCACCTAAAACAATACTGAAATATAATGAGCTATCTAAAATAATTGTTAAATTAATTCACTTAAACTCTTCATTGGAAAATGCGGACATCATGTATTTAGTTGTCTATCCAATTTTCAAGCTTAAAAAATATATCTTTCAATTTATTTTTCATAATTTCATATTTGGCTTAAGATTCTACCTTTAATACATTCTTCATAGGAAACATCAGAAAAAATAGGTCTCTTATTTTCAGCATTTTACAAAGCAAATTATGTTTCTAACAAAAATATGAATATATATTTATACATTTATATTAGTCTGGAGATTTACTAATATTTTCTAACTTTATCAACAGGCATTTATTAAACCAAAAATGTTTCCACAAAAGGTTATGCCTTGAAGATAATAAAAATGTATCTTCCAAATCAGAGGGCAAATTAGATATATGTAGAATCTTTTCAAATATAATGCCCTTGATTTAACGTAACCAATGCTACATATAGTATTACATCTAAATTTAACTTAGATTTTAAAATGTTATTGTTATAATTGTTAATTTTTTAATATTAAAAATATGGCCAAGATTGAGAATTTTTAGAGTACTATTGCATGTGAGTTTATAAAAAGACAGTTTTATTGAAACTCAAGAGTCCAGACCTTGGGAGTTCTGTCAACCAGGAGTAAATTTCTTCTGTGCCTTGTAAAGTAAGGCTGATAAATGTAGATAATAAGAATATGAAACTTCCTTCCTAAACCATAAGACGGCCATTTTGCCAAAGTTTATCCTAATTGAAAGGAGTCTTTGTTGAACGGATTGCAGCAATTTCTGAAAAGTTTTTATAGACAAATCCAGACAATAGCCATTGTCTTAAAATACAATGGGAAAAACATGGTTCCATTTATCATCATTTTATATAGTAGACTGAAAACAGATTTCTCAGAGACAATTATGAAGTCTAAACAGACTTTGGGAGTTGCTGCTTTTTCATTTATTTCTTCATCTTCCTATATCATCTTGCTCCTTCGACACAGACCTATCCTCCAACACAGGAGCTGTGTGGTTTTGTTGTTTATAGAGATGAGACAAAAAGACACATTAAAGTGACTTACCCAAGGGTGCACAACATCAATTTCCCTAAGAGTTTTCTGGTAGTTGCCGTATCACTTCATAACATTGTGCTTGTGTGTCCGGAATTGGTAGGTTCTTGGTCTCACTGACTTCAAGAATGAAGCCGCAGACCCTAGCGGTGAGTGGTACAGTTCTTAAAAGCACAGTTCTTAAAGGTGGCGTGTCCTGAGTTTGTTTCTTCTGATGTTCCCATGTGTTCGGAGTTTCTTCCTTCTGGTGGGTTCGTGATCTTCCTGGCTCAGGAGTGAAGCTGCAGACTTTCCTGGTGAGTGTTACAGCTCTTAAGGTGGGGCGTCTGCAGTTGTTCATTCCTCCTGGTGGGTTCGTAGTCTCGCTGGCTTCAGAAGTGAAGCTGCAAACCTTCGCAGTGAGTGTTACAGCTCATAATGGCAGTGTAGACCCAAAGAGTGAGCAGCAGCGAGATTTATTGCAAAGAGCTAAAGAACAAAGCTTTCACAGTGTGGAAAGAGACCTGAGAGGTTGTCACTGTTAGCTCACGCAGCCTGCTTTTATTCTCTTATCTGGTGCCACCCACATCCTGCTGATTGGTCCATTTTACAGAGAGCTGATTGGTCCATTTTACAGAGCTGATTGGTCCGTTTTCACAGGGTGCTGATTGGTGCATTTACAATCCCTGAGCTAGACACAAAAGTTCTCCACCTCCCCACTAGATTAGCTAGATACAGACTGCTGACTGGTGTATTTACGAACCCTGAGCTAGACACAGAGTACTGATTGGTGTATTCACAAACCCTGAGCTAGATGCAGGGTGCTGATTGGTGTGTTTACAATCCCTTAGCTAGACATAAAGATTCTCCAAGTCCCCACTAGACTCAGGAGCCCAGCTGGCCTCACCCAGTGGATCTCGCATGGGGCGGCAGGTGGAGCTACCCGCCAGTCCCGCGCTGTGCGCCTGCACTCCTCAGCCCTTGGGCAGTGGATGGGACTGGGAGCTGTGGAGCAGGGGATGGCGCTCGTCTGGGAGGCTCAGGCCGTGCAGGAGCCCATGGCGGTGGGGAAGGGGCGGGGGGAGACTCAGGCATGGCGGGCTACAGGTCCCGAGCCCTGCCCCGCGGGGAGGCAGCTAAGGCCCGGCGAGAAATCGAGTACAGCAGCTGCTGGCCCAGGTGCTAAGCCCCTCACTGCCCGGGCGGCGGGGACAGCCATCTGCTCCAAGTGCGGCTCGCCGAGCCCCCGCCCACCCGGAACTCGCGCTGGCCCGCAAGCGCCGCGCGCAGCCCCGGTTCCCGCCCGCGCATCTCCCTCCACACCTCCCCGCAAGCTGAGGGAGCGGGCTCTGGCCTTGGCCCGCCCAGAAAGGGGCTCCCACAGTGCAGCGGCGGGCTGAAGGGTTCCTCAAGCGCGGCCAGAGTGGGCGCCAAGGCCGAGAAGGCGCGGATAACGAGTGAGGGCTGCGAGGGCTGCCAGCATGCTGTCACCTCTCACTTTGTATTCCTGTGGGCTTTGCTAGCCTCATTCCACTAAGGTAAGGAAAGGCCTAAGCTTTCTCTACACCGATATATGTTACAGTTAGAGCTATCTTACTCAAACGACTGTGTCCAGCCTTAGCTGTTAATCTCAGTATAGTGTTGTTAACAAAAACAATTCTACACATTTCCTGGACTAAAATAAAGAGGGACATTGTTCAATACAGTCAAAACTGATACTGGCCGTTATTCATAAGTGGAGATCACATGGCCTTGGAAGCATGTATGTTGATGGATTTAAGAATAATAGGAATTGGTTTGACATAGATTTGTTTTTTTAAAAAAAGCCTTTTGTGGATGTAATCATGGGATTACGAAGATTTCTTGCCTAACTTCAAAAATAATTTAATCAGTACAGGATAAAAAACTAATCTTTTAACTGAATTTGACAGATGCATGACAAAGTTTTTTCTGGTTTATTCTAAAAGCTTTGATAGCTAGGGAGGCAACCCTGTTGAAGAATTCTCTTTCACCTCAGTTTGATCTGCAGAGCTGCTCTCTCCACTGAAAGAATGAACAAATTGGCATAGAGACACTCATTTTCTAAGGGTCATCACCATTACTAGCTTTAGTAGTCATGGAATCACATTTGCATTTAATATTTTATTCCCTCAGAAGACATCAATGCCAAGAAATAGCTTTTTGCTCTGCTCTGTTCTGAAAGATGAAAAGCAGGGTCACTAGAACGGTGCCGGGTCAGTGAAAAAGTCATTGAGGTGGTGCTTCGTGAACTAGTTAAGAAAATAAAAATTCTGTAGGGCAGAGGTAGGCAAACATTGGCTAGACTTTGAGGACCATCCATTCTCTGTTACTACATCTCAAAAACCATAGAACAGCAACATTTTGAAAATAATACAGCCATAGTCAATAGATAAACAAATGAGTGTGATAGTTTTCCAATAAAAAATGACTTATAAAAAACAGGTGAAGGTCCACTCCATGGTTTGCCATACCCTGCCTTAGAGGTATGGTGTTGCCAAAACTTGACCAGCCAAGATCTTGCTAAATGTGTGAGTGAGTGGTGAGGGGTGTGGAAGGCTCATCTGAGGTGGAGGAGTGATGGTGGGGGAGGAAAGGGTGATGTGAGAGAGAGAGAGAGAAAGAGAGTTAGGTTATATTCTGAATATGCCAACGTAACAAAGCTGGTTTGACATTTCACATCACACCTTTATTGTGTTGCTAGGTCCCCCTTGCTAAAATGCATACGGTATTGGAATAGATGATATATTAGCCCTTTATCCCCCATTTAAATTTAGCCTCTCTGAAAAAGTGGTAAGTAGGCAAGTATGGAAAGCACCCAGAGCTTCTCAAGCTTATGTGACCATGTACTTCGCTAATATCATTCCTTTCTGTCCTCCTCAACTTGAAAATTGATTAATGAAAAAGGCGTTTCCTAGAGGTTGCTTTGAAGAGTAGACCTTGAATTCTCATTAGTAAAGAGGAGTCATCAGGTCTTCACGGACAGGATGATAGAGGGAGAAGCACGGTGACAGTCTTGCAAGGGCAGGTGCGTCACAGGAGCAATGAAAGAGGAAAACAAGAAAGACATCAACAACAATGGAGCTCAGCACCTCACTGAGGACAAATTAAAACTTGCGGCTGGGGCCAAGCCCGGTGGCTCACGCCTGTTATCCCAGCACTTTGGGAAGCCGAGGCAGGTGGATCACCTGAGGTCAGGAGTTCGAGACCAGCCTGGCCAACATGGTGAAACCCTGTCTCTACTAAAAATACAAAAAGTAGCCTGGCGTGGTGGCGCATGCCTGTAATCCCAGCTATTCCGGAGACTGAGACAGGAGAATCGCTTGAACCTGGAGGCGGAGGTTGCAGCGAGCTGAGATAGCACCATTGCACTCCAACCTGGGCGACAGAGCGAGACTTCTTCTCAAAAAAAAAAAAAAAAAAAAAAAAAAAAAGAGAAAACTTACTGCCGCATGGGATGGCTCACGACTGTAATCTCAGCACTTTGAGAGGCTGAGGTGGGTGGATCACCTGAGGTCGGGAGTTTGAAAGCAGCCTGACTAATACGGTGTAACCCCATCTCTAGTAAAAAATACAAAAATTACCCGGGCATACTGGCACACGCCTGCAATCCCAGCTACTCGGGAGACTGAGGCATGAGAATTGCTTGAACCAGGGAGGCGGAGGTTGCAGAGAGCCAAGATTGCGCCCCATCACTCTCGGGCAACAGATAAAATCAATCAATTAATTAATTAAATTAAAACTTGCCCAGTCATTGATCTTAATGAAGGTCTTAATAAAGATCTCCCAATCTCGGGAGATACTGGTAGCTACAAAAGCTGCCTCTTGTACCTAGTGTAAATTATCTGATATGTCCAATGACAAAACTCACATTACCATAACACAATATTTATTTTCTTATTCTGTTAATGTTTTAATTTTAAAAGAAGTTTCGAATCTTATTCTGTGTTTAATGATCTGCTTGTGGTCATTGTTTTGAAGGAATAAGGGAAAAATTGAATAAGGGGAAAGGTTGTGATTGTTTAATCCATAGACAGTATATACCACAATGTAAAATATGAAATTGAAATATTTATAAGAAATAACAAAAATAGCCTACAGGTTGGACTAATTGTCTTATGTATTATTTTAGCTCATTTAGCTTTAGTTTGCTTTACAGATGTATTTAGCATTCTTTAAATAGCCTAGGACTATTTTTAATTACTTTATAATTTCTGATAGACTTAGCCAGCTTAAATTGTTTTTAAAGACTGGTTTTGGGCCGGGCGCGGTGGCTCAAGGCTGTAATACCAGCACTTTGGGAGGCCAAGGTGGGTGGATCACCTGAGGTCGGGAGTTCGAGACCAGCCTGGCCAACATGGCGAAACCCCGTCTCTACTAACAATTCAAAAATTAGCTGAGCGTGGTGGTGCGTGCCTGTAATCTCAGGTACTCAGGAGGCTGAGGCAAGAGAATCCCTTGAACCGGAGAGGCAGAGGTTGCAGTGAGCTGAGATTTCGCCATTGCACTCCAGCCTGGGCGACAAAAGCAAAATTCCATCACATACACAAAAGTTAATAAAAATTTAAAAAATTAAAGAATGGTTTTGAAATGTAAGCATTTGTTAATGAGTAAACAAGGGATATAGTTGACTAAATATTCATTTTATAATTTTTCATATGGTAAGTGGAATCACAAATCTTTTTTTTTTCTTTTTTTCTGAGGCAAAGGTGAAATTTCGCTCTTGTTGCCCAGGCTGGAGCACAATGGCTCAATCACTGCAACCTCTGCCTCCCGGGTTCAAGTGATTCTCCTGCCTCAGCCTCCCGAGTAGCTGGGATTACAGGCGCCCACCTCCACACCTGGCTAATTTTTGTATATTTAGTAGAGACGGGGTTTCACCACGTTGAGCAGGCTGGTCTTGAACTTCTGACCTCAGGTAATCCACCTGCCTCGGCCTCCCAAAGTGCTGGGATTACAGGCGTGAGCCACCGTGCCCGGCCACAAATCATATTTTTTATACTATTAGTTGCGCTACCATATTTTTAAACTGTTTTTTAGGACAAGGTATACTGTCGAATTACAGAAATAAGATTCTCATCTTAAACCTATATATGCTTAAATTAGGTATTGTAAAAGATAAGCAACAGTAATATTAAAGTAAGAATCAACAAATGATGCAAACTGTTGAATTTATAATAACATAGTTTTAAGTGCCTACCGTAAATAGAATATATTTTGTATTTTGTACAATATCATGCATTCACACCTCTTCCATATGGCGGTATAAATTAGGAAAATCGATCTACATCAATATGTATTGAAATTATAAAATAAAAAATAACAGATATAATACAATAAAATGTTTTCTTTGAAAAGCAAATCAAAAGATGACAAAAATGCTTTTGAAAAATTATTTTTTCATATTTCTGTGAACACTGGTTCTTATTTGTTGATAGTAAAAGCTTTTCAAATTATCGTTTTTCATAAAATACTGTGTTGGTCATTCTAATTGTAGAGAGATGAGATTCGATGATAGTTTCATACAATCAGGTTAGGTAACATTGCTCAGCAAAAATTCGAAGCAAATAAAATTATATTCCTGAGCTATTTATTATTTCTACTATTCTTGTTATATGATTATATGACTAACAACACCTTCTTGGCCTTTAATGGCTATGAGACACTTTATTTTTATTTTCAAATTTTTGATTTTTAAAAATACCAAACCTATCAACTACAACAAATTAATTGAAAAGATTTTATAGTACTTACCGTTTTAAAAGAAAAATATTAATTTGTTTTTAAAATTGTAATAGTAAACTGAATTGCACATATTGAAAGCACCAAAATATAATTCAACTGCCTATCTTTAAAGTTCCACTAGAGGGCAACATGTGCCAAGATTTTTGTCCCTTCGCAGTTTCAAGGGGGATAATCAAATTTTAATCTTTTTTCATCAATAAATGTCATTTACTTAATATTTAGCATCGGTCAGCATTAATTGTTATTTTTATGATGCACATGTGGTTCTTCGTGAATATTGTCTCACTTATAAAAGATAATATTGTGAATGTTGCTCTGATTTCAATTAATCAATACTTTTCCAGTTACCATAATTACAAGAAGACAAAACACAAAACAAAAAAGATATTATTTTATATGTAATGAGTTTTTAAATCAAATAATTTCATATGTGTTTTAAAGTATAAATATGTTAAGGAGTTACAGGTTAACGAAAAATAAAATAAAAAATCTTGGGAGATGTTGGTAGTAAATTTGAAATTCAGTTTTGACAAAATAAAAGCATTTGTTCATTACACATTCTCAGAGACCATTTTAAAAAGAAAAACTGGTTAAATAATGTGTATCAGACGAACAATTCTCAATCTTTTCTGAGAAATAGAATCTGCTTGAAACTTGCAGCATCGCCATTTTCTTTAAGTCTTTCCAAGCAACATCACCCTAACTACAGCCTGTCCTCTCTTACCTTCTGCTTCTCCTCAGATTCTTTAATATTTACACTTTAAAAAAATCTAAATATGAGTAGTTGTCCCTGAGACAGCGATGTTAGAGAGAGCATAATGTTTTATCTTCTTTTGTTTGCAAATAACTTTTTCTTAAGAGAGCAAAGCAACATTGACAGGTTGGGAAGAGATAAACAACCAGTTTTGGAAAATGATAATGTACATTTTAATGCAATCATATTTAGAAACAATGATTTACATATGTGATAGTATACTTTAATTCCCTATGACAGATATTATACAGTAATGGACATAATTGTCACCTATTGCAATGAAATAGTAACATTTTCTCCATAATTTTTACTGAGTTAATAATATTACATTTAAAGGCTATTTTGATAGGTATAAAAATGATGGGTGCGGCCGGGCGCGGTGGCTCACGCCTGTAATCCCAGCACTTTGGGAGGCCGAGGCGGGTGGATCATGAGGTCAGGAGATCGAGACCATCCTGGCTAACAAGGTGAAACCCCGTCTCTACTAAAAAAAAATACAAAAAATTAGCCGGGCGCGGTGGCGGGCGCCTGTAGTCCCAGCTACTCGGGAGGCTGAGGCAGGAGAATGGCGTGAACCCGGGAAGCGGAGCTTGCAGTGAGCCGAGATTGCGCCACTGCAGTCCGCAGTCCGGCCTGGGCGACAGAGCGAGACTCCGTCTCAAAAAAAGATGGGTGCGCAGCATTATACCAAAAATGTAACCAGCAAAGATTTGTTTTTTTTTATTGTCAAATCACAATCCAGATAAACTATCGTTTTTACTTACATATTATATACATAGAAAGAATATACCTGTAAGAGGTTTTAAGTGCTTTACGAGTCTTTTTTTTTTTTTTTTTTTTTTGAGACAGAGTCTTGCTCTGTCACCTAGTTTGGAGTGCATTGGTGTGATCTTGGCTCACTGCAACCTCCAACTCCCAGGTTCAAGATATTCTCACTCCTCATCCTCCCAAGTAGCTGAGATTCCAGGCACGTACCACCACACCTGGCTAATATTTGTATTTTTAGTAGAGACGGGGTTTCACCATGTTGGCCAGGCTGGTCTCCAACTCCTAAACTCAGGTGATCCACCCGCCTTGGCCTCCCAAAGTGCTGGTATTACAGGTGTAAGCCACTGTGCCTGGCCTACCTATGTCATTTTTTAACATTCCTATTTCCCTACGCAATAAGTGCTATTATTTTATCTCCATTCATAAGTGAGGAAACTGAGGTATTGATGTTAGCGAAATAGATATTGATGTTAGCAAAACAGAAAATTAGAAGAATATATTGATTTATAAACTGAGATATAAGGAAAAAGAGATACAGAAAGAAATGTTCATTTTCAATAGTACTTCTAAAATTAATATATAAGATTATGAAGAAGTTTTGGAAAGTATCATTTTAACCGCATGTATCAAAGTTAGATAATATCAACTCTCAACAATGAATGGCAGAAATCAGCACCCTTCCACATAACACTTCCCCCTTATGTCTTAATTATATTAGTTTTATAAATATTTTAATGTCAAAGTTTAAGACTTTCCATTTAATTCTGTAACCATAATCCATATGGTTGCTTAGCCTTAGATATGTATTTAAATAGATCTTTTTCAGGATGTCATTTTTGAAACATTTATTTTCATTTCTGGGTTTTTTTATGTATTTCAAAAATGTTCTTTTCAAGAAGGAATTACATATTCCCCAAGTATTCTTGTGACTCTTGTCTATTATTTTTATACTTTGAAGCCAATTGTCAGAGTACACTTTGAATTACTGTTGTTATTGTTCGCCCCTCTTTATGTGATTGTTACTCTGGAGAATTCTGATAGGTAAGAATTGCCCTCTTGAATGAGATCTGCTCTTTCTTTGTCCCAATTACCATATGATTATTTATTAAATTACATTTATTTGTTCAAAAATGCTTATTAAATACTCATCTACTAAATATAGTATCTAGAGATATAATCATGCTTTTAAAAATCTGGCTTTCAGAGTATACATTCTAATCAGGGTAAGAGGCAATAAACAAATTATCTATCTATCTATCTATCTACCTATCTGTCAATCTATCTATGTCAGATGGTGATCCATTCTTTAGAGGAAAGTAAAACAAAGTGTAGAAATATTGGATTAGGTGTAAGCGCTGATGCATTTTCAGGTAGGATCATTATCGGAAGCCTCCCTATTAGGGGTCATATGGATAAATTAGTCTTGAGAATATCTGACTCAGTGATCATTTTGCATCAGTTTTTCCTGCAGTAACTGTTTCTTTTCAACTTGTGGATTCAAATACTCATTTAATATTTTTTTCTGTTATATCTTGAAATTGTTTTCTATTCGTTCTTCATTTTGTACACTTTTTTTGTGGAAACCAATTATGTTAATGCCAAAAGTGCTTTCTTTACTATTCTCCTCTATTGTGTTTTGTGCAATTGCCTTTGCTCTTTTTTGAATTTGTTTTATGTGGATTCCTCACATCTCTGGATTCTGAATCTGTTAATGTGTATTTCTTCTGTTTTGTTTCATCTTCATTTGTTTCTCTTAACTCTGTAGTTCACTTTTCATCCTTTGTCTTCCAAGTCTGTTCCTTGCTAGTTTCCTTACTTTTAAAAAATTGTATTTTTTTGCAGATAGCCCTTTTATTTGTTTCCTTGTGTTTTAAACAAAATTATAAAACTTCATTGAGGTTAAGGAAAATTATCTAAAGAACCTATTTTTATGTAATTTTTATGATATATAACCTTTACATGACTTTTTATTGTGGCTTATTCCTTAATTGTTTGTGTGTTTTACAGGTTTCTTCTATAAGTCTCATGCTGAATTATTAATGTTTAAAATTTGCCTTTGGATGTGGATTCAAAAAAGATGAATTCACCTTTTTTGCTGAAAAAAGTATGGAGCATGGGGCGTGGGGAGAAAAAAAGTGTGGAGATGGAGACAGTGGAGCAGTCCAAAGTCCACATCTCATAGTACTTGGCACGCATTCTTCAGGAGATTTCTAATAAGCAGTCTTATTCTTACATGACTTTTAGAGCAAATAGTTCAAAAAGCCATTGTAAACAGAACTAGGAATTTTGTGATTTCTGCCATGAACTTCAAACTTATCTTTGATAATATAGTTTGATACAATGAATACGATCTAGTATTTGATAGTACAGCAGGGTAACTATAGTTAGTAATAATTTGTTTTGCATTTTAGAATAACTGAGGCAGTATCACTGGAATGTTTCTAACAAAAGAAATGATGAATACCTGAGGTGGTGGATACCCCTATTTACCTTGATATGATTATTACACATTGTATACCTGTATCAAAATATCTCCAGTATTCCATAAATATGTATGCTTAATGTGTACCCATAAAAATTAAAAATAAAAAATTTAAAAGCTTACCTTTGGTATAAAATTCATAATTATTTTGATTTTTTAAATTATTTATCAAATTAATAAAATAAAAAACCTTTTTTCAACAAACTTTTAAATATTTTCAGTAAAAATGAACACCTAACTAACCAAAACAAAAAACAAAACAAAACAAAAACTAGTCAATGTCCATTCCAATGTAATCCTTTAAAAATTACATACTTTTATTTATTTTGATATCCTTAGGTCTTAGCACAGTGTCTAACAGCATAAATGACCTTAAAATAATTGTTAAATAAATGAATCATTTTTAATTTTAGTTAATACCTATCAGTTTTTCTGTTATGGATACATCCACCATAGAAATTCATCACATATTATAAATTCTAACATATGTTAATAATTACTATTTTTAGAGTTTATAAAATTGCAAATCAAAAATTATGTTTTTGTAGCAAGGGCATTTTTAAAATTTAGGCAATAAAAATGGGAAGTGTGAACAGCTATTAAAACCAAGAATAATATGTTTTAAAAATTATAATATCTTACCTTTTTAATATGTTATAATAGCTATATTTTATCTTAAACATTCATGTTAGAGTGATTTGCCAAATCTCTTAATTAATAAAGCCTGATGTATTTTGTTTTCCAATATATTTTGTATTTTTGCTTCTTATTATTTATATTTTGACTCTCTTTTATAGTTTAAGAATCTTAAATTAGATTGTATTCAGTTAATAAAAGTAATACAGTGTTGACTTGTGCTCTCAATTTCTGATTTGATATGACTGCTATGGGAATTAGATATGGGAATTTTAATAAGAATAATAGTGTTAAGGTCTTAGTTGTGTGTCTTTTTAGCAAGCAATTATTTTGAAATTATCCTATCAATTTCACAAATGTATACATTAATTCCAGTAGAATTAGAAAATTTGTAAGTTGTGGATCTCATACAAATTCATGCAATGCTAATACATTATATGTCAGATGTGTATTTAGTACGTATTTCTGAATCTGTAATATTTTTTGTGTTTATAGGATCTAGCTTAATTTATGAATTTCTTAGTAGGGTTATTTCTTTGGCTTTGAGCTAACGCCATTTTTATAGTATTCCCATAATACATTTATTTATATATGTGTGTACATACCTACATATGCCTATGTGTGTATATTTATATATTATATCTTTAAGTTTATGAGAAAATAACTCATAAATGGTTTTCATAATTTAAAATATATAATTCTATATTAAACTCTACAGTCTCTTTTTTTTTTTTTTTTTTTCTGAAACAGAGTCTCACTCTTATTGCCCAGGCTGGAGTGCAATGGCGCTATCTCAGCTCACTGCAACCTCTGCCTCCCGGGTTCAAGCGATTCTCCTGCCTCAGCCTCCCAAGTAGCTAGGATTACAGGCACCAGCCACCACGCCTGGCTAATTTTTGCATTTTTAGTAGAGACGGGGTTTCACCACGTTGATCAGGCTGGTATCAAACTCCTGACCTGAGGTGATCCGCCTGCCTCGGCCTCCCAAAGTGCTGGGATTACAGGCGTGAGCCACCGTGCCTGACCTACGGCCTCTTTTGTGGTGCAAAACTACGTCCTAATTCAATGTCAGGGCTCTCCAATTCTTAGTCCTTTAGACATGTAGGGTATCTTGTAGAGCCTGTCTCTTGTGAAAACCTCAAATGTAAGTTACAACCAAAAAATAACCAGTAGCCCGGAATGTTTATGCTAGAATTTAATGGCCCTCTATTCACACTACTGCTGTAAGCATTGTCAAATGCCTTATAACAAGGCATTTGGATCCATTTACCTCTTCACCTGAACAGCCATTTCCAAATCTCAAACTAGCAACCAAACACTGGACATGGTGAGGTCATTGGTCCACTCAGATTTCATTTTGCCCACAAAATTAAAAAAAAAAAAAAAGTCAGATTAAATCATTTTCTAAGAAAATGTAACCATTGAATTCTTCCCGTCTTCCTACCTCACTTCTCTTGTGGTAGAAAGATGCAATCAGAATTCAAAATGTACTACTCTAAGGATGGCCCGAATAAATGCAGCTACAGAATTCTTTCACTCTAGAAGATAAAAAGAATAAGCAGTTTAATCAAATTTTTGGCATCTCTCAACTTTGCTCTCAAAGATTTTATGCACATGCTGAACACTCTAGAATTTCATGAATTTAACAAATCTGTTCCTGACAACAGTGATTCATGACAGCTAGAGCCAGGGTCGTATTTCACTGACAGTTCTATTTCTGCTCCCCCATTTGTTAGCATCTGCAAGTTGTAGGGAAGCTCCCTGGAGCTGACTACTCTTACAACCCGACTGTCAGCAGCTCAGCTGAGCTCAAGAGAACCCAGCTTCCAGATGCTGGAGTAATCAATTAAAGCAGCAAGCCAAAAATGAAAGTTTGTAGTCAAGTATTTAATCACTTACTTTAGTAGTATAGGCAAGAAGTTAAAAACTGGAAAAAAAAAAAAAAAGAGCCGATCCCCGTCCACCCCTTTCCTTCCATTTTTCCCCCCAAGCAATGGCACTGCTCTGTCTAGGACCAGGTAGATTAGCCCAGACTTGGAGGCAGTTATTTCACTGTTGAAGCCCTTTAACAAAAGGCTCCTGCACAACACAATAAATACACACAATTTTATCTTTCAGTTTAAAAATAATAATATAGGAAATAAATAAATTTACCATAGAGACACTTTTTTTAAAGGCTCCTGCAGTTCTATGTACTTGGGATCCAGGGAGAGAGAGAAGGGAAGGGGGAGGGAAGAGGACTGGGAGTTTAAAATTACTGAATAGTAGGTCACAGTGAAAAATAAGTCTTCAAGGCGTCCCCCTCGAGTCACCCTCCCTAAAGAAGGTCTCAGCTAAAATCCCCAGATAAAGAGGTCTCTGAATAAAAGAGTCTCAGCTAGGAATGCAAATATGCATAAGCACAAGGCCAATCAGAGGGGCTTGAGTCCTTGACCGCATTTCCTTCAGAGACTGCAATGCATTCATTGGCTGTGCACCAAGTCAGCTGCAGGGAAGGCAACTTTCTCCTGGGAGGCCTGCCAAGCAACACTTCGAAATTGCCTATGGTCAGACTTGAAAAATCACACTTAGGTTTTTAACTAGAAGCCGAACTCTTCACCCAGTTAGCTCATTCTCCTTTATTCTAGCCCTTCCCATTTCCTCCTTCTCGGCTTCTTCTGCGCCTGTTTTCTGGCTGTTCCTTTTTAAATATATATGTTATTGGGCAGAGACTGGTCAAAACAACTGGAATAGTTCAGAGAAGATTTAAGGCCAGGAGGTAAAAAGTGTTTCTTATACAAAGATGAAGGGGAATCCACCTACTGGAGGGTAGAGGAAATGAGTGGATTTCCAGTACAGCACATACAAAGGGGCTGAGTCCATGGGGATGACAAAGGCTAAGGTTTGACTGAAGCCCAGAGTATAAGGCAAGGACAGGCAACGGGTGCCTTGAAGAGGTCAAAATAAGAACAGCCACATATACCATACACAATTTTTAACTTTTTTTTTCTAGTAAGAGATAAAAAAGCAGTGAATAATATAACCACGGAAATTATAGGAAAGCATCCACTCCAAGGCTAGTACAGAGACGAGGAATTTATATGACAACAAATAACAATGCATCTCAATTTTTAAGTAGTATTCAAAGTCCTCGGCTTCAAGGCAAAAATGGTTATTTGGATTTGTCCCTAAAGGAGTCTCTTTCAAAGATCAACAAATGTATCCTCAGAAGAGATGCCAAATTCTTCATTAGTGTGTGAATAGTTCCTTTGAAATACATATTATATGAAATCTTCATATGTAAAAATACACTTATGAATACTGTATTGCAGCTGCACACACTGGGATTGCTGACTTGGGAAAATGGTGGGTGAGGAAAATATGTTGCTAATATCAGGGAAAAAAAGACAGCCTACAAGTAACCTAAAGAAACCTCTTCATATTTTGTTTGTCTGTATGGTGTTTGTAGAGTAGAAAATTACCTTTTTTTCTAAAACAGAAATTGTTACTTCTTTCTTTCTTTTTTTTTTTTTTTTTTGAGATGAAGTCTCACTCTCCCCAGGCTGGAGTGCAGTGGCGTGTTCTCGGCTCACTGCAACCTCTGCCTCCCTGGTTCAAGCGATTCTCCTGCCTCAGCCTCCCGAGTAGCTGGGACTACAGGTGTGCACCACCTCACCCAGCTAATTTTTGTAATTTTTATTAGAGACGGGGTTTCACCATGTTGGCCAGGATGGTCTCGATCTCTTGACCTCGTGATCCGCCCACCTCGGCCTCCCAAAGTGCTGAGATTACAGGCGTTAGCCACTGCGCCTGGCCAATAATTACCTATTTTCTTAACATTAAGTGACTGTTTATGATGAATAATTGTAATTTTAGACATGTGTTTGAACTTTTCATTAATGCCATTCCATTTTTTCAAATGTTTATGCCATACCTTCACATTCATGTTAAGAAATAGCTAAATAGTTTCGAATTCCACAATTGTAATTGCCAGTTTTTTATCTTAAATTGATTAGTCTGAAGTCTTATGAGAAAAATCAGTTTATCTTCTTACCACATGTTTTATATATATATATATATGTACTTATATATGTATATTTTCCATTTTAATTTTTTATTCACTAATAATATCATAAAATCATTTTAAATGACCCATCTAAATTGAATATTAAGTGAAATGTTTGGTCATTTGTTTTTTGTTATTGTCTACTGTGGAGGAGAGGGGAGAATCAGTTCTGACTTTGGAGACTCAAGGCTAAATCTTACTGAGTTCATCAAAAGTTATAAATAAAGCATCCAAGGGCAGAAGTTGACCCACAACAAATTAAAACTTAATTCCTTGTCACTTTACACATACATGTAGACATTGGTCCACACTAAGAAATACATTTTGTCCAAAGTACATGGCGCCAGGTTTTAGTATTTGCTTTTTTCCTAACTTGCAGTGTATGTCCATTAGACTCATATAACCATAACACAACCCAAGAATATTAATATCAGAGAGTATTTATAAGTGAAAAAGATGTCAATTTTCCTAATGAGTTTGAAAATATTGTATGGTATAATGCTGAGACAGCAATTCAGATTTTTAAAAATCATACCATAGACGAGTACTTTGGTTTTTATGATTTCTATTCTTTTTATTGGTCACAGTTGTTTTATCACACACTGGAAATTATGACATATGGCATTTAATAATATTCACCACAAGAAGACTTATTCTTGATGTCATTCTCAGTCTCTATCTTCATATGCACATTTTCTTTTGCACAATTTGGTCCAAAGTTAGCCTGAGCAATAAGCAGTCCAATTTGTTATGACCCATTAAAGTGCTCTATAAGTATTCAAATGATCTGATGATATTTTGAAGAAAAAAAATTCCCCCTCCATTTGTTGGGCAAACGGAGGGGAAGAGACAGAGAATATTGGATATTAATTCATTTATTTCATGCAAATTATATTTAAAGTTATACAATTTTACCTCTCAAAGATTCATTTTGGTCATTTTCATTCAGATTCAGAATAAGTCTCATGATTTCTTTAAGTTTATTTGACAAGTTTTTATTTCCATTTTTCTTTCAGTTAAAAAGAAAGCATTATTTTTTTAATTCAGGAACAGCTAACAGAGTCTGAATATATATCTTTCAGTTCAATAAAATATAATAATCCATCTTAGATGACTCATTTTAACCTCTCAATTGCCTCATGTTTTCATTGGCTAACTTTTTAATATCTTCATAATTTTTCTTCAATTTTAAATTGTATTGCTTTTATAACACCTGGAGAGTTATTGTTCCCATTTTCTATTTCTATCTAGGGAAAAAATATAAATAATCATTTCACATTAATAAAAGTCCTCCACTGTTAAATCTTGAGAAATGAGTTGTATATGTTAAAATAATTTTTGACCTCATAAGTTAATTTAGTGGAGTAATGGTATGTTCCCATATTTATTTATGGGCTTAGAAAAGCTTCAGAAGCCTGTAGGAGAGGTGACACAAGAAAAGGCTGAGGTGAAAGCTAAGAGTTAAAGCTGTCTTAATAACATAGAACCTAAACATAGTGTTAGGAGAATGAAAATTAAAGAGTCAATTCAAACCTTAGCTATACCACTGGTCTATACTCTTTAAGGGTAAGATAA
Organism: Homo sapiens; assembly: GCF_000001405.40. NCBI lineage: Eukaryota > Metazoa > Chordata > Mammalia > Primates > Hominidae > Homo > Homo sapiens. Next base: position 79,487,548 of record NC_000003.12, on the reverse strand, counting down.
AATAGAATAAAGGGGCTTTATAAAACAGAAAGTTGGCTCGGCGCAGTGGTTCCTGCCTGTAATCCCAGCATTTTGGGAGTCCAAGGCAGGTGAATCATGAGGTCAGGAGTTGAAGACCAGCCTGACCAACATGGTGAAACACCGTCTCTACTAAAACAAAACAAAACAAACACACACAGAAAGCCATTGCAAACAGTACTGTGGTCATTATCTATAATATCCATTCAACCAAAAATGTTGCACATGCTTTACAGGGAAAGAAAAAATAATTTTCACTCTACCCCATCTGATTTCTCAGGTGGGACCTCTATAACAACGAAAAATAAATAAATTAAACCAGAGAAATCAAACAGAAGTTTTTTAACTTCTTATACATTTTATGTATATTACATAGGCAATATCCAGGGAATTAGTAATTCTCCAGGAGGTTCCTGGGAACTCTCTTTATCATTTTCAACAAAGAACAATACACTTTTAGAGGAGTGACAAGACAAAGGAAAAGGACCTTGAGTCTCTAGGGGTGGGACATTGTGGGATGGCAAATATATGGGAAACAAATGGCAGATAAAGGCCAGTTAGTAGAGTTTGTTATGTCGATCCCTCAGGTACTGTCTCCTGGATGATAAAGGTCTAAAGTTGTCTTTGCTGATCAACCTTTGTCCTTCCTAGTAGAGAGGGGAGGAGGGATAGCTCTGTAAATTTTGTCTTACTTTTGGGCAGATAGGGAGAGGGCAGAGAGCATTTTTGGATATTTGCTTCTTTTTATTTGCCTTCAGCTCAAAATACTTCTTTTGCCAAAATGGCATATTTTGGGGTGGCATATTCTGCTGCCCTTCACTGGTAAATACATATTTGAAACTATTGTGAATATAGGTATGCCCCGAACCCTACCTAAAAATTTTGCTGGGCAACCCAATATTAGCACTTAATTGTGGAACTGATTTATTTAGAATAAAGAGATATTCTGCTGTTAATTTGTTCATGTAACCTTTTTCCCCATTAAGCTATATTAGAAAAGTAGGCATTTTCTTGGGGATAGAGAGGTGGAAGTAGTTCACAGTCAGAAAATAAGCAAGTAACTACAATAGATCATGATATGTACTAAAATAGAGGTACTTATTCTGGGAAAGTAGAGAATAAAAGTTTAACACTCTCTGGGGTGGCCAAGAAAGGTCTTGCAGGGCAAAGAAATCGGTATATATAAAGGAATCTCTTTATGTTTACCTTTGTACATTAAAGAAGATGTGTTTAATACACCACAAGGAGATCAAAATTGTTTTTATATAAGAGGATATACTACAAACTATAAAAAATAATACAATATAAAATAAAAAATAAAATGTAATTATAAACTTAAAAAAAAGACAATACTTTGTGAGACTTTACTATGCTGCTCACTCTTCTGAGAGCTTTTATTGAATCTTTAAGGTTATCCTTGTTTTATAGATGAAGAAACAGCCATTGAGATAATAATAAAGAATAACATGTTTTCAAGGACATGTGATTATTAGCATCAGAACTGGAATTGAAATTCAGGTTAAGTGGTTCCAAAGTCTATACATAAGGCTGTGAATGTGGTGAAAACAAGGTGGGAAAGAATAATGGAAAACCTTTGAAGACAGGAAAACATTCGGATATGGGACATGGGAAACAGACTGAAAATGACTTCCAAACTCCCGTCTTCAAAGATAGGTAAAATTGGTACTTTATTTAATACAGTATAAAGAATCGGACAGTAAGGTGTTAGAGAGAAGACTACGCACTAAATTGGGGACATGTTAAGTGCCAACATGTGTCTGCGGTTGACAATATGTGGTGGCAGTTGGCCCCTGAGTAGAACACAAGACCTCTCTGTGCCTTACTTTCTGTATCTGCAAAATGGGGATGGAGTTGTTGTAAGGATTAAATGAGTTAATAATTTTAAAGCGCTGAGAACAGTATCTGACTCATGGTATCTATTACGATTGTGGGTTAACAAAAAAATGACAGATATGAGCCTCAAACTGCCTCTAAAAAGAACAGAAGTGAACACTAAATTTTGTATTAGGAAAGGCCATTTTCAAACTTGAAAATACTTTGTTAACATTTAGTGTAGGAACTATGTATGGTTTTTATTTTAATCTTTTGTAATAATGTCATTACTTATTCCGTTTTCATATATATGATTGTGATTATCAATTTGAAGTTATAATAAATATCACCAACTTAGACTGATCAGAGAAATACTAGATAGAATTATACATGATTTTAAGTAATTCAATGTTTTGAATTAACGTGTACATTTTAATAGCAACTATACTAACAAAAGAATTAATAAAATGTCTTATTTTATCCAAAGCACTCATGCATACAAACATCTTTTTATTCAACAAATATTTATTGATGGCTACTATATAGCAGCTACACAGCTCAACACTATAGTAAGATTAGTACAATTAATATAGGAAAATCTCCTCCCTGAAAGATTTCAGAGTCTTTTCTAAGAGTAAAGATAGTCGGCTGGGCATGGTGGCTCACGCCTGTAATCCCAGCACTTTGGGAGGCCAAGGCAGGCAGATCACAAGGTCAAGAGATCGAGATCATCCTGGACAATATGGTGAAACCCCATCTCTACTAAAAATACAAAAATTAGCTAGGCATGGTGGTGCACGCCTGTAGTCCCAGCTACTCAGGAGGCTGGGGCAGGAGAATTGCTTGAACCTGGGAGATAGAGCTTGCAGTGAGCCGAGATCATGCCACTGCACTCTGGCCTGGTGACAGAGCGAGACTCTGTCTCAAAAAAAAAAAAAAAAAGATAGTGCAATGATAGTGGTGTATAAACCATGTGATTTATCACAATATACTTAACCCATATTTATCCATTGGCCCTCAAGTATATTAGAGCACAGGAGAGAACTATCACGTGCATATTATGGCTTTTCAAATTAGCAGCAGACAACATACCAAATTATGGCTTCTAAATTGTAAAAGAATCCTTATTTCTAAATCTCAGCCAATTATTAAAATATTTCAATCGTTTTATCACCATATATACACACACACACATATATATATATGCCTGAAATCCTTATTTGTGGTATTTATTTAATAAGTAAGCTTTGTTATTATAGTGAGTATGTAACAGAATGACTTTAAATCTACAAGAATAAATAGCATCTTTCCCACAACACTTAAGCTTTAAGTATACCAAAATCAAAAGATATGAATTTTTCCGCAGGGTTCTGGCTTCACGGAAGTGCTGACATCTGAAAGTTTTCTTGAAAACTGACTAGACCTTTTATCAAGCAGAGAGCAGAGAAATGTACAGTCTAGCACCTCAGGATCACTTTAAACATGTATCACCCCACTTTACAGACAAAAATTTTAAGGCTCAGAAAGACTAGCAACTTGACTGATCCCCGTGGGGGATCTCTAAGACAAAGCAAACATTTTGGTCATCTGATCAAGGTCAGTGCTGTTTCTATCCTTAGAGGGAAGAGTGACCTTGGCTAACAAGTGGTATATTAAATGTTCCTCTCTATTGTGGTTATGTCCTTGAAAGCAGTTAGGTCTCCTGATGCTTAAATGCCTTGTACCTCAAGGCTCAATCCTCAGTCAGACCCACGCTTTTCTTTTCAACTCTCCCACTGAGAAAGCTTTCCTTCCCCAGTTCTGCACTCTCCTTCTGCATGAACTGCTCCCATATTAGAGATTTCTCTACTGGCTTTCTTTTTGGTTCCCCCACCCCCAACCCCGTCCCAGATCCATGATTGTCTGCTAGACACAGTCATGCTCATCTTAGCAATGCTTCCATCAATGATAGACCCACATACATGACAGTGGTCCCATAAGATTCTTCATAATATCACAATTTTCCTGCACATTTTCTATGTTTACCTACACAAATACTTACCATTTTGTTACAATTCTTTACAGCATTTAGTACAGTAACATGATTTACAGGTTTGTAGCCTAGGAGCAATAGGTTACATCCTATAGCCCAAGTATGTAGTAGGCTATAGCATCTAGGTTTGTGAAAGTACCCTTTGTGATGTTCCCAGGACTTAATCGCCTAATGACACATCTCTCAGAATATATCCTTGGCATTCAGAGATACATGACTGCATTTTCATCCGAATGCAGTCATTTATTCAGAGGCAATTTATCAAAAACTAAAATCTTCAGCTTTTCCCAAAGCAAGGCTTACTGAAAACTCACTTTGAGCCCCATTCAATGGGACCACAATTAGTACACTCTAACACTTTCCTTTCACTTTCCCCTTTACCTTGCTCTGTATCATGACAGAATTAACAATCTTTCATTTTTTGTTCCACTTCAGCCATCTGCCATTTTTCACAATGTCTCTGGATGGGGTCTTTGTTGTCTGTGTTAGAAGTTACATTAGATAGTGCAAAAATTATAATACCATGACATAAAAAAATAAATATTGGTTCAAACAAAGTGGAAGTTTATATATTTTACATGACACAACTGTGGTCAGTGGACAGAGCAGGGTGGAGAAGTCGCTCTATTCCAAAAGAGTTCTCCATGTAATTCCCTTTTGCCGTTTCAACACACCCTGTTGTTGTTGAGGAGTTTGACTCGGCCATGTTGCAGATCTCCAGCTGGGCAGCTGATGGCATAGCTAGAACAATTATTATAGAAGAAGAGGAAAATGGACTTGAGGATAAAATTAACTATTTATTCCACTGGTCAAACGCTATTTCCTAAATAGACATAAATATTATATCCTATCTTTATTTTGAGGTTTCAAGGTCAAATCCAATTCTACATCCCTCTATGGTTATCACGGTCCTTAGAAGATCTGTTTTTTAGCATTTGCTTACCCATTTATTTTGCACTTATTTTATACTGTCTTACTTAGCAGCTGTGAGATTCTTTATAAGTGATCCTTATTATTATTTATATGCATTCCTGTATTAGTTGTTTTTATGCTGCTAACAAAGACATACCAGAGACTGGGTAATCTATAAAGGAAAGAGGTTTAATTGACTCACAGTTCCACATGTCTGGGGAGGCCTCACAATCATGGCAGAAGAGTAAATGATGTCTTAGATGGCAGCAGGCAAGAGAGAATGAGAACCAAGCGTAAGGGGTTTACCCTTATAAAACCATTAGATCTTGTGAGACTTATTCACTACCATGAGAACAGTATGGGGGAAACTGCCCCAATTATTCAATTATCTCCCACCAGATCCCTCCCACAAGACATAGGAATTATGGGAGCCACAGTTCAAGATAAAATCTGGGTGGGGACACAGCCAAACCATATCAATTCCCAAACAAATATTAAGTTTCTTGTAACAGGGAATGCATCTTCTACATCTTCACATAGGTAGAGCCTATCTGTGTATTATCCAAAATAAGTAATGAAATTATGCACAAAACATAGTTTTGCTTATCATACTGATGGAATCAATATTTTTGGCAGTGTCCTTACAAAGTACACGAGACGTAAATATAATACATATTTGAATAAATGAATGTATGAATAATTCCCAACTATTTATAAATTGAAATTTATAGGAATACAGATTACAAAGATGTGAAAACTTTTAAGGCAATAGTAGGAAAAAGCATAGGATATACATTTTCTATGTTAAATTCACTTAAGAGTCATAATCTATCAGTTTATTTTCCATTTCTGTAAATCTCTTGTTTCACATAATTTTTATTATTTAGCAAAGTGTCCATATTTTCATATTAATAAAAGAAAAGGCAATATAGCACATTCCTTTTAAGTTTGATAGAAATAATACCAAAATTTCTTCTGAACTATGTTCAGCTTCTCTAAGATTAAAAGCAAGGTCCAAGTGGCAAAATGAATAAGATTGCCAGGGGACAAAATGACAACTAGAGATCAATAAAGATCAATGTTGGCACTAAAAATGGTTCGAAAATTTTAAATACCAGTAGCACAGAGTGGCCAGTTCAAGAAACTTGACCATTAAGTATGAGAAACATTTGTTTATAAGGCATATTCCCATATTAGCAGGTCAAGCTGGTTGATAGACATGGGAAAGGAATGCATTAATAGACTAATTCTACCTCTTTGAAGCAGGCCAGTGTTTTGTAATGTAAATAATAGTCACAAAAGAGCTCCTAGGCTATTCACAGAATCATCTCTACAGATGAAGTCATTGATAAATTGTGCACTTATACCTGGATTTTATTTTTTATTTTTATTTTTTTAATTAGCTGGTGCAAGAAATCACATAGTTTACAAAAAGTAGATAAAATTGTGTTCGACAAAATTCAGCTGAGCTCCATTCTACTAATATCTTTATTTTTCGCTTGCAGAACAAAGGAAGTGAGTTCACTTTAAATATAAATTCCTCAGTCTTTTACAATTTCTGTTCATACTCTCCTTGGCATTTTCGTTGCAAGGCAGTCGATTTCTTTCTATAGATGGATTTCATTATTCAGGCTTCACCATCAGTAGAATACATTATAAATTATGCAGAATGTGATAATTAGTAGCAAGCAAGAATATAAATAAAACTGCATTACCAATAAAAGGCCATAAAATCTGGCAAGTAAAATTAGTTACTGTGTGTTAAAATAGGAAATGTATGGAGGAAAAAAAATTGATCTCACATGTCTTCTCTGTGCTGGAAAGAAATTGCTATATTATGCTTCACCCTAGAATAGCATGTGTATAGCCTATTAGAAATAAAATGAAATCATATGTAATAGTGATGATTTAGAATGATCTAAAGACAAACGAACCATAGTCCCATGAAGGTAAATGGTTCTTTTGTTAAAGTAAAGCTGATAATATCCCCACACATAAACTAAACCAAGCTCCAATTTCTTGAATATGCATTGATTTCCACAGCTAGCTTTTGCAGTTTTAAGTTTTGAAAATGACATTGAGAATCTTAATAATTTATATTTGTTAAACCAACAACATGGGCACACACACACACATACACACAAATTCTTTTGTATATTTGCTGGAAATCTCTATAGAAAAATTAGAGCAATATTAAACAAAAGGTAATCCTAGTGTGTACAATAAGATGCATTAAGTGAGACAAAAAAAATTTACCTAGCCCATCTAGCAGAGCTTGATCATAATCAGGGGAATAAATGCACATGAAGTGTGCCCATCTAGAAAGGAAAAGCTCTTTAGACCCATATTGATTTCAATATATCCCCTATAGATATACTTGAGAAATAGTAATATAAATGTTAAACCAAGGACTAAATTCATTTGAATAATATATTCTAACATATTCTATAAGACCCAGTTCACTGCATCAAAGAATCAAAATGTGTATATAAAATGTGCCCAATTATATCAAAATACTTTGAAAATGATTCCTGTCTTTTCAATATTTGTAATGTTTCTTTAATAAGAGAGTATTTGGCATTCTGGCAATAAAATCCCCTTTCAAAACTTTGTAAAACAATTGTAGTTAAAACCAGGTAACACTGACTATGAAGATCAGTTGTAATTTTGTACAAAAAGCCTTTTCGGTATTTGGTATTGTGTATGTTTTTAGATTTATTTTTCCTTTCTCATTGTGGTTTGCTTAGACTTTGGTGTCAAAGTAGTCAAAATGACTAAGGTAAATGCAAATTTTCTATTGAATTTTTAAAAGGAAAACTAGGGAATGCGAACTTCCATGTTAAGGTGGCCTGAGTTGGTATAGGTATATTGGACTAAATATAGCACAATAACATCATGGAAGGTCTTATGCTACTTATGCTCAGGTTCTAAAATATTGTTGATGAAAGATCTAGTTCCAGAAGACTAATTATAATGTAACTGACATAACGTATTTATAAATTTTAAGGGATAACATCCTGTTAACTAAAGTAATAGGAATTAATCCATGAGTTATTTGCAGGTCCATTAAAAATTAAGGCTTTTTTGATATTGTAGATTTCCTATATCCATTACCCATCATGGTAAGGTAACTTTCCAAAGGTTTGACAGATATTTAAGTTCTACCAGAGTGACTTCCAGATACCAGCTTTGGGCCATTCTCCTATGCGTCGCTCCTATTGTAGATCAGGGTTCTCCAACCCTTGGGCTGTGGACCAGTACAGGTCCGTGGCCTGTTAGGAACGTGGCCACGTAGCAGGAGGTGAGCAGTGAGTGGGCAAGTATTACCGCCTGAGCTCTGCCTCCTGTCAGAAAGGCGGGACATTCAATTTTCATAGGAATGTGAACCCTATTGTGAAGTGCGCATGCGAGGGATCTAGCCTGCACACTCCTTATGAGAATGCGACTAATGCCTGATAATCTGAGGTGGAACAGTTTCATCCTGAAACCATTTCCCCCATCACCCCATCCGTGGAAAAAATCATCTTCCACGAAATCCGCCCCAGGTGCCAAAAAGGTTGGGGACCACTGCTCTAGATCATAGATTATTTACAGAGTGTGATTTACATTCCATTATCATTTATTTCTTGATTTGTGCAATAATTGTTTATTAAGTTCTGCTTAGAGCCTATGCTAAAAAGGGGAATAATACAGATGTGTAAGTGTTATAATACAGCGTGACTCTCAGATTCTTTCCTGATGTACCTCTAGAGCACTCTGCATTTTCCTCAGCTTAGTGGAGTACATATTATACTCTTCTGTTTTTGTTGTTGTTTTTTATTTGTAGTTTATTCTGGATTTTAGTTAATTCAGCAATAGTTGCCAAGTCAGGAATTGCTCCATTGCATACCTAGCAGTTAAAAAATCTCAAGTTTCTGTGGTGTTACACAGTCACGCATGGGTCAGAGAAAGCCTGTTATAAAGCACTAAGCAAAGCTTCCTGGGAGAGCTACAGAATGGCTCATCAGTTCTACTGGCAGGTAGAGAACAGTAATGAAGAAGGCTTCATAAAGACAGGTAACACTGGAAATGATTTGGAAGGTGGTATGGGGATGAAGGGAAGAAAAATGAGTAAAATAAAAAGGCAGAAACTGGAAGTACACATTACATTCTGAAAAATTTAAATAATTCCCCCAAGCAGCTCAGGCTTTCTGGGAATTGAACAGCATATGGGATTGGAAAGGTGCTTTATGCACAATCGACATATAAATAATGGAGTGGGAGAAGGTCAGACCGCACATGTTGAAATCCTCCAGGCACATAGTTCAGTAACTGTCTTATATTAACAAGCTTAACATGTAAGTCTTTTTTTTGGGGGGTGGGGGGGTTGGTCTGCAGATTCAGTTCCAGGTTGAATAAGCTGTATTTCTTAACCCTTGGTTATTGCTGAATGCTTTCCATCTAGAATCAGAGGTAGCTTTATCAGGATATGAGCCCCATAAGAACATCAAGGCATTTCTCTAATACTCCAAGACGATCGTTTGGCAACTCACCTTTCCTAATCAGAAATACTAGTTTTAGACCTTCACTTGATTATTTTCTTCTGTAGATCCCAGGGCACTTGCAGCCATATTTGGTGCTTCCATTTGCTTTCACTTCCTGGTTACTGTAGACTGAATTACAGCCAACCAAGTTATTATAAGTATTCTCTGTAGCATAAAGGGTAAGGTTATGACATATACAAAATGAAGAAGGGAAAACATGCACTAATGTCTTTAAAATTAGACTTAATTATTTAGATCAAGGTACAGTCACATATAGATTAATAATTTAATATAGATTGATTGTTTAATTTGCTAATGTTAAAAGCATGCATAGGCCTTTGGACAAGAATATTCCAGATAATCCTAAATCAGTAAGGAAATTGAATCCATGGACCTTAAACTGGTAAATGTACAATTATGAATCTTGTTTAATAATTACATAATGTACCTAAACTTGATTTTTAAAGAAAAGTGTGTTTTAAAGTTGTCTGGTTATTTAGATCTTAATATTATGTATTTCATTTGCCTATGAAATCTCAAATTCAAAATGAAAAATTATGCCCAAATCCTATGGTAAATTCTGCTTAAAACAGCTTTTCTCCTCCTTTACCCAACTTGGTAAACATATATGTTCATCTTTGTGCACTTTCCCACTTGTTGTTTTTGTTTTTTGTTTTTTGTTTAGTTTCTTCAGGGAAAATGTTTTTAAAAGCATCTTCTTGCATATCATAAATCATCCCTCTCATCTGCACCTAATAAAAAAGAAAACTTAATGTTCAAGGACTTACTGTTTACCCTCATAAATCCTCATTATACCTATTCAAACTTGAGAGATTTACAAGCTTGTTGGTGGGAATTTCCCAAGCAAAAGAGCAGATTCAACGGTTGAGATGAGATGTTTAGATACTTTTAAGTCCATTTTAAGCTGTTCAGGGTGATTTACCTGGAATCCACAGATCCTCAAAAGGTATTTGAATACAGTGCAGTGAATTTGAGTACTTGAATAAAAATAATGATATGCCTATATTACCACTTACCTTGCTTGAAGTATAGCATTTTCCAATTATGAGCATAACAATAAACCACAGTAGTATTAGCAGTACCAGTGACTTTGTTGCCAACCAAAATCACGGATTTTTTTTTATTACATTACAGTTGCTGTAGATGTTTCAAAATATCATGGAAATTTGACGTTCTGCCACATATTAATTAATGTGTTAATAAAAAAGCACATATTTACATAACATAGACAAGATATTTTCATTACCAAATTTTTTTCTTCAACTTAAAAAATTATTTATTATTATTATTTTTAAATTTACATAGGTTATTGGGGAACAGGTGGTGTTTGGTTACATGAGTAAGTTCTTTGATGGTGATTTCCGAGATTTTGGTTCACTCATCACCCGAGCAGTGTACCCCTTACCCAGTGTGTAGTCTTTTATCCCTCACACCCCTCCCACCCTTTCCCCTGAATTCTCAAAGTCCATTGTATCATTCTTATGCCTTTGCATCCTCATAACTTAGCTTCCACTTATGAGTGAGAACAAATGATGTTTGATTTTCCATTCCTGAGTTACTTCACTTAGAATAATGGTCTCCAATTCCATCCAGGTTGCTACAAATGCCATTATGTCGTTCCTTTTTATGGCTGAGTAGTATTCCATGGTATATATATATACACCACAATTTATTTATCCACTCGTTGATTGATGGGTATTTGGGCTGGTTCTGTATTTTTGCAATTGTGAATTTTGCTGCTATAAACATGCGTGTGCAAGTATCTTTTTCGCATAATGACTTCTTTTCCTCTGAGTAGATACTCAGTAGTGAGTATCTGGATCGGATAATGAGACTGCTGGATCAAATGTTAGTTCTATATTTAGTTCTTTAAGGAATCTCTACGCTGTTTTCCATAATGGTTGTACTAGTTTTCATTCCCACCAGCAGTGCAAAAGTGTTCCCTTTTCACCATACCCGTGCCAACATCTATTATTTTTTAATTATGGCTGTTCTTGCAGAAGTAAACTGGTATCACGTTGTGGTTTTGACTTGTGCTTCCCTGATGGTTAGTGATGTTGAGCATTTTTTCATATGTTTATTGGCCGTTTGTATATCTTCTTTGGAGAATTATCTATACATGTCCTTAGTCCACTTTTTGATGGGATTGTTATTTTTTTCTTGCTTATTTGTTTCAGTTCCTTGTGGATTAGTCCTTCAACAGATTTTTAATATCATTTTAACTCCATTTATTTTATTTTATCCATTAATAATAACATTCCAAAAAGGAGATCCAAAGGCTTCACTAATCTTCCAAAGAGTCTGTAGGTTAAAAAGACATGTAAGAAAACCTCTGCTAATGGAGCAAGCTCCCTAGTAAAGTCCAATTGCCAAACTCTTAATGATACCTTACTGTTTTGTTGTACTTAGGGGTTTACAAAGAACTCTTATGCACATTTTATGCCTTTGTTATTAAAACTTTCTGTTCAAACTAGTGGGGAGGACCATAGGGTGCAAGCAATAAAGGGCATTTTCTGTAGAGAATTTAAACACAATAATAAAACCTACTAAAAATCATCCTCCTTACTACTGTCACCATACCTTGACCATTTTAAGTAATATAGTAATAAAATATTCCAAAATACTCTCCTCCAAGTTTTTTTGTTCTATTCTAATCAATATTTGTGGTTATAATTTCTTCTATGATTGCCATTATAGTTTAGTGCATAACTGAGGAATTTTCTCTAAATTATTCAGACTTTATTGAGTTGTAATAATATATTTGGAAGCAGAAAATGAGAGCATTTTTATTTCTTACCCTTTAATAAACAAAGTATTCAACATGAACAGTAATACAAAGAACTCCCAGTTACAGAAGCAGAACCTCACCCAGACTTATCTACATGTAGACTAAACAATATGTGTTCATTTTGAGATAAAGTACGTAATAGTTCAGAAATTTCCAAGCTCACTTTGGTTGTAGTTTGTGATTCTGACCCTTATGATTCAAAACATACCTGCATTTGAAAGTTGATTTGATGTAAACAATTGTAACTCAGTGAGAATAAAGATTTTTTTTTAAAAAAAAAGCAATTGAGTTACTTTAATACTATCATTCCTTTGGAGTATCTATTAATTTTATGACTATTACTGAAAAGAATTCTGTTGTATACAGTAGGATATATTAAAATGATTAATTTCAGATGTCAAATATAAGATGTATCCTTCTAAGACAATTTCAGCCAGTTTTAATTCTCCCAGTTTTCCTAGATAGCGTTACCTTTTCCAAAATCACCTAGCAATTAAGGAACAGAAATTAACAAAAAACAAATCTGATTTGCTAGGCTAGTGTTGTTATTTTTATACAACATTCTAATAGATCTTTCATAGAGAATGCACTTTGTTGTCAAATAAATTAGGAAAATGCAAGGTTAAACAAATTTATTTACAATAAAGTTTAAGGAGTCTTTAAATGTATTATATATTCTAAATCTTCAAGGAGTAGGTTGGTGTTTCACCAACTTATTTGTACCACAAATTGTTTCTTTTTTTCAAAAATAATTTCCTAAATCTAGTTTAGCACCATGCATAAAACAAATAAACAAAATGTTTTTTAAAATTTATGTGTGGCCCTCCTAAAGCACAAAGTAAGGAGATGTTTTAATAGCTAATGCTGCCTAACATTCAATGAGCACTTACCATGTACTCTTTTGAGAAATTTGCATTTATGTTTCCATTCAACCCTCACCTAACCATCTGCAATTGATGCTATTATTACCTCAACTTTTAAAAAGGAAGGAACTGAGGCATATCGAAGTAATAGGACTTGTCCAATTCCAGAGAAAAAATAAAAGTGAAAACAAGATTGCAGCCTAAAAAGCCATCATGCTTCACAGATTTTCAATTATTGTTTCAAAATTTATGATGTCTGACTTGTTGCTATGTAAACTTTTTCTTGTGGTATACAGTCACTTAGAGATTCACTTAGCACATGAGCGACTCACTAACACTTTGGAATTTGTACACACTTGAGGAATTGTCTTTACTACAGATATCTAAATGGGATCTTGTATAAAGCTTGAAAGAGCATGAGGTCATCTGTTTTTGACTAACATGTATCTCGCTTCTGCAACTAGAGAAGCTTGAACAGGTCACTGTCCTTATCTGTAAAATGAAGTAATTCTTAATATGTCTGTTCATATTAATAATTGTAAAATAAAAATACTTAACTATTTAACACTTCACACATATGAGCTTTGCTTTACTCATTTTACTGTTTTCAGAACTCACATATTTCTTAGACATAATTTTTTGCTCTCTGGCTAATAGGAAGTTGGTATTCGGTATGAAATGCATAATGCAGTCCTTGATATAAAGAGTAATTTTTTTCTGTTTATTAAGGGTATTCTTATTCAACTATCTAGGATTTTTATTCTAAATCAAGAATGTATTAGTATCCTAGGGCTGCCATTACAAATTAAAACAACCTTTGTATCTTAAAATAATTGAAAATTATTGTCTCAGTATTCTGAAGGCCAGAAGTTCAAAAAGGAATTAAATTATGTTAATGCTATTATTGTCTTGGAATATTTATTCATTCCATGACTATCACTGAAAATAATTTTGTTGTATACAGTAGGAGGTATTAAAAATGATTCATTTTGGATCTCAAATATAAGATGTATCCTGCTGAGACCATTTCAGCGGGTATTATTTCTCCGAGTTTTCGAGATGGTGAGGCCTTGTCGAAAATCACCTAGCAATTAAGGAACAGAACTTAACAAAAAAACAAATATGATTTGCTAGGCTAGTGTTCTTGTTTTTACCCAACATGCTAATACAACCATAGGTAAGGTTGGTTCCCTCCGGAGTCTCTGAGAGACAATTTACTTCATGGCTCTCTCCTAGTTTCCAGTGGCTGCTGGCAACCCTTCGCATTCTTTGGCTTGGGCTGCATAGCTTCAGTCTCTGCCTCAGTCTTCACATGGTCTTCTCTCTGTATCTGTCACATGCCTGTGTCTCTCCAATCTCCTACTTTCTCTAATAAAGGATGCCAGTCATTGGAGTTAGGCCCCAGCTTAAACACAAGACACCTGTATCTTAATTATGTCTGCAAAGACTTTACTTTCAAATAGGGTTTCATTCACAGGTACTAGAGGTTAGACTTGGGTATATCTTTTTGGAGGAATCAATTCAACCCACTTGTGTTTTTAATTAAGTGTTTCCACTTATGCCTTGAACACTCTCCCACATCCACTCTCACTCCCTAGCACCTTCCCCTCACCTAGCTAATATCTAATTTTCCTTTAGCTCTTAGTTTAAAAGCTCCTCTTTCAAGAAGAACTTTCTAACCCCCAGATTTGATTGATAACTCACGATAGTAAATTCTAAGCCATCAAACCTTAATTATTATAATATTCCTTTTTTAATGATTGTCTTCTCCAGAAAGAAGCTTTGGTTGGCCAGGAACCATCTCACATCTATATTGCTTGTGATAGCTGAAAGCCAAGCACCAAGCAAGGACTCTATCTGTAGTAATTTAATGACACTCAAATAAAATTGGTTTTCGAATGTCCCCAAAAAATTAGTTTTAGAGTTAAAATAATAAAGTTGCATTTTAGCTTTTCTCTCCTTCTTTGCTTAAGGAGCTCACCAATTCCTAAAGTTTGAAATGTGCCAAAGTAGTACCTCTTCTCTCATCAATACCTGAAGTCCTTAGCTCTGGTTCAATGACTACTTTTAGTATGTCTGTATGATATATCCTAGTATGGTAAAATAGGTGAGTCCCACTTAGAAGAATAATTTACTCAGACACCAAAAGTCATATTTATTATTGGATATATTTAACGGTTGACCCTAGATTCTTGGATGGGCCTAAAGAGGGACATCTGACTTCTGGGTTGTTCTAAAATTGTCCATTTCTTGGCCCCCTCTGAATTTCTAATCCTAAACACTAGGAAGTGTGACATTGGGCAGGATTGTGGGAAATTGCCCATGAAGTTGGAGGGAGAGAAATCCATATCATTCAGGCCATTTCTGATTAATAGGTTTTCTCTTTAAAAAACACTCCATGCATTCATTTGGGCACAAATTTTCTACTCAGTGTTTCTTCCTGGATAAATTTTTTATCATTAGTATTATTTTTTATTATACTTTAAGTTCTGGGGTACACATGCAGGACATGCAGTTTTGTTACATAGGTATACACGTGCCTTGGTGGTTTGCTACACCCATCAACCCGTCATCTACATTAGGTATTTCTCCTAATGTTATCCCTCCCCTAGCCCCCCAACCCCCAACAGGCCCCAGTGTGTGATGTTCCTCTCCATATGTCCATATGTTCTCACTGTTTAACTCCCACTTATGAGGGAGAACATGCGGTGTTTGGTTTTCTGTTCTTGTGACAGTTTGCTGAGAATGATGGTTTCCAGGTTCATCCATGTCCCTGCAAAGGACATGAACTCATCCTTTTTTATGGCTGCATAGTATTCCATGGTGTATATGTGCTACATTTTCTTTATCCAGTGTATCATTGATGGATATTTTTAAGCGTGACAAAAAGGAATCAAAATTTTGTCTAAATTCAGAAGACCTTGATCAAAGAAAATTTGAAATTTTAAAAATAATTTTTTATAGGAGTAAACCATTTTAGTCATTAATAACAAACCTCCAGTTTGTTCCTTTAACAAAGCACCACTAATGCAAACTTATATGATAATTCTTTAACATAGTATAGTGAGAAAAAAGATATCTTTTTTAGTTTATTAAATCAATGAATTCATAATATATCTGATATTGATAGAAATTAACAGTGTATGCTGAAGCATGTGGTATAGTCTGCAAATATTTTTCCTGTTTTATAGGTTGTCTCTTTGCACTGTTGACTGTTTTCTTTGCTGTGCAAAAGCCTGTTTAATATAGTCCCATTTATCTATTTTTTATTTTATTGCCTGTGGTTTTGAGGTCTTATCCAAGAAAATCGTTGCCCAGTGTAATGTCATAAAGCATTTCCCCTATGATATTTTTCCAGTGGTTGTATAGCTTTGGGTCTTACATTTGAGTCTTTGATATTTCTGATTTGATTTTTGTATGTGGTGAAAGATAAGGGTGCAGTTTCCTTCTTCTGCCTATGGGTATCCAGCTTTCCCAGCACCATTTATTGAAGAGACTGCTCTTTCCCAAATGTGTGTTCTTATCACATTTGTTGAAAATCAACTGGCTGCTGATTCCACTCTACAGTATATACACAATAAATTAATATCATTTTATTATAATTGTTCATTAAATTCTTGAAGAAAACTATCCTCAGAATTTTTAAAAATATTTACTGTATTAATCTGTTCTCATGCTGCTAATAAAGACAAACGCAAGACTGGGTAATTTATAAAGGAAAGAGGTTTAATTGACTCACAGTTCCACATGGCAGCGGGGGCTTCATGGTGGAAGGTGAATGAGGAGCAAAGTCACATCTTTCATGGTGGCAGGCAAGAGAGCTTGTGTAGGGGACAAGCTCTCTTTTACCACTTATAAAACCATCAGACCTCTTGAGACTTATTCACTACCACAAGAACAGTATGAGGGAAACTGCCCCCATGATTAAATTATGTCCACCTGGCCCCATCTTTGACACATGGGGATTATTACAATTCAAGGTGAGATTTGGGTGGGAACACAGCCTAACCACATCAATTCCCTTAAAAACATTTAACAGTTTTTGTTACATATGTATACATGTGCCTTGTTGGTGTACTGCACCCATTAACTCGTCATTTACATTAGGTATATCTCCTAATGCTATCCCTCCTCCCTCCCCATGCCCCACGACAGGCCCCAGTATGTGATGTTCCCTTTCCTGTGTCCAGGTGTTCTCATTGTTCAATTCCCACCTATGAGTGAGAACATGTGGTGTTTGGTTTTCTGTCCTTGAGATAGTTTGCTGAGAATGATGGTTTCCAGCTTCATCCATGTCCCTACAAAGGACATCAACTCATCATTTTTTATGGCTGCATAGTATTCCATGGTGTATATGTGCCACATTTTCTTAATCCAGTCTATAATAGATGGACATTTGGGTTGGTTCCAAGTCTGTGTTATTGTGAATAGTGCTGCAATAAACATACATGTTCATGTGTCTTTATAGCAGCACGATTTAGTATACATATGTAACAAACCTGCACGTTGTGTACATGTACCCTAGAACTTAAAGTATAATAATTAAAAAAATATATTTAACAGTTTTTAAAAACTCTTTCTCATAGTTCATTGTTGCTCCTTCTCAGCCACTTCTCCATTCTGGATACTTTATATGGATGTCCTATTCCAAAATACTATATTTTTAAATGACCAATAGTTGGCTTCGATCCTGGTACTGACACTTTTTTTTTAACCTGTATAAAAGAAGAAAAAGTTGTCCTTAGTTCAAATTGTTGTAACTTTCTTTTAAAAGCACTTATATTTTGAAATGAAGTAGATTTGCCAAAATATAATACATATTACCAACATTTATTAGGTGTTAACTATCTTAGTGTTGGTTGTATGTTATTTCAGTCATTTCCTCCTCACAAGTCATGTGGAATTATTTTCTTCATTTTATAGAAAAGAAAATTAAACTTAGAGTAACCAAGAAAGCTGCCCAGGCAAGCACAGTTGTACGGCAGGGTTGAGATTTAAATCCGGCTGCTGATTTCTACTCAAAACTCATAATATACATGAATGTTGTACCTACATTTCTTCTTAATTTTAAAGTCAATTTTTTCAGGTCATTCAATTTTAAAGGCAAACCCATAGCAATCCCTCCTTTTAAGTTTTGTTTTTGTTTGGTGTTTTGCTTTTTGTTTCCTATAGTTCCACCACCATCGTGGCTTCTAACCTAATCATAATTTCCAATTACTTCTCATTATTTCAGTTTATACTAATCTCAATTCATTCTGTGTATTGCTTCCAGATTAACCTACATATTGATTTTTTGCTAATTAATTTTCTGATTCTATAATTTCTAATAACTTTCTTGATAACTTACATACTCACTCTTTAGTCTTTCTAAATTCTTTATAAACCATTCTTTCTCCCTCAACTAGATGTATGCCCCATTATTTTCCAAGAGATATTTGCCACTGATAATCAAACTGATTTCTACTTTGACCTGTCCACATTCACTGAGCTGTTTTACCTTCCCATTTTGTCTTGTTAGTAGGTTGTTAAGTAGATTTTAAGTACTTGCTGAGTGCCAAATACATTTTTTTATGAAATTTGCATGCATAATCTCATTTAGTCTTCACAACACTTCTATGATACAAAGGAAAAGGTCAAGGTAATTAACATTTATTATACTCTTATATTTACCTTTTAAAATTAAGAGAGACTAAAATTATCTCTTTCCATCCTCAATATGACCCAAACTAAAACTCCGAGAAGTTTAAGAGCTTCCCTAAGCAATCAGTGAAAGACTGAGATTGGTCTAATGAAGGTCTGTACAAATCCAATTCCAGGTTCTTCTCATTTCATATTTTCTCCTTGGAGGCAGGAACTGGTCATTCTCACATTTTCTGATTGCTTCATACAGTATATGTTTATTTTAGGTGCTCAATAAAAAAATGAATGATTGCTCTTTTTCTTCATGCTCTTTCCATTGTTTGTTCAAATTCTCTCTAGTTTCAAGTTCTATTTCTTTGATTAAGCTTGCCACTTAAATAGAGGTATCTTTCTCTTGATTACATACGACTTACCTCTAATAATTAACATATTTAATTACTATGAAATATAGGGCATAGTAGGTAGCTATTAAGAGCACGGCCTCTGACCCGATTGTTCAAATCTTGTTGTGACATGTGACTTGAAAAAGCCACTTAACTTCCCTGTGCCTCAGTATCCTCATGTGTAGAATATGGATAATTATAGTACACTTTTCAGTTGTTAAAAAGATTAACCAAGCAGTAATAATCTCTAAGAGGCTTAGAAGGAAGTCTCACATAGTATAACAAAGGATGTACTCAGCATCAGGCACTTTAGGTATTGGGGCTATGACAATGAATGAAATCAGTAGTGTACTTATTTTCATGGAACTTTTAGTTTGCCACTTAAATATTACTGGTTTGTTTCATTATATATTTGTTTTGTGAGTCTAGCCTGTCTTTCTATCAATGTTTTAAGCTTCTAGAAGTAGTAAACTAGTCCAGACTTTGCTCCCACCTGTGCTTAAGCACAGTAGGCGGTATATTACAGGAATTCCATGAACCCTTTGGCTGTTTGTGCTGGTGAGATGGGAGAGTTCCCTAACCTCCGCTCACAGGATATGCCACAGGGGTGTGACTCATCTGTTCATCTGTTTTTCTGTCTGTGTGCTCAAACTCCTTACAGGAGGGGGAGCAGGCAGGTGAGCCAGGGTGAGTGCTTTCAGGCTCTAGCCCCACGGCAGTCTAGGGGTGTTACAATGTTCCTTTAGCCCTGCCAGCCAGGAACAGTTTAAGTGTTAAGCTCAGTGCCCACTTGCTACCCAGGTTCTTGCCTGGCATCCAGGAAGAATCAGGTCACACGGACAAATGGAAGGATGGTAAATGTGAGGGATTTTATTGCCAGATGGAGTTGGCTCTCAGTGGGATGGGTGGTGAGCCCAAAAGGGTATGGAGTGGGAAGATGATCTTTCTCTGGAGTTCGGCTGTCCCACAGCCAATCTCCTCTCCAACCATCTTCTTGACATTCAGACACTCCTTCTCTTCTCTCCTTCTCTATCATGCCTCCCTTCTGTTCCTTTGCTCTTCTGCTTGTCTGCTCGTGGAGCCTGGTGTTTGGGGTTTATGTGGGTATGGGAGAGGGGTTTGTGGAGGGCCAAAGGACAATATTTGGGCACAAAAACAGGAATGTCTCTTCTCATTTAGGGCTATGGGTCTCCAGGCTTGAGGGTGGGGCCTTTGCCAGGGAACCGCCCTCTTCTAATCAGTATTTCTGTCTTCTGTCTATATCACTGGTGCCAAAGTAAACCAAGAACAGTTTAGAATCATGGTCTAATGTACATTATTCAGGCCAATATCCATTATCAAACCCCTTGCCACCTGGATTTTCTTGTATGCTTCTTGGGACTATGCTGTTGCAGAGATGTGTCTTTCATGCCTAAGAGGCTCTAACTTCCCTACAAAGAGCAAACATTTGCTTTTAGGGAATTACTGCATTTTCCCACTAGTGCCACGTGTCTCTTCCAGAGCCATGTCTTCCAATATTGGGTTGGTATTACTAGCCTTCATTTTGTGTTCTTTTTTAGATGAACTGATTCTCATCCCTTAACCTTTACTAGTATCATAGTTTCCACCATCTTCGTCATTTTGACCAAGCTTCCTCTGGATATATTCCAATCAGTTCCTGAAATAGTCTGCTCCTGAAGAATACAGAGAACACTATTTTTGATACCCTTTTGCAAAGGTAGATATTGACACCAAGTATTATGAATTGTACTAATTGATTTCTCTAAGTAAATTAATAAATCATTTTTAAGTGAATTAACATTTTTCTGGCAAACACTGAAAGATAGCATACAGTCACTCATTATGCCACCAGTTTCTGTTAAATGGCTCATGTCTGAGATCCTTTATTACTCCAGTACCTGCCCTATTGAAAAAAACCTCTAAGATCCACTTGAATCTACTAATTAGGTGGATATATCAGGCTCCTTGCCTCTAGATTTAATATATTGCCTGATAGAACTCTTCTTGTAATTTAACAATAATTATTGAGCTTCATTGTACTCTTAAATAAAAAGCTAGCTCATTTAACTTGTGAAATGAGCTGTATCGATCTCTTTGTCATTCGAATTAAAAGGGACAATCCTTCTAGGCTTCGTAGGTGCTATTTGTCTTTGAAGAAATTTAAAAAGAATTATAACTAAAATACAAGGACAAATAATTGTACCACACAAATAGAAATGACATGAGTTTTTCAACTAAGATTCATATGGCCATTTAGACAATATCATTGAAAACATTATTTCTTAAAGGAAGCCATACATTATTTTAAATGTCACTAATTATAGTCTGTATTCTTTCAAAAATATGTATGTATATTAAGCAGATAAATTTTGTCAAATATACATTCATATCCTTCAGCAGTAAAGACAATCTTTTGGTCACAGAGAAAATAAATAATTGTCAATTTCAGGGAGGTTTGGGGTGGATCTCAACATTTTAAATTTAGACACAGTGTTTTTTTTTTTAAAGGAGATTGAAAATACTTATACTAATTCATTATCATATATAAAAGCTGCCTAGAGTTAAGATTGTTTTAAAATGACCATAAGAAAAATGAAAGAGCATTCTAAAGATCATTGTTGTAGTTTATTCTTGGAAGCCGATAATTTTCTGAGGGAAATATTAATGAAAGAGTAAAAAGATAAACCTTTAAATGATAAATAATGAGAGTCTTCCATTCCATTAAGAAACATTCCAGGAGTTTAACCCTGCTCATGTAAGAAAATTTACGTACATGAAAAAACATTTTCTTGTGAGTCTGGAGAATTTAGTCAGTTAAATAATTTTAAAAAAAGACCCTCCACATTGCAATGGGCAAACTACTTTAAAAATATTTTAGAAGCAGTCAGGGTCACAGTGAAATTAGTAAACCATCTTACTCAAAATCTACTGATAAATAATGAGAATACTTCAAAGAATTGACTAAAATGAATCCCAAATTACTGGACAGGTATATTATATCCAACAATGAAGTAAATATTCAATTTGATATAAAACCATTATATTATTTGAGAATTCAAAAAGTTAACACAGTTTGAAGCAGAGTAACATGAAAGTTTCTGAGCAATTGGTTAATCTTGTAGACAAAAATGCGTAACCAACAAAATAAAGGAAAACACTACTAAGAAAATTAAATTGGAAGAGATAAATGACAATGCTTAAGGGGATCTTTTTTGCGATAGTTCTGAGTTGAGACAGTTTAGAGATCCACCTAGCATTCCAAGACAACCACCGTTAAAACAGACTATTAATAAATAATGTTCTTTGTTTCTAATAAGCACCCCTGTTACATCTATGAACAGATAAAGATAACCTCAGTATTTTCATAGTAAGTGCATAAAATATAATTTATTCAAAATGTTTATGCAATACAACAGGAAAAAAAGCAGTTGGTCCAGCCTGAATTCTATGTATCTGTTATTAAGAATACGATTCAAGTTTAACTAGGAGTGCCCTTAGAATTCTACTTTCTAAACTACAACAAAAATGTCACACATTCTTTAAGGATTAGGGCCCTCTCTCCTCTTTGCTTTCTAATCCCGAGGAGGTGCCATGAGTCTATGGCTGCCCAAAGACTTTGCTATGTGATTAAAGCCAGAAGAGCTGCTGGAAGATTGGAGTCATGTGTAGAGTACCTGCACCTATGAAAGAATTAATGCCCGCTTGTGTAAAATTTTTCACAGAGAGTATTGATCATAATCCTTTCTTCAAAAGCCATAGCACATAAGTGACAAAAAATAGATGAATTTAAGTTCATCAAAATTATAAAATTTGTGTAATAATGGATATCATCAAGAAAATAAAAGATGAAAAATAATGGGAAAAATATATGCAAATCTATAACTGATATAGAACTTGTATCCAAACAATATAAAAAATACTTAAAATGCAAATAAATTTTTTAAATGCACAAAGGATCTGAATAGATGTTTTTCTAAAGAAGATACACAATGGCTGATAAGCACATGAAAAGATGTTTAATATCATTAGGGAATTGCAATTCCAAACCCAAACGAGATATCTCTTCACATCCACTAGGATGACTATAATGAAAAAGGCAGATAATAACAATAGTTAGCAAGAGGTGGAGAAATTGGAATATTTATGCAGTGCTGGTAGAAATTTAAAGTAGTGCAACCACTTTGGAAAACTGTTTGGCAGTTCCTTGATTAAATATAGAGTTGCCATGTGACCCAGTAATTCCACTCCTAGTTATATATTCAAGCCAAACGAAAATATGTGTTAATACACAAAAAACTTTTACACAGATGTTTATAACAGAATTATTCATAATAGTCAAAAAGTGAAAACCCAAGTATCAATTAACTGGTGAATGGACAAATATATATGTATACTGTATTTTTGGGCCAATTAAAGGGAATTAAGATCTGATGCATGCTACAACATGGAAGAACCTTGAAAATATTAGATTAAGTGAATGAAGCAACTCACATAAAGACTTTATACTGTATAATTCCATTTATACGAAATGTTCGGAAAAGGCAAATCTATAGAGATGGAAAGGAGATGACTGGCTGCTTAGGTCTAGTGGGAAAGGATGTGAATGAGCAATGAGTGTTAATGAGTTTGAGTTTCATTTTAGCATGTGAAAGTGATCAAAAATTGATCATGGTGATGATTGTTCAATTATTTAATATAATAAAAACCATGGGGTTGTATACTTTAGATGAATTGAGAGGTTTGTGAATTACATAAGAATAAAACATTTTAGTTGTAAAAATGTTATATCATACATTTGAAGACAACCATCAGTTCAACTATTTCAGTATTCCTTTAATGAGAACAATTATTAACATGGACTGAAGGATTATTCACTGTTTGATTTGTACCATCTTTTTCGGTTAGCAGATTCTTCCAAATGCTATGCTATAATAAAGTTACCATCTAAAGTTGGCTTCAAGCTAATCTATGTGGAAATAATCCAGCAGAAAAAAATCAAATTTTAAAAACAACTTCCTTCCTTTTTCTTTTAACTGACTGTCTACATTTCTTAAATTGCAGGAGAGGGTCACATCACTTGAGTAATGACACATTTTATTACAGTTGCTTGAAAAGGTTTGTGGTTTTTTGTTTTTTGTTTTTTGTTTTATGTTTTTTTTTTGAGATGTAATCTTGCTCTGTCACCCAGGCTGGAGTGCAGTGGCGCGACCTCAGCTCACTGCAAGCTCTGACTCCTGGGTTCACGCCATTCTCCTGCCTCAGCCTCCCAAGTAGCTGGGACTACAGGCGCCCGCCACCACGCCCAGCTAACTTTTTTTGTACTTTTAGTAGAGACGGGGTTTCACCGTGTTAGCCAGGATGGTCTTGATCTCCTGACCTCGCAATCCGCCCACCTCAGCTTCCCAAAGTGCTGGGATTACAGGCGTGAGCCACCTCGCCCGGCCTTGAAAAGGTTCTGACAGTGAATAGACAATAGGAAAGAAAGTTAACATACCAAGAAAATTCCGAAATAGTTTTCAGCAAACTTAAAATAACATGAACATTAAAT
This sequence comes from Homo sapiens, assembly GCF_000001405.40. Lineage (NCBI taxonomy): Eukaryota > Metazoa > Chordata > Mammalia > Primates > Hominidae > Homo > Homo sapiens. The sequence goes on along the minus strand of NC_000003.12, from coordinate 79,462,987 downwards.
AACTTGACATGAAAACATTCTGTATCTTAAAAGTGTTAGATAAATCAGGAATCATGTCTAAAGTATAGCAATAGTGTATCTACGTATACTATACGCAGTTTGTGTAAATAGTAACATTGATTTCTATTTCAAAGGTGGCAATACACCACAGATTTTCATTAATTCATCTACTCACTTGTTTATTCACAAAACTCTGAATACTAACTACATGATAAAATCAGACAGGTACAAAAAATACAAGATGATTAGAGTGTAGATATTGTTTTCACACTGCCAGCAAACTTCAAAGTTATGTCTGATTCCCTAATGGTGCACTGAAGGAGATTTGTTTGAAAAGCTTTATATTCTTTATATTATTTCGTAGGTAACTTTATTTTCTTTCCAAAAGTGCTTCATTGTCTAGTAATTCTACACAAAAGTGCTTCATTGTCTAGTAATTCTACAAAACTTTTAAAAATTTACCTGTCTTTTAAAAGGTTACACATATAGTCCCTACTCTCCGTTGTCATTTGATGTGTCACCTCATATTCTATTAGCAAACAATGATTTCTTAAAATCTACTATACAAGTAATAGAACAAAATAAAAACTTTACATTCTCCAACATGCCTTTGAAAGTGTGTCGTTTCCATTTTTCAAAGTTATCATCCAGCGTAGTTCATATAACTTGCACGTATGTTTAATGACAAAATAGATACAGGTGTTTAGAAACTTTCTGCCCCGTTGCATCTGGGCTTGCCTGTGATACTTTAACCAACACAGTAGGACAGAAATGACAACTTGTGAAATCTGGGACTACTCCTGAGGTGAATGAGGGTTCTCATCTTGGAAAAAAAGTGTCTACTTTTTCTACCCTACAATCCATAAAATCCATAAATACCTTTCATTTGGCTATAATCTTCAACTTTATGTTACTTACCACATAATAATACTACCTTGACTGATATATCATAATTTATTTAATTATAACCTTATTTTTACTATTATATTTGCCAATATTAACTTAATATATAAATGATATAAATAGATTGATAGATTGGACAACAACATTTTTTGCTTAGTTTGGATTGTTTTTTAGGAAAAATTCTTTACACAACCTTTTTTTGACAAATCTTAGGAGAATTTTTATGCCTCTGGAAACATTTCCTATTTTGCCATTTCAAACATTATGCCATTTTCAAACATTATGTCAAAATGATAGAGAAGTGCCAGTATTAGAATATGCTTGCTGTTGTTGCATGGCATCTTAGTTCTAAGATCCTCTGTTTTCTGGTTACTTATTGCTGTGTAATAAACTGCTCTAAAACTTAGGGACTGAAAGCAACAAACATTTCATTATGTGTCATACTTTGTGAGTGAGGAATTCAAGCAGGACATGCCTGGGTGATTCTTCTAGTCCATGTGGTACCAATTAGAGTCAGGATGGTATTCAGTTGGCAACTTGGCTGATACAATAATGTATGGATGACAATCCAGACAGCTTCACTCTCATGCTTGATGCCTTAGGGGAGACCTCTAGAAGGGTGTGCTCAGCTGTGCCCCTCTCCTTCTTCCTGTATTTTCAGGGCCACTTCTTGTAATCCCTCAGCAGAGTTGTCAGTCATTTTATGTGGTAGCTCAAGATGCAAAAGGCCAAGATGGGAACCCCCATTCACCTCAGGAGTAGTCCCAGATTTCACAACTTGTCATTTCTGTCCCACTGTGGTGGTTAAAGCACCACAGGCAAGCCCAGATGCAACAGGGCAGAAATAGACCCCTTCTTCTCTTAGAGTGTCAAAGAATGTGACCCTATGAGTCCACCAAATTATGATTCGATAATTGCCAATAAGACAGACTTTTGGTTACAACTTAGCTTGATGAAAGTTGTAGTCAGACTAAAATTCTTTTTAATATTTTAATTTCAGTGAAGTAATTTCTTACAATGCTTTGTATCTCTGATAAACTAAAATTTTATTAATTCCTTATTGATTTTAATATAGCTAAGCCAAGCAGATGTGCAATTAATTTTTTTTAATAAAAATACTACTTCTGGCTGACAAGGTGAAACCCCGTCTCTACTAAAAATACAAAAAAATTAGCCGGGCGTGGTGGTGGGCGTCTGTAGTCCCAGCTACTCGGGAGGTTGAGGCAGGAGAATGGCGTGAACCAGGGAGGTGCAGCTTGCAGTGAGCTGAGATCGCGCCACTGCACTCCAGCCTGGGCGACAGAGCGAGACTCCGTCTCAAAAAAGAAAAAAAGGAAAAAAGAAAAAAATACTGCTTAAACATGCTAGGGAAATCAAAGCAGGTGAAATTGCTATTATATTGTTGTATATTTGGTATTAACGGATTGTTCCCATTAGGGTTATAAAAGGCTAAATTTTAATTTTCTGGGTGGGTCAGAAAAATTGGCATAATTTTAAGTGCTTTATCTGATGCTATATTCTGATTTCTCTCTCAGATCTATAAATACTCTTGACAAGGATCATTAAATTTTAATAGAAAGGCATCTGGTTTATTCCTCACTGTGGCTATTTTCTTTGTATAAGCACTTGCTTTACTGGTATAAAATTATTATGTACTCACATCAGAATACTACTTAAAATATATTCAACTTATGAAAAGCTTTTCTTCCGGTTTGGAGAAAGTGTGTTAGATAGGTAATAGATTTTGTAAATTGGGCCACATGTTACATGGTAAATTTAAAACACATTTGGATATTTACAATCAGTGTTACTGTAGTCTCCATATATTGATGGCAATGCCTCTCAGTAAATGGGAAGTATATATTACATTTATCAATTTAAGTCAAAATTACCAACTTTCCTCTTTCCTTCTAACCAGGCACTTCGTTTAAGTGAAAGATAATTGGCCAGAGTAATAGATATATTGTTTTATGAGGTAAGAATTAGAATTTATAAAAGGAACTGATGTCTTGATGATAGTCATAAATTTTTGAATCAAAATTGATGCTTTGTTTTATTTTTTCTGTAATACATCACATAACTTACATATTATTTATCACTTCAAAGAAAAATTATAAAATCCTAAGCTTACTACTAATGCAGCTTTATTCAACTTCAGGTATTTATATTTGTTCACCATTTGTAACCACCATTTGTAATGGCAAAAAAAAGAATTCACCAACATTTGCTTTGCCTGGCTGCCAGGTTCCGGGTCAAAGTACCTTATTTTATTATTTTATTCATAATAATACCTTGTGAAAATGCTTTTTATTGCTTTTTAAAATAGTGAATTAATGTAACAATGAATTACATATACATTATTCTTAAAATATAGATCATTTTATTCTGGTTTTATTATGAAAATCTGTACAGTTTTCCATTGTCTGAAAAGACATTTTACTGAATATAGACTTCTATTCAATATATTCTTTTTTCTAATTGAAAGATTACTTTTAAATGGTAACATTTTCAGAGAAAAAATGCATGCGGAGAATTAATAAGTCATTGGGGAAAAAATCAAAAGATTTGGTTAATCTCAATGAAAATATTATTGGTTCTATATACTCTTTCCTTGTCCTCCTTATATAGTCCTTATCAAAACTAATTCTCTTAATCTGTTGACAATGCCTGTGGTAAATTACATGCAAATACAAATGAACATTCAGTGTCACACACTTAACACTTAAAATACAAATGTTATGATTTTTTGTAGAGAATAACTAATTTTAGCACTTTTTGTGTGACCACAAGTCAAAGCATGATACCTATCAATTGATTGATTACATTTTAAAGAGAATTGTGTTCATATTAAGCAACCACAAAATGAGTAAACCATAGGAAGGAATTTTTAGAGGAAAATTGAACATAGGAACATGTTTATTGTAAGCAAGGTATACATTTTTTTCCTGAGTAGTAAAGTATAAATGTGATGCATATTGATATTGTACTTCAGGAAATTACCAACATAATCATAGTTAAAATAATTCAATGTCACCACTTAAAAACGTTTAATAAGTTAGCATAAAGTTGGATACAGTTTTATAGGGTCATGATAGTATAAATTTTCAGTTTTTAAATATTTTTTAGTTTAAATTTATTGCTTTCCTAGTAATAGTAAAGAAAGTTTTGTTTGGGTTTCAATTTGATTTTTTTTTCCTTTTTAAGTATTACTCTGGCAAATTGGATATGTACCTATTCTTCTGGTTTCTATTGGGGTCATTTTATTTGTGTGATTTGATGCTGAAATATGTTGTATTTGTTTTGCTTTATGCTAAAAAGTATTAACATTTTGTTAGGTTGGAAATGCTCCCCACTCCTTTTCACCAGTTTTTTTTTTCCTATGGAAAATCATAGTGTTTCGTTTTAATATTTCTATCTTTGTTTTCATGCTTAGAAGGTCCTCGTCTCCATATATTTTTTCTTAGATTCGTATTTTTGCTTTTTTCTCCTTTTTTTTCCTTTTAACACAGTAAATCTTAAATCCTAGAGTGGCGTCTTTCTTGTCCAGTGAACACATGATAAAAAATGTCAGGGTGAAGATACTGTTGAGCATTCATCCCCTCATGCATCCTTTACCAGCAACTCTTCTGAGTGGCCCATTCTTCCAGATCCTTCATACTCACTGTTGTGGAACAAGACATGCTGGGGAGAAAGCATTGTGTTTCATAAGAAGTAGAAAACAATTGTCTTGGTATCTTGGAATAAAGAACATTGTTTGGCAAACATTTCTGCCCTGCCTTACTGCCACACCCAGGCTGAGTTCTTGTTGTGAGGTCTACCTTCTCTGCCCGTTAACATTTCCTTGCCTCTACTGCTGATTAAATCTCATTGTGCTGAAAATAAGTCTATCTTTATTATGCCGCTTTGACTGACTCCCTCCCCTTTATTTCATCTTCTAGGCATAATCAACATTTTTTTTTCTTGCTATTTAAAATGAGAAATAATCTGTGAGGATGCTTTTCTTTTTTGCCCCAAAGCCTCTTAACTCCTAGAATCATTAAGCTGCTTTCTTTCCTTCATGTGGAATTGGGTGATAGAAAACTCAATTGAGTTGTTTCTCAAGGCCCTAATTAAAATTTTGTAATTACTCCCCAAACTGTGAGCCAGATCAGAGCTGACCTTCACCTCCATCTTCTTTCCCTGTATCATTCTTTCTTTCTTCTCTATTAGTTCATCGTCATATTGCTATGAAGAAATACCCAAGGCTGGGTAATTTATAAAGAAAAAGAGGTTTAATGGACTCAGAGCTCCACATGGCTGGGGAGGCCTCACAATCATGGTGGAAGGCAAAGGAGGAACAAAGTCATGTCTCACGTGGTGGCAGGTGAAAGAGCATGTGCAGGGGAACTGCTGTTTAACCATCAGATCTTGTGAGACTTATTCAAGATCATGACAGCAGCATGGGAAATACCTGCCCCCATGATTCAGTTACCTCCCACCAGGTTTCTCTCATGACACATGGGGATTATGGGAGCTCAAGATGAGATTTGGGTGGGGACACAGTCAAACCATATTACCCTCCACTCTGTGAAGCAATGGTGAGTCTTCTAGGATTGTGATGGCAGCATCTGTACCAAAGATCTGACCTGGGGAAACAAAGGAGAAAATGACTCAGCGATGCACTCCCATAGACACACACACACACACACGCACACACACACACAGTGTTTCATTCATCTTATCTTAGAGTACCCCTCATACAGATAATATTCATTACATGAAAGCAACATTTATAACTAATAACAGTATGGTAAAACAGATTATATAATAATTCATGTTAAATTAACTTTAAAAATTATTTTGCAAAAGTTCAGTTGATGAATGCTGATTATTTTGTTTGTTTGTACTAATGACTGTGCTCTCAAATTTTAATTTTCTGTGATTGTATGCCTTGAATGTCATCAGTAAAATCAACTGCTTCCTACTGATTCTTCCAAAGTAAAATTCATCATTCGTTTTGGAGTCTGTGAGTTTATGCTTTGAGAATTTAAGTGTCCAGTATTAAATTACTTGGAGTTAAAGTCTTCGGAGTACAAATATTTTAAGCTGTTATTTGTAGGTCTTGAGAAGAAAAAATTAACTCTGGAGTGTAGGGATATATTTACCTTGAAAGAAAGATGCACAAATAGCAAAAGGTTATCTAGAACACAGCAAGACCTTTCCTGGAGAAATGTCTGTATTTAGGGGCAAATTTGGTGTAAGATTTAGAAGCTTGAGGATTTTAAACATTTGGAGGAAAGAATATTATTAGGATTAAAATGACATGTAAAATTTATATTAAAAGTCGCTAAAGAAAAAATAGCTATTTATTAAATATTTGTTGAATATTTACTAGGGGCTAGACCTAATATTCTAGGTCTGACACAAGAAATACGAAGCAAAACTAAATGAGTATGATAAGAAGTTGTAATTGATTCAGATAGAGAAAACTTCATGTTGGTTCTTACTGTATTTTTTGTAATCACTGTACTTTGTACAGCAATCAACTCAAAATAAAAATAGGAGATAACAGAATAAAACTATTGATCCATAGCTTTTCCTTCTACAGAAATGGGCTTTAAGCTATCCAACCACGTGTCATGCAGTGTCTCTGCCTCCAGAAAATACTCCATTGCTAACACACAGAACTTTTATTTGATACACTTTGTATTTGAGTAAAATTGTGACTTTCTTGATTCTCAGTAATATTTTGATGTTTTCACTGATATGAGTTAGGCTTGATGTTAGGTGAACATACTGCTCTAACAGCTTCTGAGAAATACTTAAGATTTCATCACCAAAAATCTTTTGATTAAACTGTTATAAAGGACCAAATGCTTGACAGATTGTGTTAATTTGCAAGGCCATCTTACTTTTCCATTAGATATTTGAACTTCTAATTAAAATTTCTCATTTCAATGAAGGTGGTAGAAATGAAGGACATTATATCAAGAGAATCAAACTAACACGTATGGTCAGGAAGATTTCAACATGTACTTAAGTAATGCCTGAGCATGAACACCAAAAGCAGCTTTAGGCATAAGAAGCTTAATACCAACCAGAGGTGTTCAACAGATGGTGCCCACAGGATACATAGAAAAGACAGAAAGGTAAATGTAGAGCTACTCGGGTTTCTTTATTTCTGTTATACAGATGGAAGCTTAGTTATATGCAGTCTCTAGATATTTTACAGAGTGTCATGTTTCGTATTCGGTAATCATTCTTAGAGCTATGTATGTGCCATGCTCAAATGCTAGTTCTTTTTTAATAATTACAACTTATCAGTTGTTACCACTTAGACTTCATGGCAGAAAAGTGCAGTATAGGACTAAATACTTCAAAAAATATGTGGAGGGGATGAAGAAACAGCCAGTGCATGCATCTCTAGGCACAGACTTTGGAGGTTTAATTTGAACAACCCACGAGTCAAATAGTTCTTCCCTGTATCTACAATCAAAATGCGGAAAATGACTCAGAGCACTACAACTGAGGTAATTATAATAGCACACATGAAGGAATTATAGGTGAGTATTTAAATGTCTCCTTTAAACACTTCATTACTGAAATATTTCACCTGAATTTTAGAAACTTTTAAAGTGAATCCAAAATTACCTTTAGCATCTCTTCTTAAAATTACACACCTCACAATTATGACATTTAACTTCTTTTTTTAAAAAAAGGCAAATTTCTTGTCCTATAAAAAAGTAGGCAGGAAATGGCAGAACAGTTAAGCCATCTGGTCCATAATGAGCTGTATTAACCAAAAACTAAAGATTGATGTTAAATGTGGCATTTCACCCATTCCACAGAGGTAAGTGTTAAATCTCGTACTCTAGCTTCAGGCCCTCCTTTTTGTGTTCTAATGTGTCATTCCAAAGAGCAACACTGCTCTTTCTGTTACAAGAGTCTTCTGTGTGCATATTTTAGCCTTTTTTTTTTTACAAGGTGTGAATTGAAACTAAACTCGCTGAGTTTTTAATAACTTTAACCAATTAGGTAATAAGAACAGATATTCAGAGTGAGCATATTAAACTGTAATCTCTCTTGAGAAGTAAGGTACTTAGAATGTTCCCTAAGAAACTCTTGCCAACCTCTGAAAACTAGTTTTGCTGACTTTGCCTATGGGCATCTATTCAGCCAGCTAAATAGTCTGAACAGAAAGAAGGGCTATACTGATCTTCCATTTGTTAGATAACAAATTCTGTGTTTTACCTCATTTCCAATACCCTGTCAGAGCATTCTGGGCATGAGGTATGTGTTTTAGTTGAAGATTTTCAACTGATTCTGAAGAAACAAATGTAAAGATGAGATGCATGGATATAAAATAATCTGAATTTGAAACAAAAAAAAGAGAATTGAATAAGTGAAAGGAAAATTATAGTTTAAGAAAAAAGTATCCACAGAGGTACTTTGAAATTTTATTGGGCACTAGTTTTTAAGAGATTTTAGTTTCTCATCACTATTTTTGGCCTCACTTTCTATTCTTTCTTTACCATTGAATGACATCTCTTTAACTCATGCTAAAATGCATCACTAGAAATTTGAAGGTGGTCTGTCAATTGAAAGGCAGGTTAAATAAATTGCTTCTGTGTGTCTGATGCTTGCATTTTTATGTTTTTCTTCAGTTTACGTCTGTAAGTCAATGCTCATGTCAAGTGTAGTAGGTGTCCCACGTTAACATGAAGTAGAGTAACTGAATGAACGCCCATTTAAAAATAGTATAACTTGAGTGAGGGAAACATGCCTTGACAAATAAATAAAAATGAACATTACAGTGCTTATTTTTCTATCTTTATTTCTTGGTAACAGGATGCTGCAATACCTATTTTTTTCTTCATGTAATGAAATCATTTCAAATTTTTTTCAAGTATGTCTTAAATCCGTGAACTCTCTGTGGCAAGCTCTGCGTAATGTTTTGGAGAAAAAAAAAAAAAAGGAATGAAATTAATTAATCTAGAACTTTCCTCACCAAAACACCTAATTTTTAAGAAGCCAATTAGACTATAGATAAGAGTCTTCTTTCTTTACAAACTCATATCTGACTTCAGTAACACACTCCTACTTATTTGCTTAGGCTGACCAAGTATGAGGAGGAGTTCCTATCACAACAGAAAAGTCTAGAAGAGGCTCAGCACCTGGAATCAACACTTTCTGCAAAATCAATCTTTCATTGTTGCTGTTGTCAGAGCCTTCTTCTCCCATGACTTTGCCCATTACAGGACAATGAACTAATTAGTGAGATTCAGTGCAGTCTCTTGGACAGCTACCTTGTCTCGTGCTTGGATAGTGTTTTTTCCAAGTTTCCTATTCTGGCCTGGCCCTTTGACTATCTGATGTCTCATGCTGTGATTTATTCTAGTCAAACAACATCTCATTTTCCCAGGTTTTCAGCACTCGGCTTTTGATGTGAGTCTTTACTGAGACCTACATTCAGTTAGAATTATGAACAACTCCCCAAAGCTACTAATTTTAGCAGTTCCTGGCTCTCTACCTTGTGACTGCCCAACCTGCTCTTCTTCAGTAATTTTTAATCTCAGTATGCCTAAGTGAGGCTTCGTGAAAATGCCTAAGTTAGAGCTATAACCCCTAGGATTTTGTCTTAATTTGTCAGAGTTAAGTCCCAGAAATCTTCATTTTTATAATACTGAATAGTTGTGTGGTCTAAAAGCCACTGTTTGACAAGCATCACTCTCTTTCTATTTAACCTCTGTTAACTTATGTAAGGAAAATGGAAGAAGGGCTTTGGTTTTTCAGTTAATCATGGTGACCAATAATGTCCTACTTGGCAATGCTAAATGGTCTTTTGCATTTGATGGCTCAGGTGTTGCTTAGTCTGAAAGCCCTGTAGTCAGAATCTACTTTCACTCAGAGCACCATGCAGCCTCTATTCACTGAAGTCTTGCCTTCTTTCCTTGTACTGCTTGGGAGATGGGCACAGATGTAGAGCCCGTGGACTCTAGATTTGGCTACTTAAGATACCTGCCCACCACACTCTTCCTCCCATTCTTTGGAAATCAACTTTAGCCTCTTCCCTTCAATATGTGTATACATTCTTTATGTACAATATGTATGTATATTCTGGCTGTACCCTCTGTTACTCTCTTGTTCCTCTGGTTTTTATATCATTTCCCTTTTTGTACAAAACTTCAAGATTCTAGAAAACCACAGCCACAAATGCACATTATCAACTCATAACTTCTGCTTTATGCCCCACAGCTAAAATCTCTCCCCCAAGACTAGAGAAACATATGCTGGATATATGTCTGGAGAAAATATGGGAGGAAAAATAAACTGAATAAAATACATATTAATATCATATATATTTCAAGTAAAAATCTAAGTTGCATTCTAAATAAAACTCTTCAGGTATATAAAATCTACATACTTATTAATATACCAATTTTAGAAATATTAAACTAAGTGCTTTTGTTTTTAATTTAGGTAATTGACTAGTTCAGTCATTCCTATTCAATACCTACTGTGAACCAAGTACAGCAAGAAAATCAGCAACAAGCAGACACAACTCATGTCTTTGTGGAGTTTAGATTTAATAGTGACATGCATGGTAATCAATTATGAAATATGCAAAACTGAAAGTCCAATATACGTTCTATTGGAGGGTGATATCTTATGCCCTGAGAGTATGCAATATGGAGACATGGCACATTCTAGGAGATAAGAGAAGGCCTCTCTCAAAAAGTGATGCTCCAGATGGGGGAAGAAAGAGCTGAAAGTGGATATGAGTGGTGTGATATGAAGATACGAGGGTTGATGGGCCCCATGTGGTTTATTTTAAAAAGTTAAAAAACTTTGTATTTATTTAAGAGCAGTGGGAAAACATAAAAGACATGTATAGTGAGATGATTATAGGTTTTTATTTGATAAACTAATCTGAATGCAGTTATGGAAAATAAATTGGAGTGAGACAAAGGTGGATTTGGAGACATCTATGTCATTAAAGACAATGGTAACTGGGACATGTACAATGTTCCTGAAAATGAGATAAAGCAGAAAAATTGTAAAGAAGTTTAAGAGTCTTAAAATAAAAAAAAGTTGCATAAGGAATTAGAAATTGGGAAATAAGTGAATAATAATAATAGCATGATGTGGAATTGAATGCCCCATCATTTTATTGCTTAACTTTTTTTTTTCTGGACGGACCTAACAGCAGAAAGTTGTGTTAAGCATACTCCTCTGTTAAATGTAAGCCAATATCATTGTTTACAGCAAGACCTCTCTCTTAATTTACTTATTTTTCCCTTTCTCTATGTTTCCTTTACACCTCCTATAGGTACTCCCTCTAATACCCTGTCTTAGTCAGTCTGAGATGCTGTAACGAAATACCACGTACTGGTTGTTTGATAGTAACCTTCACCATATTTTAATTATTCACTTCCCTGATTTGAAACAGATAGATCATCCAATCAATCCACTAAACTAAACACAGCTGCAGTGAATATTACCACACATTTTGTTTCACAAATGGATGTAAGAGTTTTTCTCTGGTAAAATAGCTAGATTTAAAGCATGTGCATAATTAATTTAACTTATTATTACCAGAGTGCTTTATATAACTTTACCAGTCTACACTCCTATTAGCAGTTCATGAGAGTCCTAGTCAACCTATACTTCACCTACAGGGGGTAAGGCTCTTCCATTTTTGCAAGTTCACCATTCAGATGGTTAAGTAGTATCTCTTGTTCAAATTCACAATTCCCTGATTACTAGAGACCTTAAGCATCTCTTTATATATCCATTATTCATTTGAGCTTCATCTCCCTAAGTCAAGCTGCTTATTAATGATCTTTGACATTTTTTGTGAAGTTTCCAGCATTTTAAATGATTATAAATATATTATGCTTTTAATGAAAATTCCTTATTTTAATGAAAATTCTATATTGACTTTAGATACTGTACACATCTTACAATTTTTCAAATGGCTGCTATTCATTTTAAGTCTACGGTAAAATATGTCATATAAAGTGTAGTAATAATCTAAAAAGACAAGAATTGAAAAATAAAAAGAAAGGAGAAAATACAAACTTAGAATTCACAACTTTAATATTGTTGGAAGAAATTCAATATATCTAATGGAAAATAATCTGAAAAAAATGATTAATAGAAAATACAAGTTAATTTATACAAAAGACCTAGCATAGTGTCTGAAATAAAATCAGAACTGAATAATTACTATTTTCATTTCCCCTTACTGCAATGTGAAAAAGTACTTCCTGATAATCATTGGACATATTTTTATCATTTAGTTGTCAAAAAATGAAATTCAGGGTATTATAGAATGTTAGAGTGTTAATATAAGAAATTATTTAAAATTGTAGTTTTTCAAGCATTTTTAGTTGTTCATCTTTCTTATATAAATCTTATAAAATGCCACTATAGAAAGGAGATTAAGAATAGCATTTTCATAACAGAAACAATCAATATGAAAATCTCAGTGTCAAATAAGCCATCAAAGTGCTCTATTTAGTTTTGTATCCTAAACAAATTAATTCACCGATGAATTCTATTTGTATGTAATAGAAATCTATCTCATTTTTCATAAAACTAATACATTATTCGTATAACTGAAAAGTCTCTGGGTATTTATTTATTCAGACTGGATATATTCAGATAACTTGTCTTCACCTCTCAGTATTATTATTATTATTTTTCTTACTTTCCCTTTCTTTTTTCCTTCTCTTCCTTCCTTTCTCCCTTCATCCCTCCCTCTCTCCCCAGCACCCTGTCTGTCTGTCTCTGCCATTTAGTTCTCTTCTCAGGCACATTCTCCCCAGATTTACAGTCACTTCTCTTCAAAGACTCAGTAAAAGGAATTTGACTCTTTCATCAGTATCAGTAAAAGTCTGTAAAATTAGATTTATTAGCTTAGGTTGGTCTGTATTGAATCATATGCCTATCCTTACCCCAGTCTTTTTTTTTTTTTTCATTTTTTTTCCCCAATAACTAGTGACAAATCCATTGCTAAGAACTGGGTCAGAAGCTGAATCTTGAAAAACAAAATGTTTGTATCCCTGCAAAGAAATTTAAGGGGAAAACTGTAGAATCGTCTATTTTAGGTATCTATTCACAGCCCAGATGTTGAAGTCACTCTTGGGTATGTTTCTTAACCTGTCTCTGCCTAAGTTCCTCATATGTACAATAAGGATGATAATTATATTCTATATGATTGTTGTGAAGATGACATGAGTGTTTAGTACCTGACACACTATGGCCATCACATATGTGTGTGCTGTTAATGAAGAGCTTAAATCTATTGGCACCATAAACTTTTTTAAACTTTCCTTTTTTAAAACCATAGCTTATAGGATAAATGTATTAACTATTTAGATATTTATCATCAAACTATAACATGACTTTCCTTTTATTGACTCCTTCCAGAAAAAAAACTCAAATATTTTAAGTAGATTTTATAAATATTTATGAAGACACTGTAGAACACCTTGATTTAAGAAACTAATCTGTTTGAAGATTTCTGTTTGTCATTAATGTACTCATTTATCTGATTTAGCCCTTTTACTGAGAATATTCAAAATGTACACAGGGTCGTTTTTATTTTCTCATCAGAACATATCTATAAATATATTCTTTTTTAATAAGCTCCTGTTCCTGAATTAGCATTTAGTAAATTTAATTTTTTCCCCTAGTGAAATGAATGTTCTTCTGCCAAATTATTTTATAAATCAGAGAACTCATTTTGGTGTTTTTTTCAATTTCATAAAATATTTGAGGAAATGCAGGAGGTTTGCTATTTTATTGTATCTGAGGAGCTCCCTACACATATATTACTGAATCTTTTTATTTTTTATTTTTATTTTTTTGAGATAGAGTCTGTTCTGTGGCCCAGGCTGGAGTGTAGTGGCCCGATCATGGCTCACTAAAACTTCAACAACCTTGGCTTCAAGCAAGCCTCCCACTTCATCTTCCTGAGTATCTGGGATTATAGATGTGTGGCACCACACTCGGCTAATGTTTTTTTTATTCTGTAGAGACAGGGATCTCCCTATGGTGCCCAGCTGGTCTCAAACTTCTGGTCTCAAGCGATCCTCCTGCTTCAGCCTTTCAAAGTGCTGGGATTGCAGGCATGAGCCACAATGTCTGGCCAGTTACTGAATCTTGGAGGTAGAAATTATCATCCCTTCAAAGGCTTGGATACAAATATGTTAAAACAACCAATAATGGAGGTATCAATGAACGTAGTTAATGATGGGTAATTCACTCAAGCAGAATTTCTTTTACAATAACACAATTTCTCAGGCTGCAACATGTTGATACTTATGGAATCTGTTCCATTTTAACTTAATTATATGATAACAATGACAGGTATTTTAAATCATTAATCTTTCTTCTTGATATTACTAAAAGAAGAAAAAGTCTCTACATATACCAACTTTGGTATTTAGATGACATCAAGCTCATATCGCGGTGAGGAAAACTACCCTCTCCAGAAATACAAATGTGGGTTGTGAGGTGGGGTGCGGGGATTACCCTATCATAGGCAAGAACACTTCAGTATAATGGAGGACAAATAGCAGACATTATCAACAAATAAACTGCTAATTAATAATAAGTACTAATGCTATAAAAATATTAGGTTTTATGGAGGACCCTTACAAAGCATAAGAAAGATAAATGAATAGAATTACCAAAAAGACTGAGTTTACATTTAAGAATAGTGTAAAGATGTGATGAGAATTATGTGCTATGTTTAGAGAAAACTTCTTGCTATAAATGAATATTACTTTTGTGTTTAGAAATTATGCTTATATTGGAATACTTTTGAATCTTTCCCTTGACTAGAGCATACCATGATAGAATCACAAATTTTGAAATCATTGCCTAATATGAAATGCTGGTCCTGCCACTTTAAACCTGCATGATCTTGAGCAAATTTATCAACCTAAATTTGCCACAATATAGTTATCTTTAAGATTTAGCTAATAATAGCACCTACTATTATTTGTAAGGTTGCTTAAGGGATAAATTTCTCAACTTATATAACATACCAAAAAGAGTACTAACAGGTTACATTATAACAACTCAGTAAACATTATTTCTTAGCAGTGTTAGTATTGTTAGTATCAACAATAGTAGGTAGTGGGAGCAGTAGCAGTAGTAGAAGTGAGTTAGTAGATGTAGTACTAGTAACAGCAGCATCAGTAATAGATGGGTAGGTTAACCCCACCACCCACGTAAATTCTTTTACAATTAACAGAAGTAGAAACAGCTTAATAGGCGATGTCTCTTCTAATTCATACATTATAATTAATATTACATACTGGTTAGGAATAGAAAAATAAACAACTCTATCTAGTGTATCCATAACATTAGTACACTTATGGACTGGTTTTTGTTTAGCGACTAGTTTTGACACTTTTTATAATCCTCAAGTACTGTATAATCATCAGGTTCAAATTAATTCATGCTGTACTCAAATCAATTTAATTTTTAAAGTCTTTAATTACCTAGATTTTATAAGCATGATGTAACAATCTAAGATATAAAGCAAGGAATTTAAAGTCTGAAGGAAGGCGAAAGAGTTTGTTTCGTTAAGTCTCTATCCAGCACTTGAATCCTTTTTTCGATACCACTTGTTTCATTCAGGTAGAAGCTAAATATGCATTGGTGAAGATCTCATGATCCATTCCATTTTCGGACATTTGTTTTGTAAAAATTCTTTGCTTCTGTTGAATTTGTCCTATAGAACCACTTAAAACAAGTGCTGTGGGAGAGGCCTTCCATTATTGTCCCTCACATCTCTCTGTGGTCCAGACCATACATTCTCAGTTTCTTCAATGAGCCTCACATGATGTCATGTTATTGCTTGTATCTTATCTCTTGCCTTTCTTTTTAGAGGCAATCGAGTCTGTCTGTGTTAGGGCCAGGCGCAGTGGCTCACACCTGTAATCAAGTTTACATTTTGGGCCGCGCATGGTGGCTCACGCCTGTAATCCCAGCACTTTGGGAGGCCAAGGCGGACGGATCACAAGGTCAGGAGTTCGAGACCAGACTGGCCAACATGGTGAAACCCCGTCTCTACTAAAAAAAAAAAATACAAAAATTAGCTGGGCATGGTGGCGTTAGCCTGTAATCCCAGCTATGTGGGAGGCTGAGGCAGGAGAATTGCTTGAACCCGGGAGGCGGAGGTCACAGTGAGCCGAGATCGCACCACTGCACTCCAGCCTAGGTGACAGAGGAAGACTCCATCTCAAAAAATAAATAAAGTGTGCATTTTAAAACTTTTTTGAAATGTAGAAGAGCTATAAAGAAAGTGTTGGATTTTTATTCTTAAGCAAAGAAGACAAGACTAAGAGAGTAGAACATAATGTCAAAAATACTGATATGGCCCCAAATATTTCATACCCACTTCTGATCTTTTAAAAGTGCACTGAGGTATATTGTAATAATATCATTAGCATGCACATCAAGAACAAGATGTATAACATGCTTTAAAAATAAACAGATGTTCCCCAAAAATAATTTGACAGCTTAGTGGGAAAAATCCTCCATTTATCATATTTTAATTAAGTTTTGTACCTATCTATTATAAGCAACACTAATTGCAGCATGATCTTATTTATTTCAAAACACTAAAAAATAGCTATAATGCATATGGTGACAAAGTCAAGTGCCCTCAAATAATGTACTGAAATATTATTATACAAAACATGTTGCATAATAACCTTTCAGACATTTATTTTAGGAAAGATGATTTGCAATTATAGACTCCTATAATTTGATTTATGATAAATACAATTTTAGAGGATCTGCGGATTTGAATAATTTATTTTGATGTTACCTACAGAAGTAAAAGTTTGAATTTGCCACTTATTTTGACTAAAGATTTGTATAAATTAAAGGGATACAAATGGTAAAATAAGAAGCAAAATGAATATTTATATCCTTGTTGTAATAGGGGAAAAGCAAAAGTATTAAGAGAGAAAACAATTTCTGGGCTGGGCACAGTGACTCACGTCTGTAATCCTAGCACAAGGGGAGGCTGAGGCAAGGGGATTGCTTGAAGCCAGGAGTTTGAGACCAGCCTGGATGACAGAGTGAAACCCTGTGTCTATGAAAAAGTTTAAACATTTGCCAGGCCTGGCCGGGCGCGGTGGCTCACGCCTGTAATCCCAGCACTTTGGGAGGCTGAGGCGGGCAGATCACGAGGTCAGGAGATCGCGACCATACTGGCTAACACGGTGAAACACCGTCTGTACTAAAAATTAGCCGGGCGTAGTGGCGGGCGCCTGTAGTCCCAGCTACTCGGGAGGCTGAGGCAGGAGAATGGTGTGAACCCGGGAGGCGGAGCTTGCAGTGAGCCGATATCGCGCCACTGCACTCCAGCCTGGGCGACAGAGCGAGACTCCGTCTCAAAAAAAAAAAAAAAAATTGCCAGGCCTGATGGTGTGCACCTGCAGTCCCAGCTACTCGGGAGGGTGAGATAGGATTGCTTGAGCCCAGGAATTTGAGGCTGCGGTGAGCCATGATCACACCACTACACTCCAGCCTGGATGACAGAGCAAGACCCTGTCTCAATAAAACAAAACGCCAAAAAAAAAAAAAAAAAAAACAATTTCTGTATTGTTTACCAAAAAAAATACAGAAATGTAATAAAATCTGTGAACATTACTACGTATATAGTTCTACTCATGATATTCTAATGATAAACCTGATCACTGGTGTGATCAATTGTTGTAGTTTTCATCAAGTTCATTCTTATAAAGTAAAAACTTTAAATGTTCAGTCTGGGGTTAAATAATGAGACTGAATATATACATATATGTATATATTCAGTAATATATGCATTGGTGTGGATATGATGTACGCAAATATGTATCTTATGACACAAAAAAAAATAGTGAATGGGACTTAAAACCTGAACTAGGTAGGTAAGATGGATATTTATGTGTATGCAAACAACTGGAATGAGACAAAGAGGATACAACTGGACTGATTGTCATAAAATAGACACTAATAAAGTTTATCAACTAATGTTTAAAAAAACAATGATTACCAGTGATTTAGGATCCAACTTCTGCTTGCTATTCTTCTTGGATAACATCTTCTTCATTCATCCCTGCCATCTTAATCTCATCACTTTTATTGTATTAACCTCTCTCCTCCCTTTCCCTATAGCTTTAACATATTTGCATTGTTATCAGTTGTAGGACATAACATGAAAGGAATCTTTGTATATGTTCTTCCATAACTTCTTCCTTTCAACATTATTAGTGATATTCATTTATGTTAATGCATATAGCATTATTTAAATTTTGTCATTGCTGTGTTGCCAACTGAAAATACTACATTTTATGTGTCCATCTTACTATTCATGTACATTTGATTCGCCATTATTTAAAAAAAATAAAGTTTGGACCAAGCTTCTTGAATTTTTAATGTATTTATCTACTGGTGCTCAAGTCCAAGAGACTCTTCAGGATAGAAATCTAGGAGTTGAATTGCTTGGTTGTAGGACATATGAATGTTCAATTCCATATGCAATGAAAAAATGTTTTCTAAAGTTGTTTAAATTTCCACTCTTACTAGCAGAAGAGGAAATGTCGGCTTCTCAGTATCCTTGCAAACACTTTAATATTAGCTGGCTTTTACATTTTTGCCAATCTGGTCAATTTGAAATACTATCCTATTATAGTTTTACTGTGTATTTCATTTACTGCTCTTATCATTATTGGAGCCATTTTGGATTTTTTTAAATTATATATCTGTTTATGACTTTTGCCCATTCAAAAAACCCATTTTGTTTGCTATTTTCTTTTACATTGGGAGTTCTTTATACAGCATTAGCGTTAATTTAATGCCTGTAATGTCTTCTCTCAGTTTGTGATTTATTTTTCCTTCCTTCAAGGATATGTTTTCATGAAAAGAAATTCTCAATATCATTGAAATTAACAATATATTTATGTAATTTGTAACTGTGAGGTTTGTTCTAAAAAAACTCCTTCCAAGGTGATAAAGATATTCTGAAAGATCATTTAGATTTGTAACAAAATTGTTAATCTGTCAAATAAATTTTTGTGACTGGTATAAATTTAGAATTCTTTTTTTTTTTTCTTTTCATGTGCACTCCCGGTTTTTCTGTCTTCAATTACTGGAAAATCTGTCTTTTCCTTCACTGACTTGTAATACCCACTGTCAAGATTCCATATATGCTTTGTTTTTTTCCCTGTGTGCTCTATCTCATTCTATAGGTCTACCCTGTGTGCTCTATCTCATTCTATAGGTCAGTTTTTCTGATTCGTTAATAAATTATGCAAATTGTTCTAAGATGAAATACATTTTTATATTTGATAGAATAAATTATCCACCTTGTACTATTCTTATCCCTTTGTCCATGTGGATTTTAGAATACGGTTGTCAAGTTTAATGGAAAACTTACGGGGTTTTCATTGATATTGTATTGAATCTTAAATTCATTTGTTGAGATATCATTGTAATATTTGTTGTTTTAACAAAAAGTGCTATATTTCTCAATTCATTTAGGTATTATTTAATATATTTCTATAAAGCAAAATTTTCAAGAAGCACTCATCCCTGAGAGGTACTACTGCCACTGTTGAGATCCAAAAGCTATAATGGTTTTTATGTAATTCTAAATATTTTGGATGTTGAAAGATGCAACTCAAGTTAATGAAGTCAATCCATTTAACCGAGATAGTTAATTCACCAATAAACAACTACAATGCCTGTTAATTGGGGTTATAAAGGACCGAGTATTTCAGCTGGAGCTCTGAGTGAATTCTTATGACAACTCTGAAGTTGTTATATTGCAAAGTTCAAGGCTTATCCCTTGGTTGCTTTCATTTTTCAAGTGGCTTAAACCTCGGTTTTAAGGTACATAATTTTTCTCCTCTAGTCACAGAAATATTGTTATCCTACTCCAGTGATCACCTGGCTGGATTTTTTACTTCTTTTCCTTTTAAAAAATATACATATGTGCAGAGATGGAAATGTCTAACTCTAAGGACATTTGAACTTGATAAGATTCTAAGGAATGTAAAAGCATGATTTTCATCTAATGACAAAGACATCTGAACTTAATAGAATGTTTGTTTCAAATTCTTAGGACAGGATTATTATTCCAGGTATTGAGATGAGTTTTGAGTATCAGTAGGCCTTCTTTACCTTGCAATCAAAACTTGTCTACAATAAAAAGTACCCTGCATATTTTCCCTTAGAAAAAATGTTTCTATGATACATCCTGAGAAGCAGGATGGTTCAGGAAAGAATTCTAAGCAAGAGTGAGGAGGTCTTCCCTTGGAGGTTCCCTTTAGCCTGGTGTTAGTGAAAGTTTTGAAGCTGATTTGTATCAAAAGTTGGTTCCACCATGAGGAAAGGAGGTGGTCCTTTTGTATCTCCTTAAACAGTCATTTGTGGTTGGTGGCCAACTGAGGCACCTTCCATTCTGTGAAGGGTAATTTTCAGAGACAACAGAAGTGAGACTTCCACAGCCACAACCCTCTCTGTCACTAGAGTATGGATGCACCTGAGACAAAGGGATTCAGACGGGACCACCAGAATGCCTTCCATAAGTCCAACTTAATTTCTTAGTAATCCTGTATTAATGCATAAAGAGAAATAAGATAGTTACATTAATCTCTAAATCTATGAAATAAATGGAAAACAGATACTATGGAAAAGTCTGAGTAATTTCCACCAAAAAATTCCTCATAAAAAGAAATTCTGAAATATATGGCACTATGTTTTTATATTACCACCACAATAAGCACAGTGATATATTATAGATGAGTTTTCTTATATCTCTACTCAATACAGGCTGATAATATTCCACCAAAACACAATTCAGGGGAAAAAAATCTATGAGAGACCAAAATAGTTGTACATGAATAAGGATTTCATCTTGAATGTAAAGCTAAGGACAGATTGCTTACATTTAAGGCAGTCTTCTGTGAATTTTATTATTTATTTATTTGCATCTGGGCAAAATAAAAAAATAAGAATTGAGGAGCCGAGAGATTATATTCTTTTACTTTTTTTTTCCTTTCTTGGAAAAATTGGTCCTCTTATGTTCTTAGAAGTCAACCTCTCTAGTCACAGAAATCAATATAACTTACTTGTTTAAATCAAATTCTGCTATATCTATAGCAGATTAATTTAGAGAACTACTGCTATGTTGCATATGAAATCATTTTATGTTGTGGTTATAAGGTCTATCAATTTTGAAGTAATCTCTGGAGCACAGATTCATGCCTTTAGAGCGTCCTGCCTAGTATGACTTCTAAATCATTTTAGTTTTCTTTTAACATTTCCTTACACTAACACTCTGCAGACTCTAGAAAATGAGATTCGTTTTTTTCCTTTGACACACTGTTTGTGGAAGTGCCCCTGAGTCATATCATTATATCTAAGATGACCAATTGCTTTTTCTGAGGATAGAAATTCAAGATGAAGTTATTTGAAGGACTAAGGAGAGTAATGATGAATTTTTCATATGCTCTTATTCTATTTTCTCGCTGTAAAAAATGTATAAAACAGATCTATTCAAGCTCCATGTTCTAGCCAATGGAACATAATCACCAAAAGACATTGCAAAAACAATACTTAGTTATTTACTTAAAAACTGATTGGCCATGATGGCAAGAAATGCTAATAGTGCCGCCATACAGAAATACATAGTTTGAAATCACACAGACACAGACAAGCATATGTAATACATCAGAATAAAGGACAGAATGCAGCTTAGTGTTCAATACCTAAGAAACTAACATTCACTGATCTGTTATTTAGGAGTCTATGTGAGGTTATAATTGTCAAGACTCCTTGAATACCATTTTACTATGTTAAGTGTTATTGCTAATAGTTTTCTCTTAAAATATGGTTGAAGCTCTCTGTTACTAATAAATGTAATATACTCTAAATGTGTTTATACTCTTTTGAAACTCAACCTTAGCATCTTTTGTTATAAACAATAACAATCATAATTAACAAGAGTTTAGCATATATGTTTTTTGGATAACAATAAAAAAATAAGCATGACTAGTTAAATTTGATATGAATTGCTCCGTATGTCAAACTTTAACTTGATATTAATGTTTTTTTATTTATGGTTTCAAAGTGCAAACTGGGTCATTCATCTGTTGAAAATATTTGCTTGCATGTCTATGAAAATAGAATAGAGATCTGAATCCATTTGATGGCATCCGAAGCCCTCCGCATGACTCCCTTATTTCCACCAACAATTTTTCTCATTACTTTAAGGACTTTATGCTTCTCTCTTTTCTTCCTCAAACAGTGTCTATATTCTTCCATCTTGCCTTGCTCAATTCTGTGTAATTTAACAACCAAAACAAATGTGCCTCTCTTTTGTATTTGGTTCTAAGGATAGAAAACTTAGTCCCACAGTATCTATGGTTCAAGGGAGGAGCAAATGCGCAGACAACTGAAATTGTCACCAGAACAAAGAAGTGCGCATAGGGAACACACATATAAACAAGGGGAGCTTGTTTGAGGACAAGGACTATCCTGGTTCTTGCAGGGGACAGCTACAGAAGGCGAATAGATCAGGGATTAAAGTAAGAGTTGTCTAGCATTTGCCATCTTAGTCGAGCTGGCTGTGATATATGAGTGTAAAATCAGCTACATAAATTATGAGCAGAAGCTTATTCCAGACAGAGGATGAAGCTTATGCAAGATCATGATGTATTTAGGAAAGTACAAATAGTTTGGTATGACGGGTAAGTGGCAGTGAGTGTTGGAAGTGCAGGTAATGAGGGATAGGGGTGGTGAGATAAACTTAGTCGAGATGATCAGAAACCTTTTCATGACATACTTTCATGACATATAATAAACTAAAAGTTTATTGTACTTTAAACCAGTGGGGAGGGGAATGTGATGTGATGCTATTTGCCTGTTCAAAAGATGACTCTCACAACAGCGTGAAGACTGGCTTCGTGGCAGGTTCAGAATGAAGACTCTAGATGTGTAGATAACGAGAGAATACTGGACAGATTTCCTCTTCACTCTTCTGTGACTGGCATGCCCTCTACCTTTTGTTCTATCTGTTAGAGTCCCAGATTTCTTTCAAGGTCTGGCTCAAATGTCACCCCTCAATGAAGCCTTCTCAGATCTTTCCTCCATTAAAATATTGTCACTCTCTTCCCTGATTATTCCTTTAGTTCTCTCTTCCTCCCTAGCTGTGGCTCTCTCTCATCTTCATTCTAGCTCTTGTTTTAGTATTGATTTATCTGAGGTTTCTCTCCAACTAAGAATGAACATAAAAACAGGGTAACCACTCACCAAATATTTGCAGATCTTGAAATTTTTATTACTTTTCAAAGAAAATAGATTTACATTAAAATCTGAAAATGATGTATTGCGGTAAAAGAGATAAATTTGAAAACTATGTATGTGAAATTCCATTTAAATCATGTTTATATTTAACTATTAAATTTATTTATCTTGTTGCTTCTTCAGTTTTCTAGTGTATGCCAGTTGGTAATGGAAATCCCTTTCATATCAAATAAATGTTACTTTTAGAAGGCAAAGACAATATATATGTGTCCTCTCAACTTAGCACATGAAGAAGAACAAAAGCATACCTAAAAATAATTTAGATAATAATAGTTTTGGTAAATTCATTTATGTGAGTTATTTAAATTACTTTTGTCTTGAGATGGTTGGGGAAATGTAAATTTTATGCCAAAACTAGATTCTGCACAAAAGGCTGCTTTGCTGTGAAACATTTTTCCCCTAAAATTGAGGGAAAAGATTGTTGTATACATCCTCATTGGCTTCTGTTGAGTTGATGTCAGTTATAATATTCCACAGTACGAAATTTGCCTGTCTTCACTTTGTAAACAGAACTATACCTTTATATAAGCATTGTAGACATATATTTATTAGTGGTATTATCTTCCGTACTTAGAAGTAATTAGTATTGATGAAATATTATGTTATGAACACATCAACCCTGAGAAACATAACTAAATGTTCTGTCTCAAAAATATTTAACAGACAGAAAATACATTTGTTTTTATCACTCATCCAAACATTGAAAAACATACTTTCCAGGTTTCTAAGCTCCCAAAGATTGTGGTGACAATGAGCAAATGAACTGATGCTTAAAGGGAAGGATTTCATACCTATTCAGAATATTAGCAAACAGCTGCTAGTATCAGTGGTATTTGCCAGATCTATGAATCAATTTGAAGCATGATTTTTCACTCAGGGAGCAAACACAGGAACCAAGACTCTGGTGGAAGAAAAGAAAAAATAAAAATGACCTAATTGGTTTAAAATGTTTATGGCCACATATTTTATTGTTATGTAAATAGAAATGAAGGATTCTTTTCACATAGTGTGCTTCAACACATGGTGATAATTTTGAAGGGATAAAACCAATTTGCTATCATTCCTCTCCATGAAATAGAAAATAAACTATTGAGTGTTCTTTCTTAGTTTCTATGAGGGTACTTAAGAACTCACACCAAGTAATTTGACATGCTACTTATAAGTATCAGTGGCCATATGCCAGAATAATTTATTCTGTGGATAAGAATATTTTAAAATATAAATATTCCAGTTTTTAACTCCTTGGTACACCTACTTTTTTCTCATCCATATTTGATGTAAGGAATAGTACATCTTAATATTACACACTTGACTTTACAAAAGCGCACTTGGGCATGAAAGATTTGTATTGTTATGACTTTTTTTGGTAATAATAACAACCCATGATGTTAGTGTTAATATAAATTGGAGTAGACATTTTGGTTGGCAGTATCAACAGTCCTGCAAGATCAAGACTTTCAAAACTGTATGGCTTTGACTCGTTATGCTTCTAAGACTATACAAATAAAAATGCAGGTATTTAAATTATTATAAATTCATATGAGAGAATATTCAAAATCGTATATAAATGAAGTATAAGTAATTTGTATGACATTAAGTTAAAAAACAGTGAGGGATAGATAGACAGGTGGATAGACAGATAAATAGATATCCCAATTTCTGTTTCTGTTTTATATTAGCACTGATTTCATTTTAAAGGTTGGAAAGAAAAAAACCAAGAAGATTAATATTAATTATGTTTATGAAGTTCTGATTTTTCTTGTTTTGTTTTTACTTTCACAGTTATCTAAGTTTTCCATAAAGGTCAGAACTTTTTTTTTTATTGAAGTGTAATCTATATAGGAAAGTAGACAAACACCAAGTGTACAACTTGAATTTTTCCACATTAAATGCACCTTCATGTGTGTTTTCAAGGAATAGAATGTCTCTTCCCCTTAGCAGTGTTTCCTCTGCCCCACTCTCATCACCAACTCCCACTATACACAACCTTTATGCTAATATCTATCACAGTAGACTAGCTTTGCTGTCATTGCACTCTATACACATAGAACCATACAGTACATATGTAGGATGTTTAGCTGCTTTTACTCAGTATTGTCTACGTGAGAGTTATTCACATTGTTTTGTATAATATTTCATTGTATTAATATGTCTCAACTTGCACATTTTATTGTTGATTATCATTTGTGTAAGTTTTCAGCTTTTGGCTATTACCAATATAACTTCTATAAATATTCCTGCCAATATACTTTCTTAATATATTTATAAATTTCAAAAAAGAGTATATATGTTGGGTTGTAGGATACACAGATGCACACCTTTGGTAGATATTGCAGGTATTATATCTTTTCCAGCAAGAAGGAATGGACAGAAAGGAACGGAAGGGAAGAGAAGGGCCAGAATTGGCTAGATATGTTGACCAGCTTGATATTCATATTAACTTGGGCAATATTATCTGGTCATTGACCCCTGATTTACCAGTTATCTCAGTCTTTCATTGGATCTTGCTTTCTTGGTAAAGTTGAATAAAGCTATGGTCTTTTATCTGTATCATTTTAAGGTAGATCAGCCTTTCTTGATTCTCAATACTTCTATTAGCAGTGACTAAGATGAGAGGTACAGTCTGTGCCAATGTTATGATTTAGAGATTAATGACATGTGGATTAACCGTTACGATGCATGTTTTAAATGCACAAAATTAATTTCTTTGCAAAAAGGCAACAATCAAGAATCCAGAATAAGAAAATTCAGAGATTTGCCTGATCAGGAAATAAAAGAGATGAATCCTATATATGCATGATTTGAGAGAAAAAATAATCACTCTAAAAATCATGTTAGGGGCGTGGGATGAATTTTTAAAGCTAATTTCTGTAACCCGAAAAGCTAAAAGCCATCTTTTTATAACCACCTTCACTCTTTACAATGCCTTTTTTGATATGAGGAAGCTCAGCCTGAAGTTTTTGGAATGATCAAAATTAAGAACATGATCTTCATTTTTGTTGGCCCAGATATCAGCTTTAACACTTCAAACACTCTTTTAAAATATCTCACACTGTATCAAAAATAACTTTCCTTAGCCACAAAGAAATCTGAGAGCTCTGTCAGTCAGCAAGCCCATATGTAAGTGAGAAAGAAATATGCTGCTTAGTTTACATGACAACCTACAGATCAAAGCAAAATAAATAAATAACATTGAGTTGACTAAGCCTTCTATTTCTTTGGTAATAAATATTAAATATAAGCACTTTGAAATGAAAGACTGAAGACACTAAAACTATCTGCGGTGAAATAAGATGGAAAGTTGAGTTCCCTGGTAAAGGGGAATTATAATTTTTAATGTAGAATTTTCATGTTCACCAAAACAAAAAAAAAATACAAATCAAACATGGTACAGATTGGCCGGCTAAAAATAAAAGGTTTTGTCCACCCTTTAGAAATGCAAACATTGCAATGGAAAAATACTTTAGTCTTTTAAAGGCAAACTAACCATATGCAATTTGTTAAGTTTCATTTATTATTTTTAAAATGGCATTTTATTCATTAGCACATATTATTAAAATTTAGTTTAAATGAAACCATGATCTATAGGATTAAAAACTAAAGTAGCTTTCTTTTGTACTGAGAACTTATTATTCTTTCTTTACAAGGGTCCAGTGTTTTCCTGGCATATAGAGCTATTAACTGTTACACAGGGTTTTATCTCTGCAGTGGTTTAAATTCCTCATGAGTGACTCTGATTCTCACAATAGTTTCTTCCTTTTCTTAGGCTTCAAATTTTAGGATTGATCAGCTTTTTATAGGAAAATTGAAGGAAACATCTTCTCCCCTCAGAGAAATAAACTCAGAAAAGTAGAAAAAGTTTATTTTAGAGATAGCTCAATTATCTTACATTCACTTTGCTCTTGGCCTAGTGAGGAGCTATCAAAGGAAGGGCAACCCTCTGATACAAGTTCAACAGGAAGTTTGCTCAAATTAAGAGAATACCCAATGTCAGAAAACCAGAATTTTATAATGGATGTCTTAAACTATTCTGAAACAAATTCCTTTACTCAATTTGATTAATACTTTACAAATCCTGAGTTCTGGTGGTTCCTACAGGAATCTCAGTAATGTTGTTTGTGTCTAGAATCATGTGCACATATGGTAATTCCGACATAGACTCAGCCTAAAATGCTATAGAAATTGCTCTTTATTATCTACTTAAGAGAGAAGAATAAACCTAAAAAATAATATGACTGCCGCTCTGGTAGGCTCAAAATGAATAACGTGCATACAGTGCAGATTTTCAGAGAAAAGTGCTGCATGTGGAAATAAATATGATTCAAAACGTTTGATAGAGCCAGGCCCAGTGGCTTGCACCTGTAATCCCAGCTACACAGGATGCTGAGGTGGAAGGATCGCTTGAAGCCAGTAGCGCAAGACCAGCCTGAACAACATAGCAAGACCACCTCTCACCCACCTCCCATCGTCTCTAAAAGAACCTTGTTTTATTTTTATTTATTTATTTTTTATTATACTTTAAGTTCTAGGGTACATGTGCACAACGTGCAGGTTTGTTACATATGTATACATGTGTCATGTTGGTGTGCTGCACCCATTAATTGGTCATTTATATTAGGTATATTTCCTAATGCTATCCCTCCCTCCTCCCCCAACCCCACGACAGGCCCTGGTATGTGATGTTCCCCTTCCTGTGTCCAAGTGTTCTCATTGTTCAATTCCCACCTATGAGTGAGAACATGCGGTGTTTGGTTTTTTGTCCTTGCGATAGTTTGCTGAGAATGATGGTTTCCAGCTTCATCCATGTCCCTACAAAGGATATGAACTCATCATTTTTTATGGCTACATAGTATTCCATGGTGTATATGTGCCATATTTTTTTAATCCAGTCTATCATTGATGGACATTTGGGTTGGTTCCAAGTCTTTGCTATTGTGAATAGTGCCACAATAAACATACGTGTGCATGTGTCTTTACAGCAGCATGATTTCTAATCCTTTGGGTATATACCCAGTAATGGGATGGCTGGGTCAAATGGTATTAATAGATCTAGATCCTTGAGGAATCGCCACACTGTCTTCCACAATGGTTGAATTAGTTTACAGTCCCACCAACAGTGTAAAAGTGTTCCTATTTCTCCACATCCTCTCCGGCACTGTTTCCTGACTTTTTAATGATCGCCATTCTAACTGGTGTGAGATGGTATCTCATTGTGGTTTTGATTTGCATTTCTCTGATGGCCAGTGATGTTGAGCATTTTTTCATGTGTCTGTTGGCTGCATAAATGTCTTCTTTTGAGAAGTGTCTGTTCATATCCTTCACCCACTTTTTGAAGGTGTTGTTTACTTTTTTCTTGTGAATTTGTTTGAGTTCTTTGTAAATTCTGGATATTAGCCCTTTGTCAGATGAGTAGATTGCAAAAATTTTCTCCCATTCTGTAGGTTGCCTGTTCATTCTGATGATAGTTTCTTTTGCTGTGCAGAAGCTCTTTAGTTTAAATAGATCCCATTTGTCAATTTTGGCTTTTGCTGCCATTGCTTTTGGTGTTTTAGACATGAAGTCCTTGCCCATGCCTATGTCCTGAATAGTATTGCCTAGGTTTTCTTCTAGGGTTTTTATTGTTTTAGGTCTAACATTTAAGTCTTTAATGCATCTTGAATTAATTTTTGTATAAGGTGTAAGGAAGGGATCCAGTTTCAGCTTTCTACATATGGCTAGCCAGTTTTCCCAGCACGATTTATTAAATAGGGAATCCTTTCCCCAGTTCTTGTTTTTGTCAAAGATCAGATGGTTGTTTTTCAAAGATCAGATGGTTGTAGATGTGCAGTATTAATTTCTGAGAGCTCTGTTCTGTTCCATTGGTCTATATCTCTGTTTTGGTACCAGTACCATGCTGTTTTGGTTACTGTAGCCTTGTAGTATAGTTTGAAGTCAGATAGCGTGATGCCTCCAGCTTTGTTCTTTTGGCTTAGGGTTGTCTTGGCAATGTGGGCTCTTTTTTGGATCCACATGAACTTTAAAGTAGTTTTTTCCAATTCTGTGAAGAAAGTCATTGGTAGCTTGATGGGGATGGCATTGAATCTATAAATTACCTTGGGCAGTATGGCCAATTTCACGATACTGATTCTTCCTACCCATGAACATGGAACCTTGTTTTAATTAGGTGGGTCTGGTGGTGCACACCTGTAGCCAGCTACTCTTTAGGCTGAGGCAGAAGGATTGCTTGAGTCTAGGAGTGCAAGTCTGATGTGAGGATGTGAGCTATAATCACACCACTGTAGTCCAGTCTGGGCAACAGAGCTAGACTTTGTCTCTAAAAAATAAAAAATAAAAAATGTGTTTTACAAGATCATGTCATTTGCAGGGACATAGATGCAATAGATGCATAGATGGAGCTGGATGCCATTATTCTCAGCAAACTAACACAGGAACATAAAACCAAATACCGCATGTTCTACTTTTAAGTGGGAGCTGAATGATGAGAACATATGGACACATGAGGAGGGGGTAAAACACACACTGAGGCCTGTCAGAGGGTGAGGGGTGGGAAGAGGAAGAGCATCAGGAAGAATAGCTAATAGATACTGGCCTTAATACCTAGGTGATGGGATGATCTGTGCAGCAAGGCACCATGGAACCCATTTAACTATGTAACATACCCACACATCGGCACATGTACCCCTGAACTTCAAATAGAAGTTGGACATTTAAAAAATGTTTTCTAAAATGACATTTTAAAAATAACTATACATAATTTACTTTAGCTTTTATTTTTGAACTATATTAATCCTTAGGAAACAACTTTGGACTAATATTGAAGACAGGATTTTCCATTATTTCCAAGTCAATAATAATACATGGCCTAAATAAATTATACATGTGTTGGTAATATTTAATCAGCAAGGATGCTATTAGTGACCCTTGACTAAAAAGAAATATTGTGGCATTGATTTTTCTTAAAACAGCATGATTCAGTAAGCAGCCTGAAACTGATGAGAACCCTGAGTGGGGTAGGGTGAAACGTATATTTTGCGGGGCAGACATTAATACAAGTTCTCTTGCTCTCTATCTCTCTCTTAGGCTGAGATTGGAGTTGGCAGAGATGCTTAGTAAGCATTAGATAATTCTGTGCGAAAGAATTAAGCCATTCAAAATGTTATCATGCTTTGCTCGTGTTACCTGTATTATTTCCTAATATATTTTTAAATGCCTCATGATTAGGACTCTAAGGATGTGATATATTATTTTTCAACATAGAAACCTATTAACAAGATAGTTTGATCTTTGTTTGGGTTTGAAATTCCTATGAGTGATGTAATGGTCTCGAGTTTATTCCCTCCCCTTTAACCAAATTGTCTCAACCCATTTCACATGGAACACATAAAAATATTTGTATGGCACAAA
This sequence comes from Homo sapiens, assembly GCF_000001405.40. Lineage (NCBI taxonomy): Eukaryota > Metazoa > Chordata > Mammalia > Primates > Hominidae > Homo > Homo sapiens. Next base: position 79,432,318 of record NC_000003.12, on the reverse strand, counting down.
TAAGTAAACTGGAATAAATATGAGGTGTCTGTTTGCAGTTTGGGCAAGAAATATAACTCATTACATTGTCTTGCTATTATACCTGGGTCTTGTCTTGACACTCTAAGAGATGCCTGTTTTGCTGAAGGAAATGGCATTAAGGAGTTCAGATTTTCAAGGCAGCCTCTGTATCTTTCTTTACAATAAAAACATTTCGCTAAATCTAAAAAACAAAAAGAAATAATTTCTTCTAATTAGGATTATCAGCTAAACACATTTATAATGTCTGTAAATGCATCAAACTTCGGTGGAAAGTTACTTCCAATTTAGTAATTAGATTATCTCACTTTGCACATTGTCATTTTATCTACTAAGAGTGTTATTCAAAAATGGCACCTTTTCTATTTACTTTGTCCTTAGTCCCAAGCAGTGCAGGCTAGAAAAATGAGTGATTTGGTAATTGCATGACACATTTTAGCTTTAGCTAATAAAGTTTTGCTGGACTCATTTATAAAGGATTCAGACATTTTCAATTCACTGACATAAAAATGTCAAATTATTTTTCTTGTCTGAGTGTTTTGCTAGAAGATGCCTGCCTGCACAATGCTTTAGCTTCATTGAGTCATTTTTTATTTTCTATATTTCCTTGCAATTAAACATTTTGTCTAAATAAAAGAAACATCTTTGCAAATAAGTACATATGTGAAATAATCCTGATTACATTGCCTAGTAAATGATTTGTACTTTTTTTCTGTACCATGTTTTTGTCTTCTGAATCTGTCTAATTTCCACCTTTTATTCTCTTTTGAAAAGTCTGCATTACCATGGTATCGCAGTCAGGGATAACCGGAGAAAACAGAAGATACTAGTGTTATTTTAGGGGAAAGGGATGGTATACATGGAATACAGTACTTTACAAACTTGCTGGAGGGACTGCAGCCAAGAAACTTGGGGGACCACTTGCACGGTGGGAATGAAGATCACCACTGTAGTTGGTATATACATCCCAAAGTCTCATTTGGTTATAATGGGATTATAATGGGATTATAACCAAATAAGTTATTGATGGGATTTTCAGTTTCCATTTTGGGAAACAGCATGAAGACATTTGTATATGATACTAGTTGTAGTACATTAGGAAACTGGTGCTCTGTCTCTAACGCAACTGGCCCTCATGCCAAGTTGCTGGTGACAAGACACTGACATATGCAGTACAGGGGTCAGCCAACACTGATCTCTACTCTGTTTTTGTAATACCCACAACAGCAGAATAATAACCACTACCTCCTTTTGCCCTTCAAAGTTCATGCAATTACACCTACCTGGCAGAACCTATTCATATCCAGAACTTTCATGTAAACATCCATTTACATCCTACTACAAATACTTATACTTCCAAATACAACAATAACAATAAAAATTTGGTCCAGTCTAACATAATGCACTAAATCATACACAATGTCTTCATTCTCTTCCCAAAAATGGAAATTCAAAATCCCATCAATAACTTATTTGATTATAATCTCATTTTAACTGAATAAGACATTGGGATGTATTCAAGCTTTTCTCATTCAGTTGCAATCCCAATTTGTCATTCTGTAAAATCTTCAAAAAATGTAGAGAACAGGAACAAGAGGAAAAATGGAAATTGGTTACTATACACAAATACATTCAAGGCCAAGAAAGGAAAAAACTATGGGACTCTACAGCCTTTCATTTCTGCAACCATTCACTAAGTTGTGATTCTTTTGTACAACTCTAGCATTCCTTCTGTGCTCCTTTTGTTCCCAATTAGCACTTCAGCTATTTGGGGCTTTCTATATGGTAGGGTGGCCCAACCGTTCATTTCTTAGGGGTCTAATCAATTGAGAGAAACATCATTTTCTCAAAAATGAAATCAATTTAAGTTTAAAAAGTGGCTATAGTCCTTCAGGACTTCCAAAGAATTTTTGATTTGTTTACTCATTTGTTGGCATAGGTTGTCTGCATCCTTATAAATGTTTGAAATTAAATTATATTGAGTTGGACAAATTAAACATGAATTAAGCAGAGTAAAGTATTATTTTTATTGAACTTAATTTCTGAAAATTTACGAATTATAAATATTGCTTACACTTACATGTTTAAGATATTTCAAAAGACCAGTTTTTGTAACTTGCATGGCCTATAGTACCTTAACAAGTTGATTTAGTTAAAGTCTTTAATTTTTATTTATTTTGTAAAATTATAAAACATTTTCAATCCTTAAAAATTATAATCATCAATTTTAAAATTGTATCATAAATGTTAGACTATGGCTAAATTTGAAAACCAAATACAATAAAAAAGTTAAAAAAGGAGAGAGAGAAAAGTTAGTTGGAAAGAAGAAGGTATAACAATTCAGACAATTTATAATAGCAAATATGAGAGCATCTATTGTATAATAATAATAATCAGACATATCTTATATTTAAGAAGAAAAAATAAAATAAGAACCAATTAAATCAAAAGACTGCTCTATAGTTTGCTACTTGCTTGTAAACAGAATTTTCAAATAAAAAGGTAAAGAAACTAATGGGCATTATTCAATAAGAAGACTTAATTGGTGGGATATGGAGTAGCCAGTTCAAAGACGTGTCAGACATAAAAATTGATTGTCTTTGGATTACTACTACAACAAAATTATCTGGCTTCAAACCTGAATAGCTTAAGAATTTAGAGCCAACAGGGTGTTTCTTCACTTGCTGCCAGGAGCTTTCTTGTTTAGCTCAGTGCCAGTTAATCAGGTTGTTTGTTTGTTTATTTTGTTTTTTGTCCCTTCACTCCACTGAACTGATTCCTGTTAATAACTCTATAACCTGGATTAGGCTTTGCGTGTTTGTGGGCCCATCCTCATGAGTTGTATTTGCTGACCCGGAACCTGAGTGTGAGAGAGGGTCAGACTTTGAGCAAAACTGAAGACTTGTGGACCCTGGATCTTGAATATTTACTTCCACGTTTTCCTGGCTTTACGGTCCAGCTCAAAAAGCAACATCTCAGGAATACCCATGAACTTTGTGGATGTAACTGGATTCTGACATAATGCTTTAGGATGAACCAGCAACTCCAATCATAGCTTAAGTTTTGTTCAAAGGAGTGTATGTATGGCCCTTGGAGGGTAACTTGTTCGTATTTTCACATATTCCTCCATAGTGACTTGATATGCACGTATTTCTAGTTTCATCTTTCAAGTCAGGTTATCTAGATACAATTTACATACAGTAAAAGTTACTCTTTATAGCTGTACATTTCTATGAATTTTAGAAAATACATAAAGTGATGTAACCACCACCATAATTAAGACACGTAATATTTCCGTCATCCCCAAAGGTTCCTTTATGTCCCTTTGTAGTCCATTCTCCTAGCAAACTTTGATCAGGTTTCTGTTCTTATAACTTGGCCTTTTCTAAAACATCATATCAATTACATTTTTCAATCAGTAGCTTTTTCTTTCTGATTTTTTTTTTCACTTAACATAGAGTATTTGAAATCCATCCATGGTGTTGCATGTATGAATATTTATTTCTTAAAATTATTTTTTAATATTCCACTGTATGTTGGTACCACAATTTTCTCATCTACTCACCATTCGGTGGACAATTGGTTGTTACCAGGTGGAGGTGATTATGAATAAAGCTGATATAAACACTCTTCATGTGGGCATGTGTTTTCCTTTTCTCTTGGGTAAAACTTCTAAGAGCAGAATTGCTGAGTCTATGATAACAAATAAGGAAACTTCATAAGAAACTGGTACATTGTTTTAGTATGCTGGCTTTAGCATTTTGCATTCCCGCTAAAAATATACCAGAGAATATACTGCCAAATAATAATGAGGATGATAACAATGGGTGCAATAATTGAAATGATAACTATATTGTTGAGAATCTTTTCAGCACCTCCCATGTCACAGGCACTGTGCTAAGCACTCAACATATTTTTAATTTATTGTATTATCAAAAGAATGCATAAGGTAGATGCTAACACTAGAATCTCCATTTTATTTATTTTTATACATTTTATTAATATTTCTTTTTAATTTTTGTGGGTACATAGTAGGTGTGTATAAGTTACATGAGATATTTTGATACCTCTATTGGTATCTCTGATACCTCTATTGGACACCTTTTTATATACCTGTTTGCCACTTATATGTCTTTTTTGATAAATGGCTATTTAGATATTTTGCCCATTTTTTAATCAGATTATTAGATGCTTTCCTATAGAGTTGTTTGAGCTCCTTATAAATTCCTCATATATTCTGGTTATTAATCCCTTATCAGATGAGTAGTTTGCAAATATTTTCTCTCATTCTATGGGTTGTCTTTTCATTTTGTTGCTTGTTTCCTCTGCTGTGCAGAAGCTTTTTAACTTCATATGATCCCATTTGTCCATTTTTGCTTGGTTGCCCGTGATCATGGGGTATTACTCAAGAAATCTTTGCCCAGTCCAATGTCCTGGGGAGTTTCCCCATTGTTTTCTTTTAGTAGTTTCATAGTTTGAAGTGTTAAATTTAAATGTTTAATCCATTTTGATGTGATTTTTGTATGTGGTGAGAGATACCAGTCTAGTTTCATTCTTATGCATACGGAAATCCAGTTTTCCCAACACCACTTATTGAAGAGACTGTCCTGTCCCCGATGTATGTTCTTGGCACCTTTGTCAAAAATGAGTTCACTGTAGATGTATGGAGTTATTTCAGGGTTCTCTATTCTGTTCCACTGGTCTATGTCTGACTTTATGCCAGTGCCAAAGCATCTCCATTTTTAAAATGAGGAAATTGAAACTCAAAAAATGTCCTGGAACTTGCCCATGTTATCTCAACCCACAATTGGTAGAGCTGATATTCAAGCCCAGATAAGCTGGCATTAGAATTGCGTCCCCTAAACACAACGTTCTCCTGCCTCTTCATTTGCTGGTTAAATAGACATTAGAAATAATCCAGAGCTGGCTATTCTAAAGTAAAATAGAGTATTCTAAAATGTACATTTTTAGCGAGGGTGTTGAAAGGCATCTTGAGCAGAACATAAACTGAAAATGTTAGCATCCAAGTACTTGAAAAAATGCCACTAGGATGTGCGTACAATAGTTGTTCATATGTACAAGTTGGTCTTCTGCTTTTACACAATCCCTATTCGAATCAGAGATCTCTATAAACTGATGTGAAGTTTTGATTGAATGTAAAAGATCTAAATTTATAATTAGAAAGAAAAATGACTTGGATCTTGGAAAACAAGTACAGAGCTTGAAAGAGTCAGTCTCCAATACACAAAGTTCTATTTAGTCTGAAGCAGTAATAGAATATGGCCATTTTTGTTTTATAAAACCGGGATAAGGATTTAATTGAATAATTTTAATAGACTTTTTGTTTTTATTTGTGGATTATATAAGACTGATCATAACAATTAACAGACAATAAATAATCTGGTAATTTTATACTGCCCAGAATTACTTGTTTTTTCATTTTCATTATTTCAAAAATGGTTAAGACCTATATTTGACAGTGTACACTAAATCACTTAATTTTTAAAATGTTTTCTCAAGTTACCTTAGATGGTTTTCCTGTCATTTAGTTGAATTCAAAGAAAAAAAACAGTGAAACTAGTTCTGTCAAAGCTTACTGTGAGATAGGCATGATAGAATTACATGAAGAAAGAAGCCAGGCACGGTGGCTTACGCCTGTAATCCCAGAAGTTTGAAAGGCTGAGGCGGGTGGATCACCTGAGGTCAGGAGTTCAAGACCAGCCTGGCCAACATGGTGAAACCCATCCCTACAAAAATACAAAAATTAGCCAGACATGATGGTGGGTGCCTGTAATCCCAGCTAATTGGGAGGCTGAGGTGGGGAATGGCTTTAACCTGGGAGGCGGACATTGCAGTGAGCTGAGATCACACCAGTGTGCTCCAGCCTGGGCGACAGAGCAAGACTCCATCTCAAACAAACAAACAAACAACAACAACAACAAAATTATATATGAAGAAAGGAAGTAAGAGAAGAGAAATAAGTAATAGTAATGTCAGTTTCTAAGGGACCTGGACTTGCGTATATTATGTATATTATTTGTGTTACATCGTGATGTACAAAAAGACATCTATTGAATCTTTTCTCCTCTCATAGTTTAATGTTTTTATCAGGTGTTGATGCAATGATATTTTATCCTTATTGCTTTCAAATAAAAATAGTGAATTTTTCGAATTGTGCTTATGTAACACACGTGTATCTAGACGGAATTACAGCAAATGTGGCAGGTACATACCTCTTCAGTTCCTTCTGGATACTAAAAAAATGCAAGCAGGTAGGAGCTACTCTGCCCAGATTTTTGTAAAAATTTCTTAATCAATTTTAAATCTATGTGAAAAATTTAAAAATTATTTGAGAACAGCTGAAGCCACAATGTGGAATGAGAACAGATATATACAGTTATCAGAAGTGCAAAACAATGCAACCAATAACAAGTGAGAGCGTGTGAAATCCAGGTTTGTGTTTCTAATTTCCTCTCTATTCCAATTTGTAGCTAGGGAAATGGTCACTCGGTTTTCTGTCTGGTCTGCATCACCTGAATTTTACATTTTTTTGAGTATGTGTGTATTTCTGTGTGTGTGTGTGTGTGTGTATGTGTGTGTGTGTTCCATTCTGCTCTCATTGTATGTTTTCCTTAGTCATGGTCTTTGCTCCTTCAACAGATTCTTAATCTTTGTTTTATGTAGACTTCATCTACATACAATTTGACATTTGCCTTGGGTTTTTTGTGTCTACTAATTCAGTGCTAGCCAAAGAAATCTGGAACCTCTGGGCAGCCACTTGTCTTTTCATCTGCTTTCTGGCTTATACTGTTGTGATTGAAGTGGAAAATAAAAAGACCTTCTAAATCCAGTAGAAACCTGACCTATCATAGCATTTCCAAAATCTGTTCTCAGGATTCAGAAGATCAGAGAGGTCTAAGCATTTTGTTCTTATTGTCACCTGAACTACGGTTATTTTTAAAATAGTTTTCTAGCTTCTTAAATAGACCAATTGAAATAAATTGCCGTTCAATTGGTTACTGCGCCATCAAGGAAGCGTGGTCCGTTTCTAACAAGTTTCTGTCCATGACCTTTTCCTCCATGTAATTCTGTATAAATGTGCATCTTAATAAATGAATAAAATGTGAGGGGCATATAATGGAAATAGAAAAAAAATAGTCATATGCATTTATTGAAGATGGAGAAATCACATGCAGGCCACCCCTCTAGAATTGTAAGGAATGTTGACGAGTGAGTCAGATGGAACCTAGCTCTAGAATCCCAGGCAGTTCTAGGCATGAAGGAGCATGTCGCTATCAGCTGATGTCCTCAAATTCTACTGTTCTCAGCCTCAGGGTTTAGGTTTTCTGCGTTTTTTACTTCCTTCTAGCATGACTTCATTCTCCTACAGAATTCCTCTTTACCTGATTTCAGTCTCTATTCTTGTGTTCTCTGCCTCATTCTGTTTATATTTTTGATTCATATTTTTAAGAGTTAATATCTAACTGGCCCAACGTATCTTCACAAAACAGAAAATTGGGCAACCTATGGAATGGGATCCCCTAGATCAAGTTCCCACATCCAGAGAAGGTTACATTCTATAATACATTGCTTCTTAATATTACTCCTTTTTCAGGGGCTATGGTCTTGGGGAGCACCATATTTGGGATGTTTTGTCCATCTTCATGAAAAAGTAAGAGAAGAATGACAGTGTAAGCTCCATGAGAAACGGAGCTTTGTCTCTTTGTAACATATTATTATGTTTACTGTTCTAAGAACAGTGCCTGGCATATTGTGAGCCTTTGAATGTTTATTGAATATGAATACATGAAGAAACAAATGACTAATAGGTCATTTTCATTCACTTGAGGAGTATATGATATATATATATATGATATGATATTTTCATTCACTTGAGGAGTATACAATAACTTCTGAATGTTATGTGTGCAAGAGATTCAACCTGGTCCAGGTCATATTCAGTGTGAAACAGTCTCAAATGTTTGATTATGTGTAGAGCTAGTGAATAACTTTGTGCATGGTTAATTTGAGGGAAATCCCCTGAATAATCTAGATCAGAGCTGAGTGCCTCAGTCACCTTTTCCCAGGTCAAGTAAATCTTATTTTTCTACAATTAAAAATGTAGATTTAACTTAGTTGCTTAGAGTATAAGTAAATAATTGTAATTCAGGCACCGTATCTTTACCCGCATGCAGCCATCTAGCTACGAGAAATGTTGCTTTAGCAACATCTTTAAAAGAAGAAACTACAAGAGTAAATATGATGTCTAAGACATCATATATTTATAGAAACAAATCCTTCTAAATCCATGCATTTAGAAGGTCCAGGTGGTACCTTCAGCAATAAAGAGGGGCAGTCTTATGAACATAACTGTATGTTAATATGGGCAGATGGGAGAATTATGAAAAAAAAGTATGTGCTTCTCATCTCCTCCATCTGAATCCCTATCTCACTCCTTTTCAGTCCTACCCGCAGTTCTACTCACCAGAGGTTTCCTTGTACATATACCTGTGAATCTCTAGTGGATTTCCGCAAAAACTACACTTTATATTTGTCGTCAGTAATGCTGAATACTGAATCTTTTGGTGGCCTGCTGTTAGAAAAACTAATAAAAATAGTACTGGTATGCTGACTTACAGTTATAAATCATAAGCCCATGTATCAAGTCAATTGAGCCAAAAAAAATGTGATGAGTCACGCATTCTCAATCTGTACATTTCACAGGTGAGAACATAGAGGCTCAGCTCAGAGGACTGACCTGCCAATAGATAAATATGGACCTATTTATTTATGTAAGTGGCATTATCAGGATCGGAATGCAGGCCTATAACACCATAAAGCTGTCGCTTGAGATTTCACACTTCATGAAAGTGTAATAACAATTTAACATGTCATTACTTCCTATGAATATTTACAGTTTGAAGTGAAAGTGAAGATTGTCAATGCATAACTCAAAGTTTCCTTAGCAGTAAGAAATAAAATATTTTGATAGCTCTTTAGATCCTTCATTTCTGAGGAGGGTTGGCTTTCTATTCACTACAGGTGAGGTTGACTCACCCCCATTTTAATCTCATCTATTTTCAGACTACCTCTTGGTCTATGAATGGTGAAACCAGACTGCTAACATTTTTTTATATACTCTCAGGTTTGTTACATAATTGAATCTATGTTTATAGTTGCTGTCTTTTTAACATGGTAGTTTAATTCTGTTTGATTTTGAGTATCCCATTATAATCCATGTTTATTTCAGGATATATCAGACGTTTGAGCAGAGTAAATAATTCTCTCCAGCACAACCAGGTGGTTTTTTCTATACAGTAGTGGAAATATACTAAATAAGGTTGTATCAAAAGATGGGTTGCACTGCAGAGATAATATGAATTGAGTTCAAGACAGTGCAATCAAATGAGAAGGAGATGGAAGAATTCTGTGTGAGTGGGAGGTGAGTACCACAGAAATAAAAATGAGCAAAGATAAAGTACTCTTGATTCTACTTTTATATTGCACTACCACATCTTTGCTTTTGCTCTGTACAAGAATGTGCAAATGGATCATAACAGTTTGAGAACTTAGGTATGACATCTGTTAAAACTCAAGTAAATTGCAATTCCAGCATAGGAATGCATTTGGAATTAAACAAAGCCCTCATTTCTCATAAGACCATTCTTATTTCCAAACTCATTAGAAAAAAAATCTCTATTTCCTTTTTGCTATTCTCTACCCTTTCTCATTCTTATTTTCTGTAGTAAAAGATTAAGTGGTACACTCAGGGATCCTCAGAAAGATGGTTTAACTAATTAGTACATCAACGAAGTCTTTAGGACAGAGTTTTAATAAATGTTTGTCAATTTCCCTTTGCAATGTTACGTAGTATATTACTAACAGCATTCGCAGAAGGTGCACAGGATGTATGGTCTGAAATCTAGGGTTAGTAAGAAGGAATCATAGAAGATGATGCCAGGCAGGTGGCAAGGAGCTGACACATTGGACAAAGTTATATTAAAGTGCTTAACTTAGTTGCACTAGGTTAATCAAAATATTATTTATTTCACTTGTACGTATTTACAATATATAATGATACATAAAATATATAATATGATACAAAATATATAATATAATATATAATACATAAGATATGTATTGTATATAATACATAAAATATGTATTGTATATAATATGCATAAAATATATAATCAAAAATATTTTTATATATAATACATTAAAATATATATTTTTATATATAAAATATACATTTTAACTCATTGGTCACAATTAATGCCACACAACTATCCCTGAATAAATCAGAGTTGCAGAGTGGATATAAAAATGTACAGTGGTTAATCACTTGGACTCGGGAACAAATAAATATGGCCCTGAATCCTAGTTTCATAGCTATGTGGTTTTGTGCAAAATATTTAGTTTCACTGAGTCTTGGTTTCCTTTTCTGTAAAAGATAAATAATTAAAAATGCAGCAACAGCAACAACAACAACATTAGTCACTAACATTTTATTTATTTTATTAGAGCTTGCTTTACCGTCAGCAATATTTTAATGTATCTATTTGCATTCCTGCATTTAATATTGTCAATTACCCAACAAATCAGATAGTATTGTTACCCTCATTTCACAGAGCAGGAAACTAAGGCAAAAAGAAGCTAAGACACAGAGCTGAGCTTGTATGTATTTGAGCTAAGTAGTCCTATTGCAGAAAACAGACTGCTGCTATGATTTGGGTTGGAAAGTCCATTGTTGCTTTGCTCATATCTGGCACCTGGTGCTGTCAGCTCCTGTGCCTGGGTTCTTCCCCACACGGCCTCTCACCCTGCACTAGTATATGACAGATTCCTTTTGTGGCAGTCTCCGGGCAGATTTCCACTGGAGCAAAAGCAGATGCTGTAAGGTCTCTCTTTTTTTTTTTTAACTTTCATTTTAGAATGAGGGTACATGTGCAGGTTTGTTGTATAGATAAGTTGTGTGTCATGGGGGTTTATTATACAGATTATTTTATTACACAGCTAGGAAGCATAGTACCCAATAGGTAATTTTTTAATTCTCATCCTTCTCCCACCCTCCAACCTCAATTAGGTCCCAGTGTTTACTGTTCCCTTCTTTGTGTCCATATGTACTCAGTGTAAAGCTCTCACTTGTAAGTGAGAACATGCTGTATTTCATTTTCTATTTCTGCATGACTTTTCTAAGGACAATAGCTTCCAGATCCATCCATGTTGTTGCAAAGGACATTCTCTATTTCTTTTTTATGGCTACATAGTATTCCATGGTGTATATGTACATTTTGTTTATCCAGCCTACCAATGATGGACGTTTAGGTTGATTTCATTTCTTTGCTCTTGTGAATAGTGCTGTGATTAATATAAGCATGCATGTGTCTTTATGGTAGAACAATTTGTATTCTTTTGGATCTATACTCAGTGATGAGATTTCTGGGTCAAATGGTAACTGTTTTAAGTTCTTTGAGAAATTGTCCACTGCTTTCCACAGTGGCTGAACTTATTTACATTCTCATCACTAAGCATTCCCTTTTCTCTGCAAGCTCACCAGCATCTGTTATTTTTTAATTTTTAATGGGTTCTTTTAAGATCCAACCTCAAGGGTCAGGTGCATTGCTTTCACTGCATTCTATTGGTCAAAACAAATAATAAAGCTAACTCAGATTCAAGTAGTGCTGAAAGAGACTCTACGTCTTCATGGGAGAATCGCCAAAGTCACACACAAATGGACATTTGGGATGACAGGAACTTTTGCAGTCATCTTTGCAAACATTACCTTAAACCTTTCACCAGGATATGCTATCCTTATCAATGGCCACACTCACGGTCCTAGAAAATAACGCTGATGAAATTCAAATATCACAAAAGCCACATTTATTAATGAAACACTAAATTTGATATGGAAGACTTTGTATTCGTTGGTAAGAAATGTATTGGAGGAAGGTTTTACTAACATGGATGCAAGATTCTCTAGTTCACTCTCATTTAACCAGAAAATTAAATTGAATAAAGCATTCTTTTTTCACAAATACTGGTTATTTAATATTCCTCTGTATATAAATGTTTTAATTTTTCCTGTCAATGATAAAATTAGGTATTTGACTTTTACTGTTCTAAAAATGCAGAATCTCATGAATTCTGAAACACCTGTTCAGGTAGGAATATAATGATACTCATAGAATGGATTAAATAAAATTATATGTGAGACAAAGTAGCACTTTCTAGCATCACAGTTATTTCTATTTAAGTTCTAGCAAAAGACTTCATTTTCTGTTAATGCCATCAGGTTTTCCAACAGCTTATTAGAGAGCCAGAAGTAAATTTCATAGATTAGAAATAAAATTCCTAGGGACATTGTATATCGTATGTATACCTTATGTATACATACCTTATGTACGTATTTTTACCTTATGAAATGATGTTAAGGTCAGATTCCAAATGTTAGTCTTCAAAGAGTTAGTTTTCCTTAAAATTACTCTATTTAATAAAAATCCAAATCAGTAATATTCAAACCCAAAGGCTAGATATACTTTCCTTATGGCTTATGTTTTATGTCTAGGGTTTGTTAATGAGACTCCTATGTATCAAATATCTGCAGTCTCCTTTTCAAATTACTTTTTGAGGGAAGTGGCAGGATGAACATCAATTCCTGTCATCAGAGGGCCCAAACCCTCTCATAGCATCTTTCTGTAGTAAATTAGACTTAGAATTCAAAATAAGGCTTTTTCACATTAAGGAGAATTCTGCATGCAGGAAGAACGGGGAGCGATCCTGAGAGTGGTTTTCACCAGTCACAAGCTGAGCTATCACCACCCTTTAGTTTCTCAACATGTCAAACGTGTAGCTTTTCTTTTACACAGACACAACCCACGGCTCTGCTTAAAAAACTGACTCATCACTTTCTGGAGGCTGGACTATGTCATACTCAAGGGAGGGACACTTGTGATATTCCAGCTGGAGTGACTCCAGTGTATAAGAGGGGCTAATTAAATACATGACCAAGGGATCATCTTCTTTGTCTAATTAAGCATTAAACACCTATCAATTTGCTGATACTGTACTGTTCTTTCCATTTATTACAGTGGCTGGTTTCTCCCTCTCTCTCAAACTTGCTCAAAACTTGTACCATTTTCCCATTGCTCTTAGACTCAACTCCATACTCCTCAAATCACTATCCTGCAATATGTAAAACTAACTTATCTTTCACTACGGATTTCTCTACAAATACTGTCTGATCCAGCCACACATGGCCCTCTGGACACAGCCTTGCAAATGCACGTGTAGGTCTTTTTCCTGATCTTTTCACTCCTGGACTGAAGATCGTAACACTAGTCATCATTCATCCTTGACAAATGGGGACTTTGAGTTCCACTTGAATCAGAACTTCTCACACACCTCTGATCTAATACATCCCCCAAGCCCTCTTAGAATTAAGTATTTATTTAATTTTTTAGAATCTGATTTATTTGTATTTTATTTATCTTCTAAGTTTTCTTGCTATCTGGTCAGCATGATCATGAATTTGTGGGCATGGTTATGTCTAATATCTGTTTAGCACTCAACACAGTGTTCCAATTCATCTATCCGTCTATGTATGTATCTATCTTTCTCTTGTATAGTTACTAAAAGGATTTTGTGCCTGCTAGTAGCCTGTTTTACACCGTGGTGCCCAATTTAAATAAACAGTGTTAATGTTATTTGCATAAAACAGTTTGCTTTATTTTTGCTTGTTAATTTATTCATGCAATTAAATAATTATTAGACTATATAAAAATAGCTGTTCTACTGAATGGTGGAAAGAGTGGAGGAAATCATGGCTGAAGATTTTTTCATTGATCATGGCATTAGGGACACAATAAATTCATTTTTACAAAATTATTTTCAGGCCACATATATCTTTATACATCACATCTGCTGAATCCAATTTGGGAGATAGAAAAGTAATTGCAATTGAGATTTGAGTTCTTGTTCATCTCTAATGTGCTATAATACTATTGATTACACTAATATGATACCAAAATAACAATCAATGGAAGACTTCTAAGGAGTGGGAAATTCTGTTTCATAAGCCATAGAAAGAAACACACCAGTGCCAGTGCAGGTACCAGAGATAAATACAGAGCTTCTTAGAGAAAGTAAAAATGGTAAAAACACAAGAAAACACATTTCATAGTGTTTATTCCACCATGCTGATGTTCATTCTAGGTGAATATCATATCAATGAATCACTTGTATATTGCTTGAGGTTCTACAATGTGTCCAGTGCTGTGCTAGGGGCTTCATAGGGCTATCTATCTTATGAAGAGGCCATTTTGTGTGAGATAGTGATGGTGTTTTTGTAATAATCTGGTCGTGATACATTCTAAAACCAGAACTATAACTTAAACACGCATAGCCACCTGGCTGGAGTAGAAGATCAGGAAATATTAGGAACTGTGTGACCTGGGAGCTAAATGTCTCACTTAAAAACACACAAAAATACTTCTCTAATCCAACAAAACTAATCTATAGGATTGATTAGAATGCAATTGTGCAAATTGGTGTCCCCCATAATAATACATTTTCACTTGACCTCACTGATGTAAAAGAGATTCGACAGTGATGTTGATTAAAGTTATAATTGCAGTCATGGCCTCCAGCTAATGCGGAAATTATAACCATGGTTTTGGAAGTAGTTGGGATGAAAAGAGAGTAAGTAGTTACTTGTGATCCAGACTATAGCAGTTATCTATTGCTGTGTAATAAATTACCCCCAAAGTTCAGCAGCTTTAAACAACAAATATCTATTATCTCATATAGTTTTAGAGGATCAGGAATCTAGAAGTAGCTTAGCTGAGAGGTTCTGGCTCAGGGTCTTTCATTAAAGTTATGGTCAAGCTGTAAGCCAGGTCTGTAGTCATTTTAGTCCATCAACTCACTCACATGATTGTTAGCAAACATCAGTTCCCTTCTGGTTAGTGGACTAACCCTCAGTTTCTTGCTATGTGAGCCTCTCCACAGGCTGCAACAGATTTCTCACAATATGGTGGCTGGCTTCCCCAGGGTGAATGATCAAAAAGAGAATGAGAGCAGAAAGAAAACCCCAATGTCTTTTACAATCTAGACTTAGAATCACAGCATCATTTCCACCCCCTTCTCAATAGAATCTCAGTCCACAATCAAGAGGATGGAAATTAAGATCCACTTCTTGAAGGAGGGAGTACCAACATATTTGTGGAAATATTTTGAAACCATCATGCGAGTTCTGCTAATTTTTTTACCTAGGTATTTAATGTTGGAAAAGTATTTTATCCTCTCAAACGTCAGAGTTTGTTTGTTATTGTTACTTTTTTAACTGAGAAATTATGAATGATCAGCCTAACTTCACAAAACTGATTTCAGGATTAATGGAGGCAATGTTTGTGTAAGCCACTTGCAGAGTGCCATAGGAATAAATGTATCCTTTTAACATCTGTGGTTATGCTCAGAATATTATATTCCAGACAAGTACATTATCCTACAAAATATGGCATGGAGATGCCTCGCCTCAAGAAGTAACAACTAGTGGTACACATGGATGAGCATTACTGTCTATAAATAATAGCTATGGTTGCATCTTTTCCAACCAAAGCAACACCAAGTTTATCAATTTTACCCCTTTCTTTTGTTTTCTTTTTTTTCTTTCTTTCTTTCGGTTTTTTTTTTTTTTAAGAGTTTCACTCTCTCACCCAGGCTGGAGTGCAGTGGCATGATCATGGCTCACTGCACCTTGACCTCCTAGGGCTCAAACAATCGTCCCACATCAGCCTCCCTAGAGGTGTGTGCCCTCACACCTGGCTAATTTTTTGTTGTTGTTGTTTCTTTTTTTTTTTTTAGAGATGGGGTTTTACTATGTTGCCCAGGCTGGTTTTGAACTCCTAGTCTCAAGCTATCCTCTTGCCTCAGCCTCAAAGTGCCAGGATTACAGGCATGCGACATAGCACCCTGCCCAATTTTACCTCTTTCGTATCTATACTTCTTTCTATCTCCACTACAACTCGAAGCCATTTATCATCTCTTGCCTGGACTGCTGCAATAGCCCTTAACTAGTTTTCTAGTTAACAACTCTTACTTCTGTAAATGCATTTACCATTTTGTAGCCATCGTGGTTCTATTTAATTCAAATATTCCTTATATGAGAATGCAGACAAATAGGC
Source organism: Homo sapiens (assembly GCF_000001405.40). Lineage (NCBI taxonomy): Eukaryota > Metazoa > Chordata > Mammalia > Primates > Hominidae > Homo > Homo sapiens. Next base: position 79,416,116 of record NC_000003.12, on the reverse strand, counting down.
TGATTCTTACTAGATTTGAAGTGTTATTTTTTTTATGTTGGTATATATTTGTTTTCTTTCTGACCCAACACTCATCATTCCTTCTCTATCTAATCTGAAGTGATAGTGACATTTTTTAGTTATTTACCAATGACAGGAACATTAAGTTCTTTTCATCCTTGATCTCCAAATTTGCTTAAATATTTCTACCTCGAGATAAATGTTTATCCCAGAAACCTAGCTGCAACCTTGAAACCCGTTGTTACCCACTTTCTATGTGTAATTCACCAACCAACATCATTGTTCTGCCTCCAGAAAATGTTTCTAATCTATTCATTTTCCATTTCCTTTTATTTCTATCATTGCCAGTATACATTTTTTCACCTAAATAATCAGATGGTCTTCTAACTGGTCTTCCTGCTTCCACTTTGACACTTTCTAACTTATTCTCTCTATTGAAAGAAGAGTAACCTTTTAATGCAAAAATCTGCTTCTTCTTAAAACCACAGAATGAAGTTCAGAATTGTTAACATACTTTCCAGGGCCTGAACTGAAAAGGTCTCTACCCATATTTCTCGCTATTCTTTCATCCTAATATGTGACAAGCTCTTTTATGCCTGAGGAATTTTTGTGTAAGCTTCCTGTCTGACTACACCCATTTTCTGCTTGTCTCGTTTTTGCCCCACATGTACTTATTTATTCTTCATTTCTCTGCTTACGCATCACTTTCTCAAAGAACCTTTAAATTAAGTCCCATGGTTATAATGTCTGGAAATCTTCTCTTTAACTTTATTACAGATGCAATTTAAAAGTATGTGTTTAAAAGTAAGATATTATTATACAGCGTCCATTTCTACTCACTAGAATATCAGCTCTATGAAGGCAGGAACTTCATCTATTGTTTCACTGCAATTCCTTGCAGTTGTTCTACAAAATACGGTGTAAAGATGCACATGTTAGGTGCTCAGAAAATATTTGTTGAATGAATGAATGGCAGAAGGCTTTCGACTACTCACATTAACTTCCGTGAGTCAGGATGTATTTATATGGTTAGTGACATGATGGTACTGATCAGTTTCACTTAGGAAGAATGAGATTGCTCAACTCCATGGACTCAGACCAGAGTGAGTTTGCACAGCCAAGTGGGACAACTGCTTGGAACAAGAAGGAAGAGAGAGTGCAGACATGCAGTTTGCCTGCTTAATGTTTTAAGTTGAAATAGCTCTGGACATGTGCAATTTAGGATGTGACTGCCAAACAACTGGCTTTGAACCAATTCATAATTTTAGATCAGACTACACCCATCTGCTGATAATCTTCAGTACTTTATGTTAAAAAATTGCAGATTTGAAAGCTAGTCTTTGAATGTGTTTCTAGATCCAGTTTCCCATATTTATAATGGCTCTCTCTTTATGATCTCTCAATACTTATGACCTAAAATTAATACTGAATATAAGCTTTGAGCTTTTACTAGTGTACCATGGATTATAGCAGACTAAAGTGTTGCTTTTATTTGATGATTATGATTATCTCAAATTAAAAAGGAATAAATGTAATGAGGTTTCTTTATTTATCTATAACATCTTCTAATACTAATTACCAAGGAAAACAAAGGACAACATATGAATAAATATATACTACCCAGAGGATGAAAGAATAACCAGGATAACCTGGTTGTTTTAGAGAGTCATATTTTAATGTTAAAATGTATCAACTCAAATTAATATCCATAACAGTAAAATTTACCACAGTTCAACAAACTTTTGACAATTTTCTTTCATGTACAGCAATCATAACTGAATTTAGGAATATAAAGAAAATATAATAAAGCAAAGCCCACAATGAGCTGTATACCTACTGTTGAAGACACACGCACACATACACACACAGAGAAAGAGAAAGAGAAAGAGAAAGAGGAGGGAGAGAGAGAGAGAGAGAAAGAGAGAGAGAGAGAGACTGTTAATATAATGTGTGAAGTTCTCTACTTCCAGGTGAATAAGTCCTAAGAAAAGTTAATGATAACTCCTGGGAAACTCTGAGAAGATAAACCTCTCTTCAGCTATTATACATTATTAGGAGTATATAAAGTAGAAATGGGAAAAAGGTATTTCGAGGAGAAAGTAAATAAAAAGGTCGACAGACTGGAAGTTCATGCTTTTTTGGAAAATGGAAAGTTTCTTGGTATGATTAGGTTTTATGGCTCCTAGAAGGAATGAAGAAAAATAAAAAGCCTTCCCTGATGCCCTTGGGGAGTCAGATATTTTCTCCTCTGTGATTTCATAAAAACAGTATATGGATTTTCATTGAATTTATCCTGGCAGATAAAAAATTCTTTATACATGTCTCTCCCACTAAGTTCCCTTTATGGATCTTTGTCATTAATAAAATTTCAGATATAAGCATTTAAGCATATTTTTAATTAAAAATTTGGCAAAATACAAGTTGGAAACAGATTCAGAATAGTCTGCCTTTTATGCCTAGTTAAGAAGTTTGAAATTATGTCCTTTTTTGCTTTAAAAATTAGGAGATTTCTCATAATAATTGCAATTTCTAGCTTCTCCTTGAAATCGAAACATCTAGCAATCCTGAATCTGTAACCCATATGGTAACATTCAACTGAAGTCTACCGGCAGCTGCCACCATTCACAGAGCTTTCTCCACACCTGACCACAATCTCCTCCTATCCCTCTTGCCTTATACCCAGCCTATTTCACTCATTTATGTTACCTGTTTGGCTCTTGAGCTTACTCTTTTCACAGAACTTTTCTCTGCACCTGGCCACAATCTCCTCCTATCCCTCTTGCCTTATACCCAGCTTGTTTTAATCATTTATTCTACCTATTTGGTTCTTGACCTTACTTTATTTTCACTCTGCTGCAGAACAGGGAGCTAACAGTAAATAGCCCATTATCAGTTACATGTTTTTTAAATATATTTTGGCAGCCATGTGAGCTCTTTAAGTGTAGAAATAGCTCAGGTTGTAGAATATTATGTGTTTAGTAATGTCTGAAAATAACTTTATGTGCTTGTTAAAAGAAATATATATATATTATTGTTCTATAATGTTCTTGGAAGCATAACAATATTTTATTAAAAAATTAATAAATTTGGTCCCAAACAGAAGGTAAACTAATGTTGTTCTAGTATAGTTCCAATATAATCAATACAATATTTCCATTTGCCCATGGGAAGTAGACTTCATTGTAAAGCAGATAATTCTTATTTACTAAAAAAAAAAAAAAAAAAAAAAAAAAAAAAAAAAATCAGCTCATGAGGCAATAAAATCATTCTCCAGAAAACAGGAGAGATGGAATATACCAACATGTATTTACAAGGCAAATCAGTGTTTATGATGCATTGCAGATGATCCTTGAATGTGCAATGTACATTACATTTTGCCGGCTTCATGAATTTGGAATATTTTTGGCATACTGTCTTTATACAGTATTCTCTGAATACAGAAATCCCACAGTACAAGCTAAGTAAGAAAGATGATTGTTTACCACCCCCTTTTCCAGAGGCATTTTTATCATGTCTTAGCAGCAGATATTTATACATCTAATCCTTTCTCCAAGATGTCAGAGCTCTGTGAACAAGTGGGATTTTTTTCTTTCCTTAACAACCACCTCTGTTTGAAATGAAGTGAGGTGTGTTTGCAGTGCCAAAATTAAATATTCAATTTTGTCAAGTACTATAATCTGTGCTACAGAATGGATAGATGGGAAAATGCTGAAATCACAGCTTTTCCTTATTATCATGTTATGAGAAATGTTGACAAACATATGGAAGAAGTGAGAGATGGCAGGAGCAGGTTAGGAACTAGTAGCTGCAGAAAGACCAGAGAAAACTGTCAGCTTATCTCTCCTGGCATTTGTGCTTATGTACCAAGGAAGCTATTACATCTCTTCTAATTTTTTTAACCTTGCCTGATAATTCAAATAGAAGCCTTGTTGAGAATATACCTGCTTTTTAAAAATTTATGGGAAAAACAGCATCTTTGCATTTCTGCTGAATAAAATGACAGGATTGGCTCCAGGTTTCCATTCCCAGTAAGAGCCTTCAGGTTCGTCTGTGACAGAACTCTCAATAGAGGTTATTTTTACCTGGCATGGCTGTGCTGTTACTGATGCTGCTGCTCTCGATGGCTGAGATAACTTCTCCTGTGGGTGTCTCGGACAGAACGAAAGCTGGGTCAAGGTGGAAAGGTGAAAAGAATCGTGAGTAACCAGGGTTTTCAATTCTTGGTGCATTTCTGTTTTTTCTTCATTATATTTAGGAATGCATCAGGGTCTGCGTAGCTTTGCAGTTCTTAGCATTTCCGAGAGGTTGCTTTAGAACTTAAAAATAATTTTTCACATTAAATGTGCATGCAAAATAAATGGGCTCCACATTCCGTAAGCTCCACACATCTGCAATATTGTTCTAGATGTTATTGCAAGAGTTTTGTTTGGCTTTTTCTAGTTAACTCTTAGAATTCCTGGGACTTGCAAAGACTTTGAGCAGATAGATCCAAAGGCCATGTGTGTAATTTAACATGAAGTTCAAATATGTTGCTAAAATTTGTTGATATTCAAATGCTAGATATGTAATAAAATTCCTTGCATCTTAGCACTTTGTCCTGAGGGTAACAAGAAAATACAATGAGAAACAGCAAATATTACAGAGACTCTGATTAGAATAACTTAAAAGCTGATACTTTACAATTGGTGGTTGATAAATATATTACTGTCTAGAGTCACTAACTTGTTTATTCACTTTGTATGGAAATGCAATACCTCCACAATTTGATCATTAAATATGTCTGTGTATTTAAGAAATGTCAAAAACCACTATTTTAGTCTTTAGGACTGAATATGTCTCATGTGTTACAGGACAGGATTATGAATTTGTTGTTTGCCTGCCTCTGAACTAACTGGCAAGAATAGTCAATGTCTTTTCTACAGTTTATCACCCTATAGGTCATCACAGGTGGAAATGTGCGTGCGTGTGTAAAGCTTAGAACTTTAAAAGTAGAACTTTAGAAGTCCTATGTCTATCTATATTTATCTTCAAAAAGAGACATAGAAATGGACGTAGGAATCAGTTTGGAGAGAGGAAATGCTGCTTTTAAAATGTTGCTGAATGTTCAGAAAAGGCATGCCAATAAACTTATTTTACTGGAAATTCCTCCAGTAAAAGAAGAAGATTCAAAGTAGGCTTGAAGCTAATTGCTAATCTTATGACTTTTGTTTTAATCATACTTTGGCCTATTTACTGTTCTGCTTTACTGATTTGAGTGGAAGTTGGAAAGCTGTGGTGGAGAGATCAATGGGGACTGCAAGCAGCACAAGCTGGAACAATCAGAGATTTCACTTGCTCTGCTGCCAACCGAATTTCCCAGTACCAAATTATTACTGGACCTTTATCCCTCTTTTGCGTCTCTTCTTCTTTCCTTTCTTTCCCTTCTTTCTCTCCTTTCTTTTTCTTTCTTTCTTTCCCTCCCTCTCTCCACCCCTTCCTTCCTTCCTTCCTTCCTTCCTTTCTTTTCTTTCTTTCTTCTTCCTCTTTCTCCTTTAATCTCTTGTTTTCTCCTTATGATTCAGAAAAGGCATGTCTATAGGTCTGATACTTACACCATTCTGAAATAATAAATGATTGGTCTTACTGACCGTATTTTCCCTGGACATACAGGTTGCCTCAATGTTTTGTTTTTTTCATTTGTTTTATTTTTGTTTTTATTTTTACCATAAAGTCCAAACCTTTGTCCCCCTTGGAAAGTCCTGAAGAAGGAATTCATTACCTTCCAAAGTCCAATATTGATTAGATTTATCCCACACATTGTGCTTGAATCTAATCACTATAGTACATAAAATTTATTATAACTTTTTGCTTGTTTTGCCTGAAAGTCTATATTTTATGTCCATTACGTGAAAATACATACCATTATTGCAAGGATGGACATAACCACTTCCATTTAAAGATGAGGAAACTGATATGCTAAAAAGTTAAATGACTTTGTCAGAAACATTCACTCCGTTAATAATTTACAGACACAGTTCTATAATCAAAGTTTTTAGACTTCTAATTCAGTATTCTTTCTATTGCACAAAACTTCCTCAGAGAACTATCCTGCTGTGGGAAATCCCATACCTCAGTTTCTCAGTAAGCTTAGGGGCCATATTTTTAAAAGTCTCAAAGAGAATATATATGTGTGTATATATATATGTGCAAATAATGCTTGGAAAAAAAATTGAAAGTTGAGGTGAGATGGTAAGAATGCAGCAATTGTGATAAACCAGTTGTTCTTAATGTAGAAATTCAATTTTATGTTTTTAAATGAATTGACTTTCTAAGAGGTGACTGAGCTATAAGATATCCTATATTATGATTTTTGTGGTGGTCTCCAATGCCAAAAAGCAACAGAATAGGGAGCTGTGTAGGAACTTAGACTCATGGGTTTCAACCTTTTCCTATTCAAATAAATCTTTGGGAAACACAAAATTGAGTCATGGGTGCAGACCTTTGCAGTGAAGAGTTTCAGTGAGAAAAGCTGAGGCAATTTACTGAGACATTCTCAACTAAGACAATTTTGCTTGAGACACAGATAAATTGATTCCCAAAAATGAGGAAGTTATGATGGACAGCTCATATTCAACTTATCAGATATTCTTTTGGGGGAACTTGTGAAATATATTTGGAGAGATCTTCAATTTCCTTATGAATGGAGAGTTGCATAATATAATTAAAATAGCAGTAATAAAAGCCAAAGTAAAAAACTCAATCAAATTTTAATTTCCAAAAAATATCAAGTTACAGCTTTTGGTATAGACCTGAATGCTATGGGAATGTATATTTTTTTTGCCTATATCAGAGACTTTATAAATCTTTTTTTTGTCATATTCTATTCATGGACTTCTGAATGCATAAAAATATTTCATTGGTCATTAAAGACAAACTTCCACTTCAAAATAGATTGCATTTATGGTCTTGAGACACTTTAATGTCTTCAAATATTTTATTTTCTAACATGTTTTCCATAATTAGGGCTTACCAATTTATTCTCATGTTTATTCAACTTTTTGCATCTATTTATAATTTGTCCTGTTTCTTAAAATCATGAACTCATGAAGGAGACTTTTTGTATCATTTTCAACATAACCTAGAATGTCTGACACATCATAGAAACTCAAAGTGTATTTTCTTGAATAAATGGACACTTCAAAATACCAATCAAATATGAGAAGTTGGTATATCATTTATGTAAGTTATTTTGGAATATATAAAAGGTATTGAATATGGTTTTGCTCTTGGAAAAACATTTATTTACAAAGATATCTGTTGAAATATTTGTTATTGAAAAAAGAAAGTCTATAAATCTAAAATATAGAAAAATAAGTAAGTCTAGTAGACCCTTTAAAACTTAATTATTTTCTATCATTACAAGCAAGTTTCAAAAAATGGTGGCATAGAAAACAGCTTAAGATATAACATCTGCTGGGAAAAGACAGGCTGTACAGATTTATATGTAGTATGATTCAAAGACAAGAACTGATAAAGACCTTCTCAAGAACTGCACACCATATCACTCTCAATTTTCAAATCCTGTTTTTATAGCAGTTACTAGTATCTAACTTTATATCATATATTTATTTACATGTTTATTTCTGCACCAATAAAATATAAACTCCAAGAAGGCAAGAAATATGTCTATTTTGTTATTGTTTCTTTCCCCAACTCTAGTAAAAATTCTGAAAAAATACATTTATTCAATGAATATTCATTAAATAATATATAAAGATAAATTCAATTAAAAGTATAGGCACCAAATAAAGAAAACTTTTCCTTCAGTACTGAGATTATATGTAATCTCTGCTTATTTCTGCGTTCTTTTGGAGGCTTCTCCCAAATTTTTTAATTTTTTTTATTTTTTTTATTTTTTTGAGACGGAATTTCACTCTTGTTGACCAGACTGGAGTGCAATGGCATGATCTCAGCTCACCACAACCTCGGCCTCGTGGGTTCAAGCGAATCTCCTGCCTCTCAGCCTCCCGAGTAGCTGGGATCACAGGCATGTACCACCACTCCTCGCTAACCCAATTTTTTTAATAAACAATTTTTAAGGTAGACATTTAATCGAATTAAAAAACTGGACCATAGACATAACATAGAATTGAACCTTTAGATTTATTTAATTTTGTAAAGAAAAAATAAGTGTCTAGTTTATAGAACCCCCACAATCATATGGCAAGGAAAATAAGACTTAGAAGAGTCCATTGTTTACAGAAGTACAGTAACTTCACTATACATCGAATTATGTTATTTTATTTTGGTCTGTAAAATGTGCTTATTTTTATCATCCTCAATTTTTAAAGTATATAATAATTTAACAATAAATCAGAGATTGTAACCAATACCTACTTACTTCATTACTTTATAAAATATTTAAGAAATCATTAATACTTCTATCTTTTCTAAACAAACACATTTAGAAAATAAGAAAACAACCCCACTACAAAGAAGAATCTACTAAGAAAAGGGCTCATACCCACTAAAATAACACCTATTAAATAAGAGTTTAAGCAGGGAAGAACACAGAAAGAAAATTATTGTCTGAGTTAAATAAGGTAAGCAATAATGACTTAAAGACAATTTTACTAAGGAAGCAGTGTCTATTCTTCAGGTTTATAAAAGTGGAACTAAACACAACAAGTGTCATAAATTTGTATCATGTATTTTTTTCACAACGTTTAAAGAGGCAGAATTGTATTATACACAAGATTATATTATCGGGAAATAAGGTTTCTGGTATTCTTTCATAAGGCAAGGCCCCGAGACTGTGAGTTTATGTACATCATCCATTTATTGCTACCTCTGAATGGCTATTACAATGTCTTCTATTCTGTAATGTCAAATTTTAAGATATGTGTTGATGGCTGGGAGAGGTGGCTCAGGCCTGTAATCCCAGCACTTTGGGAGGCCAAGGTGGGTGGATTACCTGAGGTCAGGAGTTCAAGACCAGTCTGACTAACATGGTGAAACCCCATTTCTATTAAAAATACACACACACAAAAAATTAGCAAGGCATGGTAGCTGGTGCCTGTAATCCCTGCTACTTGGGAGGCTGAGGCAGAAGAATCGTTTGAATCCGAGAGGTGGAGGTTGCGGTGAGCCAAGATTGTGCCACTGTACTCTAGTCTGGGCAACAGAGCCAGACTCTGTCTCAAAAAAGAAAAAGAAAGAAAAAGAAAAAGAAATGTGTTGGTAATTCCATGTTTCTACTTCCCTATCAGATTGGAAGACTAAATTCTTTAAAACTATGTGGAAAGGAAAAAAAACAAAGAATTATATGTGAAGAAAAAAGAATTGTCTCACATCAACATAACTCTAATTTAATCAGGAAATTTCCAGGACCTGTACATAAATGCTCCAAAAGTGAAGTGTATTCTTTCCCTTGAACTTGCAAACCTAAACATCTTTCCAGGAATAACTTTCAGTGGCTGAAACACCTTATCTTTAGGCTGTTCTATTCATTTATGTAGCCACTACCAACACCCCCAAACACACACACACACCACACACACATACTCACACACACACACAATGCATCTCTTCCCTATAGGCTTGACAAAACTTCTAGCTTTTGGGGGAAAGAAATCCCTCCATAAATATGCCAGGAAGCATTTTTTTGTTGCTGTTTTGGTGTTTTATTATTATTATTATCTTTTTTTGAGACAGAATCTCTCTCTGCCACCCAGTCTGGGGTGCAGTGGCGCCACCTAGCTCACTGTAGCATTGACCTCCAGGCTCAAGAGATCTCACCTCAGCCTCCTGAGTAGCTGGGACTATGGGACTACGGACATGTACCATCATGCCTGGTTAACTTTTTTTTTTAGAGATTTTTTTTTTTTTTGAGATTGGGTTCCACTATGTTCCCAGACTTGAAGTTTTATTTTTTTTAGCATCACATCTCAACATTCTCAAATGAACCCTCTACGGTTATCTCCAGCTGTCTCCTCCTTTTCTGCTCTCACTGGCCAAAGGTCAAGTGTTTCTTGCAGAAATTTTTGAAATATAAGAATTATTCAGGAAAGTTTCTTCAGAGATGCCCTGAAATAATTTGAAATAAATTTTTAAAGATGAAAAAATAACTACCATTGCTATTTTTCCAATTTTGTGTTTCATTTTGCCATTTTATTAGCAATATCATACAATTCCCCAAGAACTTAATACTGCAAAACAGTTTTTTCCTCTTCTTTAAGAGCACTAGTTTTGAAAATCTAGGAGCCATTTATTGGCTTATACATTTTTTGTTGAAAACAATTTGTTTCATCCTTTATTCTTTGTCTTTTCCTCCCTTTCCCAAACTACCATATTTTACGTATTTTTTAGAAATCTCTTTTGCAAAGAAACATTACATCCACTAAGTTAAAATAGTATATGTGTTTGATCCACAATATAAAGTTACAAAAGAATTTGTCTTTATTATTTCTCATCCCTTTTTTATCCAGTGAGAAAATATTCTTGCAATGTTGATCAGATAATGGGGTCAATACCAAAAATCAATAGATTCATGATGAAGTAAAATAAAAAGTAAAGAATTACCTCCAGACAAAGATTAGTAACCAAGATACACTAAAATACAGCCTGAAGCTCACAGTGTAATACAGACAACTAGGGAACATGACAAGTTGATAGGATTTGTCAGTGAGCAGCCACAGAGGTGACTGGGCCCTATCAGAGAAAGCATAATGTGCTTCCTTGCAGATACAGGAGCAGAACTGCATGTCATAACATACAATTGTCACTGACCTCTTTGTAGAGCAAATATTTATTTTGCAATCATCTGAGCACCAGTGGCAGTCGGGGTACTGATCTCAGGCATTGCTTTAGAAAAGTTCATAGAACCAGAGAGGACTATCTCCATATCATTACACTTCAAAACTACATAGTACATCATAGTGAAACTCTGGAAAGTGTTCTATATTTTCTTTTATGAAGAATGCTATAGTGTTGCATGCCCATAATCATTTGTGGTATAATATTTTGGGAAGAAACAATGTTTATATATAATATCATGAATATTTGTAAATTATCTACTTGAAAAATTTTTTAAAAACATAATTTCAATGGGGCAGTGAGTCCAATTCAAGGCAAGAAAGAATAGCTAGTATATTAAAAACCATTATTTTTTAATACAAGGAGGGTTCAGAGAAACTTTGTAATAGTTATTGCAAGAAAATAACTTTAAAAATGAATTTGATTACACATATCTATTTGTTACTCTATTTCTGTAAAATAAGATACATTCCAGCTGAGGCCTTTGAATATTTACTAAATATTTTTAAAATTCCAATAATTTAATTATAATCTAGTTTTTTAATGGCCATGGTAAGTATATGCTTTATAGACAATAAAATTATTATAGTAACACTGTCCTTTGCACTAAAGCAACACAGGCTTATTCATCCTATGTCTCTTTCCATTTGGTTAATGCTTGATTGTTCAGAAAACCAGGTTTAACTGATGGCAGAACATGAGTGGCCTTCAGTGCATGGCACCAAATCGTCTTATTTGCTCTTAACACATAAAAGCAACTTTGTTTTCTTGCATTTCTTCACATTGCTATGCTTGTCGTCTCAGGGTGAATACAAATGCCAGATGACAGATAAGAACTTTATAGTTAAGTTTCTAAGACCAAGATTGAAATTTGGAGCTTACCTATTTTGTACTGCACTGGTTCTCTAATATGCAATTATGGTGGATATAGTTGTGTTAATATATACACCCATATGTACAAAGGACAGGAGGCATAGTTGATTTTTACCCATAACTGTCCCACAAACAACTTAAAGCTGCAGCAGATGAAGGAAAAGTAAATGCCTTGATAATATACATTCCAGTGTAACTTTGTTGATCATATACATTCCAGTGTAACTTTGTTGCCTCAAGTCCCCTAGCTTCAAATCTGGGAACCAGGAGAAAGTGTTCAGCTGTTCCATAGATGCTTAAGAAAACAGCTGAACTCAGCTGTCATACACATGAATAGAAAAGCAATTTTTCAGGTAATCCATTCTCAATCATTCCATATGGAAAGGTTAAAACTCTACAGAAGCATGATTTCAAAACAGTGAAAAGCAACAGCAACTTTGATTTTATTTTTATAAAAGTGATGGAAATTAAATGTGTATAGATATTATGAGCCTCTGAGTAATCTAATAGGATGAACATAACTGAAATAAATCCAGCATTCATCCCAGCTTCTGCCACAGAGAGATGGCTCCAAATGATACCATCATGATGGTTTCAAGCATCTCCCATATCATTATTTCCATTGTAACTTTTTCATTCTAACAAATATTTCATACTGAAAGAAATGGAGTCTACATCATTTTTTTTCTTTTTGTTTTGTTTGGTTTTCTCACGATACTCATGTAATCCAACAAATTTGACTATGTAGTTTATTTCTGGAAAATCACTATTTTCCAACTGACTTTGATTTTAAAATTAGTGATTTGAACTCATAAAAATTAATCCCCAAAAGTAGGGTAAAACCACACCTAAGAATACAATGTCTTTGAAAAAGAAACGATGTCCAATTTTACTGTTCTTTAGTCCTTCTTAGAAACTACCTATTATTTGCCATTTGAAATTGTTCCTACGTTACAGAACTGTTAAAAATTTATGTGTTAGAACTCAGTTAGTTTTGGACAGCATAATGATGTAGAACAGTGTGTCTGAGGAAATATGGTGATGAATATATCACTGCTATAACTTGTCCAAAATCCCTGCCCAAGTAGCCACTTTTTTTCTTTGAATTTGTTTAACACTTTCTCCATTAAGATTTTACACTATATGTCAGTTTGCTGTTGTTTAATTAATACAAGAAAATGCTGAGCAGACTTAACAGTAGTGTAGTCTTGGTTCATCTCTCATTTTTATCATAAAGAAAATAATCCAAAAAGTTACTAGCATTAAAATATCGAGCCTTGTTACAGCATTTTTTCTTGCCTGAGAAAAACAGAAACAGAGGGTGGGAGGTTTTTTGTGATATAAAACTGTATATTTGAGAAGTGGATTAAGAGAGAATGAGTGGATAATTTGAAGACACTTTGACAGCCCATTATCCTGAGTCACTTAATTAAGCAGTTTACCATACAGTAGCAATGTAGCTACTCTATGATAAACTGAAAAAAGTTTGTGGGGAAGAAGACGATGAGTTCCACCAGAAATCTCCACCAGAAATTTCACCATTCACTGCTAAAGAAATTTCTTATACTATAAATAAAGGCTTCATAAAAATAATCATCAAAATTATTTCTAGTGAAAAGTAATGGGTCAAGCTAACCCCAAATCTAATTTTGGAGAAAACAATTAAAAAGTTTCCAATGTGTTTCAAAAGCATTCTGTCATATGAAGACTATAAGAGTAGGCACCCTGGAGGCAGAAATACTGAGATCCAAACCCAACTCTTCCATGCATATGTTGTGAGAACTGGCATGATCTCTCTGGGTCTCTGTTTTTACCTGTTAAATGGAGATAGCAATATGTTCTCTCACACAAATTGTAAAGATTTACCCCAGTGTCCATAAAGAGTGAGCACATGTGTTCAAATACCGGTGACTTTGTTTGGGGTACTTATTATTATTAGTGCTGTAATTATTAAGTTTTCCTTCCCCTCAAAATGCCTCTTTATTTATTGCATATACTTGCCTGCGTTATTTACCAACAGGAAGATAGCTGTTTCTTGAAAGCATATTGCTTTGTTGGTACAGAATCCACCTCACAGTATGCAATGGGGAAATGTAACTTAAACATAGCAATGAAAGAATGATGATATGTATCTATTATTGTCTGTAATAATAAGTGTCTTTTACCAACAGGCAGGTTGATAAAAGATTAGGGAATATATTTTTAATGGAATCAGAACTTATCTCCAAATTGAAAAAATCTAATTCAAATCGAGTCACAAATTTATTATTTGTGTTTATTTTTTCTAATTCTCACATAAATCATATGATACCATGATAAGTGCAGAGAAAATTACGTTGTATTTTGAGATTTACGTTCTCAAAGCTTAAAAAAACACACTGAACAGTAGCTTATATATCAAGTAATCAAAAAATAAAAAAGAATCAAAATGCGTTTAACAAATTTAAATTAGTAAGCAGTTACCAATGTTACATAAGCACACACACTACTGTACGTGTAACCATGAAGTATTGTTTCTTTCTGAAAAAATAACTTGAAAGAGCACTTAAACACTCATAAATATCAGGATAAAATATTGAAGAAACCTAGAGAAATTTCAGTGCTGTCTTTGCCAAGAGTTCATTTTATTTTTATGGTTATATAATATATTTTTATTTTAAGTGTTAGAAATTTTTGAAGATTCTTTGATTTTTATTGGCAGAGTACCTGTATTTATAATCCTCCTCCTTTTTCTGACACTGATGATTAAGAAGCATAGTTAGTACACTGATCTCTGATTTATGATTGTTCTGCATTGCGTTTACAAATTTGTGTTTACGAATACATATTGGATGTTCAGTAGTATTTAAAATCACTTAAACTCTTTCAAAAACTTAATTAAAATGCTTCCAACTTAAGAAGCCCTATCCCTTCCTCTTCATCATCTAAAATCATGTATGTGACATTAGCCATTCCCAAAGGACTTAATTTTCCCTCATTTATTATTAAATATTATTCATGAGAGAAAAAGCAGACCCAATTCACTTTTATAATGTCTACCCTCAGAATACTTTGAGTGGTTCAATCAGCAAAATGTAGAGGACTGAATACCAATTCTTACATATTTTGGCCTTTAAATTTTAGCTAACTGTAGCAACTTCATATTAAAACCCAAATTAGCCACACGTCTTAGATCCTTAATAAATAAATAATGAATTACCTAATGAATGACTGGACAGATATTCCAAAAACAGCTTGGGGAAATTAGAGCTAATTTTTTTTTAAAAAAATCAGTAATTCTTAGGAATAATTTACCTACTCTGGTTTACTGAATTAAAGGATAATAATTTCCAAATGGCCAACTTTTAAACTAATAACCCAATTTGAATTTTCTTTATCTCAAATTTAAATATGGGTATACATATAGATATCAGTATATAGATATATATTTATATTGCCTTGACTTTTATATATGCTTTGCAAAGTCAATAAATATTCAGTAATTAGTAATTTTTAATGGTGCTGTTTCCTCTCCTTACATCAAATGAATTTCTAAAGTTAAAATTATTTATTTGAGATGAACAAGTCCAAAAATCCTACAGAAATATAAGAGGGTATCTTAGAATTGTTTTTACTAAATTATTGACGTATTTAATAAAACCCATCCATTTACACATATATACATCAATTAACCAATTAATCAAAATTCCAATACTGATTTTTAAAAAGAACAAATAGAGCCTTTATATCTCCTCCTAATATAATCTACTTATGAATTTAGGACATGCATTATTTAGAATGGACATTTTCCTCAATATGAAAGTCTTGCTGTATAAATGACATATCACATTCTAATACACAGACTTCAAATCAAACCATCATCCTTGACAGCTAACTTATTATCAATACGTAAAAAGAAAAATTAAAAATTACCCTTGTTATGAAAATTTGCATTTAGGTTTTTAAACTGAAGCCTTCAAAGTAGAAGTGCACATGATTTGCGTGATGGGGGGAAATGTAAAATGCTTTCATAGAGAAGAACTTGAAATGGGAGGGTAATTTTGGGAATCCATACGCTAAATTTGTCATGTATCTGCCAAAAATAATGCAATTAGAACATGTTTCCCTTATATTAGCATTTGTTAAATGTGCAACTTGGTGTGCGTAAGTGTGTGTGTGTTGTGGGGGTTGTTATATATGTATCTTTTATGGAGTGACTCAGGAAATTGATAGAAAAACTTGGAAAAATATTTGAACACTCTAGTTTTTATGTCTAGGAAATAATGCAAACAGCTTTGAATTTATTTTAGCTGATTGCAGTATTTTTCTAATTTAATAGTTTGGCTGAGAACTCACATTTACCATATTTTGAAGTAAATTTACATTTGGTGACATAATTCAGAGGACTGATCAGAACACAGCAAGCGTTTCTGAATGAGTAATTAAATATAAAACCAGAGGTAAATGTGCACCCAATAAACCTAAGCACTGTGAGTTCTCTTTTGCTACACAAGGGTCTAGTGTGAGCGAATCAGCAATGTCAGTCTTTAATGTCATTTTTGGATCATGTTTGGAAAACACCTATAAAAATTCTATCACAATTTTAAGAATTAAGAACAATCTCAGTGTATTTCATAGTTATGTTTATATGCATATATATAAATGTCTACAAGTGGGAAAATATGAAACAGCTTTCATTTACGCTCAACGCAATGAGCCCATGCTCTTCTGTCAACCTGAAAGCATCAGGTTTTTTCTTCCTATTAAAAACAATCTTGATGTTTTTAAGGAAATTTTATGGAGTGTGAGATATGTGGTCATTTTTCAGTTTATAAGTAGTTTAAAATATTATGGCAGATAAGTAAACATGTCTGTGCCAGAATGGGCATGATCGCTTTTGATTTTTAAATACAGGCTTAATCAGTATATATGTATCCATTGAACAAATTAGCAAATCTGTAAGAAATGAGGGAGTAGTGATATATCAGAGGAATCAGAGGAAAAGTGTTCCAAAGAGTGGGCACAGTAAATGCAAAGGGTTAGATATTAACAGTGTACTTGGCATGATTATGGGAGGGTGTCCAGAAGTCAGCTTGTTCAGAAGTCAGTGGGAGGTCGGGGGGCAGCCGGTCACGTAGGGCCTTATAGACCAATATAAGGGATTGAGATTTTAATCTGGATGGAATGGGAAGCAACTTGCAGGAGTTTGAGTAGATTTAGTGGATTAAACACTGATATGATCTGACTATGACTCTTTAGGACTGCTCTTGTTTTGTATCTACACAGACTTATGACTTCTCACATTTCTCTCCTTACTGCTGCCTCAGAGGAGCTGCAAGCATACATAGTAAGGGACCAAGGAATCTGCTATTGATCTGAAGCCCCCAGCTATGCATGCCGGACAGGACTCTGGCCCTATGACCTATTCTATTTCTCAGCATAATCCTTGTTTCTCAATGGAGGCTGTCTAGTCCCCTTAAGACAGGCATTCACTCTCTTATGCCCTCAAAAGGAAGAAAATTTGATCATGTGGGGTGAAAAAAAAAACATACTTTTTATGTATAAAGCACAGTGTGTCTGTGCCATTAACATAACATCTGAGAGAGTGTGATTAACATAAAAATGTCTAAAAGTCTCCTTAGGGGTGGCACTAATAATAACCTTTTTTAAAAAAGTTGAGAATCAGTACTTTTAGGGTTATTTTGGAAACCTGCAGGGTCATTTGGTTTTTGTAATTACCGGAGAGAAATTGCCACCAACATTTAGTTGGTAGAGACCAGGGAAGCTTTATGTACTGCAGTACATAGGGCTCTTCTGAATGAAAACTTCCAACTGTCCCACTGAGAATTCATGTAGGCAAAAATTCTGTCATTAACTGAGCCTAGAAGCTAATTCCAGTTTTTTATAGTAATTCTTGCTATACAACTACCTTATGAAAGAGAGATTATACTTTAGTTTGCTCAGAAGTCACATCACAGAGGAAAGTGTGGCTTTTGGTGTTGGACTCAATAATACTACACACCTATATCAGTATCAGCCTCCATCTGTAAAGGTCATGTTCACAGTGATTTCACGTGGAAGTCCAAATGTCTATTTCATTATGTCTTCAATATATAAAAGTCTAAGAATTATATATTAAAATCGACATGATTTTAGTGTAATTCACTTTCTTTTCATTTTTCAGTGAACATATTAGTATGTATATATTTCTGTATATTAAATTATGTGATAGCTTATTACATATGTATTTTATTTTGAGGGTAACAAAGAATGCAATATAAGGGTGTGTTGAGACCAAACCAGAATAAGAATCAGAGAACAGGGCAGACATCTCTTGATTCTTCAAATTGCAGAAATTACATGATTGAAAAAAAGTTTTAAAAATCTTGTTTTAGCACTATTAGGTGGCAATTTGACAATGGATAATTAATAATTAAAAACTAATATTGTAAAGAAGAATAGAAATATTTTCTTTCTAACTAACTGCTAGTAGCTAACTACATATGATTTTTTAAATTTTTTCTTAAGTGCTCAATCTGCACCAGGCTCTATTGCAAACAATTTATTTTTAATGTTTTTAGTTTTTCAGTAAACCCAGGAGTGGTTCTCATTTTACAGATGAATAATATGAGAGACAGAGAGGTTAAGTAGCTTAATGCAAAAGCACATTGTTAAAAGTGATAGGGCTGAGATTTAACTAGCGAGCCTTTGGTCAAAACTTTATTATCATTAATTGCCTGGCATGTGGCTTTTGTACTTTATAAATGTTTTGGGGGTTTCATTGCTTAGTCAAGTGTACTATATCCCAGGCTTATCGGTTGCATAGGTTGTAGTTAATTGGTGTGATCGATGGTCTGCTTATGTGTTTAGTTGCTTGTTTTGAATTTAAGGCAAAATTACTAATTTTTATTACTTGAATAAGTGAAGATCTTTTGTCTAATAGATTGTGTCTCATCACTGAACTAAAGCTGTCCTTCGTGAACTTTGTTCCTCCAGTGTGCTGATTCTTTTTAG
The DNA here is from genome assembly GCF_000001405.40 of Homo sapiens. NCBI lineage: Eukaryota > Metazoa > Chordata > Mammalia > Primates > Hominidae > Homo > Homo sapiens. The sequence continues at coordinate 79,397,456 of NC_000003.12, read as the reverse complement.
ATGCTTTGCCAGAACTAGAGCATCCTGGAAAAGCTTTGTCCAATACGACAGATGCTGAGATGTTTACTGACTGGAAAAATGTATTGATCATTGCAGCAAGACAAGACAGTTAAGCAATGTGTCTGGCTTCTGAAGAGCAAATTTAGCTGTAGTCTTAGATGTAGTCTACTTAATCATAGAAAACAGCATATATATATATGATTATTAAATATATATGATTATTAAGTGTATATATATACTTATTAATTTTATATATACACATATCTGCAAGTCTTCCAAAACACTTTTTAAAGTTTTATAAACTAGAAATACTTTTACACACTAATTTGAATATATTGCTATTTCATTAGATAGCTATTTTAGTCTATTATTCAAAGAGTATATTTTTCACGTTTTAGTATCCAGGGAATATTTTCAATGAATGACAGATAGACTAAATATAGAAGGATTTTTAAATCTTAAATAAATTCCCTGTGAGTTTTGATTTGGTTTTCCTTTAAGGAACATTCTCGGTAATTTTATTGTGAATGTATGCATGAGCTGTGTTTATGACAAATAATTTTAGAAGTTTGAAAAAGGCAAAGTTTTTAAATTTTAGAAAGCCAAAATCAACCTGTCAATCATCTATGTAACTCACTCTGTTTCAAGTAGTGGAATAAAACTAAATGGTTTACCATGGCCAAGTATATACATAACTACAAAGCAGATGAAACCTGTAGATTAAAGAAACTTTTGACTCATTTTACAGTTGTACTCAGCTAACATTTACAATGGATCTAAAATATGCCAGGCTGTGTATCCTTACTTTTCCTTCATTTATTCTTATTTAAAATATAAAACAAGATAACTGTCGTTACATAATGTAATTATGACTTCTTTTCCTAATAGAGTATCTGATACTCTTTTGAACTGGAAGATAACAATGTTGCTAAATTTTGACCAATACCTTTATTTTACAAATGGAGACGAAGGTACTTTTTTTTAATGTTTTTCTAATTAAAATGTTTCTTTCATGATATAAAGAATTGTTAGCATACAGTCCTTTTAGAGTAGTTTTCACTAATAACTTATACTTCCCAATGTCACCCTAGTATAGAATATATCAAAAGATGTTAAAATTCAGGAAATTTTTCTTTGGAAGATGAAAAAATATTAGTTATCGTTAAGGCTTTCACTTACTATCAAAAACCTCAAATATGTGTAACACAAGTGTCTTGTTTCTTTGTTCTCACCATAGTACTCCAATTTTATTAAAAGTTGTTCTTTTAAACACCATACTGCTGTTCCTTGGTTTTACATTAAAGCCCCTGCATTCAGATAGAAATATTGTTTATTCCTCAAGTTAATAACAAAAATACTTGAGAGCTTTTATAAGAAATTATAGGGTTATTAAGATTATTATGATTTTATATTCATTTTGCCAAAGAGGTATCTCAAAACAAACTTTGCAAATTCTTATAGTTCACTCAGATGGTAATTCATCCCTTCCATGTCCTTCCTTAGAAACTGACACCAAAATATTATAGCATTTCCAATGCAAAGTCATGTGTAGACTTCAGCTTTATATGTTAATCATAATATATTTATAATATTGGAAAATCAGAAAAAAACTGTGTATCCATTGAGAGAGGGTTAGTTATATAAATTAGAACGTAACACTAAGATAGTGTCTTAACAGCAAATAAAGAGGTCTTTATGAAAGTTTTTAAAAATAATTTAGGAAACACATACTGTCATGAAAAATTTAGGTGGGAAAATTTGTATTTAGTATAATCTCCACTATAAACTGATAGAAATATATGTGTATCCGTAGGATACAAATATTCAAAGTAAATACACATAGATACTAATAGCAGTTACAATTTTTAGAAATTTTTACTTTCTTCTTCATATCTTCCAACTTTCTACAATGACCATAGTAAATGTTATACTTCAAAAACATGTAAATATTTTTCAGAAATTTCTACATATAAATTTTGTTTCATTGGCACTCTCATTAGATGGGAAAATTGTCCTAAAAATATGAAGACCTAGGATGCCAAGACTTCAAAGAGTACTGCTTTTAAAATCTAATAAAAGGCACTGAAATGTTCTTTCTTTCTTTCTTTCTTTCTTTTTTTTTTTTTTTTTTTTTTGAGACGGAGTCTTGCTCTATCGCCCAGGCTGGAGTACAGTGGCGGGATCTCGGCTCACTGCAAGCTCTGCCTCCCGGGTTCACTCCATTCTCCTGCCTCAGCTTCCTGAGTAGCTGGGACCACAGGTGCCGCCACCACGCCCGGAGAATTTTTTGTATTTTTAGTGGAGACGGGGTTGCACCATGTTAGCCAGGATGGTCTTGATCTCCTGACCTCGTGATCCGCCCGCCTCGGCCTCCCAAAGTGCTGGGATTACAGGCGTGAGCCACCGCGCCCGGCCGGTCTCACTGTTTTAACTATTAAATATTGAAAATGATGGTCTACTGATCTAGACTCCATAAGTTCTTCCAGAAATAATTAATATAGGTAAAATTAAATTTTGTGCCTCCATAAAGCCACATTCTGTGAATTTTATGTGTGTTACCCTAATAAAATAGAATTTGTATATCAAAACATATATATTAGAATAACATCAACTGAATTAACTGATTAGGATTGTGATCCCAATTTTAAAACATTTTATTTTGTTTTAACACTCACTAGTACCTGCCTATTTACATCCTTAAAGGCGATGACAGGTTGAATTTTCATCAAGAATAGGAAGTTCAATAATAGTTTCATTCACTCTATTAAGAAGAATCTATATTTAGATTATTAAATTGTGTTCTCATCAACAATATAAAAAATGCATATGGAATAGAAGCACAATACTCTTATATCTTCCTATACAGTCGCTTCCATATTTTCAAAAATTACTGATGTGAAAGAATACATGTATCTATATTTATATCTATATCTGTATATATGTTACTGTTTTCCACTTGCCTATATATTGTGTTTATATATAAATATATATAATTCAGAATGCACATATAGTAATTACTATACATTATTCTATTTGATTTTTTAAATTCAATTTACTTTATTCTTTTAAGGAGCCCTGTAGTAACAAGTAGGTATTTTGAAGACGTTTAAGTGACTTACTAAAGTTTTCTTAGTTTATTTGTGCTTTCAGTAAAAATCAATTGATCTTACCACATTTTTAAGTGAATATGTCAGATCAAATGGTGAAAGCATTTGTACTGAACATCCTTAGCTTCTCCTCACATACAAACTAGTCTACTCTTTTCTGACCTGAAAATTTCTCTTATGTGCCAGTTTTTTTTTCAAAATCTTTTTTTTTCTTTTATGCTGGATTCTATACCAAAGCAGGGGGCTTATTGCCAACTGATTTCTCTTGATTTGCTTCATCAAATATTCCCAATCCTCTTTTTGTGATACTAAGGGAAAGCTAAATCTTCAGAGTCACCATTCATTGTCATGTCGTTTCTTTCTTTCCCCTGCAACACTCTGGAGCACTCGGTTTTATACACACTGCAGGATTCTTTTTTTCTATTCACTTAAGTTTCTATCATAAGCCTGGCCCCGTCTTCACAGATGTTATTCAGATGTTCGGGTTCCCTGCCTACTAAATTTGAAATCAAGTATCCATCCATCAAAGCTGACAGTATTTTTCCTTCTCTTTCTTATTGATTATAGAATATTTTAACACATACTTCTATTACCTGTTATAAAGACATGCTCTTTATAATAAGGCTGCAGTGAAGCATAGCCCCCTTTATAACAATCACTCCTTTCTTCTCAGCTCTCCTCCAGTTTCTGCCACTTGTGAAGAATGACTTAGCAGGTCATTGGGCCTGTCTCTTTCCTTATTGTGTCTATTCCATAGAGATCTTCACCCATTCTCAAAAATGTTGATATTTTCTCTTCTGAAGATTCCAGGATGTGGAATCAGAGGTAGAAGCTGATGCACAAAGTCATTGAACAACTTTTCCAAGATCACTGCTAGTGAAAAGTAAAACCTTGATTCAAACTACACAGATTAATTTATAGTCTATTCTTTTAAGTACTGAATGCTGGCTATTTCTCAACCATGAAGAGTAGTAACCAGCATACAGTGGTGAAGAGTTTGGGCTCAAATTACCGAATACTCCTTTGAGTTATTGAAGAATGATATCCTCTTCAGTAGGAGATTGCTAAAATTAATATTCCTCCAACACCCATGCAACCCCCACAGTATAAAAGCTATATTGTTCTACACCAGCATTCATCCATTTCTAATTTATTGCATCAAGTAGGCTCAATGGCATTGAAAAGGCTTATTAGTTCTACCTATGACCAAATGATAGATGGACAAGTATGGAAGGCAGGCCCAGTGTGCCAGTGACTTGAGGATTCCTGGATAGAGAGGAAAGGTCTTGAATGATTTGTCACAGTAGACACTGAAAGAGAAGAAAGAGACAAAGTATATTTGGAAGAGTGGAGTGGATTATGTTTCAAAGGGAAAGGAAGAGACTTTTCCAGATTTGACTAGGTTAGGCCTAACACTGACAGCTCTTCATAATTTGTGACCTTGGGCAACTCATTTAATTTCTTGAAATCTCAATATTCTTGCTTGTAAAATGAGTGGTTTGGGCTGAGTGATTTCTAATGTTTCTTCCAGTTATAGCTTTTTAAATAATCTGCAGTATTTTCTTAGGATGTTCATTGTTTTATTTGATGATATACTATCTCTGCCTGTGAAAAAATGAAGTTTCTTTTATTGCCCCAGAGGAGAACCACAGGAAAATATTAGTTGGGTGATGTAATAGGTCCTAGTCATTGGGGTTTCACCTGAGACCTTTTACTTAGTCATGCTGCACAAGTGTATTTTTTGCATTTAAAACCTATAATATTGTTAATGCATTGTCTATTGTAGAATAATGCCACCTGCGTTTGGAATATTGATCTCCCTGAAGGTAAAAACCCATTCAAATAATCTAGTGTGTAAAGCCTATATGCAGTTCCTATCATTCCTGCCTTGACATTTTTCTCCATGGGTGCCGTCAAGAGAATTTTATTACAGAAATAGACTCCATCTGACCTTGTAATTACTTGCCATATAACATTCTCTTCAAAACTGGTACTCATTTCTTACTAAAAGTAGCTTGTTCTGCAAGCTTTAATCTTCAAATAAAACACTAATACACAAAATGTTTTCTCGACTGAGGAGGTCTGGTTGTCCACCTTATTTGGTGAAGCAATGAGGGACACATTGAGGTTGCCCATTTCAGTTGTTGGCAGGTATGTGCCAGATGGTTTGAATGTCCATTCCGTGGTTGCTTCTCTGACACATTCTCAGAGGATCCCTTCCTTGAGTGAAAATGAGATTTGGACCATTTCCTTCAGCTCCACTTTTTTCCCCCTTTCAAGAGGAATTCTGAACAAAAGAGATCTGGACTTCTGGTCCACTGTTCTTGACTTCTTTATAATGATTTCGTCTTAAACTAGAAGGCATCACGTCTTTATATCTGGACATACCAATTCGAAAGTCTCAGTAATTTGGATACAAATCGAGGGAGAAGTGATACTTGTAGATTTGTCTTTTGGGAACTATAGTTCATTTGACTGTTGATTTCATCTTATCATAAGAACTTTGTTTGAACCAAGGCTGAAGCACCAATGTGAATATATAATAAAATAGAGAAAAACAATTATGATAATTTTATCAAGTAATTTTTACTTGTATCTAGTGGCTATAACAGTATATTTCAGTTGCTTTTATCCCCTAGTGATAAAATCAGCGATAAAATTCATACTATAAAAATGCATAACTTGAATTAGAGGGAATACTATATACAATTCACATAGATATCTCTGTATGTTATACTGAAAATTTCACATCTTTGCTTTTCTAGGCTGAGCTATTGAGATAAAAGATAGTGTTGGGATGGAGATGGGGAAGTGGGAGGTTTGTGGGAGTTGCTGATTGGCCAAAACACATACTATTTCTTACTTTATAATTGAATTAGGAGTCACCATCTGCTGAGCCTGGCATGCTTTGTACTATTTATTAGAGTACAAAATAAGTTCAACATTGATTTTTTAAAAATTGTAAAAATAATGTGTATAGAGTTGTTCCGTCTGTGTTAGGACCAGCATGGAATTTGTATTATGTTTTCGTTTATGGTTTTGTTTTTTGTTTTATTTGAGATGGAGTCTCAGTCTGTTGCCCAGACTGGAGTGTAGTGGTATGATCATAGCTCACTATAGCCTCCAACTCTTGGGCTCATGGGATCCTCCTGCCTCAGCCTCCTCGGTAGCTGGGAGTACAGGCAGATGTCACCACACTTGGCCAAATTTTTTTTTTTTTTTTTTTTGGTAGAGACAGGGTCCTGCTATATTACCCAGACTGGGACTCAAGGAATCTTCTCATAGCCTCGGCTTCCCAAAGTGCTGGGATTACAGGCATGAGCCACCATCCTTGGCCAGTGTTTTTAACAACTCATTAAGAACTATGCTAATTGTTAAAGCAGTGCTTTGGGGTATTCTTAAAGCGTTCTTCTTTCATCTCCATTCTTAAACATATCCTATTTTAGGTCTTCATAACACAGCTGTTCAGTTACCGTGCTCTCATTCATTCCCTGTTCATGCCCAAACTAAAAATACTGCTTTGTGAGTAGGGTAAATATGTACTCAAATTTGGCTGCCAATTTTTACTACATTTTTCTCCTAAGTTTGATTTCCCACATTCCCAATCTCCTCTATCTCCTCAGACTCCTCTGTCTCCTCCCTTCACCATTTCCCTCTGCCTAGGTGTGTATGCACCCATATAAGCCTCAGCCATCTTCATTTTGTTGAATGCAGATCACTTCTTTGTTTGCCTCTTACTAAGGCTGCTCAGCATCACTGGACACTGGTCCATTCCCTAAAACGTATTCATCTCTTGGCTTCCATGACGTCACACCACACACACCTAGTTTTCTTCCTACCTTGTCAGCTATTCTTTAATATCCTTTTCATATGTCTTCTTTTTTTTCTGGTGTCTAAATGTTGGTGTGCCTCCTGAGCTTGAAGCTTGTTTTCTGTCCTCTGCAATCTTTCTCTAAATGAGCTTGTAGAGTCACTTGCTAATCCATGTCTTTGATATATCTCTAACTCCCAATCTTATATCCCTAGCTCTGGATTTTTTTTTCCTCCTTTGTTGTTGTTGTTGTTTCAGAGCCGGTATCCTATTTAATCTCAGTGGAATATAAAATAGGCATTTCAAGCACTACACAGACCGTATAAAATATTTTATTTTCCCACTGCTCCTTCTCAGTCTGGTCCTCCCCTTGTCTTTCCCATACCAGTATTCAGCCCTTCCATTCATCTTTGACTTAAGTTAAAAAATATAGAATTTTTTATTGATATTTCTTATTCTCTCCCATCAAATCTATCAGTAGATATTATTTGACTGTATCTCTAAAATAATTCCAGATTAGTTCACCTCTTTACATCATCATTATTATCATCCTAATCCACACTTGTGCTCTGAGTATCATCCACTCCTCACACAGAAACCAAAATGATTCTTAAAAAACATAAATGAAATCACATCATTTCCCTGTTTAAATCTGTCCCAAGCATCTTGTTTCACTCAGATGAAAACTCCAAACTCTTCCTTTGGCCATAGGACTCTAACCTGGACCACACCTGTTTTTTTTCAAACACAGCTTCCAGGACTATGTTTCCAACAAACTAGTTACATATAAACTTCACATGTGACAAGTTTGTTCCTATATTTGCTCTTTCCTCTATCCAGTGCATTATTCTCCAAAATTGGATCATGGATGGTTCCACTTAGATATTCAGAGCTCACTGCCAAAGTTGCCTCTTCACAGTGACCAATCCTGATGGCTGATTCTGCCTCATGTATTAGCAAAACTCTGTTTTGTTCTCTTTTTGAATCTTATTATTACAAATCAGATTAGTTATTTTGTGTTTTCTTGTTGATTAATATTTTCTATTTCCTCTTTCCTCAATTCCATATTTGTAGGTCCCTTTCCCATAGTGAGAATCTCGTTTCTCAACCATACTAATATATATTTATTTGTGCTACCCTGCAACGCACACAAAGAATCACTGCTGACAACAAGAAACCTACCAAGTGAAGTTTAATATTTCTTTGCACTTCTTTTTGTCTATAGAAGCTATGCTGTGAAAGGTGTACAGTCAGAATTCTTTGCTCATATTACATAATTTTTTTCTTTATAGTTATATTATTCATTTTATGTGTAGTTAGGTTTGTTTCTTACTTAAATTCAAATTCAGGGTTAGTTTTTTATTCTATTTTATTGAGCATTATTTTTAATATGGAAAAGGTTTACATCATACAAAAGTCAAAAGTTATATTCGAAGAAATCTTGCTCCCATCCAAATTTTAGAGTATACTTGAAATCATACTAAATATATAATTAATTTTATTATTAATTTAGCTAGTGGCATACTTACACATCATTCTATTGTTAGACCTTTATGAAGTTTACTTTTTTCCTCTCTTTAAAATTATGCTGGCATTAACAAATACGTTGTTTTTAATTTTTAAAGATTTATCTGGCCTTTGGTTCTAACTGTGGGACAAAATATATACCCATCATACATGAGGTTTGGGGATTGTTGTTGCTCTGTCTCTGTCTCAGGTATCTGAAATTATAACTGGTATGTTTGGATTAGTCTAGATGGAGAAGAATCCTAATTATTCCACACAATATAGTTTCTCTCTGTATATTCAGAGCATAAAGCAGACTAGAAGTTTAAAACTCTGAACCTAGGTGCCTAGTTTTATTTATATTACCTGTGCATATGTATATCATTTAGCTCAGTCTAAAGTGGGCTTCCATGTGCCTGCCTCATGGAGTTCACTATAGGGCCAACTGTTCTGACCAGAGTGATTTTTTTTTTCTGCAATGCTAGTTCATTCGTTATTTTTAAATTTTATTGTTTTTTTCCTACTTGAGAGATGATATCTATTATACCACAGAATTATTTTATTATGAATGAAGATGTTCCAACAGACTGATTCCCCTCTCTACCTGCCCCCCTCACACCCATCCCCAGGGGTGCTGATTACAGGAGGTGGGAGAGAGAGAGAGAGATACTATAACAGTAGAATTCCTGGCTCTATCTATGAGGATATCTCTATCCCTTTTTAATTATATGAAAAAACAAATTTTCTATTTGGGTAGTTGCATAAATATTGAATGTTCCCCTTTCATAGCACTTACATTCTAAGTTTACCTCAAGTATATGTCATGTGTTACATAGATAATTTTAGCGTAAGAAAGAAGGGTACAAGTATTATGGCAGCAATTATATTTTGTGAAAAGAGATTGAAGATCTTAGTTTCACTATAAAAGATCAGTCAAAAGATGACATTGATAATAGTCTTTTAATAGCTTAACCAAGAAATTAGTTTGTGAGAATTCCATTCAGTTTAACAAATACGCATCAGGCACCTCCAATGGGTCCATATCACACAGTGCCTATAGCACTGTGAGAATTGCTGGGTATACAAATTTTAAAAGAACATAGCATTTATTTGCAAGGAGCTCATAAGGCCGTCCACATGAAAGGTCACATTGAATCGGATCTGGCAGCGTCTCTCAAAGCCATTATCCTACTCTAATTTTTTCTGCACCTGCAACCAGAATAATATTGCTATTGCAAAGTTTCAAACATTTGGTTCTTTTACTCTAATGGCTTTCCATTTTCTAGACAGAGTCTTTAACAACTATTTTTACTACCTTTCATTACACATTTTTTAAATTTGAGTACTTATTACATATTTGTTTTATATTTATTTACAAAATATGTAAATGTATCCTTGCACTGAAGGGTATGGTAATAGATATACAAAAGTAACCGGGAATTTAAAATCAATGATCAACATGAAATAAGCCCTTTTTAAAAAGACTTGCTAACCATGATGGCATTTTACTAACATTAGCTAATATTTCAAAAACATGCATATGCAATATGTACTATATTTGTATATATTTTATATATTATATATAACATGCATATATGTATATATATACACAAATTATGCATGCAAGTGAAGTCTTCTTTTAAATATCAATCTTTACACAATCTTTTAAAAATTTTATATAGCCATTTGTTTTTCATTTTTTAATGTTGTTGACAAAGGGCTCAGTCTAATACTAATAATAGTTACTGCTACAAATTTTTTGCTACTGTCATTTTCTGGTTTACTTATACTGGCATGATTTGTATTATCATCAACCTGTACTTTCTTTGTAAGAATCTTTTCATGCACATGCCATTTTATGAGATTTAATTTAGTTAAAACTAAATATGGTAATCCCAAGTTCTCTTCCCTGGATGCCTCTAAACTATAATAGTTCAAAAAGTGCTAAAAGCAAATAGATGAAGGAGAAGCCCACTTTGTCATCCCTTCTACATCTCAAAATTGTGACTCTACCCCAGTGAGCTATGCCTTCTCCTATATGACAAGTCACCATTCTGACATATCCCTGGCTGAGAAGTCACTGTAAATCTCTGTAATACATAAGAGTGAAGCTTAATTTTCTTCTCTTTTTTTTGATGCAAAATAACAATAAGTTAGGATCGTTTTTTCTTTTCAATGCCCCACTGCATCAGCTTTCATATTCTGTAGAGTGTGGGTACTCCACTGCACTGAGGAATAAAGCCCACAATCCTGCTTCTGGCTTCAAAATGCTCTGTGACATAATTCTCATCTATTCATCTTAGTACAGGCAGCATTTATTTGGAAGTATTGTTTCTTATCTCACAACCAATGCGTGAAGCTACCCTGGGTATTTTACCGTCTGCTGGCTGGGCTGCCCTGTCTTGCATCTGCACTTTCATCCATGTTAGCCCTCTGCTTGAATGCCCTGTCAACTGCAATGTGAGAACAACAAGCATCCCTCAGTCATCTTTCATTGTCTTGCATTTAGCACAATAACTGACCAAGAATACAAGTCTCATTGAAAACTAATTACGTAGTATTGCTTGACCTTACTTTATACGTTGATGGTAAAAACTCCATAATTTCAAATTTGCTATTCCTTCTCCCGTTTATGAATAGAACAACCTCAATATTATTAGAATATCTATACATTTTATTTTCCTTCCTCTTCCCCGTTTTTAAATTCCCCATTACATAGTCATTGAGTTTGTACAAAAATAAAAATTACTTATATAAATAGATTAGTAGGCAAATAAAACTCCCTAGAGTTCTATCGAACTGACGTTCACAGTAAGTTGTTTTCCATTTTTTGTTTTTTTAGTTTAAATCACATATTCTGATATGTCTGTTTCTAATTAAAATGCACTCAGGTAGTTCATGTAAAAAACAGTCAGTTAAAATCTATCACTATAATATTGTAGTGTCCAGGCATTTTGATAGTGAGCTATTTTTCTTACTATATTGAGGACTAATATAAAGATGACCTCACAATTTTACGTTATTTTCCCAAAATTATCAAAAGCAAAAAATTCAGATTGAATTTAATATCAGGCCCTGTTCAATGTTTTTCAAGAGAAAATAATATAAATGTGTAGAGAGCATTTAGATTGTTCTTTGTAAATCTACAGTATAAAAGTTGACTTTTTATTATAGCCTATACCATTTGAAGATTTGTATTTCTTGAAACTATCTCCATTGAGTTTTTCTGTTTCTTCCCAGGTATGTTTTTTTATTAAATGTTTGTTTGTTACTTTCTTTCCCCTGAGAGTGATTCTGCCAGTGAAGTCATTTTTGTTTATTCCATGTCTACCAGGTAGCAACTGATTCATGAAGACTAAAAGAGTTTCTTTCTTTTACAGAAGTCTAGCATTCAGCCTAGGGGTGTTAGCAAGAAGTTTTAAGGTCACAACTGATTATTGCATGAAAGTCTCAGGTTCCACATTTTTATCCAGCAAGCTTTATGTCGCCTTTAGGATTAGCTGGTCTTGCGGAAAGATAACACATAAAGGCATGAAGATATTTTGTGCAGTAGTGTAACATTACAATGATGATACTGAGTTATTTTTAAAAATCCTGTTTAGCAAGAGTTTATCTTCACCAACATACCACACCATACTCTTCAGCTCCAGGCGCCATGGTCATAAACTTCTTGAATTTGCATTCCTAAAAAAAGCTATTTTCAAACATTTGTGATAACATTTGCACATAAGGAGACATAGGATTCAGGATTAGATATATACAGAAAGATTCAAATAACTGAAGCCATCTAATATTGACATAGTATGCATTAGTTTACAATTTTTAAAATTTAACTTCATGCGTCCAAATTTAAGAAATACAAATAGTGAAATTCCTAAAGAATGAAAATTGTTCTCATTCATATTTGAGACAGATTCTTCTGAACATATGACTCCAGGCAAGAAAGCTTTTTCATGGTACACTTAAATTCAGAAACTTTAAATTCAGCTAACTTTAACTTTCAGACATTATTGCAATTTGTGTAGTATCATCAAACTGAAAATATTCTATCAGTGAAATTTCAGACAGCAGTTTTTTCTGTCATCCTTCCCGTGTAAGAAAAGAAGAGAAGATGCATAACTTTCCTGTATCGGAGATTTCCTTAGTGATGACTGAGATTTATGTATTCTTTTCTTAAAGCAGAATGTTTTGAGATAAAGTATTCTTAGTTTAACAGATCCATAATGTTTACCCCCATGTAATTATGAATATTATCAGAGATACTTTTAAAAACGTGTGTGTGCTTATGTGTGTATACGTTTAACTTCCTATAACATAAACAGATTGTAATGCAACATCTAGGACTTATCATAATTTAACTTGCTAAAAGAGATTAAGCGAGTAAACATTTAAAGGAAGCATTTAAAATTAAACTCAACTTTATTGTTTGAAAATAAAGCCTCATCTACCTTATAATAAAATAATTTTAAAACACTTCTCTGTTCATCGCCTTATAGGAGTTTCTTGGGTTTATGTGCTTTCTTCCTTCTAATTTCTTAATTTTTCCAATTCTTATATAGTTATTCTTTAATCCATAATATACACATATAACAGACAAATACCTATTTACATGTTGCTTTCATCAGTGCTTATATTTGGTTTTATATAAAACAGGTTTATTTTTACTATGTAATTTAAGACAAAAAATTGCAGAAAGCAATTTTGATCATTGTATTTTCTATTCAGATGGAGAATTCAAAAAGTAGAATTTTAAACTTAGTAGATGCAGTGTGACAAAATGAAGAATAACACATTCAAACTATTCATCATTCATAGAATATAGTATCAACTTTAAGAAAAGCAAAATAATAAAAGTATAAGATATTTTCTTTAATTCTGGAATGTTGTTAAATGTCAAGTTAAACTATCAATATTTTCTTCTTGGCATCAGATTATTGCTCAGAATAGCTTGTTTTTAAATGGACAAGATATTTTGATACACTGCATATGTGATATACCCAGCCCATCTGTTAGGAAAAAAAAGTGAAATTATCTCTAAATTAACCAATAGTTAATTATCAAAATAAACAACTAACTAATTAAGTAGGGCATATGGCACAAATTATTAGTTTGGTGTATAATATGATGTTTTACAAAGGTTGATTACTGAGCATTTTTACTGTAAATCACAAAGATCTAAAGCTCAGTTCACAGTTAAAGGGAAAGGTATCTGACCTGCCCAGACATCTACGCTGGCAATTCATCTAATGAAACTTAACTAAAGAAAGAAAGGAAAATTACTGGTATGAAATTCAAGTGAGGCATGGGTTAACTGAGTACATGAATTTTGCAAGGGATATGGAAACTGTCATGCCTACTTTTTTGGTAGATTAATAGTGAGTAAAAAACGTTACTTTCTGGGGAATGCATGGTGCAGGAAGTGAACAACAAAAAAATGTGGCTTCGTTCCAGTTCCTAAAGAAAAGCAAAACTGAAAGGAACAAAGAGATGAGACTGACTGTTGTGAGTGTTTTTGTAACATACCATCCTCAAATTAAGAATCACAATAAAATTGCACCTCCAGGTCCATTTTTTACTTTGCTTTTGACTCTTCCAAAGCCACTTATTATATTTCAATCAGAAAAAATTGTTGATCAAACAATTTATTTTGACAGTTTTAAACATGGTAAATCTTACGGAAATTTTTTTCTCATTTTACTATCAACCTTTCAGTATTAAAATCGTAATAATAATAATCAATAAAATAAAAGAATACTTACAGCTCCCTAGTGGAATAAAATCAGTACAAAATCTCTATGCAGCATTTCAGGTAGTCAAAAATAATGACATTTCATTGTGTGGCATTGATCTTGCATACTTTAACTTTGATTTAAAAGGAAGTCTTGGCAGGCAATTAACCTACATATAAAGATTTGTATAATAGGAAGCTCTCTTTGAATTGCTAATAGGTAACTCCTTTTCTCCCCAGCAGCCCATTGAGAACTCTTCTTTTTCAATGTGAATCATATCTTCCATAGTTTATTAGCATCAACTCTTTCAACTGTCCTTGGTGTCGAAGGTTACTTGAATCCTCCACAGAGCTGTTTCCCCTTTCTGTTTCTTAGGAGATAGATTCTGTGTAAGAGGAAAACAGCTGAAGTACCAAGGCCTCCTGGAAAATACCACCATCTAAATATGTGCCTCACCACCTATGCTCCAAATCAACTAAAAGTTGATTACAAGGAATTGAGAATAGAGGATAAATACAGAAATAAGGGATTACTTTCAGGAAATAGATATCGTGTATCAAAAAACACTAGTTATTGGCCAAAAACTTCAGGATGTAAATTGAGACTGTAATGAGATTTAGTTCAATGGTCAAATGTCTAAGAGAAAATGTTACAAAAAGTACCATTATTAAGAATCATACCTTCAACTTAATTTTTAACAGCATCTAGCCTAGGAAACATTAGGTCCTGCCCTGTATCTCAAAGCTTTATTCAATATTATCAGATTATATCACCAGAAAATTATTTAAATTAATTAGCAGCATCTATTATAATGTAATAGTTGTCTGTCTTTAGCCCAGCATTCAAGACTCTTGAATATCTTGTCACGTCACCTCTGTGAAAATTTATATTCCAAATGCTTCCCTACACAAATTCTATATGTTAGCCAGATACACTCATTGATTTTTTCCTTCATTATAACTTCATCACTATTTCTATCTCTATTTCTTCTTGCTAGATTTTTACATTATAAGTTGTACAGTAGGTTTATAAAAATTAAGTGCACTTTTTAAAAATATATTCTTGATAAAGTTTATTTTTGAGAGTTTTAATTCATTGCTAACTTTCCAGTGTTCAGGAAAAGAGAATGGAGTATAGCATCCTGATAGTGTCATTCAAAATGCTACCTATTTCTCCAGTGTAATCTAAGATCTGTTTTGATGATCGTGCTTTATCTTCATCCCTGATGAAAGATTCAATAATTCAGGTGTTAGGTGATAACAGCTAGACTAGACTGGTGGCAGTAGAAATGCAGATTAAAGATATCTAAGTAAATATACGAGATGGATTAAAGATTAGAAAATGATTGTGAAAAATGAGAAAATACGGTTGTAGGGATATAGGGAGTCAGAGTATTTGGAGAAAATATTAAGTTCCATTTCAAATATATTAAATTTGAAAAGACGTACAAAATTTTATCTGGGATATGTGCTCTTGATAACATGCATATTACTATAATTATATATATATACCTACATATTAATATATAGCATTTTACATATGAAAACATGAATTTTCTGTAGGAAAACTAATAAAGTTTCAAAGATGATGTTGACTCTGCAAATTTGCCTTAAGCCCTGTTATTGGACCCTGACCATAATCTAAATGCAGTTCCATTACACTAGGCTAGAGTTTAAGTAAGACTTTAGGGCTAATGATGATGCTATAAAACAAAACTCATATAGGAGGTGGCAGCTCAATATATGCGGAATAAGTTACAACAGTTTACAGGGATGGAAAAACAGTGATAGTGACAACTATGGCCAAGAATTATGCTATAGAAAATAGTTTTATTTTCATATTAGTCAGCTATTTTTGCATCATAAATTATACTAAAACTTATGGCTTATAATGAGCATTTCTTTTCTTTTCTTTTCTTTTCTTTTCTTTTTTTTTTTTTTTTTTTTTTGAGACGGAGTTTCACTCTGTCTCCAGGCTGGAGTGCAATGGCATGGTCTCGGCTCACTGCAACCTCTGCCTCATGGGTTCAAGCAATTCTCCTGCCTCAGCCTCCCAAGTAGCTGGGATTACAGGCACCTGCCTCCACGCCCAGATAATTTTAGTATTTTTAGTAGAGACGGGGTTTCGCCATGTTGGCCAGGATGCTCTCCATCTCCTGACCTCGTGATCCACCCGCCTCAGCCTCCCAACGTGCTGGGATTACGGGCGTGAGCCACCGCGCCCAGCCGCATTTCTTATTTTACCAAAGTCTAGAGTCATCTTGCTCTCTCTGCTGGTCTAGACACATTTTGCCATAATTCAGCTGGACTCACTCATATGTCTGCAACCAAATGGAGGGTGTGCTGAAAGCTCTCTAGTCTAGTAGCATCTCAGTCTCAGTTCCACATACTTCTCACTCAAGATAGCACAGTCTTGTTCTCATAGTAGAGGCAGGATTATAAGAGAGCAAGCATAAGGGTTCAAAGCTTCTTAAGGCTTTGACTCAGAATTGGCACACTGTCACTTCTGCCACCTTTTGTTAGTCAGAGTGAGTCACAAGGCCAGCCTAGATTTAAGGGATGGGAAAATGGACTTCGGCTCTTGATGGGAGCAGTCTCAGTCGCATTGGATAGGACACAACATAGGGAAGTCATTAATTCGGACGATCAGTGGAATCAATCTACCATATTTTCAAATAATATGGTAGATTATGACATTAATCTACCATATTAAAATAAAATTTTGCTAACCTAAGAAAAGGTTAGCAAAATGCAAACTAAAAGTGACCATAATCTTCATCAGGAATCTCAGTGGAGATTGTTCAAAATTGCAAGAGCATAATAGGGATAGACATTATATAGCAAAGAATTTTGAGTCAATGGTGAAATATTAAAGCAATGGGTGCTGATGACTTGGTAGCTAGAAAGTTAGCAGACTGGATCATTTTTCCCCATTTTATACATTTGCAAATTGGGAGGAACAGACAAGGGAAAAAGAGGATATACTAGCCACTTGCATAGAGGGATTAACTGTATAATCTTGGGAAAGATAGAGTTTTACAAAGAAAAATGACAATCCTTTCCTATAATTGAAGGAAAAGAGTAAAGAGTAGGTATAGTAAAAGTAACATATTCAGTGACAAACCTGGAAGAGAAAGGAACTCCCTTTTATTCTCAATGAAAGTTGAAAGGAGATCACATGATGCATGGAGTAATAGAATGAGATTGAGAAATGGAGAAAATTGGAAGGTTAGAATAATTATGTGAGGAATCTACAGGAGACAAAAGAAGTAGGAACACATTATAGTGCTAACCATGATTTGTATTGGAACATGTGGGCATAATTTCTGTTGTAGTAAAGGAATAATTAAATAAATAGTTATATAATACAGGGTTAAACATTAGCATGCATCAAAATCACCTTGAGTGCTTGCTAAAACCAAATTACAGAACTCACCCCTGGTGCTCTGGTCTCAGTGTGTCTGCAATGGGGCTCAATATTTTATATGTCTATAAATATACAAGTGAGTCTGATTTTTGTCGCCTGGTGGCAATACTTTAAAAGCCACTGGCATAATATACAGTAAATGGCATTAATTTCTATGGAAGTATTAGATGTTTAATAAAAATAAATACAAACATAGCCTTATCTTACAATATTACCTTTCAGCCACATTATGAACAATTCTACAGTGTGAATTACGATGTAAGTGCAAAAGTGTAGCCTTAAGGTTTTTTAGATCACAAGGTAAGTGGAAATTATGTTTTAAGGTATATTAACGTGATCCAATTGAAGTATCTTTAGGTTTGGCACCAGTCATCAGGTATACTTATACCTTTTCATTCTGGTTCTGACCTGAAGGGATAATGCCTACCAGACATGATGAACTCATGGACATTATAAGAGCAAGAGGGATCACACCAAAACTGAGAATTACATTTAATCCTGTGCTGATGTTAAGTTTGCTAACATCCTACTGGCTAAAGAAAGCCACATGACCAAGCCCAAAGAAGCAAGGAACTACACTCTGCTGGCCGTGAAAACATGGCAAGAATGGAATACGTTATTTCATCGAGAGAGCATGAAACGTAATCGAGAGCAATAACTACCACAGTCAAGCCTTAGTATCTTGTCTTGAAATACATTTTCACTCTCTTTTAGACCACACTTTCCTTATCTGTAAAGAGTTGACTTAGAGGTACATGTGTAGTGTACATGTGTAATGTTCCACTAGCTAACCTTATCCTCCAAAAACTTAAATGATTTATGGAGAATCTATTATATCAATTCGGCTTATGTTGACATAGTGTCTTCAGAGCACAGAGGGAAACATTTGTGACTATCTGACCTCACCGTTAGTTAGTAAAGGCACTATTAAACTCGCTTTGCAGATGAGGAATGTGAAGCTCCAGGGCGATTTGCTTGTTCAGGGTTACACAGGAAGAGGCGGAGCTGAAACTGATGCTCAGCCTTTCCCTGCTCCATTGCTCTTTCGTTGTCTTGTACACCAAAGCATCATGCTATATGATGTGGGAGATGCAAAAGTCTATTACCAATAGTTGTTTCTTGGAAAAGTTTACTTCTCTTCTGAGCATATAAGGTGTAAAGGCGTGAAAATATAAAGCTTAATGTATGCAATTTAAAAACAGTAAAATAATAAAAGCACTCCCTCAAGGGAGCCTATACTTAGTTTCAAGAAATAACATAATTTTACAGGGAAAAAGATTGGAAGAGCTAAATAAACTATTTATCCATGTTTGAGAGTAAAATTTAATAAACTCTTGCCAAAATACAAATAGTTTATCTATATGAAGCAGTCATGGATTCTACATCCTATCACATGAATTTATGGATAAGATAAACAAAGAACAACACCTTGAGGGATTAAAGCACAGCAGCAGTAAGTTTTGACAGGGTGGGGAGAATGCTGAATAGAAAATGCTGCCAGGAAGGCAAACGTGCTGGAGGCACCACAGCATGGGGGACAGGGAGACAGGCCCATGCTGGAGGCTGGCACCGAGGGAAAAGAGAGTTTCCCAGACTAGTTAGTTCTGAATGGCTATTACGCAAGCCCTGGTTAAGGCCTAAAGTGGACAGAGCAGAGAGAGACAGAGAGAGAGAGAAAGAGAGAGAGAATGTGTGATAGTGAGAGAGAGAGAGAGAGAGAGAGTGACCATAAGAGAGATTTAGTATGTTCCTTAAATGCATAACTTAAAAGAACATCAAATATTTGCTTTCTCTGTAATAAAAATATTGAGTATATATATATTGGAGGTTAAAAAGGGACAGTGGTGGGGGCAGAGGTTGGCAGGGTGTTGAGGGACTTGCATGAGCAAGAACATGAGGACTGCCATTCCAATTAATCAGTGTTTTACCTTTGTCATGCAAAGTCTGCTCATCTGCTTAATTAAGATAGTCAAGTCCTTTGTGTACAATTTGGATTATCAAGTTGTAAACATTCAAAATAGTTTTAGGTTTATCTTCTCTGATCTGCTAGCACGACCGTATCACTCACATATGAAATTAAGTGGACAGTAAAGGGTGGCTGGAATGCACAAAACATGAGCAGTTAGGCTCTAGCTAGAGAGATACAGCAGGAACAGTTCTTGGCTGTCCCTAATGACCACCTTTCTCCGTTAGTGCAAACTCTGATGAATTACGAAGTGAAAATGCGGTCAAAATAACATATGACACAGGGTATAATGAAGAGGATAAACATAAATATTAGGCAAAAACTACATCGAATAAATTATTTAGAAATAAAGTGGAGGGTAATATTTTACAATAAAGGAGGTGCAATTCTATTAATGGTAAGTGGTTCTGAAATGGTTTTTCTGTTCATCGCTCAATTAGATCTCCAACTACTACTAAAAATCATTTCATATTCAAATAATTGTAGAAGTAGAACATTTAAATCCCCTTGCTGTTTCCTCAAAGATATTTGGCAGGATTGTATTATTTGTAAAATGTAATATTCTGTCAAGAAATTATTGGAGAAAAGCTGTTAAATTTTTAATTTATGCCAGAACACTTTAGGTGTCAGAATAATGAACTTTTTAATACTCTGGCAACAGATTAAATAACATCTTTAAATATGGCTTGACATGTATTTGAAAGAATTGTGTGTCTTTTTTTCTTTTTTAATAAATTAGGGGGGTCACAATATAAAGATGAAAATAATGTATTTTTTTAAAGACCACAAATACAATAAGTAGGTGTTATGTTTCTCAGTGGCTTGAAAAACTTGCCTTCTTCGGCTGGTTCACTTTTTAATTCCTTTACTGTTTCAGAGCTCTGCTATATATTTGCTTAATTATCTAATTATATATTTTTATTTCCCCCAAACAGTACTGTGGTTGCATGTATGTGTTTCTATTGTTATATAAGTGAAAGTTGAAGTGGTAGGAGAAGAAACCTTACATCTTGTTATTTTCTTGGTTTCCTTGGAGACAATCTCTTTATTCATTCCTTCCTATCAAATGCTCTCCTCAAAGATAAGTTTGAAAAGGACTATCAAACTCCTTTTTACTACCTTTAAAATACTACCTGTATTAGTCTGTTCTCTTGCTGCTAATAAAGATATACCCAAGACTGTGTAACTTATAAAGGAAAGAGGGTTAATTGACTCACAGTTCTACATGGCTGGGGAGGCCTCACGATCATGGTGGAAAGTGAATGAGGAGCAAAGGCACAACTTACATGGTGGCAGGCAAGAAAGCGTGTTCAGGGAAATAAAACCATCAAATCTTCTGAGACTTACTCACTATCACAAGAACAGCACAGGGAAGACCTGCCCCCATGATTCAATTACCTCACACCAGGTCCCTCCCACAACACATGGGAATTGCGATAGCTACAATTTAGACAAGATTTGGGTGGAGACACAGCCAAACCATATCACTACCCATCGTGTATTTTCATTCTAACACAGAAGAGATGAATATATTTAAATTATGGAATTAGAATTATTCATAAAACATAAAAGAAAGATCTTAAGGGACAAAGACTTCTGAAAACAAGCATTGTAGATGCCTAGTCCTAATGCTAGCCTCCACCTGACCCTGCGTTAGTAACTAGATGTGAGTAGTGTCATAAAGTATGAAGAGGTTTGGGAAATAAGGCAATTTGTGTAATTTTCACATGATTTCCAATGGGTTGAATGGCTCAAAAATGAATTGTGTAAACTCAAAAATTAAGAGGTTTTCAAAATATTGTAAATAATGCAGCAATATATTCACATAGCACACTTTAGTTATTTAAGCTTAGTTAGGTTACACGGATTGGAAATGATGTACAATGTAGATACTGACTACCACAGCAAGAAAAATCCTTCAGTCCTGTGGATATCACCTGGCCTCTAATTTCTGGGCATGTTCGTGGTACTCAGACCCAAACCTGGTCTAAGCTAATTGCTCAATGTCACACAACTAGGAAATGATAAAACTAGACTTTAAACTCAAGCCTTTTGTTGCCCAGAACAGGTTTAAGATCTAATTGTATCATTTTCTGGTAGCGTGTATATTAAGCAGTTAACCTAATTTCTCTCAGCTTTTGTTTCCTACTCTTCAAAATCTTAACATTGTTAATATAGCGAGGACTGAGTTCATTGCTATTCCATTGACCTGTCTACAGATATTAGTTTTCTCATCTCCTCCAGGGATATTTCCAGTACACTTGACTAAGGTCCCCTTGGAAACTTCTTTCCTGGCCATCATCTGAAATGCAACCTTGGCTGGGGCCCTGAGAAGCATCGAATTTATCTGCAGGAAATAGAGTATGTAATTATCTTCAGGGCCACTGGCTGGTGACTATTTCAACTCTGAGCATTAGAATTAACACACAGATATTTTCCTTACTGGGCCTTTTGCTATTGCTCTGGAACTGGCATGGATGTCCACTCCTCTGTCTAATGAATAGTAAAAATCCCATCATACATTAAGAAGTATCAATTTCCATCCGTCCCCTTGGGCTGCTGGTCATTTTCTGGAGTCCATGCCATAGTAGACTCAGTTTTTCTAGCACCTCTTGCTTGCCCTTCCTCCTCTTCCCAACTCTGTCTATCTTTTTCTCATCTAACTATTGAGTTGCCAATCTGTATGTCTTCACAATCCACAGAACACTGTGAGATTTCTTATGAATCTCCAAATAAGAGGCATCTTTCCCATATCTCTCTAGATTCAAATCCAGTTAAGCCATTTGATTCACCCTCCTTTATAATGTGGGTGTTTGTTGACTACCTGATTTTCCATAGTAGATTTGAAGACACAAAGTTTGTCTTCCTGTGATTTTTTAGAACTATGTTTTGTACATGGCTGGCACTGAATAAATAAACGTTGAATAAATAAGTAAAAGGATGGACAAATGCAAAATTTTATTGAGAAAACTTAAGTACATTCAGTAAGAATAAAAACACATATGCTAAAGTCCTTTGCCTAGAGCTAAAGTCTGATTGTATTAATTTAGTTAATATGAATTAGAAAAAAATGGAATACAAGCCCAACTATTATTCCAACTTAGTCAAGCAAGAATAACTTCTAGAATATAGAATTTTTTTGAATGGCAAAAATAAAACAATCTTGATTTTGAAATGCAGCATTTCTACAAAAGACTAAGTACTGAAAGTAAATAGCATAACCATTAAAGTATTTTACATGTGGTCAATGCTTGTAGCAAATGTCAGCTTATATGGCAACTAATCCTTTTTAAGCATGGCTATTTAAAATATGCACATATCTTATGGTTCAAATATATTATCAAATTAAACCAAAGTTTTTTGCATTTTAATGATTGCCCTCTCCAAATAAATGAAATAAAAAAACAGATATCAGTTTTTCTTCTTTTTAAGAATTAATCACATATTCATTGGTCAATGTCATTAAGTAGCTTGAGGGGAGATTTCCTCTTTCTAAAGAAGAGAGAGTTAGAGTCTGTATTTTCAACCATATACCTATCATTCTATTTTAAAACATATTCATGTGAAAGAATGTTTGAGCTCTAAGAATATTTATTATATTTTCTATCCAGGTGTCTGTGAAATTATTTTCAGAATTTTAACTAGATATTCATTTACATATTTCATAAGAGACTAATATATTTGAAACTGTTATAGGAATTGGGTGATAAATTCAGCTGAAACACCAGCCTCTATACACTAAAGGAAGGAACTCCGAATTTCACTCTTAAGAGGTTCCATGACTGATACTTTATCTTTTGCTCCACTTTTTAAAATGCCCTTTTCATTCCCATCACTTTTCTATGTAGTTCTTATGCAGTTAACTGAAATTTGCTTTTAATAGAATCTTATGATACAATTACTAAATTAAAAAATAACAATTATGGTCCTATCAAATAGTCAATACAAGATAAAAAGCCAATTAAAACCCCAGATGCATGAAGGAAAATAGCATAAATGGATAACAGTAATCAGCTGATTGCTTTATAGATCTAAAGGTCCCCAAGGGATGTTTTAAATCCACATAGTGACCCAGAATGCTGAATTTTGCATTTGGGAGCTTTTATTGAACTAAGATCCTTAAATGGCTATGTTCCCTTTTGGCTTCATATCCAAGAAAGGCTCAAAGGTAAGTTAATTCATTCATGGTCTAGAATAAATTGCACACAATAAATTCACTTCAGAGGATCTTTGTCAAATAAGCTGAAGGCTATCCTATTACAAATACTAAAGATCAGATACAATTCCATAATTTTATGAAAATGGCAGAGTTTCAGTGGCTCAGTATTTTAAAAATTTATTTATTGTTCTCTGTAGAATTTCAGTTTTTCTGTGTGTATCTGAGGAGCACAGCTTGTTGACTAGCTATGCTTGCTAGGTGTGATAATAGAGAAACATTTGTGAAGTGTTAGCCCCATTTTATTGAAGCTGTTTAGAATTAGGGCAGTCTTCAAAGTCTTGTAAAAGAGATTAATACATTAGTTCATCTGCTGCATACATTCTGGGTCAGAAATAAGGCAAAGTGAAGGAATAATGGGTAGACAAGGAACCCCCTCAAGAGACACACAGATTACACATAAGGAAAAAAAAAACGTGTTTTACATATTAACAATGAAATAGATACTTCAAGCATGAAATACATTTAAGTAGACATCATTAGCTTTACTTCTTGGTAGTTACAAATATGGAACAGATTTTTAAATGAAAGTGTTAGAACTTGTATTTTAAGTAAACCTAAAGCTTAGTATCAAACACAACTGCAGCCTCTGTCTACTCTAGCTGCTGTAACAAAATACCACAGATTGGGTCGTTTCAAAAATAAAGAAGTCATCAGTAAACAGAAATGTGTTTTCTGGTTCACTATTTGTGTGATGTGTTCAACAGAAACCCAAACCCCAGTATTACCTGATAAACCCATATAACAAACCTGCGCATGTACCCCCGAAACTAAAATAAAAAATGTAAAAGAAGATAAAAAAAAAAATACTAGTTTTTACAACATGCTAATATACCATCTATATTTTAGTATACAATGCTTCTATAGACTATGTTTTACATGTTATATGATATGCTATAGCTAACACATTAATATACTCAAATAATGAAAAAAAAATGTATTTTCTCACAGTTCTGGAAACTGGAGAGTCCAAGATCAAGATGCTGGTAAATTCAGTTTTTGGTGAAAGCATTCTTCCTGGCTTGTGGATGGCCAGCTTCTCACCTTCTGACTATGTGTTCACATGACTTCTTTTGTGTGTGTATGTATTTTTCTGAGGGGTAGGGGGGAAGGCAGAGAAAGAGAGAGAGAGAGCACGTGAGCATTCAAGCCAGCACTCCCACATCTCTCCTTATAAGAATGCTAGAGGCCAGGCGCAGTGGCTCACTCCTGTAATCCCAGCACTTTGGGAGGCCAAGGCGGGCAGATCACGAGATCAAGAGATTGAGACTATCCTGGTCAACATGGTGAAACCCCATCTCTACTAAAAATACAAAAAAATTAGCTGGGTGTGGTGGCACATCCACCTGTAATCCCAGCTACTCGGGAGGCTGAGGCAGGAGAATCGCTTGAACCCGGGAGGCGGAGGTTGCAGTGAACTGAGATCGTGCTCCTGCACTCCAGCCTTACAACAAAGCAAGAGTCTGTCTCAAAAAAAGAAAAAAAAAAAAAAGAATGCTAGAACAGGGGTCCCCAACACCCTGGCTGTGGACTGGTGCCAATCCATGGATTGTTAAGAACCAGACCGCATAGCAGGAGATAAGTGGCAGGTGACAGGTGAATCAGCATTACCCACTGAGCTCTGCCTCCTGTCAGATCAGCTGCGGCACTAGATTCTCATAGGAGCACAAACCCTATTGTGAACTGCACATGTAAGGGATCTAGGTTGCCTGCTCCCTATGAGAATCTAATGCCTGATGATCTGAGGTGGAACAGTTTCATCCCAAAACCATCCCCCACAAGTTGGTGGAAAAATTGTCTTCCAAGAAACTGGTCCCTGGTGCCTAAAAGGTTAGGGACCACTGCACTAGAACATTAATCCTATCAGATGAGGGCACCACCCTTATAAATCCATTTAACTTTAATTGTTTCCTTAGAGGCCAGATCTCCAAATTCTGCCTCCTTGGAGATTAGAGATTCACTGCACAAATTCAGGGGACACAAATATTCAGTCCATTAACAGTCTCAAAATACATTATTTTGTTCTCACATACTTTCTTCATCCTCAATGTTTATATATTACCCTCCGCACTTTATATTCCTTCAAGAACCATTTTTTTTTGCATGTTTACATGTGCATTTTGGTATTCTGTGTCTTTACGTAAATTCAAAATTTCCTCAGCCAGTTTTATATTTTCTATGAATAACCTGGCTTGCCTTATCTTCTGTTTCTGTTGTGCATCACTTTCCATCTACTACGTAAATGGAATATAACTACACATTACCTTCATTTCTTTTACCGGTTTCTAAATTTTCTAAAGGGTCCATTATCTTATATTTATTTGAAACTTTAAATTCTGTCTTCTGGAAATAGGTATTCAAATATGTTTCCAGAAGCTATATCTGGCAGGTTGATTAAATATTAATATCTAGTTCAACCATTGTGGAAGACAGTGTGTCAATTCCTCCAGGGTCCAGAACCAGAGACACCATTTGACCCAGTAATCTCGTTACTGGTTATACACCCAAAGGGTTATAAATCATTTTACTATAAAGACACACGCACACATATGTTTATTGCAACACTATTTACTATAGCAAAGACGTGGAACCAACCCAAATGCCCATCAATAATAGACTAGATAAAGAAAATGTGGCAATATACACCATGGAATACTGTGCAGCCATAAAAAGAGAATGAGTTCATGTCCTTTGCAGGGACATGGATGGAGCTGGAAACCATCCTTCTCAGCAAACTAACCCAGGAACAGAAAACCAAACACCACATGTTCTCACTCATAAGTGGGAGTTGAACAGTGACAACACATGGACACAGGGAGGGGAACATCACACACTGGGACCAGTCAGGGGGTGGGGGGCAAGGGGAGAGAGAGCATTAGGACAAATATGTAATGCATGCAGGGCTTAAAACCTAGATGATGGGGTGGTAGGTGTAGCAAACCACCATGACACATGTATATATCTATGTAACAAACCTGCACATTCTGCACATTTAGCCCAGAACTTAAATAATATATATATAATACATTATTATAGATAACATTTTTATATATATATATAACTTACATCATAACACCCTGTTGAAGAAGTAAAGAAGTCGAAAAGGAATTAGGGTAGTACAAGACATGAATATCAATCCCAGGGTTCCCATGTTGTGGACGGATGACCATGGGCTGGTCATTGAGCCTACTGAGTTTGTATTTGCATATCAGAAACACACGGATGTTGTATAATAATTGTCTTACCCATGCATAGGGTTTTGTGAATATAAAGGGAGAATATATATGGAGAATAACATGAAAAAGTTAGTTGTGTTTTAAAGGAACTTTTTTTTTTACTTGAGACATGTTCTCACTGTCACCCAGGCTGGAGTACAGGGGGGCCATCTCAGTTTACTGCAACCTCCGCCTCCCAGGCTCAAGCCATTCTCCCACCTCAGCCTCCCTAGTCACTAGGACTACAGGCACATGCCCACTCCTGGCTTTTTTTTTTTTCCAATTTTTAATAGAGACGAGGTTTCACCATGTTGCCCAGGCTGGTCTCGAACTCCTGGGCACAAGTGATTGACACTCCTCAGCTTCCCAAAGTGCTGGGATTACAGTCATGAGCCACTGCCCAAAGAGACTATTAAACATCAGGTTTTATAAAGTTATTTTCCTTTTCTTCAAAAGAAATGTAAACATGGAAAATACAGAATATAAACTTCTATGTGTTCAAAATATTAAGCATGGCAGGGTTATCTCTCACTTCTATCAGGTCTTAAAATGTTTCTCTTATGTCTTTATATTTTTGTCAGACTTTCAAGTTAGTAACTACTTGCAAAAGTTTTAGAACTGCAAATTTATTAGATTATTATTCTTGAAGGAATCAGTTTTACTTGAACGTACTTAAGGCCAGTAAGTAGCATACTTTCTTCTTATTGCAATAATCTTTCCTCTCTGCAATGGCATAATGTTAGAATTAGACCAGAAATCTGCTCATTCACTTGGGACTAAAGATCAAAAGAAAAAAAAAAAAGAAAGAAGCCTCTTTAAAATTTGCAAGTAAAGGGATCATGAAACTGTACACATGTTGGTCCAGCAAAATCTAACCTTTCAATAAGAGACTCTCTGAGAAGTTTGCTCTCTTACCCACAGAGGGCAGACCTATGTAGCAAATAGAAAATGGGTGTTTTCTCATTGTACTTGCTAAAATCAATATGAAGGATGATTATTTAAGCTCCCTTCATGAGAATTACATAAGGTTAGAACAAGAGTGTAGTTAGGAAGGAGAAGAAGACAGTTTTATAGCTGACTTTTCCCAAACTGTGTAAAGGAAGTTGCTTGTGTAAATTAGCCAAAGGGATTTTACACATGGAACTTATTCGAGTTGTGCCCATGTTTATTTTTTCCACAGGAGGGATTTAGATTTCTATGTGATTAGCAGATTGGCTACAGCTTGCTGAATTTTAAAGCAGGAAGAAGGAAAAAGACAGTATCTCTCTGGATTGAGTTTTGTGGCTCTCTCTGTCTTAAAATTCACCAGTCCTACTGGTTTAAGATTGTTCATTTTGATGATGTATACACAAAACAATATTTTCTCATTTTTTTCCCACTATTTAGATTGCCCCATAAGCTGTAGAAGCTGACTTTTGTGAATGTTATCATATGAACTGACAGGATAGTTGAAGGTACTGGTTATGCACAATAAGTGTTTCTTTGCAAATTTGTGCATACCTTAAACATTTATTAATCAAATCAGATTTAAAATGCACTAATGAGCAGGTGTTACTTAAAGAATTGCTGCTGTAAATTTTATTGAAAAACTCTTTCATCATGTAAAAACAATCAGGATTTTGATCTGTTGGGGGTATCTAAGTACCTAAAAGCAGGTCCCGCCTGCATTTAATTTCTTTCTGAGAGACAGAAGAGCAAAAAAGGTGCAAGCGGATTTAAGGATCCACAGTCAGAGCAGGTAGTTTAAACTATACTCTAAAACAGTAGAATGTGGGAGAGGAAGGAGCAGCAGCAGGGTGAGACAAGCTAAAGAAGGTGCCTGAGGGAAGAACGTGAAGTGGATGTTTGTAGCAACAGAACAAGTTCCTGTGGTTAGGGAAAGTCTGGTTCTCAGGCATAATAGCCTCACACCTGGCAGAATTTTAGGAGGTTGTTTTGTAGTACCTAACAGCTCAGAGCTGGGAGCTCTGAGCTCCCAGAAAACTTCCTCACCACCCCTTGGGCTGGTCCCTGAGCCCACTGAGTTGCTGTTTCTGTGGGTTGCAGGCAGTCTACTCTCTTTTAATGCGCAGATGGTAGTAATAGCATCAATTAGTTGCATAGTAGTTTGCAGTTATTTTTAGAAAATTATTTTCCATGCAGTCTCTCTTGTGATCTAAACAAAGGGTCTCTAGGACTCTAGCATGAATGAATTTATCAGGCAACTGTAAAAAACACTATCTGGTTGTGGCAAAAGAAAGGCAAAGGAGGTCATACGCAGTGGCTCACGCCTGTAATCCCAACACTTTGGGAGGCCGAGGTGAGCGGATCATTTGAGGCCAGTTGTTTAAGACCAGCCTGGCCAACACAATGAAATCCTGTCTCTACTATAATTAGCCAGGTGTGGTGGCACGCACCTGTAGTCCCAGCTGCTTGGGAGGCTGAGGCACCAGACTGGCTTGAACCCAGGAGGCGGAGGTTGCAGTGAGCGGAGATCATACCACTGCATTCCTGCCTGGGTGACAGAGTGAGACTCTGCCTCAAAACAAAACAAACAAAAAAACCTACCTATTATTCATTCATCACTCATTCATTCACTCAGCATTCTCTGTGTGTAAGCAGTATGCTAGGCACAAAACAAGCACGATCCCTGTATATCTTCATGAAATGTATGGCTTAATAAAGGAAAATGATATTAAGCTACGAAACTCGTAATACTTAATTACAAATTGTGAGAAAAGTGAAAAATGCTGTTCAGGGCCCCTGAATAAGCAATGATTTAATCTGAGAACTCAGGAGTAATATGTACTTTCTATGTGCTGAAACTGATAATAGGGAGGTACTATTATTATTCACATTTATTGTCTATTATAATCATCCATGTTTTATAGATGGAAAAATCAAGAGGTTGAAAGGTTGAATGACTGTCTGAAACACATTTTAACGAACGATGGGTAGACAGTAGTCAGGCAAACTGTGTGGGGGATCTTCTAAGCAGAGAAATCTGAATATAATCTTCCAATTCAGTCTTGCATAGATCTTTTGGACCCTTGAGCAGTATAAAATATCAGAGTCAGCATTGCTGCTCTTTATATTATTGGTGATAAGCTTCAGGGAATTCTAACTGCAGAAATTGTCTGAAAATGAGATTAATATCAGAAAGGAATTGTTGTAGGTGGCCCCTGAGCCAGTGGTCACTTGAAAGCTGGAAATTCCCTGATTCCATTCAAACTGAGTCAGTCTCTAACTCCTTCTGATAGAGACCAAGGACAGTGAGTCAAGAGAAAAAAAAAATAACATACTATGTATGACACTTCCTGCATGTAAGATGTTTTAATTGTGTTCAGCTATTTAGGATAATTACACCTAATCACATAATTCCTGTAATTGGTGAAGTGACATAATTTAGATGTTTAACAAGAAATGTAGATTAAATAATTATAATGTATAGCTGCAATTTATGGATAATGATGGGCAGATTTTAAACTTTACAAAATAGTGTAATTTGAGCTTTCATGGAAATGTGCCTCACCATTTCTGTTTCCTATTTCTGACCAAGTGCAATAGCTCTGAAAGCTATATAATGTAAACTTAAGAGCTTCCCCCTGTTTCTAAGACATCCTTAATATAGAATATTCTTAAGAGACTAATGTGGTTTTAGCCTTTTAGCAGGAATCTAATATGAACTGAACTACCTTACAAGGAATTTAGGATTCCAGCTGTTTCTTCAGGGAAGTGAACGTCGAGAGGATTGAAAACTCGGCAAACATCATTGGCAAATGTGACCCTGGAACTCTCGTTCATGTGTTAATTAAATCATTGAACAAATATTTATTGGTGGCCGTTATGTGCCCTGTGTTGTGCCGGCCAAGTGCTGGGCATTCTATTTGGAGTTGCGTCCAAGAGAGCCAAGAAAAGAGAGGCGATGAGTAAGGAGGGCATATAAAACATTGCTCTCTTGCCAAGAGAGCACTAAGATAAGGGACTTTTAACATGGAGCTGAAGTTGTGAATTTTATGAGGACTTGCAGTAGAGTGGTGAATGTCAAAGTCAGAAAGAGGAGGCTGGAAACAGGGTTAGAGGTGAAGAGTACATTTCTTTTAAGTAGTTTCATGGTGAATCAGAAGAATGAAGTCAGACAAGAATACAAAATGGAGGCATTGAGTTTAAGAAAAACTATTGCCCTCCCATACTCCCAATGAATAGGCTTCCTTGAATCCTGTTAGGAAGAGTAATAAACAGCAAAACTTTGTCAAATCTTTCATGCCAAAATTTTCCTCATCCATTATTCGATCACCCTAATCATGTGAGGTATGTGCTATTATTATTCCCATTGTACAGGTAAGAAAACTGAGGTTTAGAGGGCAGTATCTTGCCCCCACTTGCTAAGTCTTAATACTAAGACTAGTAAAGAACTCCAGGTCTGCCTGACTCTGGAGTCAGCATCTCTGTAGGAAGGCTTTGTATAGGTAGAATTAAACATACAAGGATGAGAGTGCATAACCAAAAACTCCCTGTCCTGAGAAGTCTGGAAGAGATGTAACCCAATGGAAAAGTGGAGGGAGAAGCCTCAGTGAAAAGTAGTACTCTTTTTTTTTTTTTTTTGAGACGGAGTCTTGCTGTGTCGCCCAGGCTGGAGTGCAGTGGCGCGATCTCGGCTCACTGCAAGCTCCGCCTCCTGGGTTCACGCCATTCTCCTGCCTCAGCCTCCCGAGTAGCTGGGACTACAGGCACCCGCCACCACGCCCGGATAATTTTTTGTATTTTTAGTAGAGACGGGGTTTCACCGTGTTAGCCAGGATGGTCTCGATCTCCTGACCTCGTGATCCGCCCGCCTCGGCCTCCCAAAGTGCTGGGATTACAGGCTTAAGCCACCGTGCCCGGCCCTGGGAAAGTAGTACCGTTTTAACACGGAGAGTTAAAAATAGAAGTGCAGCTGCAAGTTGATAGACTCAATGGAGGGGGTTGGTAGCACTTTCATGTGAGGACTTTTACTTATTCATGAAGTTAGGGGATCCTCTGATGATAAAGCAGAGAGATGGAGGAGCCAAGATTTCTGACTAAGTAGCAACCGACGCAGAGTTCCCATGGGGCTATGATAGAAATGCATTTGTCTGTCCACATTCAGGACCAAGTTAAGCTTGCTGACATGACGTTAGTATACGTGTGAATTGGTACGGATGTGCAGGTGGAAAGGCCAAGAAGTGAACTGATACACAGTTGTGGCTTTGCCAAGCAGGTGAGAAAGAAGCTCAATGGCACAGAGATATAAAAAATGCTGGTGAAGGGTGGCTGTGGCCATTAGATGAAATTTGGATTCTAATCGTGAGAGGAAAGGAGTAAAGCATAGAGGGAACCAATAAGTAAACTACAAGTAGAAGATTCTGAGGACAGGACATTCTGATGCAATTCACGTACAAATATGTTTGGAAATTGAGGGGAAGAACTGAATATAAAGAAGTTGTAGCTATAGAGTGAGGAATGATTAAACATGCTCTTTCAGAACTCAGTCAGAGTGGAAGTTTCCCCAGGTATTCAGAAAGAGGGTATTCCCCAAAGAGAACTACTTTTCAGAAAATGTAGTCTTATGGCTTTCAGGGTTCTGTTGATACCTCAGTGAATCCTCAGTTAATTCGTCAGAAAATATGTAAAAGAAATACCCGTTTAGCAGGTATGCATGCTTATTTAAACATGTTAAACTAAAGTTAAGGTATCGGACGTATGAATCACTATTAAATGTTTTCAGAGTAGTTGATGTCAATGCCTTTTTTGATAATAAAAGTACTTTATTATAAAAACGTACCACAAAGGACCAAAAATATACAGAAACTGGATTGATTAATCCCTGCAAATTATAACCAGAGCTGCTTCACATTGTCACCTAAATAAGAAAATAATGGATTAAGGCCTGATTTGTGATAAGTAAATCACAGAGAAGAAAAGATTAATTAGTCAAGAGTAAGCAAAAGAAGTTGAAATTAGAGGAAAGGAGAAAAAACCTAGAATATGGAAAAATATATATGAGTGGCATGAAGGGAGGGTAATTAGCTGTTAAAACAAATGGAGATATTTCTGAAAAGTAATGATTAATTTCAAATGATGAAATCAAAATTATCATCAATCATTGAAACACAATATATAATAGAATTATGATAAATACATAATTATCAATGACTTGGAATTACTGTTTCCTATAATTTTTATATATATGTGTGTGTATATATATATATGTGTGTGTGTATATATATGTATATATATATATATACACACACACATTTATATAGTTTCGTTTTGTTTTTGACGGAGTCTCGCTCTGTTGCCCAGGCTAGAGTGCAGTGGGTGTGATCTCAGCTCACTGCAAGCTCCGCCTCCCGGGTTCACGCCATTCTCCTGCCTCAGCCTCCTGAGCAGCTGGGACTACAGGTGCGTGCCACCACGCCTGGCCAATTTTTTGTATTTTTAGTAGAGACGGAGTTTCACCATGTTAGCCAGGATGTTCTCGATCTCCTGACCTTGTGATCCACCCGCCTCAGCCTCCCAAAGTGCTGGGATTACAGGCACCTTTATTATATTTTAATCCATCAGATTTGGACCGTGGTCTATATGGTGAAAATTGCTTCTTGGAAAAATGACTGATTGCAATAATAATATATGTCATTATGTTTCTTATTATCATAAACTTGATACTGAGGCTTTCAAATTGCAAGTCACAATGAAGAAAGGAATATGAAAGTAAATGTGTCTGGATGTACACACCTGTGCTTATGTATGCACAAGACTGCATGCGTGTATGTGTCAAACCATGTATGTGCTTCTGTGTGTGTGCATGTGAATGCCTGTGGGTACATATGCATATGTTTCTGTGTGGAAGCCTAGAACTCAGTGAAACTGATATCTTTCTTTGCAAAGAGTTAGTAGTCGTGTTTTAATTATACACACATTAATTATACGGTCTTCCAGGAAAAATATGTTGAAAGATGTAATTCACTTTTGTTCCTAAATTATGATGTGTAATACAAGGATAGTCTATGTAAAAATGACTTCTTAAAAATTTTAAAATCCTGGTATCATAAATAAGAAAATGAAAAATAATTTAAACCTATATGGATAAAATGATAACAGTTCCATCCATTTCTTTCTTTCTTCATGTTTTGTGATCATGTTGAATTAGAGATACAAAAGGATCAAAGTGCTTGACTGGAGAGAAGAGAGTGTTTTAAGCAATACACAGACAAGGAAAGAAATCACAGCTGTTTCTGTGTTTCATAAGCAAACCAAGAAAACTCATCATGGCTAAGACTGGGAGCAAGAGAAGCTTTGTGTCTGTTCCTATCCACAGATTTTATGTGTTTCATAAAATCATATTGTTTCATTTTGCTGTTAGTGGCTGAGAAGAAAAGAGTGGCTCTCTCTTTTTCTGATAGCTCATTTAGAACATATGAAAGCTTTCCTCATCAGGCTGAGAAAATTACATCACTTAAAAACTCAGTCTTATGTACCCTTTCCAATCTGACTAGGAGAAAGTGTGGCATTTTTAGACATTAAGGCTATTTTGGATTCTTTTGAATTCCTCTAAGAGCAATTGGGTCTGATGCGATGGGTTTTTTCCTTATCTCCCGGGCTATGAAGAACTCTTTTATCATCCCAGCATTTGAGTTGGCAGAGTCCCTGGAATAGGTCAGAAAAAGCTCCTACAGAGATTTTTATATCACAGCATTGTTAGCTAAATTAATCCTTTTGCCTAGATTTTTTCCCTGAAGAGAAATTTCGTAAAGTTAATTGGAGTCTCAGGAAAAGGACTAACAAAAGGCAGAATTTCAGCTGGGTCAAACAGACTTATTATCTCAAAACCAAAAAAGATGAATTCTGAGGGAGCATACTTGGCTTTTAATACAATTAAAGCCTGAAAAGAAACTTAATTTTAATTTCATCAAGTCCACTCCATTTCCTTCAAGGAAAGACAGTTCACAAACATTTCTAGAGAGATACTTTTCAATCTTGTATTATTTAGGTTCTACAGTGGGAGAAATTATAGGTCCTTTTATAAAATCTCATAGTTATTGAATAGTTTTCTCAGTAACCTCTCCTCTTCTGTAGCTTAAATATAATGTTCTGAATTTTATCCAAATATTAGCTAGTTTCTCCCACAACACAACAGAGAAACAAATATTCCTTTTCATTCTAATTGTTACTCATAACCTTAAGCACATCCTGACACTGAAAATGCACTTCGATCTATTATTTTTAAAAAACTGGTTGTCGCTTTCCCTTCTGAGGTCTGGTTTATCCTTTAAAGCTACTGTCTTGTATCTTTCATTTGTTGTCTGTGTCTTAGATACACATAATTCCTCGTTAATTAATAATAATTAAATGTTAGACTTAAATTTTGGTGTAATTATCATAGGCTTGCCTCATTATTATACGAAGTCAACATACATCCTAAAATTCATATCTACCGTATGTGTGATGTAGATTCATGTCCGGCACTCTACTGAACTTTTATCAGGAGGAATAAGCTGATAACTAATTTTGCCACTAGATGGCACTAAGCTGCCTTTGGACGCTACTACCTTGGAAAACTTGCTTGAGAAAAATTATTTTTTAATCAAGAAATATACTTTTTAAATATTAAAATTTTCTAATTATGCATCTTTGTGGTATACAACAATTAATTTTCTGTCTAAAAGGGAGGTTACATTGAATAAAAAAGTAAGGTAAATACAATACTAGAAAATAATCACACTTGTAAGTATGCAATGAGTTTTTCATATGTGTAAATATCTGTTACGGCCACAATAAAAAGTTGAGAGCTCAAACAACAAATGAATATTACTCTTTTCTATACTGACATTTTTATCAGCCATCGCAGCGTATGCAGGAAGAGTTCGACATTGAATTTAAAATTTTCGTCCTTGCCAATCTTTATTAATGTCTTCTACAAAAACTGCTCACTGCTTTTGCTGGTATTAAATCGTTATTTAATGGTATTAAATCGTTATTTTGCTGGTATTAAATCGTGAGCTTAAAATATTAAGTTGTTTAATGGGCTCTGGTTATGCAAAATTTGGCTATTCACTTCTTTTCAGTGACAATATTTATTTGCTTTTCTCCTTTTGCTACCTATGACAAATCTCATAGTAAAGATGATTTTCCAGTATTGTATTTGCCTTACTTTTTGATTCAATCTGACCTCCTTTTTAAATAAAAAGTTAATTTTTATCTACTACAAAGATGCATAAGTAGAAAATTCTAATATTGAAAAAAAGATACGTTATACCCCACACATTAAGATTTATCATAAAATATATCAAAAAACATTAAAAATATTTATCTCAGGTCATACAACTATCATTTATCTTTCTGTGGACTAGTGATGGGTGGCAAATACAATATAGTAATTTTGTTTGTGATATGGCATGTCCATTAGATACCACAATACTTCAGACTAAACAAAGAATGTACATCAAGTTTCTTAACTCGAAGTTTTAATCAGAATTAACTGTACAAATGTTAAAACTATAGAAACCAAGGCTGCACCATGGATCAATTTATTGAATCCAAAACTATTGAGGTGAGCATGGCCACCTGCAGTGTTCAAAACTTTTAAGGGTAGCACTTATTTCACACTAGAGAAATAAGAACTGGTCCTCAGAGAGTTTGATTAAAGAGCATCATATTATCTAAGTGTTCCGCACCCTGGCTTCACACTTTGGAATATGGAGCCAGCTTTGTGAATTTGCTCTCAGCTCCTCCATGACCTAAATCAAGTTTCTTATGGCATTATGCTTCAGGTTTCCTAACTATATAATGATGACAATAAGAGCATCTACCTTATATGAGGTTGTTCTAAGAAACAAAGTGACTAATCCATGTAAAGTGTCCAAAACTTACTTAGCCCTAAATAATTGGTAAGAGCTATCAACTTCATCATCATCACCATCATCAATGTCATTGTTATTAATATGCAAAACTGTAGCTGTCCTCTATGTAGATGAGCTATAAATTTGTAGTATTTTTGCAATATTTATTTTATTTTCTTTTTTTATTAAAAAAGAAGGTGGAGAAAACAAAGAAAAAATTTAAAAGTACAAAAAAATTCTTCATAAATAATTTTATCAACTAATGTCAACAGAAAATTTAAAAACCTCAGAAAATTTATTCACGGATAGTTAAGAGTTGATTTCATGTCTTTTCCCTTTATAAAAAATCATCATTTGAGATTTGTTCATAACTTCCATTTATGAAAGTTAAAAAATGTATTTATGTAAATTTGATTTACATTCTGATATCACTAAGACCTTGAGACAATATGATGCTATTAAGACTATAACTAGACTCTTCTTAGAAGCATCTAGTAATTAAACCTTGCTAAAGTTTGAAGTTGGGCATGTTTGAACTCCATCCAAAACATTTGCAGAGAACATACAGTATAATCGCTCATGCTATTGTCTTGAGTACCACTGCCAGAAATAGAGTCCAAAGTGTATTCCACAATTTCCTCTGCCTGCAATTATCTTTCTTCTTTTATCTGGTGATGGAAGTTTTCTTCTTCCTTCAAATTTAGTTCAAGTATCACCAACTCCAGAAATCCTCCCAACAGGGCCTCAATCCACTTACTCTGAAGTCCAGCACGCCTACTGCCTTTTTGACCTCTTGAAGTATTTTATCTTATGCTTGGTATCTGTATTCCTGGCATCCTGGTGCCTACTAAAAGGAAATCTATTATTTTGATACTTAGGATTGCTTTCAATTCTTTTCTTAGGATATTTTATAATCCGAGAAGTGTTCAGATTAATAAAATGGACAGCTTCTAGATTATATGCTGAATGACTGAGGCTTCGATAATTGGTTTCATGGTTTACTGGATAGATTGAACAAATAATAAGTCAAATCTGGCGTTTAGAATGAAACAGAAAATATAACCTATCATGACAACTTGATCATTAGAACCCTTTAAACAAGATCAACATCAACCACCAATTCAGTTGACAAGAAATGTTTTTAGAAGCAATTATATACAGACAACATATGATACCAAGTATGGTGCCTCTTTGTTTGAAAGTTCTGTCAGTAATTGAATTAAGCAGCCTTTTGAGATTATTTTGACCATGTATGGAAAATGTATTTCATAATGTTTATTGTCCAGAATTTAGCCAGTTTTAAATGCTGACAGAAAGAAAGTAGAAAGGCTTTTTTTTTCACTTTATAAATTATAAGAGTGAGGTATGTTTTTGATGTTTATCAAGGAGTTAATTGATTCATTCACTGTTTCATCATTATATTGTTATAGCATGTTCATGTGTGATTTAGTCTCCATTAGATATTGCTAGAAAATTAATCTAGTTTAAGATACTCATTATGCCAGCAAAATGATCAGTTGGTACAAGCATTTTTATAATTAACTTACCCACATAGATAAATAAAGAGGTAATCTTATAGTAGCACAGAGGACATGATATGACTGGTGTCTGAAGAAACACATTTTAAATAGCAGTCATTAATTTATAGATGAACGTTTATAGGGAAAAAGCCCCCTCAGTTGGTGTTAAACCATGATATGTTGTCCAAATTTGCAGTAATTTTAAAGTTACGTGGCCAAAAAATATTCAGGACAGTAAAATACGTCAATAGTGCAGTGCATTAGTGACTTGTAATGGCAAAATGTGTGAAAGTGTGTCATTTTATATAATTGTGTGTGTCTTTCCTTATGCAGGAAGAGTATCATTCCACTCTTAAAATTATAGATTAAATTTGAGAAAAGAGGTATTTAGTTTAAATTCTTGCATTTCTGGAGTTTGTTTCCTTTTATTAAAATGGCAAATAGGTCTCAAACGTACAAGTACTGTTAAATGTATCCAGACGTCCAGCATGGGAAAACATTTAATAAAATTAAAGCACACCCAGACACACCTTGGATTCCCATACATATGTTGAAATCTCAAGACAGATTTACAAGAACAGAAAGTATTATCTGGGAGATCAACAAATAGAGGAAAGCTTCCCCAGTCACAAATCACTATTAACTTCTAACTGCTGCTGTGCTGGAAAACCATTTATAGCTTCTCAGGATATCAACGTCTTCCTAAACCAAATCCAAAGAGGAGACACAGACTGAATCAAATAAAATCTTTCCTCTGACCTTTGCTTATTCCTTTGGACCCCGATGACTTAACACTTAAACCTGAATCATATTGCATTTCCCTGTGTCAATATGAATAGCCGTATCTATATGTAATGATTATTTTATGCCAAACACTATTCTTAGTGTTTCATAGTTACTAAGATGTTTAATTATTGTAACATCCCTATAGATAAATAGTATTTTTTCACAATTTCATTTTATAGATAAAGAAATTGAGGCAAAGAGAATAGCTTACATGACCAATGTCACATAGCTATGTAAGTGACGAAGCCAGAATTTAAACCAAGAAAGTCAGCTCCAGAGATCATGCTCTTAACCGATATTCTAATCCACCTAAAAAACACACCATCAGACAAACCCCAATTTTGTATTTCTTTCTGGGAATAGAAAGAGACTAAAAAGTTGGTATGTAAAATGCTATCCCCCCATTAATTTCATATTTTATTTCTTGTTTCCACTAATCCGCAAATGAAATTAGATTCCACTTATGAAGTTTAAGAAAGTCAGGAGCCAGATTTCAAATTTTATATGTACGGAAATACCTCTGGCTCCACAACTAGAGAAGGTTAGTGCTAGAGGTTAGCAATTAAACTTAAATGAGACTCACATAAAACAAAGTCAAAATTAAGGAATCCAATTTGGCAATATGTGGTGTTTTAGAAGTCTTATGTTCTCTCCAAACCACCTTGTCCTCAGGGAAATTCATTAGCTTACAACCAGACTTGTGGTAGATCCAGTTCAGTTGAAACATGTATATGTACCCTCTCTGTAGTTGCAGTTTTCAGTTAGGTAAATACTTCAGATAAACAGTGTCATTATTTTTTTCTTGTGTAACTGAGGATAATTGTAGAAATTATAACTAAATTCTATATAAACCATGACCTCCTTGTAATTACCCCAATTAATGTTTTTAATTGACATAATGATTTTCTTTTTAGCTGACTACCTGAGGCATTTCCATTAACTCTCTGACATGAAACGCATACTGCAGTTGCTCATGGGATGGACATCTAACAGGTTTTTGCCCCTTAAATATATAGAGAAGCCTCTTAACTTACAAACAGGGTGGGCTCTCAAAGGTTATTGTCACTGCCTTTGTAAATCCAAAGTAACTTCATTCAGGCATGTGCCCTCATGACTTGTTAGAGTCAGGAAAAGAAGAGAGTAGTAGAGCATGCTTCTAATAATTTTTTAGGTGGAAATTTCTAGGGTAATTTTTCTTATTGTTTCAATGTACCATTTGGGCCTTACACTAATGATTATGAAGATAAACTCCTCCAGAAGCAGAAATAAAGATAAATGTAATGATTCTAGAAATTGGGCTGACTTACTATCATGAGTCCCTGAATTTCCCAACTCATATCAATATACAACAAAAGAAATCAGTTCCCTTTGACTGGAATTTAAGTTCCCAGGAACAGAGAACATTGACATTATTTCAAATACTAAATGGCTTGAAACCATAGTGCAACTCAAGGAGACTTGAACAATTCCATTAACTCAGGGAAATTCTAGTTTCCTAGTTGATCTGATGAACCTGCCCTGAATGCCCTGCGAATGTCTTTCAGTCATTGATTTCCTTTACAAATGGAAATACAAACTACACACTAGCACATTTGCTAGCAAATGTCAGGATTGCAGAAGTGGAAACAAATTCAGATACTGGTATCTTCAATGACATAAATAAAAGGGAAAAAACAATGAAATGTCAACATTTTGTTACCTTATGAGTCTTGTCTTCCTGATAAAGATTAGATCCCAAGAATACATTTACAGTTGAAAGACTCTATGCCAAAGATGAAGTGAATGGTAATGGAGGGATGTCAGTATTGTAATCAAAGCATCTTACATATTTGGAATAGGTGTTAGATTTACATGTTGAGACTTACTCTATTAATGAATTGTGCCTTACAATACTATAACTCTGAGGTCAAAAGATTGATTTGATTAGCATTTATTCTGAAATAATAGTGTATCATCTCTGTTAAAATAAAAATTGTAATATTTTAATCTTTTATTTAGACAGAGTCTCACTCTGACACACAGGCTGGAGGGTAGTGGCAGTATCTTAGCCCACTGCAACCTCCACCTCCCAGGTTTGGATGATTCTTGTGCCTCAGTCTCCTGAGTAGCTGGGATTTCAGGTGTGCACCACCACACCTGGCTAATTTTTGTATTTTTATTAGAGAAAGAGTTTTGCCATGTTGGCCAGGCTAGTCTGGAACTTCTGGCTTCAAGTGATCTGCCTGCCTCGGCCTCCCAAAATAATGGGATTACAAGTGTGAGCCACCATTTCTGGCCAAAAATGTTAATAATTTAGAATAGCATATGGAATAAAAGCTACATTTTTGAGTTTTTAAGCGTAAAAATGAACTACTTTTCTCAAAAAGTTATAAATAGAAATACTATATGATCCAGCAATTCTACTACTAGGTCTACATCCAAAAAGGAAATAAAATCAGTATGTTGAATATATTTCTGCACTCCTGTCTTTACTGTAGCACTCTTCACAATACCCAAGATACAGAATCAACCTAAATGTCCATTAATGGGTGAATGGATAAAGAAAATGTGATGTATATATACATAATGGAACACTATTCAGTCATAAAAAGAATAAAATCCTGTAATTTGCAGCGACATGGATGAACCTGGAGGGCATTATTTTCGGTGGAATAAGCTAGGCACAGAAAGACAAATAGGGCACCGTTTACAAATATATGGAATCTAAATGTTGTTCTGATAGAATTAGAGAGTAGAACAGTGGTTACCAGAGGACGGGGAGAGGAGGTAGGAGGGAGGAATAGTGACAGATTGGTCAACAGGTACAAAGCTGCAGTTAGATAAGAGGAATATGTTCTGGTTTTCTATTGCCTAGTAAGATAAGTAGAATTAACAATAATGTATATTTCCAAGTAGCTAGAAGAGAGGTTTTTGAATATTCTGAAAACAAAGAAATGACACATGTTTAGGGTGATGGGATGTTAGTTACCCTGATTTGATCATTCTACCATGTATACATTTATCAAAATATCATGCCGTGCCCCGTAAATTGCACTTATTACAGCTGCATTATAAATAAAAATAACAAAAATAAAATTTAACCTCTGATAATTAGTAGTATTTTTTTAAATAAAGCAATGATTTCATTCATTTGCATGGTTTTTTTTTTGTTTGTTTGTTTGTTTGTTTTTGAGACCGAGTCTTGCTCTGTTACCCAGGCTGGAATGCAGTGGCACAATCTCGGCTCACTGCAAGCTCCACCTCCTGGCTTCAAGCAATTCTCCTGCCTCAGCCTCCGGAGTACCTGGGATTACAGGCGCCCGCCACCATGCCCAGCTAATTTTTGTATCCTTAGTAGACGTGGGGTTTCACCATCTTGGCCAGGATGGTCTTGAACTCCTGACCTCGTGATCCACCCACCTTGGCCTCCCAAAGTGTTGGGATTACAGGCGTGAGCCACCATGCTCTGCCCACTTGCATGGTTTCTAAGATTTATATGCTAATGACCCACAAATCTACATCTCTAGGCTTGACGTGTTATTATTTTTTCTGTTATTAAAAGCTTTAAGTAGAGGAGGAACATGATTAAATTTAGTAATTCCACTCTGTTGCAAAGGTGTCTTACTTGTTGGAGTATATGACTTGTAGATTGTGGCAAATGTGTCAAAATAGACGCAGGAGGAAATAAGAGGCAGAGTTCAAGACAAATCTATAAAAGGTTGGCCAGTGGTGCTGAGAGCCCTGCTGTGCTTGAATTGTTATTGCGCCACTCAACATATTTGAGTGATATAATCCAGAGGTACTCAGCTGTATACTTGCAGAGCAAAAAATGTGGACTATAGCACTGACACAGGGTTGAAATTCTCCTAGGCAGTTCCAGTGGAATGATAGGGATACAAAGTAATCAAGGATACTGG
Source organism: Homo sapiens (assembly GCF_000001405.40). Lineage (NCBI taxonomy): Eukaryota > Metazoa > Chordata > Mammalia > Primates > Hominidae > Homo > Homo sapiens. The sequence continues at coordinate 79,354,439 of NC_000003.12, read as the reverse complement.
TATGAGAGAAGTTGGCATGGTAAATTAGGCCTTTAGAAGGCAGAGAAGCAGAAGAATCAGGAGGAAGTTGATTGAGATAAGATGATGGAAGCAAAGGCATTCTGATGAAATCAAGTGCCAAGTATAGGAGGTTGAAAACAGTGAAGAAAATAAGTTCTGTTTCTTCTCATTCTCCTTGCCACATAGGGTTGTGGTTAGCGTTAAGTCTGACTGTAGATGAGACAAGTTTAAAAGAGTTCTTGGTACTTGGCAAGTCCTCAATAAACTGGCCAGTTGTTATAGTGTTGTAGAAGTAGCAGCAGTTTCAGTAATAGTATTAGATGTGGCAGCAGCAACAGTAGTATAGTGCCCTTCCTAAACTATTACAATAACTTAATAACTTTTTTTTTTTTTGTGAGACAGAGTCTCGCTCTGTCGCCCAGGCTGGAGTGCAATGGTGGGGTCTCAGCTGACTGCAACCTCCACCTCCCGGGTTCAAGTGATTCTCCTGCCTCAGCCTCCTGAGTAGCTGGGATTACAGGTGCCCACCACTATGCCTGGCTAATTTTTGTATTTTTAGTAGGAATGGGATTTTGCCATGTTGGCCAGGCTGGTCTTGAACTCCTGGCCTCAAGCATTCTGCCCTCCTTGGCCTCACAAAGTGCTGGGATTACAGGCGTGAGCCACTGCGCCTGGCCTGCAATAACTTCTTATCTGTTCCTTCTGAAACTAGCTTCTTGTGCATCCTCCACACCAACACCATAGCCCTCTGATTAAAAGTTCTATTAATTTCCTATTGACTATAGAATAAATCAAAATTATTTAGCTGGGTGTAAAAGGGCCCTCTGAGTTTATCCCCAGCACCTCCATGTCCACACGCTTGGATTGAGGGATTGAACAAGTAAAAGCCATTGCATACAACCATACTGAACATCTCATCTTTTTATAATATAGCAGCCACTCTCATGACTACTCCAAGTTTTGTTTCCCTACTTGGAAATTATTTTTGCGTACATGTGTGCTTCTGTGCGTGTGTGTGTGTGTGTGTGTGTGTGTGTGTTTGTTTCTGTGTGTTTCTATATTCTTTTTTTGAGGTTAATTCTTTCTCATTCAATCAGAATTATTTTTTCCTCTATATTTCTACCTTAATCATATATCTATTATAGCATTTCCCATGTAAGAGCAATTTGCTCTCTCCAATTAAATTCTTAATAATTTGTCTCAATGACTCAGAACAATACATCATATCTAATAGTCACTAACTAAACATTTTGAGATTGAATAAATGAATGAATACTGCAGTCTGAACATAAAAAAATGTTATCTCACTGTGCTTTTACTACAGTCTTTCACTTTTAGATTACGGATAGACAGTTAAGAAAATAGTTTGTCAGTAATAAGTTGTCTATTAACTAAAGAGTTAGTGTTATAAGACTACAATTTTTCAGAGTTAACATTGATTCTTAACTCTCTGTAATCAGTACAATAATAATAGAGTCACAAATTTAAAAGTAGTTCCACTTCCCCTTAATATGTGCAACAGTTATATTCTGTTTGAGATTTTTAAATGAGTGTATATATATATAATGAATCTGTCACATTTGTAAGAAATAGACATCTATAAATCATTTTTAGTTAATGTATACAATAGTAAGTAATCTTATTCGGCCATCTTGCCCATATATTCTATCTATATAATATGTTGGATTCCTTCTATATAACTTCTTAAAATGACTAAATTATATGGTAGAAAAACAGATCACTGGCTTTCTGAGGTTAAAGAAGGCGGCTGGGTGGAGGGAACAGAGTGTGAGTAGAAAGGGGAAGGCACAAGGGAGTTCCTTCGTAGTGACAGAGCACTTCTGTATCTTGATTAGATGGTGGTTACGTGAAGCTCTACGTGTGATTAAATTTCACAGAATTAGATACATATGCATTAGAATAACTGAGTGCAGGCAAAAACTTGTGAAATCTGATTAACGTCCGTAGTCTAGTTGACGGTGTTAAGCCAATATCATTTTACTGGTTTTGATAATGCATTATAGTTGTGTAAGACACTACCAGTGGGGAAGCTGAGCGATGGATACCTGGGACCTGTAACCTCTTGTGAGTCCTCATACTTTTCTTGTGAGTCTATATGCATTTTCAAATAGAAAGTTAAAAAGAAAAAATAAGGAATAGTAAGTAAAGGTGGGAGAACAGAAAAGTCAAATATATTTGCCAAGACATTGTTCAGAAATTTATTTATTCCTTCCTCCATGACTTTCCAGCAAGATTAGAGTATTAGAGTATTATAGAGGCCTAAAATCTAAGTTTGATGGGATACTTCAATTTCTAGTAAGTATTCCTGCAGTTCAAAAGAAAGAAACTTAGCAAAAGGAATATCTAGCATCAGGATGTTCTGTTCAAAATTACCTTTGTTGGGATATTTGTGTGATCAAATTAAGTCAGCAAGGACAGAGGAATGCTTATGTAGAATGGCAGTTAGCTTATTTTTATTGCAAAGACGTATGTCTTGATTTGTAATTACTGGAAAAACAGGTTGCACATACTGCACTTTAAATCATCTTCCCAGCCATGGGAACTCGTACAGACATGTGTGTTAAGGACACACTGTGCCCTCCTTTTAATTTCCCAGAAGTTGGTTCTTTAAAAAGAAAAAAAAAGAAAGAAAGAAACAAGAAAATCAGATCTTTTCATAAGAAAATTCACTGGATAGTCAGCTTCTATTTTGCTTTTTCTTTCATTAAAATAAAAAAAAGGCAAAACTTGCAACAACAAATAGTCATCCTATTCAAACAGTGTAATTGAACAGGGATGAAATGAACAATAATCACTAAAAATCTTATAGGCAAAGAACTATGAGAAGTATTATCATAAAATAATTAGGAACATAAAGAAACTAAATATTTGATTTTGTAAAAATAAAATATCTTTTTGGTTTTTTGGTTCACTGTTATTTAAAAATAAACAAACAAAAAAAATGACTTTGCTAATCGAGGAACATAGCCAGAAACGTGTGGGCTACTTAATTATTGTCAACTATATATAGGCAAGTTAAATCTGAGTGTTTGACATTTAAAAGAATAACAATTTATATAATTGATCTTTTAAAATAAATTTCAGCATGAAGTTGAGCTATCAATGGCAGCTGCCTAAACTACTTTATGCACTTTAAGTTGTTTATTTTGCTCATGATTATCTGTGACCAAGTCAGATAATATATTTGAAGTGCCTGAAGCAACATAAAACTATAAAGCCAAATTTTTTATTTAGTCATAATTTTTTATATGCCTTGTTGAGGTCTCAGATCTCATTTATATTAGCTTTTTTGATATGTAATTCATATACCTTGCAATTCACCAATTAGAAGTGTATAATTGGATGGTTTTAATATACTCATACTCATGGGAAAATTTCACTATAATCAATTTTAAAACATCTTCCACCCTTCAAAAAGAAATCCTCCTGGGTGCAGCAGTGCATAACTGTAGTCACAGCTACTTGGGAGGCTGAGATGGGAGGATCAATTGAGGCCAGGAGTTAGGGGCTGTAGTACATTGTGATGGTGCCTGTGAATAGCCATTGCACTCAATCCTGGGCAACATAGCAAGACCCCATCCCTTAAAAAAAAAGAATTCTTGTAATTTTAGCTACTGCCCTTCTACTCTCCAATCCCCTCAGCACTAAAAATACACTAATCTACTTTCTGTCTATATAGATTTGCCTATTCTGAACCCTTCGTAGAAATGAAATCATATATAGGTGTTTTGTGACCAGCCTCTTTAATGTAGCATGATGTTTTCAAGGTTCATACATGTTGTAGCATGTAGCCATCCTTTTTCCTTTGTTAGCCAAGTAACATTCCATTATAAAGATATACCACATTTTATTTATCCATTCATCAGTTGATGGACATTTGGATTGTAGTTTCTACCTTTTCTCTATTATGAATATAGCTACTTTGAACATTTGTGTACAAGTTTTTATATGGACATGTTTTCATTTCTCTTAGGAGTGGAATTCTCTTAGCTGAATCAAAATGATAACACTATGTTAAGCTTCTTGAGGAACGGACAGTGGTTTTCAAAGTCACCGTAACATATTACAATCCAACTAGCAATGCGTGAGGATAAAATTTCTCCATATCTTCACCAACATATGCTATAGTCTGTATTTTTTATTACAGCCATCCTAGTGCATGTGAATTGCTATCTTATTGTAGTTTTGCTTTGCATTTCCTTGATCACTAATGACGTTAAGCATCTTTTTTATGTATATAAAAAGATTGGCCATTTGTATATATCCTCTCTGGAGAAATATCCATTCAGATCATTTGTCCATTTATTAATTGGACTATGTATCTCTTTATTATGCTGTTTTGTTATTTATGTACTCTAAACACAGATCCTTTATCAGATATATCATTTTAAAATATTTTCTCCCATTCCGTGGGTTGTGTTTTCACTTTCTTAATAGTGTCTTTGAAAGGTTAGTTTTGGTGAAGTCCTATTTATCTGTTTTTTTCTATTGTTGCTCATGCATTTCGTGTCATATATAGGAATCTATGGTAAAAGCCAAGGTCACATAGATTCAACTGTTTGTTTCCTTTAAGAATTTTATAGTTTTCATTCTTACATTTGATTCATTTTGAGTTAATTTTTGTACACGGTGTGAAACAAGAGCCCAGTTTTTGCATGTGGATATCCAGTTGTCCCTGAACCATTTGTTGAAAAGATTATTATTTGCCCATTGAATAGTCTCAGCACCCTTGTTGAAAATCAGTTGACGATACACACATAGGTTTGTTTCTGGGCTCTCAATTTTATTCACTAATCCATCTAGCCTATGTCAGAATCACACTGTCTTGATTACTGTTGCTTTGGAGGTAAGCTTTGAAAATGGATAATGTGAGTCTTCCAACTTTGTTCTTTGCAAGAGTGTTTTAATTAGTCTTAGTTTCTTATAATCTATCTATCATCTATTTATCTATCTATTTTAAATTAGCTCATCAATTTCTTAAAAGAAGTCAGCTCATATTCTGATAGGGATTGGGTTGAATCTGTAGATCAATTAGGGGAATATTGCCATCTTAACAATATTAGGTCTTCAGATCAGTGAATATGGTTATTTTCCTATTTATTAAAAGTGTCTTTAATTTCTTTTAACTAATATTTTAGAAAATTCTCTCTGGGTCTTAATGCCATCACAAGCCTAAGGAAGCATTTACTTCAAGTTGATCCTCATAGGCTAATTCTCACTTTATAATTCTATCATCTTTATTAGATGCTGGTTATAAATTAAACCCATAATTCATGAATGCTTATCCTAAAATACCACAGATATTTTACTTTCGTATGTAAAGATCTTTTGGGTTACCTTCTCTAGCATCCTCACAGTACAAAACCCTATGAACAAGATACAAACAGAGATTTAACTAGATTGTTGGACAAATATTGTTCTATACAGTGTTGTTTGAATATTATTAAAGCAGTGGATTGTTAATATTTAGATTCAATTGATTTTTTTTTAGTTAAACTTTCGCGTTTTCATTGCACTATTATTTAGTCATAATCAGGCCTATTTTGGAGAGGAAACTTGGAATTCTGCTTCTAAGCCTCCTATGTTCTGTCCCTTTTGAAATAGGAAGAAGCATATAATCATTACCTTTGCCTATGCATACAAAATTTTGAAAGTATTCGTGTCTTTTTCCACTCAAAAATACAAAATAGGCACCTCACTGGTAGTTGTCACTGAAAAGTGTTCTATGCAGCATCAGCCATATGAATTCCTGTGATTGTTGTCATTGGGAGGGAAAATTATTTATTATTTAATGTGCAGCACAAACATTACCTCCAATAGGATGTCTTCTCCATATCCTAATTAGAATTTGTTTCTTTGTCTTCTGCCTCTAAGTCACTTTATAAATACCTATATTATGCCAATTTTTCCACAGTTGTGTTTCCTTGCCTGCCCCCTCAAAAAATACTGTGAACATTTGGAGGAAGACTTTGCCTCATTTTTGCGTGTAGCCGTAAGATAAAACTTCATATGTAAGAGGAGCTAAACAAATGCATGCATTTGAATATTTGGCCATCAACTTTGGCCATGATCAAAGGTGCTTCTGTTACTTGTGTTACCTATGTGTGTCTCAATGTAACAGAAATAATAGACCAGTACTCCATTCCACCTGAGTACATGTGTGTCTCTTCCACTTACAGCATCTTCACTTTTTTTTTTTTTTTTTTTTGAGATGGAGTCTCTTTGTGTCTCCCAGGGTGGAATGCAGTGGCACAATCTCGGCTCGCTGCAAACTCTGCCTCCTGGGTTCAAGCAATCTGCCTGTCTCAGCCTCCCAAGTCACTGGGATTACAAGTGTGCACCACCACACCCGGCTAATTTTTGTGTTTTTGGTAGAGACGGGTTTCACCATGTTGGTCAAGCTCATCTCAAACTCTTGACCTCAGGTGATCTGCCCACCTTGGCCTCTTAAGGTGCTGGGATTACAGGCATGAGCCACTGCGCCCCACCAACATCTTAACTTCTATTCATAATACGGTACTACATTTGGTATTAAGGCTCATGATTCATTCAGTGCCTTTGTTCAAAATGAGCCTGTTTATTTCTGATTCACCTAAGTGGGCAAGCTATTTTTCTTCTTTTAAATGTGAATGTTATTCTACATTTGTTGTTATATCTTAGCAAGTGTTTAAATAACTTTTGTGCTCCTGCTTATGGTGGATCACTATCAACTCACCTACTTGCCAAGTATTCTTTGATCCTGTCTCTTCTACAAGGATTCCAAGATATTATTGCCAATACTATTGCATTGACACTTATTGTCTGTAGTTGAAAATATTGAAATTCCTTAACATGTCAGATGTCACACTTTATCGCAATCCTGAGGCTTATAGTCAGGTTACAAGCTAAATCCATTAATTAATTTAGTGACAAATAGGCATTTATTCACTTATCATGTCATCATTACTTGATAGAATGCTTTGAGAAGATAATTTAAGACTGTGTTGCATGCTGGCTAATAAATGACCTTGACTGTCATCAGAAATATTTTCAGTCCAACAAACATGCTAAGATATTACAGAATTTGGGATTTTCTGCAGAATCCTCATATCAAGCATATCAAGTGTTCACGAGATTTTAAAGTCATACACACACACGTTGAAGAGGAAATAGCATTATGGCTTTTTTTCTTTAATACTATTTAAGGCATGTTATGGAAATATTTAGAAAATAAATGAAACACAAGAAAAATTACAACTCTCCATCCCTCCATTTGCTTTGTATTATCAACCCCTAGGTATAAATACTGTCGAAATGGGGTTATATTTGTTTTCATGCTGTCTGTTCACCTATCTATAAAGCTAAATATACACAGACAATTTTTTTATAAGTAACTATATAGTACTTTGTAAAACCTATTTTTTTTACTTATCACCATATTATGAACTCCAAAAAGGTTATCATTAAATTGAATATTTTGACTGTGGACAATTTAAATTGTCATAGTTATCATAGTACAGAAATAAAGTATTGATTTGAAAACTATTCCAACTGTAAATGTATAGTCTATATATTTTTAAAATATTTAAAATAATTATTAATGTAATCTATATGCTTATTATCCTAGACCATGTATTATTTTACAACATGATCAGTTTTAAAAATGACGTCCTTTGATGATCTGAGATGGTGAACAAATTTGTGAAGCTCTCCTAAGGAAATAGGTCTTCTTTTTAATTTAGGAAACTTTTATTAGAAAATTCAAGCTTTAGTTGAAAAGTTGATACTAATATATCATTGTAAAATTCTGAAAAGTAGATTGATCTCTACATAGAAAAAATTAATTCCTAGAAATATTCACTTAAATGCTGTTTTCACTTAGATAGCTGTCCTAAAAGTATATGTGTATGAACAAAAGAAAAAAAGTAATGTTTTTTCTTAAAGAGTTAATAGGTTCTGATAAAACCCATATAAAATGAAGCCAAGAGTCAGCCTGTATGTTTAAGACAGACATAATTCTACAATTATGATGATGTAGAAAATCCCAACATACTTTCATTCATTCCACTTGGGTTTCAGACTCTACAAATTGAAAGTATCAGAAAATAGCATTTAGAAAGCCCCTTAGTTCTGGTAAGAAAAATACAACATAGCCATAATATCTTGATTATCAAAACCATTTTGGTTAAGCCACCACCAGCCCTATTTTGTAGAAGTGTATTTTGTTTTAATTTTAACTCAAAAATTGAATTACAGTATTTCTCTATAAATATTAAAAATGAGCAATATAGAGCAATCTACATCAAAGTCAAGAAAGTAAATTCAGTGACAGTATATCACTGCATCTATTCACTTGTGATTTGATATATAAAATTGACTTTAATTAGACACTTCTCAGAAATTATTCTTGACCTACGAATTATCCTCCATAGACTCTCAGAAATATTTCAGTGTGTTTACCAGTTGCAGAAAATACCATATTTAAAATCTGGGCTGTATTAATTCATCAAGTATCTACAGAGCACCCCAGAATGCAGGACACTATAAACACTGAAAAGATATTTTTAAATATTTAGCAAGAGAGAAAAAGCCACCATGTTTTAATAAAACATGAGGACAGCTTATAAACTGTTCAAAGCTGAAAGGTGTGCTTCAGCAAAATTGTTCATTACCCTGGAATGTATGGCAGGGTAAGGAGAGAGTACCAGAGATTACAACTTTGCCTCTGTAGGCATTCAGTCACTCAAGCTGCATCATATCATGATTAGAAAGTGGCTGTGGTAGGGTTTAGATAGTTCAAGTGAAAGCAAAAACGGTGTGGGTCTTTATCTCTTTTCCTATTTTGTGTGCCTGAGGGACAGTTTTTGAAAGCCACTGGGTAGTTTCCCATTCACAGGTACCACACAGGTAATTAGACCCTGCAGTAAAAAGTGAAAGAGAGCAAAACAGTCTGGAATCGTTTGCCCCCAGAGAGCAAAAGCCATCTAGATAAAAGGAAGAAGAGAAGTCATATAAAAAAGGGAGACTGGCCAAAGCTGTCAGATTCCTCACTGAGTCACGTGTCAATTGCCTACACTTCTGCTCCTGTCAGCAAAGGCATCTCAGGGTCTGTAAATGACTAAGAACAGCCAAAAGCACTATAAAGATGGAAATCAAAAACAATTTTAGAATCAAATCAAGCATAAGGAACCAATCTGTCCAAATCCAAAGCATATATTGTTAAATGTTTTAGTGTACACATTTCAAATACACTGAAATGTACCCAGTTGAAAGAATAAGTAAACATTTCTAGACCTCTTCCTATTTTCAAAGTTGTTAAAATTTAATCACATATAGATTATCCCTCTGTGTAGTCCGTTTTCACACTGCTATAAGGAAATACCTGAGACTGTGTAGTTTCTAAAGGAAAGAGGTTTAATTGACTCACAGTTCTGCATGACTGGGGAGGCCTCAGGAAACTTATAATCATGGTGGAAGGGGAAGCAGTCACCTTCTTCACATGGCAGCAGGAGAGAAAAGTGAGAGTGCAGGAAAAAACTGCTCTTTATAAAACCATCAGATCCCATGAGAACTCACTCACTATTATGAGACCAGCATGGGCGAAACAGCCCCCAGAGTCCAAATGCTTCCCTCCCTTGACACGTGGGGATTACAACTGGGGATGAGATTTAAGTGGGGACATGGAATCAAACCATATCACCCTCTCTCTCTCTCTCTCCATATATATATATGCATATATGTATGCATTTTTACAGCCTTCCTCATACCTATCCTAACAAAAGCATTCATTATTGTAACTCAATTAACATCACACCTTAGAAAAACAACAGCAATAATTCTATATTATACACTAGTAATCCCATAAACCAGTTTCCCACAAGTGTTCTGAGAATATACTTTATAGCCGCTGTTGCTGCTACTTTTAATTTTAAACCATAATCCAAATGTGATTCACTTATTGCGTTCAACTATTATTCGCTTTTATTGTGTAGTTTCTAGGTCTTGGCATTGTTGACATGCTGGCCAATCGTTCTTTGCTGTGGAGAGAGGTGAAGGGTCTCTTTTGCACGATAGGACTGTTAGCATATCACTTGTCTGTATCTGCTAGGTAACAGCAGCTTTCCCCCACCCCCAATTTGTGACCATCACAATTGTCTCCAAATGTTACGGAATGTCCCCAAAAGACAAAATCACCTTGGATTGAGAACCACTGCTCTATTTTAATCTGGAAGGGTACTTCCATCTTCACCTGAAGTAATTTTAGTTAGCCATGCCTGCATACAAGTCTATTATTTTACACCCGAATTATATCAACATACACAACCATCCCTCTATGAACAGTTTGGGAATTGCTAATCTCAATAAGAAACAATTAGCCTCTGAGCAGTCATAAAAACCACCTGAGAAACTTGCCAAATTCCAGTTCCTGGGCTTTTTTCCTACATATTCTGACTTTAGTACTGAGATGGGGCCTGGGAGTCTGAGTTTTTTATAAATACACCAAATGATCCTTGTCCTAAGTCAAGTTTGGGAAACAAACAACTAGGTCTTATGACATGGAACCCAAGGACCATAGAGAGTGTGTACAATTGACAAAACCCTCCTCTCCTTTTTAATTATTTTAAATGTTTTTTCTTCCCAGACTTTGCTCAAAGGACACTCAGATTCTTTTCTACATCTTTGTTTGCTGTTCTTCCTTACTTGGCAAATTTTCTTCTTCTCCCACTTAAATTAGGGGAAACCTATGTATAGGACCCTACTTTTCTGTATAAAGTGATAGCCTGTATTTAATGGTTTCAGCTGTCATCAGTAGTGCGGTGTATTCCACGTTTACGTTTACTGCAGACTTCTCACTAACTTTCTCAATGTCTCAGGTGCATTTCTGTGAAGGCTTTTGTTTTAATTCTAACCTGTTAATCACAAAATTCAGCATCTTTTTTTGCCATGATTGCTCAGTTTATTTATTTCAAATTCCAATTAATTATCCTTCGTTGCTGGTGGGATTGCAAACGTATGCAGTCACTTTAGAGAACAGTTTCTTACAAAACTAAACATACTCTTACCATGTGATCCAGCAACCACACTCCTCGGTATTTACTCAAAGAAGCAGGAAACTTTTATTGCACAAAAACCTGTGCATCTTTATTTGTAGTTGCCAAACTTCGAAGCAAGCTAGATATCATTCAGTAAGTGAATGAATACATTTATTTTTCAATGGATAAATAAATCCAGACAATAGAATATTATTCGATGCTGAAAATAAATGAGTTGTGAAGAGACGTGGAAGAAACTTAAATTCATGTTACTAAGTGGAAGAAGCCAATCTGAAAAGGCTACATACTGTATGATTCCAACAATATGACATTCCGAAAAAGGCAAAACTACAAAAACAGTGAAGAGAACAATTGTTGTTAGGGTGTGAGAGAGGGAATGGATAAATAGGTGGAGTCCGGATGATTTTTAGGGCAGTGAAACTACTTCCTATAATACTATAGTGGTAGATACATATTATATACATTTATTCAAACCCATAGCATGTGCAATATCAAGAGCTGAATTCTAAGCTATGGACTCTGGTGGTAACGATGTGCAATGTAGGTTCAGCTGTTAGAACAAATATTTTACTCTGATAAGGGATGTTGATACTGGGGAAAGCTATACATATACCTAAAGTTGTTCTAAAACATCAACTCTATTTTAAAGATTTGATTCATCATTCCATTATTTTTCCCGAGCCCTGTGTTGACTGCCATATGATCACTCTATCCTTTTTTCCCTCCCTTACTCCAAGATATAGTCATTATAGTCTCTTAATCCTTCCACTAGGCCAGAAGTTCTCAAACTTCTATGTTAAAACATATCACATAGGTAACTTTTTAAAATGCTCATTCCCAGTCATCACACTGAAAGTATCACATTAAAAATTTTGATATGTAGTACAGAAATGTGAATTTTTAACAAGCACTCGAAGTAATTCTGAAATTGGCCATCTAGAAAGCAAGCTTTAAAAGCCACTTTTCTTTATGATGTCTGACAAATTTATCACTTTCTCCCTTTTTCTATAACTTCAGACTTATTCTATTCACACAGGGGTTACAATAACTTCTTTGCTGGTTATCCCAATTCCAGTCTCTTTTTGCTACAGTTATCCCTTTGTAGACTGCTAAAATAATCTTCTGCAAATGCCATTTTTATCATGTCACTTTCCTGCTCAAGAATCAGCTACTCCTACCATATCAAGTCTAAACTCTTGGCCTATAATTCAAGGTCCTCTGTCAGCTAGCACTTTTGTACCTCTCTAATTTTATCTTTTCCCACTACAGACTGACTCTCCCATCCAGCTAAATCCAGCCAACTTTCCACTCTTCCTTGCTACTTCTTTCTACTTATTTCCATGGCTTTGAGTTTCCCTTCAATTGGAAAGCCCCTCTCTTTCATTTTCCCTCAACATGTAATAAACATTTGTTCCTAACTCCTCTGCCTCAGAAAAATTTTCTTGATTAAAATTTTCCACTTACTCATTGTAGTGTTTGAATAAAAATTACCTACAGGACTATGATTCAGAAGTGTAGAAAACGCAAAAGAAGCCTCTAATATTAAAAAGTAGGAACGGCATGTTATTTTCCCGATTAACTTTTGAAAACAAAGATTTACTCTAATAATTCTATTAATCTGAATATTAATGGAAAAATATATGGAAAAAACTACTATAAATAGATGGGCTAAACGTTTAATATAAGTATGGTAGTTGGAGTAAATACCATAATGAGACAATAGAACATAAAAAATCAGTAGAAGCCAGGCACAGTGGGTCCCACCTGTAATCCCAGCTAACTGGGAGGCTAACTTGGGAGGATTGCTTGAGGCCAGGAGTTCAAGACCAGCCTTGGTAACATAGTGAGACACCTCCCACCCGATCTGTAATTATTTTAATTAAAAAAAAAAGAACCAGTGGTAAATTAGTGAATAGAAAAAAGATAGGAACTGCTAAGATGTGAAATGAATGTGATGGCAAACTACACTATCAAATTAAAATGACATAAAAAAGTGAAGCCTCAGTGCCTATCCAATTGAAAGTTGAATCTTCTAAATCCTTCCCAGAAGCAGTTTTGCTAATGTATGAATGTTAGTTTTTTTCATTTTATAATCATATCTCATATGTCTAAGCAACTGTTTTTCTCTTTAAAGTAGCCATTTCCTGAGCCTGTGAAGCAAAAACACTCTACCAGAAATTCCATTTGAATGACATGCTATAAGCATACTTAGTTCATTCAGTACAATCAGATTTATTTTCAGATGGCATTGGAAATTCATGAGGGTTTCTGGTTTTCTATGACCTCGTCAATACTTGGACTTACCCACCTTCCAAATTCTATTAATTCAATGGGTGCTGTACAATATCACTTTTGATTTCACTTGCATTTATAAAATTACTAAAGAATTTGTACATTCCGCAGTATACTTAGGAGCCATTTTGGCTACCCTATGTATGAGTTTCCTAATCACATCTGCTTAACTCTTTTATATTATCTAAAATCACTTCCCCATATTTAATCTACATCAGGCACTTTGAATCCAGAAATACCAGGTTCAGGCTAGCCTCCTCACCTTTGCACATGCCAACCTTCAATATATTTCTTGTGTACATTTCTATTTTAGCACTCTGCAGATTTTATGAAAATTGGTTATATCTGGTTTTGTTATAAGAGCTGGCTTTTTTAAAACAAAACAAACAAAAATCTTTTTATTTCTAACTCCTAAGAAATAGGAGAGACACAGTAAAGGGTGGTACCAAGGTACATTCCCTAGTGACATTTTATTCTTACCGTTCTAATAGGAAAAGTTAATTTCTCTCTCTGCTAAGATGAGAAGAACCAAAACAAGCCATCATTAGGGGTCCACTCATGGGGGTCTGGCAGACTTAGAACAACCTGCAGCCCACCATCACATCCACTCTGAACCTAGAGACCTCACACTTCCTTTCCCCTGGTAATATGAATTTTTGGAGCTCCAGAAGTATACTCTCCCCTTATTCAAGTCATGATCCAAGTTTACCTGAAAAGGCTAATACCCAAGAAAGAAAAGGATCACAAAAGCAGGAGGCAGGCACTCTGAGGACTTGTCCCATCTTGTGACATAGCAGGGGAAGATTGCAATGGTATAAAGCAGGCTGGAATGGGCAAAGAAATGGAATTAGATATGACTTTTGGATTGAGGCAGTTCAGTATCTTTTGGGTACATCCAGGTTCAAGAGAGACAAATTTATATAAGGTGATGGGGAAAGGCCAGCAGATTGGCATAACTTGGTTTTGAAAAATGAGTGACAGAGACTGGGTGTGCTGCAGCAAGCAACTCTAGGCGAGGCCAGCAGAGCAAACAGGCTATCACACCTGCCAAGTGGGTGGGGCCAACATACAGGGAACCTAGAAGCCGGAACATAGAGAGTTGGAACTTGATAGGCCTGTCATTAAATTGTAAGATCAAAGTCATTGGAGTGGAGGTTAAAGTCAGCCAAGAGCCAGAAATATTCCAGACCTAGAGAAACTGGAGCGGTAAAGGCACTCAATAGTAATCAAGATAAATTGTTTTAAATAACTCCAGAGTTGTAAACTTTTACTTATGTATTCACTAATAACAAATGTGTTTTGGGTACCTTCTAAAGGTTGGTCACTGGTGTTGGTCAAAGAAATGGCAGTACACAGACAAAATTTTGGCCTTCAACGGAGCTTAATGCTTAGTGGGATAAGATGGAAAATACAAAACTAAAAAATCACCTTATATAGTATGTCAGATGTTGATGAGTGCTAAGGAAGTAATTAATCAGGAAAGAGAACTACAAAGTATCTTCAGGGAGGGTGCAATTAGATTGTAATTCAACACAGGCTAACTAGGGATGATGACAACTGAGGGAATGTATGCAGGTACAAAAAGGGAGTGAGCCATGTGTGCTAGTCGGAGAGAAGAGTAAGTGTGGAGGTACGATGGCATGCAAATGTGTTTGTGATGTATTGTGGAAAAGCAATGGTACCACAGTGGCTGAGAAGAATAAGCAAATGGGAGAAAACAGCACACAAAGCCAGAGAAGTAAGAGGGATGAGGAAGATCAAGCAGGCTCTTACGGTCCATTACAAAGATTTTGGGTTTTATTTACAATGAAACTTTGAGCAAAAGACTATTGTGAGCTGATTTACATTTAAACCTGCTCACTCGATCTGCTATGTTGAGAAGAAATTGAAGTTGAGCAAGGATGGAAGCAGAAGAGACAGGGGACTATTACAATGAACCAATGGTGAGATGGTGGCTCAGATCTGGGGGCTGGCAATAGAAAGTGTGAAAACTGTTGAGAGTTAAGAGTCTGGACATATTTTGAAGGTATTGGCAACAACATTTGCCGTTGAATTTAAGGATTGTAGGTGGGAAGAAAGAAAGAGATGAGTCAAGGTTGATTTCAAACATAAAGAGTGGAGCTGCCATTAATTGAAAAGAGAAAGGCTGGAGGGATGTAAAATCAAAGTTTGATTTTTTAATATTCGGTTGAGAATGCTTATGAGATATACAAATGGAAATAACAAATAAACAGTAGCATATCTGAGTGGAGTTCAGGTGAGAAGTAGGAATAGAGATATACATTTGAGAACCATCAATACGCATAGTATTTAAATTCACAATAATAGAAGAAATAGCCAAGCTAGAGAGTATAGAGATAGAAAAAAGATCCGAAGGTTTTTTTTTAGAATTTGAGAAGCTGAGAAGTTACCAGCAAATGAGAATGCAAAAGAACAGAGATGTAGAAAGAAAACTGAGAGACAATGTCCTAGCATTCAAGTGAAGAAAATACATCAAAGGGAGGGATGGTGAAACCTCCCTTAATGCTTCACCTGACAAAAGTCCTCAGCATGTCCATTGAATTACACTGAACTAAAAGCTAAGCCACAATTACGAACTATAGAAGTGACTCTGAATCTGGTAATCAGGTGATATAATATTCTGACAAAATAGGTTAGAAATGGGCAATAAGATGATCATACTGAGTGTGGTAAAGTAACATTCAGTGGGCAAATAGGCACTTACAAGAATAAAGGTGGCAATATTTGAGAATTGTTTTTGAGAGAAATGTAAATTTATTTTGAAAACATGATTAGTTCTGTTTAACAAAGGCAAAAGAGAATTAAATGCAATATTTAAAGATAGTCATCTGTATAGTTGGTGCCTGGATTTCATAAGTAAATGTTCTGATATGTTTGTATAAGATTATTTAATCAAATTCCAAAGTTAACAATAAACAACAGCAAGCAATTACTGCATTTTTAAATTAAATACAATTAGGAATTCAACACTTTTTAAATTTTAAAGATTGAAGGCAACCAAAAATAATAATTAGAATTGATTTTGACCTTTATATATAGTTTACAATGAAATTTTTATTGTAGGTTTTGCTGATTTGGCATAATAGCCCAATATTTTCTTGTATTTTATAAGCTGTTTATTCAAACTAATAAGAAATGAAAGATAATATTTTGTTTTGCCTTTTAAAATGTTTAAAAAGTTTTAGTGTTTCTTGGTTATACTTAAGGCTTTAAAATTATTATAATAGTCTGTATTACTTTATCTATGTTAACCTTCCTTTATTATTTTGTATAATGATTTCTGAACAAGTTGCAGCACATATTTTAGCATAGCATGAGGCTTTGTAAGAAAATTGATTGGCTTATATTTAATTTGTTTAAATAAATATTTTTCTAAATATTTTGATAAAGTATAGCTATACAATGTGATAGGGTGTGAGAAAGTATGAGTAAGGTATTTGCATTAGTCCAGTCTCCTGCTGCTATAAAGAACTGCCCAATACTGGGTAATTTCAAAAGGAAAGAGGTTTAATTGACTCACAGTTCCAAATAGCTGGGGAGGCTTCAGGAAACTTACAATCATTGCAGAAGGGGAAGCAAACACGTCCTTCTTCACATGGTGGCAGGAGAGAGAAGTGAGGGCCAAGTGAGGAGCGAAGTCCCTAATAAAACTATCAGATCTTGTGAGACCTCACTCACTACCATGAGAACAATATGGGGAAACTGCCTCCATGATTCAATTATCTCCACTTCGTCCCACCCTTGACACATGGGGATTATTACAACTCAAAATGAGATTGTGGGTGGGAACACAGACAATCCATATCATTCCACCTCTGGCCCCTCCCAAATCTCATGTCCTCACCTTTCAAAATACAACCACGTAATTCCAACAGTCCCCCAAAGTCTTATTTCAGCATTAACTCAAAAGTCCATAGTCCAAAGTCTCATCTGAGACAAGGCAAGTCCCTTCCACTTATGAGCCTGTAAAATCAAAAGCAAGCTGGTTACTTCCTAAATACAATGGAGGTACAGGCATTGAGTAAATACACCCATTCCAAATGGGAGAAATTGGACAAAACAAAGGGGCTATAGGCCCCATGAGAGTCCAAGATCTAATGGGGCAGTCATTAAACTTTAACTAAACATTAAACTAAACATAAAAAGTTACAAAATGATCTCCTTTGACACCATGTCTCACATTCCGGTCATACTGATGCAAGAGGTGGGCTCCCACAGCCTTGAGCAGCTCCACTCTGTGGCTTTGCAGGGTACAGCCCCCCTTCCAGCTGCTTTCACAGGCTGGCATTGAGTGTCTGATGCTTTTACAGGTGCATAGTGCAAGCTGTCAATGTATCTACCATTCTTGGGTCTGGAGGACTGTGGCCCTCTTCTCACAGCTCCACTAGGTAATGGCCCAGTGGGGACTTTCTGTGGGGGTTCCAACTCCACATTTCCCTTCTTCACTGCCCTAGCAGAGGTTCACCATGAGGGCTCTGTCCATGCAGCACACCTCTGCCTGGATATCCACGTGTTTCCATACATCCTCTGAAATCTAAGTGGAGGTTCCCAAACCTCAATTCTTCACTCCTGTGTACTCACAGGCCCAACACCACGTGTAAGCTGCCAAGGCTTGGGGTTTGCACTCTCTGAAGCAATTGCCTGAGCAGTACGTTGGCGCCTTTCAGCCACAGCTGGAGCTGAAGCAGCTGGGATGCAGTGCACCATGTACCAAAGCTACAAAGAGCAGGGAGGCCCTAGGCCCAGACCACAAAACCATTTTTCCCTCCTAGGCTTCCAGGCCTGTGATGGGAGGGATTGCCAGGAAGGTCTCTGACATGCCCTGGAGATATTTCCCCATTGTCTTGGTGATTAACATTCAACTCCTCATTACTTATGCAAATTTCTGCAGTGGGCTTGAATTTCTCCCCAGAAAATGGGTTTTTCTTTTCTGTTGCATCATCAGGCTGCAGATTTGTTGACCTGTTATGCTCTGCTTCCTCTTGAATGCTTTGCCACTTGGAAATTTCTTCTGCCAGAAACCCTAGACCATTTCTCTCAAGTTCAAAGTTCCATACATATCTAGGGCAGGGGAAAAATGTCACCAGTCTCTTTGCTAAAGCACAGCAAGGGTCACCTTTTTTCCAGTTCCCAAGAAGTTCCTCAGCTTCATCTGAGACCACCTCAGCCTGAACTTCATTGTCCATATCACTATCAGCATTTTGGTCAAAACCATTCAACAAGTCTCTAGGAAGTACCAAAGTTTCCCACATCTTCCTGTCTTCTTCCAAGCTCTCCAAACTGTTCCAACCTCTGCCTGTTACCCAGTTCCCAAAGTTGCTTCCACATTTTCAGGTATCTTTATAGCAGCACCCCACTCTCTGCGGTACCAATTTACTGTATTAGCCCATTCTCCTGCTGCTATAAAGAGCTGCTGGAGACTGGGTAATTTATAATGAAGGAGGTTTAATTGACTCAGTTCCACATGGCTGGGGAGGCCTCAGGAAACTTACAATCATGGCAGAAGGGGAAGCAAATATATCATTCTTCACATGGTGGTAGGAGAGAGAAGTGAGAGCTGAGTGAAGGGGGAAGCTCCTAATAAAACAATTCAGATCACACGAGACCTCAGTTACTATCATGAGAACAGTATGAAGGAAACTGTCCCCATGATTCAATTATCTCCACCTGGTCCCGCCCTTGACACTTCAAGATGAGATTTTGGGTGGGGACACAGCCAAGCCATATCACCATTCCTAGATACTTTATTTATCAATATGAGATTGTCACTCCCTGTACAAATTTCTTGAATATACATTCATTTCTCTGATACGCTATATAAATACAGAAGATGAATAAAAAATAATATATGTAGTATATGTAGTAAATTTGTACTACAGATAATAAATATTTTTGAATTCTGATACATCTAAAATGTTTTCTGTTATTTTCCATTTTGCGTTTTTTGTTTTTTGTTTTTATGGAGCCTTGCTCTGTCACCCAGACTGGAGTTCAGTGGCATGATCTTGGCTCATGGCAACCTCAACCTCCCAGGTTCAAGCAATTCTCCTGCCTCAGCCTCCTGAGTTGTTGAGATTACCGGCATGCACCAACATGCCTGGCTAATTAATTTTTTTTTTTTGTACTTTTAGTAGACACAGAGTTTCACCACATTGGCCAGGCTGGTCTCAAACTCCTGGCCTCAGGTGATCTGCCTGCCTCAGCTTCCTAAAGTGCTGGGATTATAGGCATGAGCCACCACATCCAGCCTAAAATATATTTCCTTTAACTTATAAAAGCAGATCCAGAAATTTCAGTGTGTTAGTGAAGAAAACTGTTTGCCTTTAAAAAAAAAAAATGTGGTATAAAATATATGAATTGAAGATTTCTTTCAAATCTGAAACTATTACATATGCCACAAAACACCAACCTGTTAGTGCTTTCCAATATATGGTTGAATCAAAGATTGTCAGATTAGTGACGTCTATAAACATATTCATGTCTTCACTGTAGAGAGGGCTCCATCACACATTCATTTATTTCTTCTCTGAACACAAGTTTATCGAACATCTACTATAACCAGGTGCTGTGCTAGGAACGCAATAATCACAGAAACAAAAATCCTGCCTTTGTGGATCTAATATTTTAGTTGAGGAAGATGATTAAAGTAAATAACAAGAAGCAGATAATATATTAGATGGAAATGTGTATATATATAAAATATATATACATATATATATACATATATACATATATATACACATATATATATATATATATATTTTTTTTTTTTAGACAGAGTCTCACTCTGTCACCAGGCTGGAGTTCAGTGGTGCGATCTCTGCTCACTGCAACCTCTGCCTCATAGGTTCAACCAATTAACTTGCCTCAGCCTCCCAAGTAGCTGGGATTACAGGTGCACCACCACGCCCGGCTAATTTTTTAATTTTTAGTAGAGACGGGGTTCACCCTGTTAGCCAGGCTGGTCTCCAACTCCTAACCTCAGGTGATCCACCCACCTCAGCCTCCCAAAGTGCTGGGATTACAGGCGTGAGCCACCACACCCAGCCTGGAAGTGGTAATATTAAATGAGAGGGTCCAGTAGGCCTCTCTGAGCAAAGACCTTAAGAACGTAAAAGAGAGTTTTGTGCCAATCTGGTAGCATTTACATGCATTTTATCATGTGTTAGGCAGCCTTACTCATTTAATTCTTACAAACGAATTGTGAGCTAGGTAAAAACTCCCTTCTACAGATGAGGAAACTGAGGCACAGAGAGAAAGAGAAACTTGACCAACTTTTCAGGCCATTAGTAATAAAGCTAAAATTCAACCCAGTGTTTATTTCCAGAGTCTGTAAGAGGGGCTTAAATGTAACCAAAACATACCATGCATAAGAAACAGCAAAGGGAAATGTCTGAGATCTGTGAGTGTTTGGTGTGCTGGAGGAACAACTTCAGGATAGTGTGGGTGGATGGAATGAGCAAGGAAGAGGGTGCTAAGTGAGGTTGGAGTGGGGAGTGGGTGGGATTCAGATCTTGAGGAATCTTGTGGATAAGCTTGAGACTGTGTGATGGGTAGGCATGGCAGGCTTGATAATTGATAAGGATATGTGTGATTTACATGGTTACGCATGCTTGATAATTGATGAGGATATGTGCGATTTACATGGTTACACATGCTTGATAATTGATAAGGATATGTGTGATTTACATGGTTACGCATGCTTGATAATTGATAAGGATATGTGTGATTTACATGGTTGCGCATGTGTTTTAAATCAAAGACATTTCAAAGGGTGAGAGAAAAAGGGTGAGAAACCAAAAATAATCAAGAAGAAAATCTTCGTGATCATAATTGATTTTTTTCTTTTCTGTTTTTTTTTTTTTTTAGACAGAGTCTCACTCTGTCACCCAAGTTGGAGTGCAGTAAATGGCGCCGTCTCGGCTCACTGGAACCTCCGCCTCTCAGGTTCAAGCAATTCGCCTGTCTAAGCCTCCCAAGCAGCTGGGACTACAGGCGCATGCTACCCCCCCTGGCTAATTTTTTGTATTTTCAGCAGAGACGGGGTTTCGCCGTATTGGTCGGGCTGGTCTCGAACTCCTGACATCAGGTGATCCACTCACCTCAGACTCCCAACGTGCTGGGATTACAGGCGTAAGCCACCACACCTGGCCATATTAAAGTGATATTTTATTATTTATTTTCTGACTTCTTTCACTAGTATATAAGATCCATGAGGTCAGAGACTGTGTTTGATTTATTACTTTATCTCCAGTGCCAAGAACACCTTAGAAATGATGGATACTTAAAAATTCTTTAGGACTTAATTAATTCATGCAGCAATTTTCTTTATTATCAGGAAAGATCACTTTGAGTGATGCAGTAAATATGGCCATTTCCAAAACACTGACAGTGTAGATTTTCCACCTATTTAATTTTAACGTTGTAGCTGTCCCCATTGCACCCCTAGTTTATTCAACAACTGTTGACTGAGTGCCTACCAAATGCTCGCCATGATTCTAGATGCCAGGGATGTAGAAATGGGAAAACAAGTAAAGATACATCCTCAAACTGTGTGTATGTATTCTAGTGGAAGAGCTCTCACTCTAGAAGTCAAAGATGTCAGCTCTCATCTCCTAGTTCTCTTTTCTCTTGTTTGATGGCAAGCAATGAATGTTCAACAGCAAGTCCTAGAATTTTTATGTTTGTGATAAAAATTCATTTGTGCATTGGTGTGCTCAGTTTTCAGATTCACTTTTGAAATTTTACACAAATGTTATAAATGCACATCTTAGACTTTTCTGGGACAAGTCTAGCATTAACTCTCTGCCTTCTTGTGTTTTTAAATATGTTAGCACTTGTTAGTACCTGCATGGTATTTTTTTTTTTTTTAGGTCATCAATAATGTTCTCCTTAAAGTCACATTCTTTTTTTTTTTTTTTTCTTTTTTTGAGACGGAGTCTTGCTCTGTCGCCCAGGCTAGAGTACAGCGGCACAATCTCGGCTCACTGTAAGCTTCGCCTCCCGGGTTCACGCCACTCTCCTGCCTCAGCCTTCCCAGCACCTGGGACTACAGGCGCCCGCCACCACGCCTGGCTAATTTTTTGTATTTTTTAGTAAAGACGGGGTTTCACCGTGTTAGCCAGGATGGTCTCGATCTCCTGACCTCGTGATCTGCCCGCCTCGGCCTCCCAAAGTGCTGGGATTACAGGCATGAGCCACCGCGCCCGACCTAAAGTCACATTCTTAATGTCGCAGAAAATTATGCTCTTTTATTATCATCAGCATACTTTAGCAGACAATGTCTGTGAGACCAGAGAAACTGGTAACCTATTGTCCTCCAAGAGTTTATTTAGAGTCCAAATGTTTTTCACATGAACGGGGGATTTCCTAGGCATCTGGAAAATCTACCTCCGTTATTTGACACACTTTTTTTCTGCAATAATTTACAAGCTGGACCTGCTCTGGCTGAAAAAATTTCTCAATCATCATTACATGCTTTCTATCAGAAGGTCTAAAATCTTTGTTACCACCGATAATAAACTGATCCAGAAAAATCATTCAGAATGCTGAAAGGAGCATAAACACTTATTTTTTAAAAAAGTACTTTTTATTTATTAACACAATCAGAAGTCTTTTATAAATGGCTTGTTTTAAATATTACATTGTACTTATATAACTGTTTTATCTTAATTATTTTTCAGAGTAAAAGTAAAATTGAATGAGTAAAATAAATCTACTTTGCAACCTAAGACTTTAGAAAATGTTTCATAAGGCTTTCTAAAAGGTGAAATAAACTTTATAGTATTCAACATCAAATTGGGTTTTTTAATGGTGAATTCAAGAGTATTTAATTCTTCATTAAATCTGGATTTACATTTTTATGGTCTTAGAGGTCATAACTTATTTATGCTGAAGCATTCATTTTCTTAAAGTTCTGCTCTTTCAAGCATAACACTTTGAAAATGCATTTCTTAGTATTACACTGAATGATGCCAACTGTATTATCAATGCAAATATTTATTTTTAATATTACTAGAGTTAGTTATCCTATCAAGTGTAGAAAGACTCTGAGCCATACATGTCCGGTTCTTGTTGTGGTGCATGTATATCAGATGTATTTGTATATGCATGGCACATTTCAGGGACATAAAATTGATGAACTTTCAAGCACAGAGGGCTCATATAATCCAATGTTATTTCACAAATGCAGACCTGAAGGACCAGAAAGCAAAGATCATTTCCAAGAGATGTGCAGCTAGTGAGAGAAAGAAATAGAAGCCTGAGTTTCAAACTATAAGGCCAGTCCCTTTAACTACAAAATGTCTTATTTCCAATGACTGTCATTATATTTCTACGAAAAACAAGATTTCATTGGTCTACAGCAGGGGTTGCAAGCTTTTTTTTTTTTTTTTTTTTTTTCCCTAAGTTCCAGAGAGCAAATATTTTAGGCTTGGCAGGCCATACAAACTTTGTCACAAATACTCATGTCTGTAGTTACAGGATGAAAGTAGCCATAGACAGGGTGAAAAAAAGCAGTTCTGTGTTCCAATAAAAATTTGTAATACAATTATACAATTTTCATTTCATATAATTTTCACATATCACAAAATAGTATTCTTCTTTTGCCTTCTGTCAACCATTTGTAAATATAAAAACCATTATGAGTTTATGGACTGTAGAAAAATATTCTATGGCCAGATTTAACCTTTGAGTCTTAGTTTGCCAAACTGTGGTGTAGAAGAATTGTTGGGATGTTTTATTTATTTATTTATTTATTTTTTGAGGAAATAAATTCTTTATATATATATATATATATACATATATATACATATTATACTTTAAGTTCTAGGGTACATGTGCACAATGTGCAGGTTACATATGTATACATGTGCCATGCATGTTGCCTAAACCTCCCCGCCTCCACTGCCACATACACACATTTTTAAGGATAGAAAGATATTCCACAGTGAGAAAATTTTAGAATTTCCATTTATAGTTAGATCACCCTTTTAAATTACTAATTTTACTAGTGTACAAATCAGGATATTAGTACATATAATTTATAAACAAAATTATATAAGGTTATTGAAATGTGGCTCAATTGTTTTTACCATCTGCGAGTTCCAGTAAAAATATCTGGAGTTTACTGGTCCAGAGAACAGTGATCTGAATCCAACAGGGGAAATTTAATAAGAATACGTATATAATCTTGGGAATTCTCTAATAGGTAAAATAGAATTAATTGTACTACCTCCACAAGGTTATGTCCATTAAATAAAATATTACAGGTAAAGTATTAATACGTTGCTTGAGATTTACTAGACAATAAAGAATTTGTATTATTCTATCTCACTTAACAATAGTTCCTGAATAAAGAGTGGAAATTCAACTGGATTTGATAAAGAAAACAACTGAATTAATCTTTAAGAGAATGCTAAAAATAATAACAGCATCTCTACCCCACACTTTGATAGTGCTTTACAATTTTCAAAGCACTATCAGTTGTATTTTGTTATTTGATACATACCACAATTCTGTGGGCTAGGCAGAGCTGACATATTTTGAAAAACAAGAAGTCATTATTTCTATTTTATAAGAAAACAAATTAATTTCCAACTGAAAATGATGGCATCATTCCAGAACCAGGATTTTTAACTTCACTTGTTAAGGGAGATGGTAAACTACAGTTAAACATTTGGCTTGTTATGAGTCACACACGATGAGAGGAATATTGACAGCATTGATGAGTCCACATGGGAGGGTGTTCTGTTACCTAGTAACTTGAGAAATGTTTGAGAGAACTAGGAACAATTGACCTAGATTAGTAAAGCTTTAGAGTAGGAAGGCTAACTCTCTGAATTTTTTTCAAGATTTGCCATGTGGAAGCGAGAATAGACAGATTATTTTATTGTCCAAAGAGAGAACTGGAACCAATGAGAAAATAGCTTTTGACAAAATATAAGGAAGTGTTTCTAATAAGGAAATAGTACAACTGTGAAATGGCCTAGCCATAAAAGAGGTAGTGCCTCCAAAATCTGTAAAATTACCTGTTGAAGAGCAGATTCTCACAAATGAAGTAAAATTGTACCGGATGTCTTTTATGACGCCTTCTATCCTTAGAAATCCAGAATCTCAAACCTCATTCAGTTTGAAAACCATTATTCTAAGTTAAGTAACTCAGGAATGGAAACCTAATATCGTATGTTCTCACTTAGTTGGAGCTAAGCTATGAGGACACAAAGGCATTAGAATGATACAATAGACTTTGGGAATTCTGGGTGAAAGATGGGAGGGGGGTGACGGGGGAAAGGTGGGAGAGGGTGAGGGATAAAAGCCTACACGTTGGGTACAGTGTACTCTGCTCGTGTGGTGGGTGCATCAAAATCTCAGAAATTACCACTAAAGAACTTACCCATATAGCCAAAAAAACCCATGTTCCCCCAAAACTATTGAAATTTTTTAAAAAATATAATCTGATATGTTTTTAAAATCATGGATTATAGAACTCTATTATAGATTGACATTATGTGCATAAAATTGTATTATGGTTTTCAAGAGTTTTATTTAATATTCTGCCTCGATACAACTCCTAAGCATGACTTCAAATCAAACACCCTGCCAGTGTTTTGGAAAAATTGTGGTAAATGAATTTAAAATGCATTTTATTTTAAATATTAAAATTTTCCCTGTATTTAAGATTGAGAACTAAGAAAAACAAGATTGATATTTAGCGAATGTTCTTACTGAGGCTTCCAACTGTCCTCTTCATATATTATTTTTTGAAAGATGGCAGTATAAATTAGAGCATGTTACAGAGGGAGTTTATGTGCGTTAATACAGCTGGCTCTGTTTTAATGATGCATTTGCACTTAAAGTAAAACCTTTGCTAGATCTAACTCCTTTCATTGAAATAGTTTATAATGATATTTGTAATGTAACTTTCATATTATTAAAAAAGAATTGTCCTAATGAACCCATCAGTTTTGTGTTGCCTAAAAGCTATACATATTTAATTAATGTCATATTTTACATGTTTTGCAAAATTTTGAGAAAATATACTTGGTTAATAGCTCTTATTTCTACATATCTATTTAAATGACAAAGCTGGAATTTACTCATTATGTCTAATGTATTATATAGGAAATTTAACTTGTTACAGTATACCAAAGCAAATGAAATATGATCAGATCCTTAATACTCTGTTTCATGTAGTGGCGTGCTATTTCCATTATTGCATTGTTGACAAGCATTGAAAAGAAGCAGATTTTGTCTGTTGGTTTTTGGCTGTCATATGCATCATTCCCAAAGAATAAGCCCTTAGTTAAGGATTGATGAGGACTAGAGAATGGATCACGGGCTTCTACTTCCTTCATTACCATTTTACTGTGAAATGTATTGCTTGAAATACACACACAAAAAACAAGCAACTGGTGATTTATTCATGCAGGATAAAGAACATCATTACCTATTTTCCTGTTCTTCAGACATATATATATATATTTAAATTTTATTTTGAGGAATCTATCTTCAGTTATAAAAATCTGATTAATGACTATGGTACATGTTTTGATGATTTGAATATGATGATAAAGCTGAGGAACTCGGGAAGTCTGTTTAAGTTTAAAATAAAGTCAAACAGTCTGAATACATTAGCCACTTTGTAACAAAGGCTTGATATATTTTCTTGAACATGTATTCTCTAAAGTCTTTTTTAATGGAAATAAATTTATATTCAGCCAGTGCATATTTTACTGAGTAAATATTCAATTGAAAATACATTTATATATCTATATATTTTATATGCATATACATTTTATATTTAATAATGACCTTGTCAGTCTCTTGTATTTTATTTGATCCTACTCATAGTATTTTTCTTCAAATGAAATATTGGACAATTTTTCAGTGAAAGCAAAGTCCTGAAATTCTAAAATGCTTCTTATTTTGCGTAAATTTTCTTTCTTAAGTCTTCCTATTTGTTTTTTTGTGTGTAATGTAAATAATAATCATATATTTTTGTGATAAGTATGTGTTAAGTATTTTGTATGCATGAACTCAATTGAGCATCATAACGTACCTTTTTACTGAGGATTAAAAGGAAGCTTAGAGAGATAAAGTGACTTAACTTCCTATAAATATAGTAAATTACAGAGCTTGAATTTGAGCCCAAGAAGTTCAGCCCTACAGTCAGCACTCATCCACCTAAATCATTCTGCCCACAAATAATATTCATTTAGTTGAATTCATTCTTGAGAGGTATGATCATATATAGTTTCCTAACATCACAAAATTACGCAATAATCTTAAAAAAGACAAATGAAGTTTACTTTTAGTTTTAAAGAATTTCAAATGAATAATTTTTCTTCACTGTGAAGTAGAAAAATTGTCCAGTGTCCCCGACAGAGAGGCCACAATGTATTAATGGCAAAAACCACAATTACTTTTGTGTCAACCTAACAGCTCACAATTCATATTGGTTTTCCTTTTTAGGTTCTCTCACATATCCCTTATTTCTTAATTTTCTTTTATGCTTACCTTTCAAACGTTTAAAACTCCTTCAAATTCCCTTTCATTACTATTGGGGAACCTGCCCTGATAGTCACATAGGTTCTTTTCTATTTTTCCTAAGCATCGGCCTGTTTGAGAAATAAAGGGCCAGAGTACAAAAGAGAGAAATTTTAAAGCTGGTCGTCTGGGGGAGACATCACATGTCGGCAGGTTCCGTGATGCCCCACAAGCTGCAAAACCAGCAAGTTTTTATTACGGATTTTCAAAAGGGGAGGGAGTGTACGAACAGGGTGTGGGTCACAGAGATCACCTGCTTCACAAGGTAATAGAATATCACAAGGCAAATGGAGGCAGGGCGAGTTCACAGGACCACAGGACCGGGGAGAAATTAAAATTGCTAATGAAGTTTCGGGCATCATTGTCATGGATAACATCTTATCAGGAGACAGGGTTTTGAGAGCAACCGGTCTGACCAAAATTTATTAGGCGGGAATTTCCTCTTCCTAATAAGCCTGGGAGCTCTATGGGAGACTGGGGTCTATTTCACCCCTACAGCCTCGACCATAGTAGACGGCCACACCCAGGGGGGCCATCTATAGACCCACCCCCAGGCGCATATTCTCTTTCCCAGGGATGTTCCTTGCTGAGAAAAAGAATTCAGCGATATTTCTCCCATTTGCTTTTCAAAGAAGAGAAATATGGCTCTGTTCCGCCCAGCTCACCGGTGGTCAGAGTTTAAGGTTATCTCTCTTGTTTCCTAAACATTGCTGTTATCCTGTTCTTTTTTCAAGGTGCCCAGATTTCATATTGTTCAAACACACATGCTCTACAATTTGTGCAGAGATTAAAGTAAAGATGGGCATAGGAAATCACTTGGGGAAGTGATAAGTGTCCATGAAATCTTCACAATTTATGTTTAGAGATTGCAGTAAAGACAGGCATAAGAAATTATAAAAGTATTAATTTGGGGAATGAATAAATGTCCATGAAATCTTCACAATCCACGTTCTTCTGCCATGGCTTCAGCCGGTCCCTCCGTTTGGGGTCCCTGACTTCCCACGACACATTACGTTAATATTTGCATGTGATATTTTTTTCACAGAAAATAATCTTGACAATGAGAAAATATTGCTTTACCTTTTGCAGAAAAGATTTGATACATTTTCAGGATTTCATTTACATGGTTCATCATACTTTCCTCAGAGTGTACTGACACTTGTCTTTTTTGAGGGGTGAAGAATGAAATAAAACAATGTGTAGGAATATTGTGTGAGGTCATTTGAGGCTTCCTATTGGATTTACTAAACCAGGATATTCAAGCAGTATTCCAAGAAGTTCAATGTAGAGACCTGTTGGCCGGGAGAAAGTTTAAAATATTAAAATGCCCAAATTTGCACATTCAAGTAAAAATTACCTTTGTATAAATCAAAGTAATAATACTAACTTTATAACTATGATTCAGTGTTTATAGAATTTACACCAATATATTCTCATTTAATTCACATATGCGCTCTGAGGGATAATCCACGTAATCGGAGAATCAGTCTCAACTATTCTGTCTCTAAAATGGTTCTCAATCCTTCCACTATTGACTCTGTCCATGCTCTGCATGTACACTGCACCTGGGAGTAACCATCAACTCTCAACTCGAAGACTATACTTTCCACTCTGGGCTCTTTGTATTCTTGTCTCCCTGAGAGCCATTCTCTGCACGGATGCCACACACTATCTTTTCCTAAAGCATACATCAGAACGTAAAACTCTTTGTTTAAACCATGTGGAGTCCTATTGAACAATGGTTGACATTCTCATGTTTTCACTTGGGCTACAATGTGTTGCATGAACATAATTCTAACTTCCATTCTGCCCTTAACCTGGTCTGTTCTCTCTTGAGTTCACTGTGCACTGGCTATGAGGCCACCTCTCTTTCTCTTTCCCTCTCTTTCCAGGCCTCAAGATCCATTCCAAGCTTTTTTTGTCTGTTTGTTTTGTTTTGTTTTTGTTTCTCCTGATAAGTAATCTCTTCCAGAACTCTCTCTTGTCATTGAGGTTTCAAATTTAGTGTCACTCCCCAAAGATTTCATCTAAAGTAACTACACCCTTCCTCCCCTTCCCACCTTGTCACATATAATTTAGAGATCCTACGGTGTTAATCACTTGCTGCAGTCATTTTATTTATATATTGATGATTCCATTTCTGTACATCAACCTTGTAAGAGTGGTCTCTATATCTCTATGAGACCAGAAAACTTCTCTCTAATTTGCTGTTGGCTATTCAGTGCCTCGTAGATAGCAGGTGCAAAATAAATTTTTGTTGAACTATTGAATCTTTTCAGTTACCAAACTCTCCACATTAATCTTCCTGAGATTGTAGAACAGGCATTATTAGAGTACAGGCACATCAAAATTGTTCTTCACCTAAAGGCTTATGGCCAGTGTGAGGTCAATTTGAAAGGACGGCATGGGTGTCCGGATTTTTAGTTAAGATTTTTCATTAAACTACCCACTGGGTTTTTTATTGATTCGATTATTTAGACAGCAACTGTTAAAATTTCACAGTTAAAAAAAAAACTTATTTTTGACCACTGCAGTTGGTACACATGTGCAGTCTTTGTAGGAACTTGTCTTCTCTAAAGAATTATGGTAGTTGAGCAAATGCTTAGGATTTACTAAAGCAATAAACAGATTAACACTACTCGGGGGGCATACATCTATACTACTGGGTTAAGGAAAATGCGTAATTTGCAACTTGAACTGCCACTGCTGGGCAAAACTAACTGGCTACTGTAGTTACACCTGGGCTTTCCTAATGGAAGGAAAGCTTGGATTTCCAAAAGTTAATTCTAAAAATAGTGATAAAGAATAAATTTATATTTGTATATGATATCGAAAGATACGGTCGGTTTATAAACTCAAGTAAATGATGGTCAGTTCTATATTAAGAGTAGCATAACTTCAATCTTATGTATGATACTATGTCCCTCTACAAATGATATTTAACAATCTCCATTTGTATTTGGCTTCAGAATTGATGATATAATTAGTAAATGCATGCATGAACACACGCATGCATAGATAGTTTTCTGTGCAAATGAATGCTTAATAAGCTAATGATACATTTAATTCATCATTTTAATTGGAAATTAGTGCAGATATATCACCTCAAAAATGACATTATACTACCATTAAAATGTTACAGTTTAGGCCAGGCATGGCAGCTCATGCCTGTAATCCCAGCACTGTGGGAGGCTGAGGTGGGTGGATCATGAGGTCAAGAGTTCAAGACCAGCCTGGCCAACATGATGAAACCCCGTCTCTACTAAAAATACAAAAATTAGCCAGACGTGGTGGCATGTGCCTGTAGTCCCAGCTACTTGGGGGGCTAAGGCAGAAGAATAGCTTGAACCCAGGAGGCAGAGGTTGCAGTGAGCTGCGATCGTGCCACTGCACTCCAGCCTGGGTGACAGAGTGAGACTTCGTCTCAAAAAAAAAAAAAAGAAAGAAAGAAAGCTACAATTTGAAGCATGTAAGCATTTTTTAAATAATATAATATTAAAAACATAACAAAATGAAATTCTAAAATTATAACTGAAGGATATCCTAAAGCAAAGCAATCAAAATTTTCCCTATACATTTACCAGTTGGTATAGATTTAAAAGATTAACAAATTGATGCAAATTTGAAATGTATTCATGATTAATTGTGTCCATTTTATTTTGTTTTTGCTTTAGGAAGTGCTATAAAACAAGAATTATCTTAAAAGTATAGTTTTTTATATCCCTTCTTCCATTTCTTCATTCCTGAAATATTTGTTGAATACCCGTTATATGTCAACCCGTCTGAAAGGATGTGAATAGAAAAAAATATACAGTGCTCAGAAAAAGCTGATAGGCAAACTAACCAATATACGGCCAAATGGTTACTATTATTAGCCTGCTGTCCATATATAGGAAATAAATTTTGAGTTATATTTTCTAGTGAAGGGAATCCAATTTGTGGATCCCATTTGCACTCTCTCACCTAGTTGTCTTTCCTAGCAGGTAAGGCATTTGTCAGGAACAGTATTAGGGTCTATTCCCTTTTCCTAGTCTATGTGATGCCTCCTTCTCTTACAATCTCCAAGACTCTTTTCAAGATCTTTTCATTCTTGATGCCATTCTTGACCTCCCAGAGTGGGCTGCTTGCCTCTCATTTATGCTCCCATAATGCTCAGTATATTTATGGAATTTAAAATACTAACGTATACTTGTTGGTTTCCAATTATGGCATATGTTGACTCTCCATCTAAATCTGAAAATTAGATTTTGCCCTCCTTTAACCTGAATGTTTTTTCAGAAAGAAGACTGTGTATATACTATTTGTATTACCATAGTACCTGATACCAAGGGGTTTGTATGGCCTGTGTAGAAACCACCTGAGCACCTAGGTTAAGTCTGATTGATAGCATAATTTGTTTAAGTAAAGCAAAGCCACAGCAGCTATTAGTTCAAATTCTATGCAAATTATCTAAACCATTGGGTTTGAGATTGTGATCCCTGGACCAGTAGAATTAGTAGCATCTTAGGACCTTTTAAAAATGGAAGTGCTTGATTTCCAGAGCCAATTATGCTGAATCAGAAATTCTAGATTTAGAGCTCAAAAACTGGGTGATTCTGATACCTGCTAAAATTTGAAACTACTTACCTCAGCTAATAAGTATGAGCAATAATGTATATAGTTAATCTACCATATTATACCCAAGTTATGTGCTTGGTTTTGGTATATTTACGGACATGGACCCATGCATTTTAAGGAGAGCAATCCCAAATATCTAGCCCGTCTCCTTTCTCTGTTTTGATCTGCCTGTGAAAAAGGAATCAGTCCTACTTGTAGAAACAAAATGCAGTTTAAGCTACAATAGATTGTCCTTGTCTCTAAACTTGCTTATTATAGGGTTCATATCATTCTAGGCTATCACTATAGTGTTTTGCTTTTGAAGAAGGAAACCTCAGACTTCATCCTCTTGCAATTCTTGCTGAATTGCAGTCTGCAACTTTGAATAAATGACGAAGAGGAAAAGGAACTAATGTGTATTGAGTTTGTATTGAGTGTGTACATATATAGTATCCTATTGCACATCTAAACTAATAAGTTATCTAAGCAAAAGATGATACTAGCACAAATAAAAGCAATCAGAGCACAAAAGATAGCATGTATAAAATACTTGGAACATGCCTGCTACAAAGTGTCCAATGAATGTTAACTATTATTGTTACTAATCACTTAGGCATTTTAGAGATAATCTAAATTCATAAGAAAATGTGTGAATAAAAATTTCCAAATGTAAATACCCCTATAGAAAAAAACACACTAGCAATACTTTACAATTTTTGACACATCTGAACTCAAGAAAAAAAAAAGCTGCATTTATTCAGTGCCCACTTAAATGAACTTTACAAACTGACCTGCAACTGAAGCATGACAATGAGGATTATTTATTTTGCATCTGGCAGTGACAAAGGAAAAGATTCTAGATGTTCTTCCTTAAGATGCTAGAATTTAACAGGTAG
The DNA here is from genome assembly GCF_000001405.40 of Homo sapiens. NCBI lineage: Eukaryota > Metazoa > Chordata > Mammalia > Primates > Hominidae > Homo > Homo sapiens. The sequence goes on along the minus strand of NC_000003.12, from coordinate 79,321,033 downwards.
TTACATATTATATTGGGGGATAATATTTAAGTTTAGCTTAATCAACTCCTTCAACTACCTTTATTTTCATTATAGCTTTACATAGAGAATTTCAATTCTCAGCTTCAAAATTCCAAGTATATATGAGGTGACAAATGTAACCAAATTCTACAGTCTAGCTTAAATTTTATAAAGATTAAATATAAAGTGTGTATAGCATCTAAAATTAAATACTTATCTCTGATTCATTTAAAATTTGTTTACATCCACTCTGAGATAAGACAAACATTAAGCCTTAATAATTTAATGTAGGTTTGCCTAAAGTAGAGCCTTCTGTTTAAAATATAATCAATAGAGTCTTTAAAATATTTCTTATGGACTGAATGATTGTGTTCTTCCAACATTCATATGTTGAAATCCTAACCCACAATGTGATGGTATTAAAGATGTGACGCCCAGATCTTTGGGAAGCCCAGGTGAGACTGTCGTTTGAGCCCAGGAGTTCAAGGCCAGCCTGGGCAACATGGCAAAACTCCATCTCTGCAAAAAAACTACAAAAATTAGCTGGGCATGATGGTACACACCTGTAGTCTCAGCTACTCAGGGGCTGAGGTGGGAGGATGACTTGAGCCCAGGAGGTCAAGGCTGCAGCGAGCTGTGATTGTGCCACTGCACTCCAGCCTTGGTGACAGAATGAGACCCTGAAACAAACAAACGAAAAGATCACGGGGCCTTTGGGAAGCGATGAGTTCACGAAGGTGGAGTCCTCATGGATGGGATTCGCACCTGCTTAATAGAGACCCCACAGCTCTGTAGCCCATACTCCACCGTGCAAGCATACAATGAGAGACTGACAGTCTTCAACTCAGAAGAGGCTCCTCAGCAGAATCCAAATATCCTGGCACCATGACCTTGGATTTCCCACTATCTAGAACTGTGAGAAATAATTTTCTGTTGCTTATATGTCCATGGTCTATGGTACTTTGTTATAGATGCCTAAACTGATTAAGACATTACATATGTTTCTCCATGAAATTGATTGACTATTCCAAAGTTAGCAAATATATTGAGGGTCTACCCTGGTTATACAGTTTACAACTTCTTGACTTGAAAAAGTTATTTAATATTACCTTACAGCATTATTAGAAGGATTAGAAAGAGTGTATGGAGAACACTTAGCATAAAGCCGATAAAACTTAATTATTCAATAAATTATAACTTATTAAACTCTTTATTCAAGTACCTATGGGTTATATGTTATGGTAGGCATTTTTTATTATATTCTGAGTTGTGTGTCCACTGTAATTACAATAACAGAACAGGATATCTCAAAGCTTAACATTAGGGCTTTAGTATTTTAATACATTTAAGTCATTTTTAATATTTTCATATGAAAAAACACCACTTCCATGGCTATTTTCATCCCACTTTTAGGCACAGTTTTCATTTTATTTTTAAAGAGAAATAAACATTAAGATAATGTTTATTTTAAGTCCTTTAGGTTTTAATGCATTAATTATATCTATTTCTCAACAATAACACAAGAATCTTATTAAATGGACTTACTTGATAAACAGGGAACCTGCTATTACACCCAGGTATTCTGTTAAGCCAGTGTTTCCAATTGATCAATGAAAAATTTCAGAAGTATTTCAAGGCTATTTTTAGCTCAACTTTTTAAAATATTATTCATAATATTGATCAACATATTTAAGACAATATTTAAGACAATATGTTAATCAATATTATCAGGGAGAGTACATTAAACCACGTGTTAGTTCAGACCTGTGCTGTTCAATGTGGTAGCCACTAGCTACATGAGCCTATTAAACCCTGAAATGTAGCTACTCCAAATTCAAAATTTCAGAAATGTAAAATACACACTGGTTTTCAAAGACTTATAAAATGTTTCAACAATATATGGAAGGATAGGAGAGGAGTGAGGGATGAGAAATTAATTAATGAGTGCAATGTACATTATTCAGGAGATAGTTACACCAAAAGCCCAGAATTCACTACTACAAAATTTAGCTATGTAACAAAACTGCACTTGTACTTTTTAAATTTGTACAAATAAAAATGGTATTGATTATATGTTGAAATGATATTTTGTAAGTTTGCATATAATTCAAATTCATTTTACCTATTTCTTTTTACTCTCTAAAATGTGGCTATTAGAAAATTTAAAAACAGATAGTGTGGTTCACATTTGTGGCTCTTTGTCTTAGACCTTCAGAAACAAAGAAAATCCATCAAAAATATTCCTTTAAGAAAAGGGACTTTATAACTATATACATTTGTGTATATTTATGTGTGTCTAGATGTATATGTGTCTAGATGACCCTAGATAAAACAATGAAATGCATCGCTATTGTGGTTGAAAAACATATATTTATAAATCAGAATTCTGTTTCAACATTCACTGGTGTGTCAGAAGTTGTCTACTATTGTGGGATTTGTGATTTGATTAGATATGTCAATTCATCAAAGAATTAGCTGAATCTGTCTCCAGAATAAATCTAAATAATCTGGCTCCAGGGCCCAGGATGTTAAACTGAATGCTGTACTTTCCTGAGGGACCTAAAATCTAGCTGTATAGCTAAAATGTACTGGCAGAAAGTTACTCAATTAGACTAGAGGATGGGAATATTTAACAAGTGACATAGTATATGCAATGGGAATTCCAAGAAGGAAGTTATTCTACTGTGGTGAACTGGGAAGATTACATGTGATCTGGAGGTAGGATAGTACTAGTGATAGTAAACTTTATGTGTCAACTTTGCTGAACCATAGGGAGCCCAGATATTTGGTCAAATATTATTTTGGGTGTTTCTGTGAGAGTATTTGGATGAGATTAATGTTTAAATCATTACTTAATTAGTGGAGAGTGGAGTGAGTAAAGTAAATTTCCCTTATTATGTGGGTGGTCCTCATCCAATCATTGAAGTCCTGGTTAGAGCAAAAGACTGACTGCCCGTTGGCCTTTGAACTGGAGCATCAGCTCTTCCTGTTTCTACAGCAACCTGCTGACCTTTGGACTCAGACTAGGACATTGGCTCTGCAGATTTTGGATTTGCTAGTTTACGTAATCCCACATGAGCCAATTTCTTATAATAAATATCTTTATACACACACATAAAGTTGTTTATGCGTGTGTGTATATATATATAATGCATTTCATTGTGTGTGTGTGTGTGTATAACACAGATCTGTAAGGAGATGTATGTGTATATATGTGTATAACCATATATATCCAGAGAACCCTGACTAAAACTGTTCAAGAACACGAGTGCTTTGTAGGCCCAGAGGGAAGAACTATTTCAAAATGAGGACATGTGAGCAAAGACACATGGGGTGGGGATAGAAGAGTATTAGGAAGGATGGGATGTTGATTATGATCTAGGTCCAGCTAACATTAGACGTTATAATCAAGATACACGGTAACAGAATATTTGTTTAGATTTGTTTATAACATGAGTAGAAGATTAGATTTGGCCGTACATGCCAAATAAATAAAAAATATTTTTTTTCATTTTATCCTGTAGACAGTTGGGACAAATGGTAATAGATTACTATGATCTGATTGATGAGTTTTAGGTAAGTAATTTTGTAATGTTAAGCAAAATTTAATAAAATATGGAGATATGGAAGCTGGCGTAGTGAGCAAAGAGATTACTACAAAATCTACCATGAGATAATTACTAAAACAGGAAAATGAGGGTCAGATGGAAGAAGGCTATGAAAATAGGAAGAGAATTGATGTGATATTGCTTGAGAAAAACTTTAAAAATAGGAGTGACTCTGGAAATAGAAATAATATTTTTTGGTTTAAATTGGAGATTGGTGGCATTCTTAACCAAAATAAATGAATATAAATACATACACATTTACAGAAAGTGACCTTCTGGCCTTAGGAAATGGGAATTCTTATTTGGTCAATTCTCTATAAAGAGAGGAGTTAATCCATGTGGGAAAATATTTCTAATTCAATTGTAGAGACAAAACACATTTTTATAAACTTAGGTTCTAAGTTGTTTTGTGTGTGAAAAAAAGTGTATGTTCAGATGCATTTGGTTTTGCAACATGCAATGACAGTGTGTGACTATTATTCCCCTTGTTTGTTCTTTCATATTCTGAAGTGATGACAATGATAATGTTTAATATTCTGAAATAATGACAATGTTCTATGATCTAGAGGACAGCTGATGCCTTCTTGGTAATCTTTATGGCCATTGATATATTTAATTTCAGAGTGGCATAATCTTGCAAAGAATAATCAAAATACAAAAAAATGCAAATAAGTAAAAGAGTAAAATACTTAATAACCCCAGCTGGGCACTTGGTACTATCTGACATTTATATTATATTTTTCTTAACCCATTTACTCTCCCCACCTTCCGGACAACTTCTTAATAAGTTCTCACCCCTAAGATTACATTACTTTATGCCATCCTCAGACTTTATCTCTAAGAACATAGGAACAACCAGAAAATAACTTCCAAAAGTTCCCCCCACCTCATCCACATGTCTACCTACCTATCATCCACCATAATTGAATGACTCTCCTATAATTAAAGATGAAATTTTAATGTTCCTCACTAAAGCTGCCCTTTACACCAGATCCCATTCCCTCTCTGGGAATACTCTGAAAATCATTCCCATTAAATATATGCTTCAACCATATTTTTCCTACATCTTAAACAAAAATCTTGCTTTGAACCCACATCTCTCTAGTTACTGTCACTTTTAGCCACCCTCCTTAAAAGAGTGGTACATTTTTGTTTCTAAGTTATGTATTTCCATTCTTGAACCTCCTCCTCCAATCAGTTTGCCCTACTATTCTAACACATCTGCTCCTTTCAAGAAAACCAATCATCTCCTTATTGCTAGGTTGTCTCATCTTAGAGTTTGTCTAAAGACTTGTCTCAGTCATAATCTTACTTGAAATACTTAGATGACTATTCCTTTATACATTGCTGCTTCTGAATCACTGTGGGGTCAAAAATCCCTGTCCCTATTGAGGTTAGAATTGCGTGTAAAGTACAGTTATTATAGTGGATTTCAAGGGCAAGCTTTTTCCACTTGACTCTGGTTTTCTCCAACTCTTTCACAACTCTATCTCGGACTTCCTTGTTAGCTTATTCTTTAAAAGCTTTGAGTATTTCAGTTCATTCCATGGATCTCTGCTGACTCTATCATTACTCTTTTGAATATCTAATCCAGACTCACAATTGGAAATGCAGTCTATGTGTATGTTGGCAGTTGCCAAAAGTGTATCTTTTTGCCTAAATCTTGCCTTAAAACTCCAGATTATTATATCTAACTATCTACTTGACATCTGTACTTGCAGTCTGGTAGATACTTTGAATTTAATATATCAAAAAATGTTTCCGTTAACTGCTCTCCCTGTACTTTCTCATCTCAGAACTCAAAACTCGTTTCTCCCTGTCACTGAGGCAAATACATAAATATCGAGGAGTCACCCTTAAGTTCTCATTCCCACTTTTATTGCTCTCCGTTATTTCCCATCTTCTCATACAGCACTTTGTGTCAGTAAGTTATGTCTGCTTAACCTTGAAAAGATATCCAGAGTTTGAATATTTTCACTACTCCACTTCTTCTATTCTAATTTGTTTCACTATAATCTCTTGCCTGATTTATTTCATCAGTCCCGTAAGTGGTCTCCTGCTTTCATTCTTACAGCTCAATATATCCTCAATACAGTAGTCTGGAATATCTAGTTTAATGAAAACTTTTTTATGCATTTATTTTTCTTATAAAGATGAGATCACCCTTTGTGGCCCAGGCTGGTACTGAACTCCTGGCCTCAAGGGATCCTCCCACCTCAGCCTCCTAAAGTTCTGGGATTACAGGTATGAGTCACTGCACTTGGCCTAGAATATCTAGTTTAAATGTGTGTCACTACACTTCATCCTTCTGTTCAAAACCACACTGTAACTATCCATCATTCCCAGATTAGAAGTCAAAGTTCTTACAATGACCATAAGGGCCTATATGACAGTTTCCCATTTCGTTTCTGTCCTCATTTTTATTCAAAGACATTTCGGTGAGAACTTTCTTTACTATCCACTCTAAAACTGCACTCTCCAACTCTATTATTTCCTATTCTTCTTCACTGTTTAATTTTACTTTGCTCCTTAACAGCTATTAGAATAGAAGAAGTGACAGTAATGAAAATATTCAAACTCTGGATATCTTTCCTACCACACTGTATACCTACTTGCTTGCCTTGTGTTATGACAGTCACCACTACTAAAACATATACTGTGTGAGAACAGGAATTTCTTGTTTTCTGGGCTGCTCTGCTATAGCAACTAGAAGAGTGTATGCTGTCGAAGAGAACATAACAACTCATGTTGCACAGTGAGTATTTGTGGAAAGAATAAACAGAATTTTTAGTCTTTGTATTAGTCCATTCCCACACTGCTAATAAAGACATACCCAAGACTGGGTCATTTATAAAGGAAAGAGGCTTAATTGACTCACAGTTGAGCATGGCTGGGCAGGTCTCAGGAAACATAATCATGGCAGAAGGAGAAGCAAACATGTCCTTCTTCACATGCGGCAGCAAAGAGAAGTGCTGAGCAGAAAGGGGAAAAGCCCCTTATGAAACCATCAGATCTCATGAGAACTCTCTCACTATCATGAGAACAGCATGAGGGTAACCTCCCACATGATTCAATGACCTCCCACCGGGTCTCTCCCATGACACATGGGGATTATAGGAATTACAGTTCAAGATGTGATTTGGGTGGGGAAACAGCCAAACCCTATCAGTCTTACATCAGGTTTTTTATTGGAAATTTATACTTCTATTTTGAAAATTAAAAATAAAACCTAAAATGTATGTTTGAGGTGGGAGAAGAACAAAATCCAAGTAAAGATGATATGGCTTCCTTTTCAACCTTTAAAGGAGGAGCATGAGACCTAGATAGAATCAGGAAATCACAGAAGGACAATCTCTATAGTGTCAGTCTAAAACCTGAACTTTAGGATATATCTCATCCTAATTTTAGATCAAAAAAGACAAACAAAAGGAATAACATCTTTATAAATAATGCCTAAGCTGCTGAGTTTAACACAACTCTATACCCTCATGTATTCCTTCATTTATCTTTATTGCTTGCCTCAAGTGTCTAGTTTTCTGAAGTACTTTTAAATAGTGACTATATGATTTATAAATGCATATTTCAGATGATATAGCATAAAAGCCTTTTTAAAATCATTCTTATTCATCTGTTTACCTTTAACTGTGTAGTAACTTAACAACAGGTGACATGAGTTTTCTCAGGGGCCTATTTCCCACCTATATGTGAATTGGGTTGTCAGAATTCAGCAAAATAGGGCTAAGGGAGAGGATTGTTTCATCTACATAATGACCATAGGATTCTTTTTATCTCTTTGCACATAACTCATAATTGAAAGATCAATATATAATCTTTCTGTTTATGGTGAGATCAGATATTAAGAAGTACTCGAATCTGACAGTCTTTTCTATTTGAACAACATAAGGAAGGGATTTCTAAAGTTTTCTAAGAGAGCTTCTAAAAGCATTGAAGGAAATAATACAATTTTCTTGGCTTCATACAGTAAAACCCTTTCTGTAGACAATCCATCAGTCTTAATCGTGCAAAGGGATTCACACTAAAAGTAGAGATAAAAGTTTTTGAAATAGGATGGGGCTTTTAAATCTTGTTCCTTGTCAAATTACCCAGGAAAAGGCATAAGCAGGATTGGGATCTTTTTCTGCCAATATTATTAAATCTCTCTAGAATGTTCTTTGCTCTTTATATGATTTTTTTCAACTACTACATTTGAAATACACCAGAATTTTTTTTTTTTTTTTTGAGATGGAGTCTCGCTCTGTCACCCAGGCTGGAGTGCAGTGGCATGATCTCGGCTCACTGCAAGCTCTGCCTCCTGAGTTCACACCATTCTCCTGCCTCAGCCTCCCGAGTAGCTGGGACTACAGGTGCCCACCACCGCCCCCTGCTAATTTTTTGGAAATACACCAGAATTTTTAGAATATATCATACTTTTTAAAAATTAAGCAAGATTTTTGGGGAATGTAAATGGCAACGTTGAGCTAATGATGACTTTTGTTTCATCTGTATTATGTATGTGTATAGGTATATGTATGCATGTATACATTTATTTTAATATTTAATATGCTGAATTAGAGACTCAAAAAGGGTAAAACTTAAGGGCAAGTATTCTGTTATTTTTTTTCATCCAAGTTAGCACAGTTATAAAAACATGCCAAATGTATAAATGAATGAATGAATGGATATAATTTTACAAATGCATGTGTGGTGAACCTCAGAACTGGTTGAGTTGTCAGTGAATCAACATGAATCTAAATTACTCCTACTCCAAGTTCAGAGAGGCCTGAAGACATCTAAAGGACTGCTTTATGGATAGGTCCAAATTCCACCGGGATAGATCTATTTACATGAAGAAGCTTGGGGTAAGTATAGTACCTTATCTTGGAAGGAGAGATATACTTTTCACTATAACATCGCTTCATTCATATATTTATTCAACAAATCATGCTTAAGCAATTATTATCTCTCAGTAGTTGCTCTGGGCTCTGGAATTGATCTCAAAATTTGATATTTCTTTGGGAAGATTGACAATGAACACCTATACTAGTAAACAAATGACATAATCCTTGGTGGGAATTCTTTCTTTGAAGTAAGTAAAACAGACAAACGAATTGAAAAAGGTCATGATGTGCTCTATATCCAGATGTGGCGATCAGAAAACACCTCTTTTAGGAGGTTACAGTTGACTTGAGAGCAGAATGTTGAGAAGGGCATTGCATTAGTCAAAGTGGGCAATGGAGATTGTTTGAACCTTCATTGTATCAATGAAAATAGTGAGAAGTAGTTGGATTTGAGAAATATTTTGTAAATAAAGTTTACAGAACATACTGGTAACATTTACATTTTCCAAATCAAGCTTGGAGGGGCTGGAGTTTTGGGGCTGAGTGTTAGGGAAGAGCCAAGGTGCCAGAAATATGTTGGGAATTTGATTTAATTATGTGAGGGGAGTTCAGAATTGGATACATGGATCTGGAGTGAAGGTAAAAGGTCTGGGATGGATATAGAGACCTGTAGACACTTTTAGGTGGCTTTTTTTAAACCACAGGATTAAGAGAGAGTATCTCTTGAGATAGTGTGTATAAATAACAGTTGGCTAGCTATGTAGCCCTGGAGTATAGCAATATTTAAATATCGGGTAGGACCATACCTTGTAGATTTACTATGCTGATTAAGTTAATGTACGTAAAACACTTTAAAAGCTGAATCTAGCAAATACACAATACAGGTTGCTAGTGTTATTACTGGAGGCCACATCTCTGGGAGAAAAAAAAGCATACAAATGATAAAATCTTAATGCTCTATTTCAGTTGTCTTCCTCAACCAGCTACTTAGATAATACATCTATAGGACCTAGATCTCTATGTCTTCTTACCTGCATGATTAACCTGACAGCATGCTTATAGTATTACTAGTGGAGAAAATAGCTTTGTAAAAAGAAACAACTTAATTTCATTTAGTGGAAATAACCAAACACACTTTATTTCTAAATTTATAAGAATTTAAATTAGAAATTCAGAGTCACAAATATAAAATGGAATTTTAAAATTCACATTTTGTTTTCTTTACATATACAAAGTATCGCGTACTTTTTAGTATTATGATATAGAATATTGCTTCATACCTTATGGAATAGTTTAAGCCCTTTCTGGAATACCTCCTCATTCTTCTCAGTTTACTAGCTTAGAAGAGGGTAAAATATGAAGACAGGTCTTTTTGTTGATCCTAGTAAATCTGATATCCCTCAGCTACTGCTCACAACTAAATAAGAAGTTCCATTAACTGTAGATAAAGATGTCAATGCCCAGTATTAATTCAACCATTATCAAAATGCTGTCCAGATACAAAGCAAAGTAATTGAGGATGCTTATGAGCCATTAGTCATGAAGCAAGCTTGACGTATCAAATAAAGAAAAAAGAAAATCAATACTGATATTTTCATCTGTAGGTTTCTGGAAACAAATGTGAATGGCAAAGAGAGAAAACCACAGTGGATATCATCATACACTTTGGACAAGTGTTTCAAATTTTGTTCTTTCATGTTAATGAAATTGATAACACTTACTAGTTATATTTGAAAATGGATTTCAGAAAATGCATTACAACTATTGTTTCATGTAGCCTTATTGAAATACAAACTTACTTTAATTTTTTTATTTTAAAAACATTTTAAATGTAAAATTATTGTATATATTTAAGGGGTACTTGTGATATTTTGATATATGCAATGTGTAATGATCAAATCAGGGCATTTTATGATATACATCAACTCAAACATCTATCATTTCTTTGGGAAACATCTAAAATTTTTCTAGCCATTTTGAGGTATACAATTAGTTGTTAACTATAACCACCCTACTTACAGAAAGTAAGGAATGAATAAATCATCTCTGAAAAACGTAAAATTGCCATGTAGAGTTATATTGGATGGTAGAATAGAGAAAGCTCTCAGCACTTCAAGAAGTAGTCCCTGAGCAGCATAGACTTCCATTCTCAGCTTTATTCAACTGCCAGTGATAAGTGAGGTGCATTATTTGGCTGATCATATGGAGCTATGGGATATAAAAGGCCCCCAGTCCCAGGAGAGGAAGGTGAGGGCGCACACTTTCTTGCAGCATGATAAATAAGGTTCTTCCATACTAGCAGCTGCCAACCAGATGAGCAGCTTTTAACAGAGTCAGGGTGCACAATATGAGCTGGGCCCAGAACTAATCAGATCTAATTAAGACAGACATGTTATGGTCCAGTAGTGTTGACAGGGTTGGGAGTCCTGTAGCTTTAAATGAGGCATGTTATAATTAGGATCTAATTGCAAATCTGGAGGTGATACAAAACCTTTACCCTTCAGGGCCTAAGACAAGGCCTGTTTGGGTCCTGGTGTGCCCCATATTAGATTGTGGATGCTCAATTAGTTATGTAAAAAAAATTAAGCAAGTTGAACAACAGTTAAATATGGTTCAAAGGAGCACTATTTAAATTCACAGCAGTTTAGACATGATTCAGAGTTGTATCTAAATTTTAGATTTAGAATTTATCTTTATTTCTACTATTATGTTGTGGTCATTATTATACATAGCCATAATAAAAACTTCAGGCAATTTTCTTGGCACAATCTGTTTCTTTAAATGCTTCTGCTATCAGAATTTGAAAGTGGTATGCTCATTTAAATTGCTGTCTAATACACTTGTAAAAAGAGACATGTTTCTCAACCTCATACATTTTTAAATTCTCTTTGTCTAATACAGACTTCCACAAACTTCACAATTAGGCCCTCTTTATTCATGGTGCTTAATTTATTTTTATTTATTTATTTATTTATTTTTATTGAGACCAGGTCTCACTCTATAACCCAGGTTGGAGTGCAGTGGTGCTATCATGGCTTACTGTAGCCTCAACCTTCTAGGCTAAAAATGATCCTCACACTTTAGCCACCCAAGTAGCTGGAACTACAGACACATGCCACCATGCTTGGCTATTTATTTCTTTTCATATTTTTTTGTAGAGACTGGGTTTTTGTAGAGACGGGGCAAGATGGGGGTTTCACCGTGTTGCCCAGGCTGGTCTCGAACTTCTGAGCTCAAGCCTTCTGCCCACCTTGGCCTCCCAAAGTGCTTGGATTATAGGTGTGAGCCACTGCACCCAGCCTCACAGTGATTAGTTCTTAAAATTATTTAGTATGTGTACAATATAACTCAGATTTTAAGTTTATTATAAACATGTAGTTCTGAGATGTTCCCTTCATCCTTCCTGGCACACATACAGACACATATCATATAACCCAGTAGGTATGAATTTTCCCCTCTAAAAACCTTCAGGTGATTCTTAAAACTACTCTGCTTACTAATTAATAACAGTGGCTTTTTTTTTCTTCAATTTTCCATTGACTCTACCAACTTAGAGTTGAGACAATGTCCCTATGACAAGTTTTAGCTGTATATTCATCAGGAAATATATCCTAGAGATACCGCTTCAGATTTAAACATTGTTCCTCTCTAAAATGTAGTACAAACAGATAACTTTGAATATTGTTCAATTGTTTTCCTTAATGAGGGTTGGGAATAGACCTGATTGTTATAAAACAATCCTGGTGAAAAATGCAGGATAGCATGAAATAGCTATGGAATTTCATTTTTTTACCATCTTATCAATTTGCAGTTTAATATTGCAGAGAAGATAAGTCCAAGATGTTAAATATTAGTAATTGATTCAGAGGCAAATGTTAATAACATGCTTACTTTTCCACTGCATTTCAGTTTCCTTTCAAGCCTCATTTTATCAGAGAGGACTTCCCAGAACACTTCAATACCTTGCCTGACCCCGCTTTCTTTTTTTAATAGAACTTTTCACCATGCATTTCTCTCCATGAGTAATATAACTTTGCTTTGCTTACTGCCATTTCCACACTAATTCGCATAGTACTAAGCACATCATAGGTATCCAGGAGAATTTGTTGAATGAATGAATGTGTAAAAGAAATGTAAAGTGAAAGTCTTCTGGTGGCTGTTTCTGAAAATTAAACTTTAGTTTTATAGACTAAAATGTATACATTTTTCACAAAAGTAAATGTGCAAATTTTTCCTGCATGAATGATTTAGATTTTGTCCTAGAAGTCCCTACGTATTTTTAAAAGGTGGAGTTATTTGATTTGTTAGCTTTTATTTATGCTTGGAATTGTTATTTTTCTTAGTACGATGCTCTTTACATTGCAAACAAAAATTATACAACTTCTACTTTACCAGTTAATGAGTACATACATTTTTAGTAGGAAAAAACAACTCCTTACAAGTACTACAATATAATAATGTAACATGTTTAAGGAAACAAAACATTTGTTGCTCTTGTAACCTGATATAAAGATGGTTTCTTCCATGTAGCTGTCAGCTTGTGGGAATTTATAGGTGTGAAATTTGCCACAGATTGTAGAAATATTTTACCTATAAGCAGGACACTCAATGTTATGAAGATAATAAAAGAAAACAAATTTAAATCAGGCTCAGTGATTCCAAATATAAGGTTTTTTCCTGATATTTATTAACACATATTATATAATGCCTATTTTTTTCTGTTTTGTTGTTGTCACTGTGATGTTCTTTATTCATACCAAATAGGCATTACTTCCAAAGTGAATCAATTCTCTAAATGGATTTCTCCTAATGAAATTAACCCAAATCAACAAACAAATCTATTTTATTTCTACTGTGTGCTATCTTCCCAGGTATCTACTTGACATATTACCATGAGATTCCTATTCTTTCTAAATACATCATTGAGATAATTATCAAAAATTCTAATAAGAACCATAACATTTAGATATTAATATATTATAAATATTTCATAGTGATTTCATAATTTCATCTCACAAAAATAATTGTAACAAGCTTATTTATCAGAGACACAAATAAAAAGAAGTATTAAGGAGTTAAACCATCCATTAAAATCCTGAAATGTGCAGTTTATTTCAGTTTATACTCCAGTGATCTTTTAAAAGGCATTGCACTATTTTCTGAGCAGTACACTTTAGAGTTGTTTTTACAGAATGGCAGCTTGAATTTCACCAGATGTGAAATCATTTGGTTGTGTAAACACATTTTTTTCTTTCTGAAATGCATAGGGTTTTTATTTCATTAAAAAAAAAGAAAAGCCTGTAAATGGATAATGTCTATAGTTTGAACTGGACATCTCAGAGGGGTCCAGGGCTCAGATACACTGAGATGATTTACAATCTGAGGTAAACAGATTGGCTCAGATAACACTGGCTGATCAATGCTCCCCATCTCTCCAGCAGGAAATGTCTTGAGGAGGCTGAGGAATGACTTCTGCAAACACTTCCTTGAATTCTGAGCTTCCCCGACCCCCCTCCCTTCTTTTCCTGAAGAACTAAGAACTAAGAGAATAAGCATTCTCTTCCATTTGCTTTAGGAAGTTCTTCCTAGTTTTTCTTTTCTATATATTTCTACAACAGAGAAAAGAACAATTGACTGAAACATTTGACAGATTTCCCCTTGAATAATCTGGCATCATAAATATTGAGCTATCTGTCCCCCAAATGTAAGCAAATGTGGAAATATTCCTTTTACATTTTTATGGAGGAATTATAAGTAATTCAAAATTTAAAATGCAAACAAGAACGGCTCTGCTTTACTCTTGAATAGGTTTTAGTAAGTGAAAATTGCTTTATTATTTAAACAGCTTTTCCATCCCTTCTGGAAGCCTATTTTGAGAATTTCAAACTACCTTATCATATAGATGAAATATGTTGTTGAATGCTGTTATTGTCCTGGAAACAAAATAATACTATATATTGATATCTTGCTTTTCGCTTTCACTGGCTGTGCTTGCGGAGCACTTTGGGTTTCTTTTGTAAAGAAGCCGGAGCCCCAGGTACGCTAAGGGGCATGCGAATGGAAAACAGAAAACAAAAAAACGGAAAAGATTGCCAGGGCAGTTAGGGCCGATCACAAATAAAGATAGAGAGAGCGCCCAATTTTAATTTTGTTTCAGTTGAACAGTAAATGTTGATTATGTGCCTATTAAATGCTAAAAAAAAATTGATATCTTGAGAAGGAAAGAGCTCAAATAATCATTCTTGGAGATTGAAATCTAACCCCCTGAATTCTAAGGTCAATTTTATTTATTTTGTTTCTTTATCACCTATCTTCTTCCCCTTCCATCACCACACTCTGTTGACTGTATGTAGTAGAACTTTTACAGCTGTTTTGAAAAACATTTGAAAATTATGAACTTAAAAATGCTGTATTAGTAAAATAAATTCAAAAAAGGCATTATAAATACACCCTATATTATTTTTGTATATTTTGCTGTTCAAAAGATTTATGAAGTAAGTATCAGCTTGCTTATTCCTCTGAGAAAAACTATCTCGGATTTATATCCTGTTACTAATTTTAAGCATCTGCATATCTGTTTCAATTGCCTTTTGGAGATTAAATGCTCTCCAAAATGGATTCTTATTTTAACACTCTCTTTCCATGGCTATCCTATAGTTTTTCAATTTTTTTCAACCTTCACTTACATTACGTTGAAAATTTAATATCTATTAGATAAAGGAAATTATTTCTGTTTCTTATACTCCAATAGTGAACAATGTTCTTTCCACAAGTTTGAGTGTTGTTCTCATACATCCACAGTAATAGTAGAACAGTTTGGTTTGTAGTTTTCCGTCTCTTACTACCGAAATTTTGGGCAAGTTTTTAATCCTTCTCAGCCACAATTTCCTTATTATCTTCCAATAATAATATCCCTCTTTTCATGAAATTGTACATATCAAAAAGAAGGAAATGCATTGGAAGCCTTGAATTTTAAAGCAATAATGCAGCTTATTTTTATTTGTTGAATCACACTTCTGAAAATATTTTCTAAAATGTATTGATTTTTTCAAAAGTAAGACTCTTTCTTTTGTAATTCTTTTTTTTTTTTTTTTTTTTTTGAGATGGAGTTTTCCTCTTGTCACCCAGGCTGGAGTGCAGTGGCTCAATCTTGGCTCACTGCAACCTCCGCCTCCCAGGTTCAAGTGATTCTCCTGCCTCAGCCTCCTGAGTAGCTGGAGTTACAGGCATGTGCCACCACACCCGGCTAATTTTTGTATTTTTAGTAAAGACGGGTTTTCACCATATTGGCCAGTCTGTTCTTGAACTCCTGACCTCAGGAGATCCACCTGCCTCGGCCTCTCAAAGTGTTGGGATTACAGGCGTGAGCTACCACTCCAGCCACTTTTGTAATTTTTAAACATAGAGGAAGGATTAAATCTCAACCTGCCTCAAAGTGTGAGTTAGAATTTGTTGGTGAGTGATTGTTATCATTGAGACTTGTTAAAAATGTTGAAGAAACTTGGAAATGTCAGAGGAAATTTAAGTAGGGACACACCTAATAAAATGCCCAAAACTAAAAACACTAACCATACCACGTATTGACTAAGATGAGGAAGAAATGGAACTCGCATACACTTCAGGAAAATGGAACTTTTTGGAAAACAGTTTGGCAGTTATGTAAGTGAAATATTTGCTACCATATGAGCCAGTCATTCCATTTCTAGGTATTCAAGAGAAATTAAAGCATATTTCCATATAAAGAATGTTTACAAATGTACACAGAAATGTAAACAAATGTTTACAAATGTACATGGTTACAGCAGCTTTAATTATAATAATGCAAATCTAAAAACAACTCAAATGTACATGAACTTAAGAATGGAGTAAACATGGTATAATAATGGAGTAATACTCAGCCATTAAAAGGAATGACCTCTAAATACACATCTCATTATGGATGAAACTTCCAAAGCAAATAATAAATATATGTTGTTTAATTTAATTTAGATGACATTCTAGGAAATGTAAACTAATGTATAGTGACAGAAAGTAGACTGGTGGTTGCTTGGGGTGGAGAGAGTGAAAGACGGGAAAAATAAATACCAAGGGGCATAAGAAAGATTTGCAGATGATGGATGTATTCATTATCTTGATGATCGTGGGGATTTCACAGATGTATAAACCTATCAAATTACACACTTTAAATAGCCGCAGTCTATTGCAGGTCAATTATACCTCAATATAGTATTTTTTTTAACTGAAAGGTAGAATTTTTATGTGAATTCCTGACATTTTCCTGTGGTATGTGCATACTTTTATTACTCATTCTAAATTAAGTGTATTACATAATTAATTCAGTCTTTAACCAAGTTAGTTACTCATTTGATAATACTCCACCGTATGGATAGAATAAAATTACACCAAAACAGGTTTACTTGGATTACTTATTTGAGCTTCTTTTGTTTTTATTAACTAACGATTTCTTGCGTATATTTAATGCTTTATAGTATCAAAAGGTTTTTCCATCTAAAATTACAGTTTATTGTTTAAGACAAATGGGACATTTTTAAAAAATGAAAACTGCAGGCTATTAAGAAATATTTGTTCACTATTTTTTTAGAAGCATTGTGTGCTTTTCATGAGAACATTTGACAGTAGTTTTCTTTTTTCTTACCTGTCCTATCCCTAACATTCAGAATTACATTAAACTATGCTTTGACCAAGAACTGACCAGTCACAGAAATACAAGTACTGCATGATCTCACTAATATGTGGAATCTAAAGAAGTTGAGAATGGTGGTTCTCAGAGGCTGGGATGGTTGGCAGGTATTTGAGGAGATGTTGGTCAAAGCATAGTTTAACGTAATTCTGAATGCTAACATTCTTCCAGGTTTATCCATGTTGTTCCAAATGACAGGATTTTACACTTTTTTAATGGCTGAGTAGTATTCTGTTATGTTTATATACCACATGTTCTTTATTTATTGATCAAAGGCTACAAAACTTCAGTTAGACAGCAGGAATAAATTTGCAAGCTCTATTCTACAACATGGTGACTATAATTAATAATAATATATTGTATTCTTGAAAAATGCTGAGATAATGTATATCAAGTATTCTCACCACAAAAATGATAACTAGGCCAGGCACAGTGGCTCACACCTGTAATCCCAGCACTTTGAGAGGCCAAGGTGGGTGGAACACCTGAGGTCAGGAGTTCGAGAGCAGCCTGGCCAACGTGGCGAAACCCCGTCTCTGCTAAAAAGACAAAAATTAGCAGGGCATGGTGGCGCATGCCTTAGTTCTAGCTACTTGGGAGGCTGAGGCAGGAGAATCACTTGAACCCAGGAGGTGGAGGTTGCAGTTAGCCACGATGGCGCCACTGCGCTCCAGCCTGGGCAACAGAGCAAGACTCCATCTCCAAAAAAAAAAAAAAAAAAAAAAACCTATGTGAGATAATTCATATATTAATTAGCTAGAGTTAGTCAGTCCGCAATGTAGATACACTTTAAAACATTATGTTATACATTATAAATACATACAATTATATCTATCAGTTAAAAAAATGAACAAACAAATGAATAAATATTTAAAATTGAGCTATGTACTTTCTTGGTTAGTTTCATTAACACTCAGCAAAATAGGACAATATTCTTTGTAAATACGGGTGACACAAAGGATACCCATGATTAGGTTTAAAATTTTTCTATAGTTAATGTAAAAGGAGAATTTCAAATCAAACTGAATACCACACTTAATTAACTGTACTAAATTTCCAAGTTTCTCTGTCTTTTTTTTTAATATGATGTCAATTTAGGCAATAATGACTGATATACTCTCTTCTCTTTTTCTGAAAGGTTAATTTCCATTATACATAATTACACAATGTTGTACGTACAAATTAAAATTCAAAGAACACGGAAAAACTCTTTCTCTTGCAATATTTCTAATTTTAAAACAACGATTTTTTAGTGTCTAAATATATAATACTTCATGTGTTTCATCAATTAAGTCAAAATGAATTTGAAGGGGAAGAATGACCAAACTGACTCCTTTGAGCAACTGATCACAATTTGATTGAAAGGGCTACCCCTACACAGAATGTATAAAATAACAGAGTTCCAAATTAGAGAATTAGGGAGAGATTTCAATTTAGTAAAATAATTTCAAAAAGCAAATACACTTATGACATACCTATCCCTAAAATCATCATGGACCAAATAGAAACAAATGTTATAGTCTGATATTTCCAAGAATCTTGATTTCTTTCAAAGTTGTGCTCACAAGCAGAGTGTATATTGGAGAGAATATCATTCTCATTTCTCACCACGTTACTTTGACTTAAGGAACCATATCAGGTGGCGAGCAGTATAAATGTGGAAATACTCCTAAGAAAGCAGAGTCGTGCATGCGAAAGAGAGCAGAGGTTGATTAGATTACCCAGACATGTGGATAGCGTGTATAGTTCCTGTACTAACATTCAGTTCCTGGAATTTCGTCTGGTCCCTTCATTTTACTTTAGCCAAAAATACACCCTATGTGGTGTATCTGTTCTCATTTACCGTTTTACTTATCTTCTGATTGGAGTCTTGTGGAATGTAGCTTATACAAAGACAATATTGTAGCTGGTGGGTGAGTGGGTAGAACACATACAGTCAAGAGAGATGACATAGTCCATGTATCTATTTTACAACACTATGATTGTATACTAGCATTTTATTATATTGATTTTATGAGGTCAGAAATATTTTATTTTCCAAAGCTGTTTCCAAGGTCAGCTTCACAGCCCAATATTGCACAATTCATAATGTCTTTAGGTATACTCTTAGTATGTCTGAAGAATAACTATGAGCTTTTGAAGGAGAAAGGGAAAATACCTTTCGTTTTTATTGTTGGTTTTGAGTATTTACTATATATTTCCTTCCATTGGAATAATTATGTTTTTTATTGTTAATCTGGGACATTTATTAGAAGTTTCCATCTATTGGAATGCATAAAATTGTTTTAAGTGAGCTAATGAAACATAGCAATGACAAATATCAACTCACACAATAAGACTCCTACAGAGGTTGAAACACTGGAAGTAAGCATTCACCTTTAGACCTAGAATTTCAAATTGTTACAAATAAGGGGCATTGCTTAACATAAAGGAATTACTTAAAGGAAAGAATGAGCATATGTCTTTTCATAGGAGGTGGTCTGTAAAACACACAGTTTATAAATTGAAAATCTATATACTCAGTCACATTTCACAGTACTGTGTGCGGAATTGGTGGGTTCTTGGTCTCACTGACTTCAAGAAAGAAGTCGCGGACTCTCGCGGTCAGCTCTTAAGGTGGCGCTCTGGAGTTTGTTCTTTCTGATGTTCGGATGTTTGCGGAGTTTTTTTCTTCTGGTGGGTTCGTGGTCTCGCTGGCTCAGGAGTGAAGCTGCAGACCTTTGCGATGAGTGTTAAAGCTCATAAAAGCAGCGTGGACCCAAAGAGTGAGCAGTAGCAACATTTATTGCAAAGAGCGAAAGAACAAAGCTTCCACAGCGTGGAAGGTGACCCGAGAGGGTTGCCACTGCTGGCTCGGGCAGCCTGCTTTTATTCACTTATCTGGCCCCACCCACATCTTGCTGATTGGTAGAGCCCAGTGGTGTGTTTTGACAGGGCGCTGATTGGTGCGTTTACAATCCCTGAGCTAGACACAAAGGTTCTCCACCTCCCCAACAGATTAGCTAGATACAGAGTGTGACATAAAGGTTCTCCAAGGCCCCACCTGAGTAGCTACAGAGTGTCGATTGGTGCATTCACAAACCCTGAGCTAGACACAGGGTGCTGATTGGTGTGTTTACAAACCTTGAGCTAGATACAGAGTGCCGATTGGTGTATTTACAATCCCTGAGCTAGACATAAAGGTTCTCCACCTCCCCACCAGACTCAGGAGCCCAGCTGGCTTCACCCAGTGGATCCCACCGGCTGCAGGTGGAGCTGCCTGCCAGTCCCACTGCAGTGCGCCTGCACGCCCCAGCCCTTGGGTGGTCGATGGGACTGGGCGCCATGGAGCGGGGGTCAGCGCTCAGTGGGGAGGCTGGGGCCGCACAGGAGCCCACGGAGGGGGTGGGAGGCTCAGGCATGGCGGGCTGCAGGTCCCGAGCCCTGCCCCGCGGGAAGGCAGCTAACGCCCAGTGAGAAATCGAGCGCAGCGCCGGTGGGCCGGCACTGCTGGGGGACCCAGTACACGCTCCGCAGCTGCTGGCCTGGGTGCTAAGCCCCTCATTGCCTGGGGCCGGCAGGGCCGGCGGGCTGCTCCAAGTGCAGGACCCGCCAAGCCCACGCCCACCCGGAACTCCAGCTGGCCCGCAAGCGCCGAGCGCAGCCGCAGTTCCCGCTCACGCCTCTCCCCCCACACCTCCCTGCTAGCTGAGGGAGCCGGCTCGGCCTTGGCCAGCCCAGGAAGGGGCTCCCACACTGCAGCGGTGGGCTGAGGGGCTCCTCAAGTGCCGCCAAAGTGGGAGCCCAGGCAGAGGAGATGCCCAGAGCGAGCGAGGGCTGAGGGCTGCCAGCACGCTGTCACCTCTCAGTACTACATATTCTTGGTAAGGCATTTATCTCATTTCAAAATGAAATATTTATTTAATATTTCAGGTATTAAATAAGTATTTCACAGGTATTACTTTGATTCTATTTCCTTTTTTATATCGTTAATATTCTGAAAGTTTGAATATCTTTAAGAGAATTTAGTAGACTTTCTGGAGCCAATTTTTTTTTTTTTTAGTGTTTCTTGAGTTGATATTTAAAACAACTTTTCATTTTCATTCCTTGGTTAATTAACTACACTTCACTATTTTTATTTTCAATTCTAAACTCTCCCTTCAACTTTTCGATGGATTTCATTGAATTGGAAAGATTTCATCAACACACGCTTTAAAAAGTCTTGTTTTCTCATAAATTATCTCAATTAAAAATTATTATTTTATCTCAGGCAGAATATTTCCTCCAAAATGAATATATTATTGGCAAACACTTTATATAATATCTTTATTTTCAAATCTCATATCAAGCAAGCAACGTTAATAGTATTAATTGTTAACATTTATTAGTACATCTGCAAGAGCATATATTACAGCATGCATAGCTTATTTATATAATAAACGAAAATGACACTAGCCACCTTCAACATTTGTCAGGAATTCAGTCAAGTTGCTGACTTGACTTTGAATATCTTCATAGTTCCCAATAAGCCACATGTTAATCCCTTTCCTGGTGAAGAATTTGGAGACCAGAGATTTAATTTACTGAACATTACACTCTAGTTAATGTTGCAGCCAGGATTCAAACTATGTCTGTATAACCCCAAAGCTCATGCTCTTTTCTCTAAATTTTATTTTTAGAAATTATTTGAAATACTGGTCTATGCTAAATGCGATGTAAACTTCAATATACCTCATGTTAGGCATTTTTCATGATAAAAAGAATACAACTATGTTACCTCAAATGACCTTCCATGTTGTCATCATGCACAGAAATAGAAGGTTCAATTGTGCCAAAAAAGTATTTAGCTTTTTTGGAAGTGTGTATTTATTATATTTGTTTGATTTAAACATAGAAGTATTCTCAATACAATGATCTCAAAGGAACTGTTCATATCCTATGCAACCATTAAATTTTCATTATATTAAATGTGTTTGAAATCTTTGTAGTATGCAGACATTTTGGCAGTGACAGGATTTAACCTGTAATTTTCTCCTTCAAAAAAGTTGAAAATGGAAAATAATGAACTCCTTCCTAGATTACTCAATTAGTAAATTCCTTCAGTAATATAAATAAAATCCAAATTATTTTTCTAGTTATTAAAAATAATTGAGTATCTGTTTACATGAAGAACTTGTACTTGTAATATCTTAATTTTAAATTATTTAAAACTTGGTTTTTCTACTTTGCACCCATTAAAATAAACCCAAAACAACTTTATGGACTGGTGAATTTACAACTGTTTTAAAAGAAGTTTCAGGATAATCTGGCATTCTGTTTCAGAACATCCCCAAAATAAGAAAAAGAAATTCTATCCCTATGTTAAAGTAATATTTCATTACTAGTTGCTAAAAAGAATGGTTCAGTCTTTTCAAAGGGACCATAAAATAGAGAAACAGACAGCAAGGACTACTGAAAAAATCTGACTTCTTAAACCCTGCCTCCTGAGGGGAGGCATATTATCATCTATAATGTATTTGATCCCTCACAAGCTCACCAGGGTTACAGACCATTTTTAAAAAGAAAAAAAAATGCAGTAAAGAGTGTACAATGAGCTACGTGGAGGAGGAGAGAAACGTACCTTTAAACCCAAAGACTTTTTGTTCGTATGTTGCCAATCAATCATGCCCGCTGGCCTGGTTATAGATTGCTCTTCATAATCTGTTTTCACAAGATCCTAAGAGAATTCTAACCATAAAAGAACCTGCCTCTCTCTACCCAGAGGTATATAAAAGAAACTGATATTTTTTTTTAAATCCATATCACAAAAATATATAGTCAATTCATTATCACTTTGAGAATAGTATTTCTCTATTTCACTAATTCCTGATCAAATTATTTCACATATAGTGAAACATTAAAGTCCCAGACATTGAACTTTCTCTTTAGAAAAGAGAAACTCCTTTGCTTGGGCTTTCAAAAGAGTGTATCACTTTAATGATCTTCATTGCTAGTTGCATTCCATGACAACATGATGCTATATTACATAGATTTGAATTTCAGAGGTGATATGGTAAAGTTGTACCTCCAGAATAGTATTTATTAAAAGAAAATCCTAGCAGTTGGCTTATTAGAATACTGTTAGACATCTTCCCATCTAACAATATAGTAGTGACATGATCTCACCATATTTCAATAAAAGAAATATGTCAGAATATTTAGAACAATTTCTTTTTACAGTTTGGAGAAATGGTATTTTGTTTACACGAAGCATCCATTTTTCATTTCTTTCTTCCCATGGGAGCTAACATAAATCAAAACAACTCAAATGTTTTTAATTTCAGAGTGAGATCAGCAGCTGTTCCCCAGAACTCCAGTTGCTGCAAAAGAGGGAGTTTTTGTGTGAGTCACAAGTCAGATAGACAATGTAGCAAGATCTGGTTACATACCATGATACTTACTGAGCATATGCCCACTAGAGATCATAATAACAAAGAATTGTGTTTACTTAAACTCACAGTTTTGCAAAAGTCAAACAGTTATGTAATTGTCCCTATAGCACTGTGAATCATGGTGGTAGAGAAATGTAATCAATTAGTGACAGGCTCTTTTGATGTACTCTATAGTGGGTTGACATAACAAATGACCCATTGAAGAGCACTGGGCTAAACTAGACTACTTAAAAGGAAATTGAGTTCAAGTGAATATTTCCAACAGTTTATTTTGAATGTTTATACTTTATGCAGTTCCTAAAAAATGTGTAATTAGGCTATCTGGTTAGCCTTGCAGAGGAAAGAGAATTAAATTCAGGAGGTTCTTCTGAATACCAACTACATTTTGTATTTGAAAATAACGTAATCAAAAACAAACATTAAAACAAAAACAGAACTGAGAATTAGACTTCGGGATTTTATGAGTCTTAACAATTAAATTTGCTTTCAAAAATTGTAACACAACATTTTCAATTGTCCTGATGTAAATTCATAGGTTTAAAACTTGTTTTCATAAGATTAAATATACCAAAAAGAGTGTGTTGTGTTTTACATTTTACAGTTTGAACACCTTTTGGAGTATCTACAAAAGATGGGGAATAACAAGCAAAAAGATTATGGTGCATTTGTTTCTGAATAGAAGTCAATAATTTCTGCACTTATCACGGGTTTCTGAGTTCTTTTAAAATTTAAGGTCTCTCTCAAAGGAGACTATTCTGACTCCCAAAGGCCATGTCTGTTTTAGTATAACTGAAATTCCATGTTGAAATTTGGCCTGAAACTAAACTAGTGTCCTTAAATTCCTTTAAGATAATGCAATTCCATTTCAATTGGAAATCTATGTAAGTTTTGCTTCCTACACATCCCACAAAACCTGTTCATGATTGGGCAAGTTAGATACAACATGAAAGGTTTGGGTTAGCACTTGATGTCCCTCAGGTCACCCCAGTGAATGGACTTTTAAATATTTCCTTCTAGAAATGAAATGACATCTTGAAGTTGTCTTTCTATGGCAGAGTCTACACATAGAATATTATCATTAATTATTTAAGGTTTGTATATCTGATGATTGCTCAACTATGTGTTATAAATGTGAAATTATATAAAAGATGGTTAATTTGCATATTTTATACTCTCTATGCTAAGGAAAATTGAGTATTAATGCATTATTGAGTTTCATTTTAACTCTTAAGGTAATAAACGTATCTGTGTTAGCATTCATGTGTCTTATGTAATGCTTCTTATAAGAAATTTTTTGACAGTTTGATAAGAGGGACGTTTCCCCATCCCTATAGAATGAGTTTGAAAATATTTTAATTCCATTCTTCAACTGGATTGCCCGAAAGCAGATTAGATGTTTAGTTGTAGCTTTCAAATTTGCATATATGGATTTCATACTTGCTTGTGTCTTTTTCTGTCTCCTTCAACTTTTATTTCTATATATTTATATGTAACCAAAACATTTTAATTAAAAAAACTTAATATTTATACATATGAAATGTTAGTTTCACCGTTATCTAAATCCACCAAATCCATAATTCTCAGAGTTTAGTTGTTTTGTTCTTTTTTAATTATTGTTTTGGGAGAGTGGTATAGAAATGATTCCGCTTTCATTAAGAGTCAAACTGGCTGTTTTTCTTTTTTCTTCTGAAAGAGATTTACATGTTTGTTATCTTACCGGTTATAAATAATAACTATGTAACACTGAAACAAAATAAGCACAAAAACTTCATGGGTATGATTTTTTTTTAAAGCAAGGTATGGACTATTCGTTGATTCATCCATTTTACCTTCTTTTTCAAGAAGCATTTGTGAGACAATCACGTTTCTTTTTTATTATTATTATACTTTAAGTTCAGGGATACGTGTGCAGAATGTGCAGGTTTGTTACATAGGTATACACGTGCCATAGTGGTTTGCTGCACCCATCAACCCGTCACCTACCTTAGGTATTTCTCCTAATGCTATTCCTCCCCTAGCTCCCACCCCCAACAGGCCCTGGTGTGTGATGTTCTCCTCCCTGTGTCCATGTGTTATCATTTTTCAACTCCCACTTATGAGTGACAACATGCAGTGTTTGGTTTTATGTTCCTGTGTTAGTTTGCTGAGAATGATGGTTTCTAACTTCATCCATTTCCCTGTAAAGGACATGAACTCATTCTCTTTTTATGGCTGCATAGTATTCCGTGGCATATATATGCCACATTTTCTTTACCCAATCTATCATTGATGGGCATTTGGGTTGGTTCCAGGTATTTGCTATTGTGAATAGTGCTGCAATAAGCATACATATGCATGTGTCTTTATAGTAGAATGATTTATATTCCTTTGGGTATATACCCAGTAATAGGATTGATGGGTCAAATGGTATTTCTAGTTCTAGATCCTTGAGGAATTACCACACTGTCTTCCACAATGGTTGAACTAATTTACACTCCAACCAACAGTGTAAAAACGTTCCTATTTCTCCACATCCTCTCCAGCATCTGTTGTTTACTGACATTTTAATGATCGCCATTCTAACTGGCGTGAGATGGTATCTCACTGTGGTTTTGATTTGCATTTCTCTAATGACTAGTGATGAGGAGCTTTTTTTCATGTTAGTTGGCCGCATAAATGTTTTCTTTTGAGAAGTGTCTGTTCATATCCTTCGCCCACTTTTTGAAGGGGTTGTTTGTTTTTTTCTTGTAAATTTGTTTAAGTTCCTTGTAGGTTCTGGATATTAGCCCTTTGTGAGATGGATAGATTGCAAAAATTTTCTCCCATTCTGTAGGTTGCCTGTTCACCCTTATGATTGTTTCTTTTGTTGTGCAGAGGCTCTTCAGTTTAATTAGATCCCATTTGTCAATTTTGGCTTTTGTTACCATTGCTTTTGGTCTTTTAGTCATGAAGTCTTTGCCCATGCCTATGTCCTGAATGGTACTGCCTAGATTTTCTTCTAAGATTTTTATGATTTTAGGTCTTACGTTTAAGTCTTTAATCCATCTTGAGTTAATTTTTGTATAAGGTGTAAGGAAGGGTTCCAGTTTCAGTTTTCTGCCTATGGCTAGCCAGTTTTCCCAACACTGTTTATTAAACAGGGAATCTTTTCCCCATTTCTTGTTTGTGTCAGGTTTGTCAAAGATCAGATGGTTGTAGATGTGTGGCATTATTTCTGAGGCGTCTGTTCTGTTCCATTGGACTATATATCTGTTTTGGTACCAATACCATGCTGTTTTGGTTACTGTAACCTGGTAATATAGTTTGAAACCAGGTAGCATGATGCCTCCAGCTTTGTTCTTTTTGCTTAAGATTGTCTTGACTATATGGGCTCTTTTTTGATTCCATATGAAATTCAAAGTAGTTTTTTCTTTCTTTTTTTTTTTTTTTTTTTTTTTTTTGAGATGGAGTCTCGCTCTGTCGCCCAGGCTGGAGTGCAGTGGCGCGATCTCGGCTCACTGCAAGCTCCGCCTCCCGGGTTCACGCCATTCTCCTGCCTCAGCCTCCCGAGTAGCTGGGACTACAGGCGCCCGCTACCACGCCCGGCTAATTTTTTGTATTTTTAGTAGAGACGGGGTTTCACCGTGTTAGCCAGGATGGTCTCGATCTCCTGACCTCGTGATCCGCCCACCTCGGCCTCCCAAAGTGCTGGGATTACAGGCATGAGCCACCGCGCCCGGCCCAAAGTAGTTTTTTCTAATTCTGTGAAGAAAGTCAATGGTAGCTTGATGGGGATAGCATTGAATCTATAAATTACTTTGGGCAGTATGGCCATTTTCACGATATTGATTCTTCCTAGCATGAAATGTTTTCTCCATTTGTTCATGTCCTCTGCTATTTCCTTGAGCAGTGGTTTGTAATTTTCCTTGAAGAAAACAGACACAATGTACCAGAATCTCTGGGACACAGCTAAAGCAGTGTTTAGAGGGAAAATTATAGCACTAAAGGACCACAGGAGAAAATGGGAAAGATCTAAAATCGACAGTCTTAAATCACAATTAAAAGAACTAGAGAAGCAAGACCAAACAAATTCAAAAGCTAGCAGAAGACAAGAAATAACTAAGAGCAGAGCAGAACTGAAAAAGATAGATATATAAAAAGTCCTTCAAAAAATCAATGAATCAGTAGCTGTTTTTTTGAAAAGATTAATGAAATATATAGACCACTAGCAAGACTAATAAATAGGAAAAGAGAGAAGAATCAAATAGACACAATAAAAATGATAAAGGGGATATCACCACTGATCTCACAGAAATACAAACTACTTACCATCAGAGAATACTATGAACACCTCTATGCAAATAAACTGGAAAATGTGGATGAAATGGATAAATTCCTGGACACATACACCCTCCCAAGACTAAACCAGGAAGAAGACGAATCCCTGAATAGACCAATAACAAGGTCTGAAATTCAGGTTGTAATTAATAGCCTACCAACCAAAAAAAGCGAAGGACCAGACGGATTCACAGCCAAATTCTACCAGAGGTACAAAGAGGAGCTGGTACCATTCTTTCTGAAACTATTCCAAATAATAGAAAAAGAGGGACTCCCCCCTAACTTATTTTATGAGGCCAGCATCATCCTGATACCAAAACCTGGCAGAGACACAACAAAAAAAGGAAATTTCAGCCCAATATCCTGGATGAATATCAATGCAAAAATCCTCAATAAAATACTGGCAAACCGAATCCAGCAGCACATCAACAAGCTTATCCACCACGATCAAGTTGGCTTCGTCCTTGGGATGCAAGGCTGGTTCAACATATGCAAATCTGTAAACATAATCCGTAATGTAAACAGAACCAAAGGAAAAAAACACGTATTTGTCTCAATAGATAAAGAAAAGGCCTTCAATAAAATTCAACACCCTTCATGCTAAAAACCCTCAATAAACTAGGTATTGATGGAACATATCTCTAAATAATAAGAGCTATTTATAACAAACCCACAGCCTGTATCATACTGAATGGGCAAAAGCTGGAAGCATTCCCTTTGAAAACTGGCACAAGACAGGGATGCCCTCTCTCACCACTCTTCTTCAACATAGTATTGGAAGTTCTGGCCAGGGAAATCAATCAAAAGAAAGAAATAAAGCGTATTCAAATAGGAAGAGAAGAAGTCAAATTGTCTCTGTTTGCAGATGACATGATTGTATATTTAGAAAACCCCATCATCTCAGCCCCAAATATCCTTAAGCTGATAAGCAACTTCAGCAAAGTCTCAGGTTACAAAATCAATGTGCAAAAATCACAGACTTTCCTATACACCAATAATAGACAAACAGAGAACCAAATCATGAGTGAATTCCCATTCACAATTGCTACAAATAGAATAAAATACCTAGGAATACAACTTACAAGGGATGTGAGGCAATCACTTTCAAGACAGTAGGATATACGGGGGTATTCAGTTCAAATTATCTGAACTATTTTCTTATGTTTCAATTTTGAATTTCAATTTAACAGATTCTGTTATTGTTTCTACAATTCTGAATAAAAAATTAAGAACTTAGAATCAACTAGTCTTAATTTCTCAAATCAGCTTTGCAGGGTAGAGAAGTGTATTCTCCTCCTCTTAAATATTTGGCATAAGTAATTAAACTTCTTGATTCTATATTTCAAAAAACTTGGGGCCATTTATGGTGGGCTATCACAGGAGTATGTATCATATGGAGAATCTAGATAATTTCAAACTATAACAATCTTTCTGAAGGTATGTGGTAGTGTGCCCAAAAGTAACCAGAATTCACAAGGATTTATATAACAATAATCTATTTACAACCTGCAATAAGACTGATATTGTGCTATGCATTGAAGATGTAAATGTGATTGAAATAGCCCTTGTTGTTGAAATCTCACGCTCCACTGGGGTGTTTTGGGGGCACGAAGGAGAAGTATATAATTGAAAAATTACCATATCTGGTAAGCGTTATAACACTGTGTTGAAGAAGTTCCAAATTTTTGGGAGAGCAATGAAAAACATAATAAAAGGTATGGGCTTAAGGTAGATTCTGGAAGATGATTTTTGAAATTACCAGGTGAAGAAGGGAAAGAGTGTTATTTCATAAATAACACGGGAGCTGGAAAATACTAAAAGGTTGGAGAGGGAGGTAGAAGAGGAGACTGCATTGGTTATATTGTGAACGATCCAGTTTACTATGATTAGGTGCCAGTTAGGGGCCAACATGATGAAAGTTTCTATTAATATCATGGGAAATTCAAAGGAGGCAAAAGTTCAAAGCATTGCTAAGCAGTGTTGTGATTAAATCAAATTTTGAGTCTAAGTGGTTGGGAGAATGGAGATTTGAGCAGTCAGGGTCTCAATGGATTAAAATAGTTATCAATATGGAATAACAAACCGATATATTGAGGACATTAATTTAGTTAAGGTGGAGTTAAAGCTGATGTCAAGGTTCAAATGTAGTGGTAGGCATCCATTTTTTAGTACTCTGAGGGCAGGTTTATAATATTCTTTTCACATGGATATTGAAATCCCTCAGGATAATGGCAAGAGATAGTGTAAGGAGAAAATATAGAATAGTTCAATGTCTTCTGATAATGTGGGTAGTGACCTGGAGAGAATTAGATGACAGCATAGGGGAAAAGTAGTATAACCAAATGGGATATAGCTCAGAAAAGAAAAATAGCCTTGAATAAAGGTGGCAAGATAATGTTCTAGAGGTAGAAGCATGGAACAAAAAGAATGTGGACCATAGTTCTCAATCCCAAAGAACAAGGAATATAGAAAATTAAGCACTCTTTAAGAAGGTTGTGGGATTTGTTCTTTGAATAGAGACAAGTTTTAGTAAATGATAAAAGAAAGATGTGTTCTAGGGACAGTCAGAGCATATATGTAAGTGAGTGGGTCCACAGTAGAGAGAGGTGTCGAGAGTACAATATGGGAGAGCTTTAACACTGGATAGTATATCAGCTTCCAGAATAAACAAGTAACCAAGAAAATACTAGGTTGCATAGTAAGAGAATACTATAGAGATTAAACAGTCCTGATGTTGATTAAATGAAAGAGAGGGACTTAAGTATATTGGGGATCAGATTTGAAACATCTGTGTCCTTACAAGACCACAAGCATAAACGAGGCAAATGGTTAGATATGAAAAGGAGGTAGGCCAGGCACAGTAGCTCACTCCTGTAATCCCAGCACTTTGGGAGGCCGAGGCGGGTGGATCACGAGGTCAGGGGTTCGAGACCAGCCTGGCCAACACAGTGAAACCCTGTCTCTACTAAAAAGATAAAAATTAGCTGGGCATGGTGGCGGACTACTCCCAGCTACTAGGGAGGCTGAGGCAGGAGAATCACTTGAATCCGGGAGGCGGAGCTTGCAGTGAGCTGAGATCGCACCATTGCACTCTAGCCTGGGTGGCAGAGTGAGACTCCATCTCAAAAAAAGAAAAAAGAAAAGGAAAGGAGGAACACAGGAGAAAATTGGATGGTTGATTATTCCATTAGGATTTCAA
Source organism: Homo sapiens (assembly GCF_000001405.40). Lineage (NCBI taxonomy): Eukaryota > Metazoa > Chordata > Mammalia > Primates > Hominidae > Homo > Homo sapiens. Next base: position 79,289,981 of record NC_000003.12, on the reverse strand, counting down.
GGTCAATTTTTTTTTTGTTCTTCTGTAAATGTGTACCTTCAGAGAGACCATTTAACTATTGAAACTGCATCTCTTCCTGTTGATGGACATAGGTAGAAAATAATATCTCAGCCTATGTGACATAGGCTGTAATAACCTGTTTATTACAATGCCCTTTGGTAACAGGAAACATTTTCACCCTAACAAAGTATGTTATTGGGTTAACACATCATAAAACAAAGTTCAAGTTGTGGTTCTGGAAATGTTATCCCTCCAGTCACAATATTTATTTCTTGCATATTATTTTTGTATTTCATAAAATGTATTATTTAACCAAAAGTTTTGAGAAAATGGTAAAAGATAAATCAGGCAGCTCAGCTGTTGAGAATTATCTATGGTACTATATAACACCCAGATCAAGCCCAAGCTTACATCTCTCTAGGTGGAAGGAGCTACAACTGTGCCTTAATACCAAGAGGGAGACAGTAAAAGTGGTAAACATTTCACCTAAAGGAAAATAAAGAGACATCCATTGGTTTAAAAGTTTACTTTGCCTCCACTAATGAAATTCTCAGAGCAAGTCTAATTTCAAACCTCTCTCCCTCCTTCCCTCCCTCTCTCTCACACATAAAACCCCCACATATTCTGGCTAGTGGTTTGCTATTTTACTGTTTTAATGCTAATTACTATGGCCTTCATTAAATTCCAAACCAAAACACCAAATATATTGGTTTATCTGCTTGAGGATATAGTCTTGAAATTGAGACAAATGGTACTGTCACCAAATGGTGTGATTTTTTAATGTTTTTATTATTTTAATAAGGAAGAATGTTTTTAATGTATCTTTGTACTTCTACTATGAAGGCACTTGAACATTCTAGGGATTTTTTTATTATCTAAAAAAAAAAAATGATTTCACCTGGACTTAGATTAAATATTCTGGATAGTTCTACATTTTCCTTTCTTTTGAAATTTTCGTAGTCTCTTGCATTTCATTGAAAGACATGTTGTTTGTTACTTCCTTACAACAACATTGAATGTCCTTGTCAAAGTTTTATATTTCCTGATGTGAAAAAAAGACCGCTAAATTATTTTGGGGGCTTAATAAGATGATTCTACTATACAAATGAGAAAAATAACACACATTATATTTATTTGGGTTCTACACACTTTGAGTGCAATCTAAACTGAGTAGAAATTGGAAAAAAAAAGGTCGAGATATAAAAGGACAATAACAGGTGAGGAGAAATAAAATACTCAGTGTTAACAATAGCAATATATAGGCGCAGAAGGGTGAAGGTCATTTTACTGGGCAGCTGTAGAATGCTAAAGGAAGCGGGTCCAATAACAGAGGTTTTGAATGTAAGGAAAGATTGATTGTTCAACTGGGTTTCTGCATCTGGCCTCCTTGATTTCAAACATTTCCAGATTTTTATCCAAGATTGCAACTGGGCAAACTCTATACTCAAGTTTGCAATTAGGAAAACACAAACACACAGCAACACACATGCACACGTATCTAAAGAAATCGTAAGTTTAGAATGTTCTGAAGCATGAATGCTGAATATCGAGTGGCAATGTTCTGTTTTTTATTTTTTTCTTTCATCTCAATAACTGTGGCTTATGTTTTAAAGTTGGAAGTTCTATCTTTAAACTTAACATTGGGAGTTATGATATACCATCAAAGCTGGTAATTCAGAAAAGAATAAAAACTGAGGTCATTCCAAAGGATTTCCTTAGTTTCAGAAGTGCAGTAATAATAGTAAATTACAAGTATCAGGGGAATGTACTTTCAGGACTTTTAAACCTTTCACTAAGAAAAGGAAATGGTGTTTTTTACCCTATTATTATCAGGTGCAAAGTTTGAAAACGGAGGAAGATTGGCTGTTTTACTTTCAAGGGAAAATACTTAGGAATCTTAAAAATAAATTTGGTTATTTTAGTTTGTCATAGAGAGTTAACTGAATCTTTAAGAAAATTACTATTTAAGCTGTATTTTTATACAAAAATACAGTTAGGCATTCTTTTGTTTCATTTTGAATGGTTAGGGTGTTCTCATTTATGTCCATCTGAATTCAATTTACATCAATAATATGTAAAAAATATGACTACATAAAAAAGAAAAAAACTATATAACTGCAAAGAGACATGTCACTACACTAGAAATTATAACCCATTCAACAAAATGGAAACATTTGTATCAAAATCAAGTATTAGTATATTTAAATTTTCCCCTTTCTTTTCAAATTCAGCAAGTACAATGCAGGAATAAAAAGTTGTATAGGCGGGATTTGGGGAAAACTGAAGCAAGTAAGGACATAAAATGAACAGGATTGTAGTTCATAAACTTTGGAATAATATACGTTAATATGGAATGTTGGTGGTGTCACCATCATCATATTCACAGAAGAGGAACCATCTGGAAGATGGGGATAACTAGTCATTGTGTTTCTCATTTGTCTACCACCTGCAAAACACACTTGTGAAGGGAAATGCAGATGACTAGTGTATACTTTCAGTATATTTGAGATAGCATTTTTAAATATCTCCATCAACATGAGAATATACAGTGATAGAAAGTAAAGGAGAATTATGGGGTTTGCATATGTCTGGAAATGACTAGAAACTTCATCTCCTGTGCCATCTGTGACTCAAACCAGGCTTGTTACTCAGGCAATCACCAAGGCAGAGAGATTGATTGGTTATGCTATCAGATTAAATGGCAGCATTCTAGACACAAGACAGAGGATAGATACATCCAAAATGAAGAGCAAAACTACATGAAGCCAAAATATTTCCAAACTTAAGATTTTTATGTATATAATTTATTTCAGATGTTGAACTAGTCTATTACGAACCCTCTTCAACAAACTGAAGAATTTAGTGTTACCATTACATGATGTCATAATCCTAAATTTTTTATAAGATACAGTGACTCATTGTGCGCTGGAAAACTTCCCAAAATGGACACACAAAAGGACATATATGTACAATGATATCACCATATGCATGCAAAGGATGATGCAGAAATGTTTGGAAAAGTACCTTGTGTCTTGATTTTATTGTGACTGAATGTTACGTATCAGAGTATAGAATGGTTTATACCCATCTTTAAAAGTCATGTGGATTTGAAAAATAATATACCATGTAATTAAATCCTTACATTTATCTGGAATTTATAAAATGAAAATCAATTGTAACTATTTTCTGTTGAAGTATGAGTTGTGATATTATTATTATTCCAGTTATTTTATATATACATATTCATTCAAAATTCATATTGAGATATCTCACTTCATCCTTGGGCAGGCGTTAGGAAATGCCTCTCAGGAATTTAAAATCTGTTCATTTCTCATACTTCCATCCCATTTCTCCACAATATCAGAGTGAACACATGGGAGTTTCAATGCAGTTTAGTAATTAAGGTTGGTGGGCATAGGGGACCGAAGTAGTTTTCTCTGAGTAGAAATAAGCTTCCAGTCATCCTTTGTTGTTGGACTGGGTTTCAATTTGCTTCTATGTGGCATTTAATATAGTGGGAACATTGGCATCTTTTTGTCAAATTGAGTATGACTGCATTTCCACAGGCTGTCTCTTTAAAATGTGAACAATTGGATGATTGGACATTCGAAAGATGGTGTTATTGGGAGATATGGGACAAATATGCTTCTTGAACTTCAATGTAGAATGCATATGAAGTGTAACATCAATTTTTGCAAAGGATTTTATGGGAAAGTTGAAGTTAGCTGTTTAAATGTCCATAAAGAAAGAAGTGTACACTTCTTTTAAGCTAAATGCCAGTTAGATTTTTCAGAAAAATATTAGTGAACATCTGATACATTCATTAACTATAGTTGTTTATAGCACTTACTTTGGGACGTGTTTATTGATTCAACTCTTTCATGTTTGACTGCCTTGCTTATATTTTGGGACATTGGCTTTATGCTACAGTATTAATGACTTACAAGTTTATACGTAGCTCACATTTAATTCATTTGCCAGAATAGACTTCAAATAATGCAAATAAAATTGGCATTTTTTCCACCCTCTTGTCATACTTTGTTATTGTGTCTCATTTTTCCTTCACCTTGTCTTTTTTTCATTGCTTCTTATTTCATGCAGCTGTATTTTAAAATGTTAACATTTTAAGTCTAAGCCATTATGAATAACAAAATAAATGTGTTCATCTATTTGTCTCAAAGATTCAATATATTAAGTTTACATCATCTAATTTCTTGGAATTCTAGGCCTTATATGTGTAGAGTTATTGAGAGACACAAGGGTTTAATGGTCTTTGCAAAATATTACCCAATTTCCTGTATCCCCTCCCTTAGGGTGAATTTCACAAAACTTCTGCAGAGTTAAGGAAAATTCCAGGGCTTTGATATGTCTCCTTGGCCCTGATTTCTGTTTTGTTGCACAGCTTCCTTGAAGGGTCCCATGATCAAGACTTCTTTCGTGCCTCTGGATACCAGGCAAGGCATGACCATGACGGGCCGGCTAACATTCTTTGCATTGCTAATTGTAGGCACAGATTGAGTAGTGTATGGTTAAAATGAGACACTAGTATTCTGGGTTTCAAGGGCTATTCTATGTTTATAACTTTATAACCTTTGACCTATTTAGTAATGCTTTGGGAGCTTACAATTATATACAGGTGCAAGCAATACGTTAAGGAAAACATTGCAGAGGTTGGTTTGCTTTTTACAATTTTACATTCTTCCATGGGGGCTATAGACTTTAAGTCAAGTGAGTGTGAGATTTAATAACCCTTCCTTGCTGCTTTTTTTATAGCCAAAACATTACCTCTGAATGTCTTTAATCGGTTAGCCATATATAAACTCTTGAATAAATGCTTCGTAAGAACATGTTGATTTATAAATTACTGAGAAAGTTAAAATATAATTATCAATATGTTAAGTTATTCAACAAAACCTAATATAATTATAAAAATCAACTGAATGACAGAAACTAGTTTATAGGTATGAGTAAGCATGGGAAATTTTAAAAACCCAGAATAACCTGAAACAAACGGATGTGGTTAAAATGTTTGACTAAATAGTACTTTTTTTTTTCCAGGCTATTTTGTCACCTGTTCTAAATGTTTTGAGTAATAATTAAGTTAATTTGAAGTGGCATTTTATCACCTTATTTCTATTACAAGTAAAGATTTATGAATTAAGATGACTAATCAATAACTGTACTATCTCATTTGTTTTAGATGCAATCTCACTTCAATCAAGTATAGAAAATCTTCTAAGTGTAACTAAGTGATATGTTAGACTTTGCTAATTTTCCATTTACCTTGATATTCTTATGTCAATTCCAGCTCAAGTTTCTACTTTCAAAACTTGATTACCATTCTTTTCTCAATGCTCCTTTTCAGAATAATCATTTTACAACAATTACCAAAATTAAGACATAAGTTTATATTGTATACTACGAAGTATTTTGACTATAAAGATACAGTTATTTTAATAATAGAGAATAGTTTCTTTTTTGTTTGTTTTTTGTTTTTTAATTTTACTTTAAGTTCCAGGATACACATGCAGAATGTGCATGTTTTCTACATAGGTATACATGTGCCATGGTGGTTTGCTGCACCCATCAACCCATCTTAAAACTGAGAATAGTTTCTTTATAATTAACCTATGTTTTCTGAAGGAAACTTAAGAAATACTTTATGTTCTCATATAACTTTGAGCAATGATATTTGTACCAAGAAGAAATGGGCATGTCTATTGAATATTATTTAAGGTCTCCCTCTCCCACTATTCTCAATTCTCCGGCCCTCAGTTAATTACAAATCAAAAAAGAAAGAACATCGACATATCTAGGGTGCCAAATTGGGTAAGAGAAAGAGAAACATTTATTCCTGATATGACCATCATATATATGCATGTATATATACATGCATATATATACATATAGGCCTATCAGATGAGAAAAATCCACCAGCGACCCAGAACTTACAAAACAGAAAACATTTTTAAGAATTCATGGATAGGCCGGGCGCGGTGGCTCACGCCTGTAATCCCAGCACTTTGGGAGGCCGAGGCGGGCGGATCACGAGGTCAGGAGATCGAGACCATCCTGGCTAACACGGTGAAACCCCGTCTCTACTAAAAATACAAAAAATTAGCCGGGCGTGGTAGCGGGCGCCTGTAGTCCCAGCTACTCGGGAGGCTGAGGCAGGAGAATGGCGTGAACCCGGGAGGCGGAGCTTGCAGTGAGCGGAGATCGCGCCACTGCACTCCAGCCTGGGCGACAGAGCGAGACTCCGTCTCAAAAAAAAAAAAAAAGAATTCATGGATAAATGTGGACTCTCATTGATATCCATTGATATACTTTGTTTGAAAGTGAATAGAATGCTTACACAGAGTTAGCAGATTGAGTAGGAATATGGGGGAGATAAAATGAGCAATTCCGATATTTCCTTAAACTATAAAATCTAAATTTTTCTTCATATTCCAATGGTAATTAGATCAAGCCTGAAACTATTTAATATACCAATCTGTACTGTTTTATTTAATCAATAGTGTCAGGACTCTGAGATGAAGATATGTGATACAGTACAAATTCTTGAGACCCATTGAAGGAAATAGAATTTCTGTAATAATTTCCACTTTTATTTTAGATTCAGGAGGTACATGTACAGATTTGTTACCTGGGTATATTGCATGATGCTGAGGTTTGGGGTACGACTGATCCCATCACCCAGGTAGTGAGCATAGTACCCCATAGGTAGTTTTTCAGCCTATGCCCTCCTCCATCCCTCTCCCAGCTGGTAGTACTCAGTACTTAGTGTCCCCATCTATGGGAAAACTTTTAAAGTCTAAAAAGCAATTATGGATGGCATGATTGAGGAATGTACTTGCTAATTAGGTACAAAGAATTATTTAGAATTACCCTGAAACTTATTTAAACATGACATTGAATTTATATAGATACAAATAAGCACATGTTCAAGATTTTCAATTTTCACAAGATCATTTTTATTCTTTTCTGGGTTTGATGTGCAGCAACTTCCCTTTAGAAATAATATAAAAACATTCCAATCAACCTGAAATGTGTTAGATGTGTATGGTATATTTTTGGCATTTTATTTATTAGCTAAGTCTTATCATTTCTTTAATAATATTATCCTTTGCTCAGGAGTAGTATCTCTGGTTTTACGGCTTTAAATTATATAAAGGCCACTGACTGTTTCCAAAGGTCTGTATTTAAGCCATGGTTCTCCCCATTACTAGTTGAAATATATATTCCTTTCCTGCCAGCCATATCCTCTGAGGCAGAGCAAGAACTCAACATGCGTAAAATTTTCTCATCTTTCCTATGCCACATCTCAGCTAACGGTAAAACATCTACCTAATTCTCCAAGCCAAAAATCTGGGACTCTTCTTAGACTTCTTGTTCTCCCTTGTTCCACAGGTTCAATCATTCAAGAGGTCTACACATGTTTTACCTTCTCAATGTTTTACAAATTCATTTGCTATCTTCCACTTCTCCTGTCACTTCTCTTGTTCACGCCCTTGTCAAGTCTTGCTTAGACATTGTTCTCATTGTTTCCCATCATGAAAGCCCCACAATAGCAGGACCTTATCAGACTCATTCTCTTAGATCAGTCACTGGTATGCATTAGATGCTCAAAAAATGTTAGTTGAATAAACAATTTGATGGATAAAGAGGAGGGTTCTTTTTTTGGTGCTCATACACTTCTTCATTCTGTATTCTATCTTGAATGTCCTTTACACTGTTCTTCACCTTTACAGTATCTTCAAAACTTAATTAAGGTTTCATCACCTACAGAAATTCCTCTCTAAATAACTATGTTGGTCTAAATGTCTGTATTTACATAGCACATCTTAATTATTTTTTTCGTAGCATGTACCACATTTTATTGAAGTTTTTCACTTCATGTGCCTGTCCCTACCTGTAGACCACTACTAACTCCTTGAAAATATTCTTGCTTCTTCACCTGTGTATTTCCAGCACTAATTTAGGGTCAAACACATACTCAGTGCTCAATACATTTTGAATAAATAATGGGTGAACAAACGAATGAATGGTTGCAAAAATATTTATTCATTTTGATACCTAGAACAGTGCCATACACATAGAAATCTGTCAAAAATATTAAATTCAATTTCCTTGAGCCATATTACTTTAAGCATCTTTTTTCATATTTCTGAGGCTTGGTTGCCTCATTTGCAAAATAGAAAGTTTGTTCCCTCCGATGATGGCACAAAGTTATGAATATGAATGACTGCAATAACTTTCTTCTCAACTGTGGAAAGTTGAATAAATCCAGTTGTCATTAATTTAAATTGAATATACAGCAATGTAAGATATTCACTATCAATATTCCTGATTTACTGACTAAATAAATAAAAACACAATCTAATTAATTTTACAGTAAATGTAAACTAATATAGTATTGAGCACAGAATATTACAATACAAACTTCTATAAACATTCTATAGAATGTTTATTCTTTTCAAGCTTAACATTTTTCACAGTCACCTCACTTATTGTGTTTTATAAATTTCTCCTAATTTGAAAAAGATAAAAAGTATTCCCATCACCTGATATAGAATATGTGAAATGTGGCACATGTATACATATGTGACTAACCTGCACATTGTGCACATGTACCCTAAAACTTAAAGTATAATAATAATAAATCAATCAATCAATAAATAAGAATATATGAAATGGAGAAAAACATTTTAACAAAAATAAATAAACTTTTATTTTCAAATGCCTGCTTTGCTTTAAGTGGATTTTCTGAACTTTCATATTAGTCCTAATACAGATTTCTCCTATATTAATTCAATCAAAGATTTACTACTCTAAAACAGGACACATTTTATCAAGTAGCATTGATTTAATCTTTTTAAACACAGAAACTCAATATCTACCAATTGCCTTAGTTAAGATCTATCTTAGGAAAGAGCAACGAAGTACATTCTTTTTTATTTATTATTTTTATTACTTGTAGTATTGTCTAACACAGGGGTCTCCAACCCTCTGGGTCATGGACCCGTACTGGCCCCTAAACTGTTAGGAACCAGGTCGCATAGCTGGCAGTGAGTGGCCAGCCAGCATTACCAACTGAGCTCCGCCTCCTGTCAGATCTGCGGAGACATTAGATTCTCATAGGAGCTCAAACCCTATTGTGAAGTGCGCATGCGAGCAATGTAGGTTGCAGGCTCCTTATGAGAATCGAATGCTTGATGATCTGAGGTCAATCGAATGCTTGAAACTGTTCGGGATGAACAGTTTCATCCCGAAACCATTCTCCTGCCCGATGTCAGTGGAAAAATTGGCTTCTACAAAACTGGTCCCTGGTGCCAAAAAGGTTGGGGACCGCTGGTGTAAGACACAGCAATCCAAAAGTCAGATTAAAATGAAAAGGAAGAGAATACAATGTTAAGGTACAAGAAACTCTTAACTCTCCATATCCACATTAATCCCAGTTTAAATTATGATCCCTGTTTCCAAACAGCTGTAGTTAGGTGTGTTTTATCTGCTCCCTCTGTTTGTCCTGTGGGTCTGGAAAGTAGATAATAAGGGTTTTTCTACCAACTTTTGTATATACAACGTAAACCTTCATACTTAGATTTTTATTTTTTAATTAAAAATAATAATTGTACATATTCTCAGAGTACATAATGATATTTCAAAACATATAATGTATAGTGATCAAATTAGAGTAGCATATCCATCATCTCAAATATTTATCATTTCTTTGATTTGGGAACATTCAATATCCTCCTTCTAGCTATTTAAAACTACATAATACTGTTAACCACAGTGCTATAGAACAATAGAATGTATTCTTCCTGTCTAACTTTAGTTTTGTATCTTTGGACAAATCTCTACCTATCCCTATCTTCTGCCTACCCTTCCCAGCCTGTGGTATCCTCTCTTCTACAATACTTCTATGAGATCAACATTTTTTAGCTTTCATATATGAGTGATAGTTTGCAGTGTTTAACTTTCTATTTCTGGCTTACTTCACTTAACATAATGCCCTTCAGTTCCATCCATGTTGCCATGAATTATATTATTTCATTCTTTTCATGGCTAAATAATATTCCACTGTGATGTGATCTATATATCACATTTTCATTATTCATTCATCATTTGTTGGACACCTACAACAACACATGTGATACCTTCAGCTTTGTTGTTGGACACCTATGACACACAAATGAATAAAGAAAATGTGATATATACATCACATCACAGAAGAATGAATGGTCATCTCTACCTCCTCCTTGTTTATTGCAGCACTAATTACAGTAGCCAAGGTATGGAATTCCATATCTGCAATAAATATGGAGGTACAGTTGACTCTTCAGTAGAATGATTTCCTTTCCTTTGGATAAATTCCCAGTAATGTGATTGCTGGATCACATGGTACTTGTATTTGTAGGTTTTTGAGGAACCTTTATAGTAGCTGTATTAGTTTACTTACCCACCAACAGTGCATAAGCTTTCCCTTTTCTCCTTATCCTTGCCACCATTTGCTATTTTTAAAATCTTTTTTTTATAATAGTGATACTATTTGGGATGGTTATTGATTTGCATTTCGTTGATGATCTGTGATGTTAATTAATCATTGGTTGGCCATTTGTATGCCTTCTATCAAGAAATATTTATTCAAATCATTTGTCTTTTGTTTTGTTTTGTTGTTGTTTTTGTTTTTTTGTTTGTTTGTTTATTTTTTTTAGACAGAGCATTGCTCTTGTCACCCAGGCTGGAATGCAGTGGTGTGATCTCGGCTCACTGCAACCTCCGCTTCCTGGGTTCCAGCTATTTTCCTGCCTCAGCCTCCTGAGTAGCTGGGATTACAGGCACCCACCACTATGCCTGGCTAATTTTTGTAGTTTTAGTAGAAACTACATGTTGGCCAGGCTAGTCTCAAACTCCTGACCTCAGGTGATCTGCCTGCTTGGCCTCCCAAAGTGCTGGGATTACAGGTGTGACATTTGTCCATTTTTTTATCTGCTGAAATGTTTGAGTTCCTTGGATACTTAGGATATTAAACCCCTTAAATGAGTCATTTGCAAATACATTCTCCCATTTGGTAGGTTGTTTTGCACTATGTTGGTGGTTTCCTATGCTGTACAGAAACTTTTCAGTTTGATATACTCTCATTTGTTTATTTTTGCTTCAGTTGCCTGTGCTTTTGAGATCTTATTCATAAAATCTTTTCCCAGGCCAATGTTCTGAAGCATTTCCCGTATGTTTTCTTCTGCAGTTTTGTTGTTTTAGCCCTTACATTTAGGTCTTTGATCCACTTTCAGTTGATTTTTGCTTAGGATGAAAAGTGCGAGTCTAGATTCCTTCTTCTGCATATGAATGTTCAGTTTTCCCAGCAAAACTTATTGAAAAGACTACCCTTTCTCCAGTGAGTTGTCTTAACACCCTTTTCAAAAATTAGTTCACTGTAGATTTTTAGATTAATTTCTGAGTTCTCTAACCGGTTCCATTGGTCTGTATCTCTGTTTCCATGCAGCATTATGCTGCTTTAGTTACTGTAGCACTGTAGGATTAAGGTCTGGTCTTGTGATACCTCCAGCTTTTTTGTTTGTTTGTTTGTTTGTTTGTTTGTTTTTGTTTTTGCTCAGGGTTGCTTTTGGCTATTCTGGGTCTTCTGTGGTTTCATAAAAAGTTTAGGATTCTCTTTCCATGTATGTGAAGAATGCCATTAGTATGTTGATAGAGATTACATTGAATCTGTAGATTCATATGGGTAGTATGGACATTTTAACAATATTAATTCTTCTGATCCATGAACATGGAATGTCTTTTCATTTGTTTGTACACTCTTCAATTAATTTCATCAGTGTTTTATAGTTTTCTTTGAAAATGTCTTTCATCTCCTTGCTAAATTTATTACTAGATATTTTATTTATTTTGTAGCTATTGTAAATAGGATTGTCTTACTGATTTCTTTTTCACCTAGTTTGTGTTTATAGAAACACTACTGATTTTTGATTATTAATTTTATATCCTGCATCTTTATCAAAATTATCAGTTCCAAGGGATTTTTGGTAGAGTCTTTAGGTTTTTCTATATATAAGATCATGTCATTTGCAAACAGGGATAACTTTACTTCCTCTTTTTCAATTTGGATGCCCTCTATAGTTTCCTTTTGGTTAATAACTCTGGGTATGACTTCCAAGTGTGTGTTTTTTTTTATTTTTAATGTTATTTTTTATTTCTGTGCATACATAGTAGTTGTATATATTTATGGGGCCCTTGAGATTTTTTGATATAGATATACAATGTATAATATTCACTTCAGAGTAAATGGGGTATCCATCACCTCAAGCATTTTCCTTTCTTTGTGTTATAAACAATCCAATTATACTCTTAATTATTTTTAAATGTACAATAAATTATTGTTGACTGAAGTCACTTGTGCATTCAAATGCTAGATCTTATTTATTCTATATAACCATATTTTTGTACCCATTAACCATCCCCACTTCCATCCTCCCCACATCACTACCCTTCACAGCCTCTGAAAACCATCATCCTATTCTCTAGTTCCATGAGTTAAATTGTTTTAATTTTTAGCTCTGGCAAATAAGTGAGAACATGTGAAGTTTGTCTTTCTGTGCCTGGCTTACTTCACTTAGCATAATGACCTTGAGTTCCATCCATGATGTTACAAAAATGACAGGATCTAATTTTTTTGTGGCTGAATAGTACTCTATTGTGTATATGTACTACATTTTCTTTATGCATTCATTTGTTGATGGACACTTAGTTTACTTTCAAATCTTAGCTACTGTGAATAGTGCTACAATACACATTGGAGAGCAGATATCTCTTCAATATACAAATTTTTTTTCTTTTGGGTATACACCTACCAGTGAGATTGCTGCATCATATGATAGTTCTATTTTTAGCTTTTTGAGGAATCTCTAAAGGTTTCTCCATAGTGGTTGCACTAACTTACTTTCTCACCAATGGTGTACAAGGATTCCCTTTTCTCCACACATTCGGCAACATTTATTATTGTCTACCTTTTGGATAAAAGCCATTTTAACTGGGGTGAGATGGTATCTCACTGTATTTTTGATTTGCATTTATCTGATGATCAATTGTGTTGAGCACTTTTTCATAAACCTGTTGCCATTTGTATGTCTTCTTTGGAGAAATATGTATTTAAATATTTTGCTCATTTTAAAAATCAGATTATTAGGATTTTTTCCCTGAGTTGAGTTCCTTATACGTTATTGTTATTAATCCCTTGTCAGATGGATAGTTTGCAAATATTCTCTCCCATTCTGTGGGCTATCTCTTCATTTTGTTGATTGTTTCTTTTGTTGTACAGAAGTTTTTTAAACTTTATATGATCCCATTTGTCAACTTTTGCTTTGGTTGCCTATGCTTGTGGGGTATTACTAAGAAGTTTTTACCCAGACCAGTGTCTTAGACAGTTTGCCCAGTGTTTTCCTTTCATAGTTTCATAGTTTGAGGTCTTAGATTTAAGTCTTTAATAATCCATTTTGATTTGATTTTTGTATATAGTGAGAGATAGAGGTTTAGTTTCATTCTTCTGCATATGGATATTCAGTTTTCCTAGCACTGGTTATTGAAGAGACTGTCCTTTCCCCAGTGTTAGTTCTTGGTTTGTCAAAAATGAGTTGAGTGTAGATGTATGAAATTATTTCTGAGTTCTCTCCCTATTCCTTTGGTTTATATGTCTCTTTTCATGCCTGTAACATGCTGTTTTAGTTACTCTACCTCTGTAGTATAATTTGAAGTGAAGTAGTGTGATTTCTCCAGTTTTGTTCTTTTTGCTCAGGATAGCTGTGGCTATTCTGGTTCTTTTGTGGTTCCATATAAATTTTAGGATTATTTTTTATATGCTGTGAAGAATGTCATTGATATTTTGATAGGGATTGCATTGAATCTGTAGATTGGTTTGGGGAATATGGACATTTAACAGTATCCATTCTTTTAGTCAATGAACATGGAATAGCTTTCCATTTTTGTGTCCTCTTCAATTTCTTGCATCAGTGTTTCATGGTTTTCATTTTAGAAAACTTTCACTTCTCTGGTTAGGTTTATTCCTAGGTATTTTTTTTTGTAGCTGTTGTAAATGGGATTACTTTCTTGATTTCTTTTACAGATTGTTCGTTGTTTGCATATAGAAATGAACTGATTGTTGTATGTTGATATCGTATCCTGCAATTTTACTGAATTTGTTTTTCAGTTCCAATAGTTTTTTGGTGAAGTCTTTAGGTTTTTCCAAATATGAGATCATATTATCTGCCAACCATCACAATTTGACTTCTTCCTTTCCAGTTTGGATGTCCTGTATTTCTTTCTCTTGTCTGATTGCTCCAACCAAGACTTCTAGTATTATGCTGAGTAAAAGTGGTGAAAGTGGGCATCCTTGTCATGTTCCAGATTTTAGTGGGAAGGCTTTCAGGTTTTCTCCATTCTATATGATACCAGCTATGGGTCTGCTATATATTGCTTTTATTGTGCTGTGGCATGTCACATCTATACCCAGTTTTTTGAGGGTTTTTTTCATGAAGGGATGTTGAAATGTATCAAATGCTTTTTCAGCATCAATTGAAATGGTTATATGATTTTTATCCTGCATTCTGTTGATAGGATATATCACATTGATTGAATTGTATATGTTAAGCCATCTTTGCACTCCTGGGACAAATCCCACTTGGTCATGATGAATGATCTTTTATATGTTGTTGAATTTGGTTTCCTGGTATTTTGTTGAGGATTTCAGCATCCATGTTCATCAGGAATATTGGCCTGCAGTTTTGTATTTTCTTATGTGTCTTTGTCTGGTTTTGGCATTAGAGTAATACTGGCCTTGTAGAATCAGTTTGGAAGTATTCCTTATTACTCTAGTTTTTGAAATAGTTTAAGTAGGATTGGTATTAGTTCTTTAAATGTTTGGTAAAATACAGCAGCGTATCTACTGGGTCCTGAGCATTTCTCTGCTGAGAGAGTGCTTATTATAGCTTCAATCTCAGTACTTGTTATCAGTCTGTTTATGCTTTAGATTTCTTCATAGTTCAATCTTGGTAGGTTGTATGTTTCTAGGAATTTATTCATTTCTTCTAGGCTTTCCAATTTATTGGCATATAGTTGCTCATACTAACCTCTAATGATCGTTCGGATTTCTGCGGTATTTGTTGCAATGTTTCCTTCATCATTTCGGATTTTACTTACTTTGGTCTTACCCCTTTTTTTCTTAGTTGATCTAATGGTTTTTACAATTTTATTGATCTTTCATAGAAACAACTTTCGTTTAATTAGTCTTTTGTATTTTTTTCTTTTAATTGCATGTATTTCTGCTCAGATCTTTATTATTTCTTCCACTAATTTTGGGTGGGTTGGCTCTTGCTTTTCTAGTTCAACATGCATCATTAGATGGTTTATTTGAAGTTTCTCCTCTTTTTTGATGTAGGCACCTATAGCTATAAACTGTCCTCTAAGTACAGCTTTTGCTGTATCCCGTAGGTTTTGGTATGCTGTGTTTCCATTATCATTTGTTTCAAGAAATATTTAAATTTCCTTCTGAATTACTTCATTGACCCGCAGGTCATTCAGGAGCATATTGTTTAATTTCCGTGTATTTTTTCAGTTTCCAAAATTCCTGTTTTTATTGATTTCTAGTTTTATTCCATTGTGGTCAGAGAAGATATTTGACATAGCTTCAATTTAAAAAAAAATGTGGCCTAACATATGCTCTATCCTTGAGAATGATTTATGTGCTGAGGTGATCAATGTGTATTCTGTAGCTGTTGGATGAGATGTTCTATAAATATCTATTAGGGCCTTTTGATGTATACTACAGATTAAGTCTGATATTTCTTTGTTGCCATTCTGTCTATATAATCTGTCCAATACTAAAAGTAGGGTGTTTAAGGCTCCAGCTATTATTATGTTGGGGTCTATCTCTTTCTTTAGCTCTAGTAATGTTTGCTTTATGTATCTGGGTGCCCTGGTGTTGGGTACATATATATTTAAAATTGTTGTATCCTCTTGCTGAATCAACCCGTTTATTATTAGATAATGATCTTCTTTGTCTCTTACAGTTTTTTGAACTATAGTATTATAGTTAGCATTATAGTTTTTTAAATCTGTTTTGTCTGATACAAGTATAGCTATTCCTGCTCATTTTTCATTTCCATACCTTTATTTTCAACCTATGTGTACCTTTTATAGGTGAAATGTGCTTCTTGTTGATAACAGATTGTTGAGTCTTTTTTTTTTCATTCAGTCACTGTCTTTTGATTGGAGAATTTAGCCCATTTACATTCAATGTTATTATTGATAAGTAAGGACTTACTCCTGCCATTTTGTTATTTGTATTCTGTTTGTTTCATGGTCTTCTCTTCTTTCATTCCTTTCTGTCTTCCTTTTTGTGAAGGTGATTTTATCTTGTGATAGGTTTTAACTTTTTGCCTTTCATTTTTTTGTGTATCTGTCATAGGATTTTTGATTTGAGGTTACCATGAGGCTTGCAAATAACATCTTACAACCCATTATTTAAAACTGATGACAACTTAACATTTATTGCATGAACAAAGTAACAGAGAGAAAACTAATAAAAATTCTATAGTCTAACATCATCCCCTTGTTTTTTAACTTTTTGTTGTTTCTATTTATATCTTATTACATTATGTCTGGAAAAGTTGTTGTAGTTATTGTTTTTGATATGTTCATTCTTTAGTCTTTCCACTGAAGATATCAGTATTTTACACACCACAACCGCGGTTACAATATTAAGTGGTTTTCTGTCAGTTAACTACTACCACTAAGTTTTGTACTTTCAGATGATTTCTTAGTGCTCATTAATGTCCTTTTCTTTTAGATTGAAGAGCTTCCTTTAGCATTTCTTATAAGGTAGGTCTGGTGTTGACGAAATCACTCAGCTTTTGTTTGTCTGCGAAGGTCTTTATTTCTCCTTCAGGCTTGAGGAATAGTTTCACCAGATATACTCTTCAAAAGTTAAAGTTCTTTTCCTTCAGCACTTTAAACATGTCATTCCATTCTCCCCTGGCCTGTGAGATTTCCATTGATAAATCTGCCGCCAAATGTATTGATTTCTGTTGTATGTTACTTGTTTCTTTTCTCTTGTTGCTTTCAGGATTCTTTATTTTTGACATTCAGGAGTTTGGTTATTCAATGTTGAGGTAGTCTTCTTTGGGTTACATCAGCCTGCCGCTTTGGGCTAAAGTGGGGGATGAATGATTCACCCCCGGCTAGGACTGGTCTAAATGCTCCCTCCATGGGTACCAGCTGAATTCTGCCTGGTGTTGCTTTCCACTGTGAATGCAATGCACTGCATTCCAATGCAAAGTTCCACAATAACTGCACTCTGTCTCCCACAAACACACAAATTCTCTCTCTGTGCCATGCCCCTGCTGCTGGGAGATGGGAGAAGCATAGTGTAGGCAATTCAAGACTGTCTTTTCTACCCTCTTCAGTGCCTCTTTCCTTAATATGATGTTAAAACCAGTTGCTGTGATTGCTTACCTGACTTTTGGTTCTAAGGAAAGTGTTTTTTTCTGTGTGGATAGTTGTTCAATGTGATGTTTCTGCAAGGAGGATGGTCAGTGGAGGCTTCTACTTGGCCATCTTGCTCCATCATCTCCCAGCTGTGTTAGGTTTAATATGTATATGCATATTATGCCTAATCTTTAAGTAATAATAGAACTATACTCATTACTTCCACTGTCTTTCTCATTAGCTAATTCTATATATTCCTGGTATTGTTTCTTTACCTTTATACATTATAAATTTTCTTTCTCCATGCTTTCAATACTTATATCCTCCTTTCCTCAGTATGTATTAAAGTGCCTGGCACATTACAGGTGCTCAGTAAATGTTTCTGAGTGCTGCGACACTGACCTTTTAAAAATAGATTTAGCTCTATATTTCCTCTTACATTGTTAACATCTTGATAGTGGTTAGAAAGGAGTACAACCACCCCACGCACTCATTTTTTACTTATATGTCAGTATCACATATTAGATAGATTTCCATGTCACCAGTTTTATTCAATAATGTATTCCAGAATCCACATTTCAAAATAATTTAGAAAATAAATTGATTAATTTTAAAGGTCAATAATGAAGGGCTCAAATTGTAGTTATTAAATCAATCATTCATTCACTTACCAAACCTTAATTCAGTAACTCAAATGTGCCAGGTGTTATTATAGATTCTGGGAATCTTATATAAACCTTAGATGAAAGTGGGAGAATAGTAAAAGATAAGCATATGCATATATATATATACACATATACATACATATACCATTATCTCACTGAGGAGGAAGAGATTAATTTTCACTGGAGTTCAAGACTGTATATAGGAGACAGTCAGTAGCTGGAAAGATCAATATCTGTCCCTTCCAAAAAAAGAGCAGGAAGAAAGCATATGGCTAAATTTCCCTCTGCCTAGAATACCTTCTTTTCGTTTTTCCCACCATGAGCTTTTTTAATGAATAGTCTAATATTTTCCAGTATAAAAATGTATGTAAACCACTTAAGGCAAAGAGCTTCAACCACTAGTGGACTATTGGTTTGGTCAATTCTGTATCAAAGGCAGCTGCTGTGTAAGTAACAAGATAAGAAGGCTATTCCCAGTGTTGTATCACTTGAAGCTGGACCAGTGGTTATAATAAAACAGACACTGAGGGGACATGAAAAGTAAGAATAAATGATAGATTCAGTTACATATTTACTTCCTAATAAAAAAAATTCTGGTAATGGTTTGTTTGTCCATGTTGATATGTCTTCAGAGATGAGAAGAAGTAAAGATTGCATGACACACAATAGTTGAGTAATTTGCTTTGAAAGCACATCTGTTTACAGCTTACTTTTCTACCTCCATTAAATAATAAAATTGATCAGTTAATTGGCTATGACATGATAATAATATTTCTTCTGAATCTACAGCTCCATTATTTCCACAGCCATTTTCAAGGTTAATATAAAGAATCATGTTACAATGGTAGTGATAAATACTTAAAAAGTAAAAAAAGTAGCTCTTTGCTATTATATTATTTCTGATAGTAAATTAAAGGATGAATATTTATATAAGATAAATATGATTACATTATATGAGAGTTTGTGAAGCACAATTCAACTATTTGTCAAGCCGAAAAAGCCATTCTCTTGAAACATTGTGGCCAGGGAAGTATTTAGAGAGAGATGCAATTAACCAACATTTCAAATAGATCAAACTAACTAGTTTCAACAGAGGTCATAAATTGGCAGCCCTAGAGCTGAATATGACTGGAAGATTTTTTTTTCTCTTTACCTGAAACATTAATGAATGAAAGAAATAGCAAGAACTTAACAATTGGCAGATGTCAAGCTAAAATTTTGATTTAGGGATTTTCTTGCATATGATAATGTTGGTCTTCCTTGCTTCATGGCAACAATTCAGGTGCAGCCTGGGGGAAAAAAAAAACTGCCTTTAGCTAGGGCATGCATAAATTTTGTGCAGTCTTTACTGAGCCACTCCACTAATTTATTTGTTTTTTTTTAAGTTGACATTTGTCTTAACGTTAAAATTATAAATATTGGCACATACATTCTTCCCCAGGCATACCAATGGAAAATAACATTGTTATTAGTATTAAAGCAGTAAGATCATGCCATAATTTAATATGTTAAAACTCTCTTATAAAATACAACAAAAGAGAAAAACCTCTTTCTTAACTTTCAAATTCCATGAAATCCTCTGTGTATGTGTGTGTATGTGAGAGAGAGAGAGAGAGAGAGAGAGAGAGAGAGAGAGAGAGAACATTATGTATGTAAACTATCCAAATTCCCCAAGGAACATCGACAACACTTATGCATTTCTTTTCATGTCCTAGTCGATGGTTGTTAACCTGTGGGGAAGCAAAATAGAAACTGAGCTACCATATGTTATCTGTGCAGCAGCAGACACTTTGTATCATGATTAATTTGTTTCTTCAACAACCATCTTTACTGCAAGTGATTTTCAGATTTTCCTCTTTGAGGAAATAATTTGGATACATCTATTTCAGTATCATTTAAAACAACTCTGCAAACACCTAACCAGGATGGTACACCGAAGTATTTGTAAAGTGACATGAGATATGGAATATAGGATTTTAGGGGGGAAATGGATCTTTCAGTCTATGTTGATGGGAGTTGTTTTAATCTTGAATCTTTTGCCAGAGTAAACACATCTGCAGCTCATATTCCTCAGTATTTGAGGGAAGAACAGTCTCAAATTTTGTTAAAATACAGTGCTAATTACATTTTTAGTTTCTGTATATTCCTTTGAGAATTCACAGACACATTATTAATTTTCAGTAAAATCTTGAAGCTCACTTTAAGTAAACTGGAGAGGTGCAAAAAATCTGCCCTAATAAATGTATGAGGAACCAATATTCACAGTATCATTACATTATTGACTATAATTTCTCATAAATCCTTCTATCTAAATTAGGCTGCTAGATATAAATAAATAAGTCTCTTCCCTTTGTCCCCAACTAGTAAAAAAACTACACTAGTTATTTTGTGTGACCATGTTACAAAAAGGAAGTTAAAAGGGAAGTGACAAATAGTTATATGGCGTAAGGAAAACAAATAGCATTCATTTGTTCATTGAGATTTGACACTTACTCTGAGAAAGTCACTGTGCTAAATACTTGAAATACTAAAATGAATATGGCGCTGATCCTGTCTTTTAGGAAAAACATTGTAATCTAGTTTAACTTCTCATATTATTTTCCCTCATATTTTCGTAATATCATATCCTCCTATGAGTAAATATGAGGCCAAGAAAACTTAAATACTGCAAACACATGTATTTAGAGGTTAATTCTATATGTCAGTCTCTGCACCACATTTGCTCTATCTAGTTAGAAAAAAAAATTCATCTCCCACTGACTGGCTAGAGTATTATTGAACAAATGCAACCCTCTGGAAAGCGAATTGGTCTTCTAGTAAATGGACTGGAGAAGATGTTGTGATTCATTCTATAATGATAAGGGTTAATGTTGTACTTATTATGAAATATTTTAAATATATAGAATGTCCAAAAAATGATATAACAGACATTTTGTGGCCAAACCATTGTATTAATCGTAATTAATCCAGATTTTTAAAATCAGAATAGTATCCATGTGGTCTATACTCAAAACCCATGTCAATCCAAATCCTCCTGCAAGGATGGTTAGAAGACTAGCACAGGTTATGTCAGTCAAACACAATGATGCAAGGTTTGGAACCAAGGTATTACTCATATAAGTAGGCTATGTGATCATCTAAATCCACCAAACGGATATGGAAGTCATTTTGTCAATGCAAACTCTTACCAGGATATATTGCAGTGAATCAAAACAAGAGCGTGTGTTGACCTGGAATTAAGTGCCATCTTGAGATAAAACCGTAAATTTGAAACCAACATGGTGTGTAAAAGGGGAAATGAAACAATGTAATTCAAGTCTATCAGGGAGGCTGATGTGACCAAACCATATTGTTAACGTCTTCATCATGTGGGACAGGAAGGTGAAAGATACAGAAAGGGGCAGATTATTTCCAAATATTTAAATGAAAATGTTTTTACTTTTGAAATTGAAAAAAAGTTTGAGGACTTTTAAATATCATTTATAGTACACTTCCAACTTATAGAATAAGGTTTGATGTTGTAGTAAGGTTTGTGTTTTGTTTAAAAATCTACAATTTTGATGTGTCTGAATCTTGAAACACCAAAATAACAGAAGCATGGTAAGCATGATGCAGTATTTTTTAAGGCTTACTTCCAATGAAGTGAAGGATGACATTTGTTTCAGAACTCAAAATCTCAAGGAAATAGCCTTACCAAAATGTACCTGTGATAATTTTTTCTGCACACAACCATTTGCAAGAGAAAACTTGACAATGAATTTTTCTGACTATTTTTCTTTCAGTTTATGGAGAGTGAATGACTAGAAATACATCATTCTCCTAATTTAGCCTGAAATATGATTTTCCCATGGATGATGAATGAATCTTATAATTTGCTTAAATCTCTAAATGACTGGATGTCTTTCATCAGGCTTCTCTGTTTGCTAATTCTGGTGTTCTTATATAATGCCCAATAAGAAACATACAAAGTTAGATGAAATTGAAAATTATATTCAAAATAATAAGCAGTTGTAGAAAGATGATGAAGTTACAGGAGGAGTTGCTATAAATCAGGAACAAGACTTAAAATAACAACAAAACAGATCAATGACAGAAATCCTTTAAAGTCATAATACTTATAATCAGTCTGTTGTTTTGCATCAGGACTGTGGAAAGTGGAAAAAGAAAACTTCAAGTAGATTTATTTTACCTGCAGTGCTTATAAATGAGATGGGTCTTTCCAAGCTTTCCAATTTTTAGTAGATTCAATAGTGAAGTGACAAAAAAAAAAAAAGAGATAGATTTAAAACACAAGATTCCCACCACTATCCTCTCACTCTTCCATCAGTCTAGATTGTTTTAGCCACATAGACTAATGGAGGGAGTAAAGCATCACATAACTAGGTACAATTTTAAAACCTATGAAAACCTAGACTATCACCTTGACTGAATTTAAGTAATTTAATTTTTATAAGTCACTTCTGTTCTAAAATGGGTTTGACTCTGAAATGGAGTGGCAAGATTAGTTCAGACAGCTCCCAAGAATAGAGAGTCATTCAAGCTGGACCCAGGACTATAAATAGTAAAGAATACAAATTTTTATTATATATTCCTCTTTTATATTTAGCTTTTTAGAACAGCAGAGTCCTATGGAAGTTTTAATGAAGATGGGAGTGTTCTATTTTACCTTTCAAGCTCTTGAAATATGTCTTGTATGACTAATAAACTGATTTTTACAATTTATATTCATAAATTTAAATATCCACATATGGATAGTGGCTGCCATATAGAATAGCATGCCATTTGTGTATATAGAGTTCACATATTTCTCTACTAACACCAAGAGGGACTAAATAATCCAACAAAAAGCATATAAGTGAACGGAGGATAATGGGAGAAACTTCAAAATATATTAAAGGGAGTTTATTCTACATTATATGGGAGAGCAGATTTTTAAATAGTTATCCCTTGTATCATTGTCTGAACAGGATTTTTAAAAGTTGAAATGTTAACCCAAATAAGTGGAAAGTTTATATTCACTTTGTTTGGTATAAAATGGGTTGGGCACATTTTCAAACAGATGGTTACAAACCAGTTAGTTATAACAACTTCATGCAGCTGTAACCATCCTTTGTCATTGGACACCAACCAAATAGACCTACTCAGGGTTTGGATATCAATTTATTTTCTATCAGGTAACAGTTTGTGTTAATATTTCTATTAGGACCCACTATCCTTAGAAAAATGATCCTCTAGTTAAAATGTGAAGTCCATGCTTAAATACATCAACTATGTTCTTACATACCATGAAATGTTTGGGATTCTTGAAGCAGCTATAGCAACCACCACACAGAGAGAAGAAAATAGATCCACAGGTCAGTATTCTGTAGCTAAGAAGGATATTTTCTATCTCTTGCAGGTTTGTTCTCACTTTTGGAAACCTTAAAACTTTCAATATTTGTAATTTTCACATGACCAAATGGATTTTAATTGGCATTACTTTCCATTTTGCTGTCCTTTTAGTCTTTGTATAAATAAATATCATTTAATTAAAACACCTTAATCAAAATTGCTACATCTAGAAATAACATGTATTTGAGCTCTCGCTGGATTTTCTTCTGACTGACATGCAACTTAAATCATTCATCATCTTAAAGAATATCTGTGGAAAAAAGCAGATGTGTGTGGGAATCTTCCAAGAAAAGAGACAAAAGATTTATTTATATACATGTGCATATAATAGCTCATGGGTAAATGCATTGATTTACAATGGTATTAACTTTTACAAATACCTCCTAAACTTTAGGGAGAAAAGAGTAAAAATTTTATGTACTCATTACTAATGTTTGTTACTCATTACTTTTAAATTGATTTTTTTTGATACTTTGTTTTCTTGTCATGGATTAGTGTTGTTTCACATTTTGTTATATCATTCATAAAATATATATTTTACAATATTAATCTTCAATACCATTGGGTCGTATAACAGTTTTGATGCAGTAAAATTATACAGAAAAAAATAACCTCAAAGTATTTTTATTATGACAAAATAAAAAATATGACATGATTATTCTAAAAGGTAACATTTATAGTAACATCTATAGTACACAAACTTCTATTATATATTGGTTTCTTCAGTTTATGAGAATATTCGATTGAAAAATGAAGAAAACTTTTTTCATATTTTTATTATTAATGTCACAATATAGTGACTAACTCTGAAAGCTCTTCTTACCCATTGTAACTTTATTATCATTTATAATCCCTCATTATTTTCGTTTATACAACTTAAAAAATTTGCAAATAATTGTTTGGCTGTAATTTTATATACTAAATATTACTCTCTCCTCTAGATATTAAACTCCATTAGTGCAGGCTTCTGCCTGCATTATTCATATTGTATAATTGTGTTTCATCAGTACTTGGCTTATGGTAAATTCCCAAATATAATTTGTTAAATGCATGAATGGGGATAGAATTTATAAATGAATAAGGAACTACCATTTGCTAAGCTCTAACCTAAAAACCTCAGCAAAAAAAAAAAATCTGCTTTTCCAATTTGAAAATTAAAGACTAGTCCTATCTCCAAAAGAACATAGAGATACTCATCCCTATCCTGATGAGAAAGTTAACAGAAACAATTATATGTTACTTTTGAATTCCATGGCTTAAAACATAATTTTATGTATATTATCTGATTAGATAATCTCAAAACTCTATGAAGTAATTTTAACCTAATGTGATTTTGGATGGTATTTCTAATAAATAACTTTCCCAGCCCTAGTGGTTAAAATGTAGAAGCACCAAGATTCAAACCAAAGTGTTCTGATTCTATGGTTCTCTCCTCCTCCAGCCGCTGCTGACATTATAACCTAGAATCCGGCTGTTTCAGATAAACTTAATCAACCTGACATAAAAATAAAAGTTTCTGGCAGAGACAAACAGAAATTATGATCATGTTATCTTATAATACAACTGAGATTAGTACTAAGTGCTGAATATCTCTAAAGATTGATTTTTGGTGTGGTGACAAATGTTTGTGCCTACTTATTGCTGTCCAACCTATTAGCTAGTAGTAATGTCATTCAATGCCTTGTATATGAAGCTTCAAAATGTATTCAGAAAACTTTGACCAGAAATTTACGGGTCTATAACTATGCTTCCCTACTTTAGTCAAGTATCCTATTCCTGAGGTGAGGAACATATTTTTAGGAGTAATTGTTTCAACATATATTTAGTAAGTTTTATACTTAACAAGCATGACAATAGGTATGGGTATAAAATGCTAAATGAAAAGACAAACTTTCTGTCTTTTGGGAACCTTGAAATGTAATAAGAGCCAGATAAAATGTTAATATATGAATAGTTGAATGCATGAATAGGCGAAGGGAAAGAGAGACAAAGCAAAGTTAAATTGTGATAAAGAAAATTAAATAACATGATAATGAGGAGATAGACTTAGGTGAGAAGAAAAGGTCCTTGAAAAAAGATACATACATATATATATATAAATTCAGAAAGACTAGCTTTGTGAGAGATTGAGATGAAGCAGGATATTCTTTCTCTCAGAAAGAACCACATGTGCAAAGGAATTGTACTGGGAAATATTTGGTATGTTAAACTGTCTCCGATTAATGTAGGATGGCCAGAACCCAGTGGGTTGAAAAAGCAGGATGAATCAGTTCTGTATGTTCAAATAAGGCCATGGTACAAAGCTTGGACTAACATCATCTGATGTTTGCCATTGTTGAATTTAAAATTGTTATTTCCAATAGGGCATGTGTGAAAGCTTACACACCGGTTAAGTGTTTAGTTGTTGTCTGGGCAAAAGCTGGTATAAGAATGGGAAGACATGCAAGGATTTGTGGTAGATTTTGGAGGTAGAAATTCAATAACCTGATGATGAATCGGATAGAAGGAGTCAAAGAAGTAGAATAACTAAAAATGACTCACAGCTTTTTGTCTTTAGCAATTGCCGTACCATTAGTTATTATTCCCACTACATATTAGAGGATGTTAGTAAACTATTTGTAATGTTTTAAGTGGGAGGGAAAAAGAAGAAAATGGGAGGAAGAAGAGAAGAAATAAGGCAATCAAGAAGCAAGTTACAAAACAGGAAGACTGATGATGGAGGAAACAGAGTAAAATATCGAAAGGCAAAGTCCTCAGTTTATTTTGGTATTTTGTTCTTGTTTGTTTTTGGACAGGGTTTCACTCTGTCTCACAGGCTGGAGTGCAGTTGCATAATCAGCTCACAGTAGCCTTAAACTCCTGGGCTCAAGCAATCCTCCCACCTAAACCTCCTGAGTAGCTATGTATGCCACCACCCTTGGCTAATTATTTTTTAATTTTTTTTGTAGAGACAGGGTCTTGCTATGTTGACCAGACTAGTCTGGAACTCTTGTCCTCATGCTGTTTTCCTGCCTTGGACTCTCAAAGTGCTAGGATTATAGGCATGAGCCATGGCACCCAGCCCTGATCTTGAGAAAGCTAGAAGAATGTGATTCACTGCATGTATGGAGAGACTGGTCTTTGTTATCAGGAGATACCTGTGTTTGTTGTAACAGAAAGAAAGATGAAAATAAATGAGTACATAGGTTAGTGAATTTGGTTTCAAGAAATTGAAGGTGTTATTCAGTTGATAGCTTCTATTTTCTCAAAAAGTTGAAAACTATCCCGAGTTGAGAGCGCAGATTTCATAGCTGCAGGAAAATTGAAGAAAGGGAAAATATGAAAATGATGGTACTAAAGGGTATGAAAACAGTCCTTTCAGAAAAATGAAATACAATTGCTTGACAAAGTTGAGGGCCTATGTAAAATCTTGAGTTTTAATTAAAAGTAGTCCCTAAAACTCTCTAATCTTTTCTAGCAACAGTGAACATTTGTGGTTCAAGTTTGAACTTAGAGAATGGTT
Source organism: Homo sapiens (assembly GCF_000001405.40). Lineage (NCBI taxonomy): Eukaryota > Metazoa > Chordata > Mammalia > Primates > Hominidae > Homo > Homo sapiens. The sequence goes on along the minus strand of NC_000003.12, from coordinate 79,262,927 downwards.
GACTTGATCTGATATGAGGTGTTCCTCCATCTCAGATATTTCTGGAAGACTCAAGAGCTATCAGGACTTTTTAAAATAAAATAAATGAAATTTGTATGAGCACACTATGGAATTCCCAATTTGGCAAACGACTTTACATTGTGTATTCTGTCGATACTTATTTTTTTATCATTTAAATATAAAATACATATGATATAATGCTGCTTTTTATAGTAAAATGAAAATATATTTTTCATGTAAGACACTTTTTAAAAGCAATTTCTCTTTGTACTTTTAGTACTGTAAGCTATGTTTATTCCATTTAAAACGTTTTTTTACTTTGTCTTATCTTTCCCTTTCCTATTGCTTCAATCCAAGTTTATACTTCCTTTATTTCTTGCCTAGAAAAAAACCTTTCCAGAAAGTATAGCTTAGTTGATGCAGTAACAGATAGTATCAAAAGTCTTAAAACAACAAAAGTTTCTTTTCTTGTACTCTAAATATCAAATGCAGATTAGCAATTTCAGTCTCTAAATGATTCAAGCTGATGAGGTAAGATTCTAGCACTTAAAGTTATCTACCAAAATATCTTTATTTTCAGTTTTTTCCCCAAACTTGATTAGGTGGGCTTGGAGAGAGAATCGATGAGAAAGTGAAGCCAAAGTGAAGAGCCCCCATTTCCTGCTGATTTTCTAGAGCAAAATGACTTGAGTGAGTGTTTAAGAGCTATCCCTCAGAGGAAAAACTTCAAAAGTCGTACTATTTGGTAAATGTCAAATGAGTTACCTAGGGAATTTCATCAAGGAATTTGTGTTTTTCTTTTGTTTTACTTTGTTTTAGTTGTTTTGCTCTGTCTTAGATAATAGATAGCCTGGCTTGTTGACCAAGAGCACATGTTTCTTAGATCTGTACAAGCCTAAATAATTAGAGAATATGTTTAATCAATTTTGCCTCCCATAATTCCCTCAGATAAAGTATAAATTTTACATTTGTCCAGAAAGGTCTTTTACAATCTTGAGTAAGCCATAGCACTAATTTCTATAGATCAATTACAACGTAGAGCAACTCTAGGTAATACCAGTTGATTTCTGGTTTTTCTCAAACTAGGCAGAAGTATATTTCTTTATCCAGTAACATATTGATAAAATTAAATAGTATTTGACTTGACATTCATTGAACTCTTTTTTAGATCTGAAACAATATCCTTGGTGTCTTATACAAAAGGGATTCATAAATATCTTTGGCAAGTAAATTAAAAAATAATATCAGGGCAGCCTGATCAACTATATAAGCAACTTACATCAGACGGCCTACTACATTTGGTGGGGGGAGTGGAAGCTACAACAAAACAGATTTAATGCAAGCTCTTAAGAAGATAGCCTTAAAAATGAAACATATTTTTCATTTCTATACTCACAATTTAATTTCACAATATGTTTGAAAATCATTATGCTGAATATATACAACAACTGAATATATACAATAATATATACAACTTAAAAATGAAAAACATTTTTCATTTCTATACTCACAATTTAATTTCACAATATGTTTGTCAATCATTACACTGAATATATACAACCCATTTTTACAGTGCCTGATACTATTCAGCTTTTACATCCACTAGCTGTTTAGTCTTGAAAATAAAAGCAAAATACAATAAATGTTTTTACAGCTGTTCTTCTACATAATATGAAAATGGAATCTGCAGAGAGATATTCACACTGTTTCCTTTAGGTGTAAATGCAGCCAAATTAGTAAGGTAACATATACAAAAAAAATACTATGTTCCTTGAAAGTCAGATAATCCTTAAAAATCAACTGTAAGTGAAACAGATCAGTCTGATATTTACCAGGGTCTTTTCTGTAGGGAAACACTCTTTATAACATCACTTGTATGTAATGGTTAAAAACACTAAAAATGGTAACTTCAGTGGATAGGATGTACAAGTATTGTGAATAGAGCTTGCTTTCTGTGGTTTCTTTTGTTTTCTGTAAGAGAAAATCCATACTAAATTAAATATAGAATTGAGCAGAGTTCACTTTTAATTTTGTAGATTATAGGTGAATAATTATGGGAATATTTAAATTAACTTGTTATATGGAAAATTAGATATCATGATTTTGGGTCACAGATAATTCATTATGCCATTTTAAAAAATTGTGATTGCTCCCATCAGAAGTTCTCTAAAACTTTTCATTAATACTATTTACAATTGAGCAGAAGACAGCATTGGCTTTTATCCTGCTCAAGTGGCAGACTCATCCCATTGAACAGCTCTGCTGTCTGATTCAATGTTGTGAGACTTTCTTTAAAACTCTCTAATAACCAGAATAAGAACAACACAATCATAACTAAACTACTTTAAGTAAGGTCTAAGCTAAACTCAGTTAAAACTTGTAGTGAGAAGAACATTCTTTATAAAGCAAAGTTTATGTATTTCTGTAAGGAACATTTGAATTCTGAGGTTGTGTCACTAAAAGGTATTAGAAAATTTTATTTTTCATAATTTTGGAGGTTCCAGATAATATACATAAATATATACACATGCAGATATACAACGTAGATATATATCTATTTAGAATACATTAAAAATACAAACACTAAATTCTTTTATCTCTTAGGAGAGTGATTCTGAGCCTCACAAAACACCCAGCAGAATATTTCCAGAGCACATTTTAAATAATATGATATTTATGATAAAGAAACTCATGTGATTTTATACATAATTTCCCAGGGGATTTTTGGTTGTATAATTAGGACAGTTTTAAATTAGATTTTAACTCAATTAGCTGACTTTCAATAACATTATGGGAATACAAATATATATATATATATATTTGTGTGTGTGTGTGTGTGTACATATATTTAAGCAAGTTCAGTACATTACTGCACATTAATTTTTTTGTTCATTCTTTTCTAATTATGTATTGTAACATTTCTTTAAAACTTGATAAACTGGTGAAGGGAGGGAAAGCTACATTTGCCTCCGGTCTCAGAGGCCTGAAACAAAATACCTACTGATGAAGCAAGAATTACAAATGCATTTTACAATTGAAAAAGTTCTTTTGAACACTTTTCTCTTATTTGGTTGTCTTTATCAGGGATTGGAGATAGCAGATTATCATGTTTTATTAATAAAAGTGAAGGTCAGTACACACAGTGGGTAATTTGAGAAATGTCGATTTAAATCTTTTGCCTATTATGGAATTATTAGATTTTTTCTTATAGAGTTGTTTGAGCTTCTCATGTATTCTGGTTATTAAACTCTTGTCAGATGGGTAGTTTGCAAATATTTTCTCCCATTCTGTGGGTGGATATAGAGAGTAGAAAGATGATCACCAGAGGCTGGGAATGCTAGTGGGGGCATAGGGGGAGGTGGGGATGGTTAATGGGCACAAAAAAATAGAAAGAATGATTAAGACCTGCTATTTGATAGCACAATGGGATGGCTATAGCCAATAATAACTTAATTGTACATTTTAAGATAACTGAAAGAGTGTGCTTAGGCCAGGCATGGTGGCTCACACCTGTAATCCCAGCACTATGGGAGGCCGAGATGGGCAGATAACTTGAGCCCAGGAGTTTGAGACCAGCCTAGACAACATGACAAAATCCTGTCTCTACAAAATAAAAATTACAAAAACTAACTGGGCATGGTGTTGCATGCAGCTGCTGGGGAGGCTGAAGTGGGAGGATCCCTTGAGCTCGGGAGGCGGAAGTTGCTGTGAACCAAGATTGCACCACTGTGCTCCAGCCCAGGTGAAGGAATAATACCCTGTCTCAACAACAACAACAAAAAGTATATTTGGATTGTTTGCAACTCAAAGGATAAATTATTTAAATGATTGAGGGAATGGAAAAAAAAGTAGGAAATTTTAGAGCAAATTGTCCTTTGAATATTAAAGTTTAGGGTCAAGATCCAAAGTTAACAAATTATATATGTGGTGTTTTCTCTGCTATTCAATAGAAGCATCTCTATATGGCATCATATCTTTAAAATGGCACATAGTATGAATGTTATAGTGAGTTTTTCCCTGACAAATCCATTTTTCAAATGGATTTCTAGGCAATAGCCTAATTAGGCAACCCTAATAGGGTTGCCCAATATTGTAATATCATTCCTGAACCAACAATATTGGAAGAAGGGTTTGAATTTTGGGATCAGTCTGACAATTTGACATGACAAATTCTGTGCTCATCTGTGTTTGTGTCTCCCAGTGGAAATAGAATATTTAAGAGATTAAACATCAGCCTAGAGAGTTGAGTAATTGAATCCCAAATGGTACTTCAGGCCAAGGTGGTGATTAATTTCTGGGGAAATTCACACTGAAGGCCTGTTTCTTTCTCAGTGCTGCTATGACATGGCGCACAAAATATTAATATTGGCATAGACAGCATTAGATAAAAATTTCTACTGTGATCTTTGGTATTCAAAAACCAACTGAAATATTTACAATATGCCTAAATCAGGTTAATGTAATGTGAAGGAAAAAGCAGAACACAAAATAAAGTTTTAAGTTTTTAAAAGGAGAGGCTACCAAGTAAAACTGTAATTATCACAGACATATTTTCATCATTTGTACTAATTTTAGAATGCAAATGTGTATTTGCTTGTGTGTTTATGAATTAGAACATATTTCACATGTGTACACTATTTTCTGAGAAAAAAATAATTGATAGCATAGAAGTAAAACATTGTGTGGTTAAACTGGCAACAACAACAAAGATGAAGTACAAAATGAAGTCAAATGTAGGTGTAAGAAGTGTAGCAAGGGTATAAAATTAGACATGTGGAGAAAGGGGAATACCAAATTCCAAAATTTTTCCATTTAATTTAGCATCTGGTTGAAGTCATTGTAGCTAAATGTTTAAAGATGCTTAGCACATTTCAAGACAGGAAAAGAGACAGTTTAGTTGGAATGGGACACATCCCAAAGGCTGAAAACCATCTAGTATCAGACTGGAATTTGGGTTATAGCTTTATTACTAACCAAAATATTACTTCCAGTTGGAATTTTAAACTCCAATAAGACACAGGACTGAATATACTGTGGTTGTTTCTCTGCCCTAAATTCTTGTTTTAGTCATCATTTTTGGTTTAGGAGAGTGACTCTTATTATCATCCTAAGGTGAAAAGAAACATTCGAGTGTATTATGGTGTAGCAAAAAGAGCATCTAAAACCACTATTCTAACATCATTTTAACTACTGCCTTGCCACATGACCTTGGGGAAGTCAACCTGATCTTTCTGAGCTCCTTGTCCTTTTTTATAAAATGAAAGTAATGTTCCCCCTTTCCTGCTTACTTCAAACAATCATTATGGTATAAAATGAGCTAATGGAATGTGAACAACCCCAACTCTAAGCTGTTCAATAAATGAAACGTATCAATCTATGCCAGGCCAACCACACTTGTACCAAAACATGGAGAGACTTCCATGATGGAGTAGTACAAACCGAAGATTCACTGTGGACTAATTAATGGCCTGGCTAAAAGAGTGGGAATTCCAGTTTATACGATTATTTCAAGATCTAATTTACTCTACTGCTGCCCCAGAGAGTCAACTTCAGTTTGTACTTTCGAGTTCCACTTGATATTTTTAGCAAGTGAGAAGGGCTTTTTGTGATTTTGTTCTCTGAAAGCATGATAAATCCCTCTTTTGTCTATTATGAACTAGATTTAATCAAAATCAGTCATGAATTGAAAAATCAAGTTTACACCCTTATTTACTAGTTGACAAAATTCTCAGACTGACAGTTTAAAGATATGCTTAAATAAACACAATTTAATTCACTTGATTTCCTCTACAAACATTATACCAAGGATTACAATTTCAAACTTACTTTCTGGAAAGTGACACCGTTAGTTATCCCATAGGGACTTAAAATTTTTAATCTGTGAAGATGTAACTTATTTATGGAAAGACCAGTTGTGACAACAAAGTAAGACTGTGTTTAGGTATATTAACTGATTTAACCAAAACTATTGAATACCACGTACCAAACTACAAGTTAAAATCTAAAAATTTAGAGGTTACTAAGACACATTCAATCAGTAAGAAGCTCATTGACTGTTACAGTGCACAGCAAAAATTACACCTGGAGCTCCTACACCAAAATAACCTGTAATGTTTATTAAAAATAGGACATATCTATTTTTGCTTTTAAAAGTTAAGATATCTCTACCTTACCTTCATCAGTAGGTTGTCATGAGTTTTTTCTTTAATCACAGAAAGTTAATAGATGTAAAGTACTTCATAACTTTAAAGGCATTTTGTAAACTTAAGTCTTATGAGTTCATCAAATATCTTGATGACAGAATTTAGATGAATTCACAAATTTAGAATGGGTTCTAGATCCTAATATTATTTTCTTAGTTTTTACTCTTTGTCTTATTAATGAAAGTTGTATCCTAAGTATTGACAAAATGTTATTGACATTCTTATTTTTCCTCATTCCACATTTATGGAAGATCTTATTTCCATCACCTTGTATACAACGTTTATTAATACTAACTTGTAACTTGTTCCACTGGTTTTAATCAACTAGATTAACATGGTCAGGCTGTTTCCATTAACTGTACTCTCAAGTGCTGTCTATTGAAAGTGCTTAGAAATGTGAAGTTGGTAATGAACACATGTACCATGTGTCTACAGCCTTGGAAGAAAGGGTGATTCTTCCGAATTAGAACCAAAGAAGAGGAGACTTAGAAAGTATTATGTGGTTTTTACACAGACTTCCAAAAGAAAATCCAGAAAGCCATTATTTAAGTGGGTGGATGGAAGAATCCCTGTTCTTAAAGGTTTGTTATCATGATTCATGGAGTCAAAAGGAAAAAGCCAGTCAAACAAACAAAAACCATTAGAATGAAAATTGTGTGTGAGAATTTTGTCCTCAGAAGTTTGTATTCAATGGAGATTACTAGTCTGCCAAGGATGCTTTCCTTATTACAATTTCTACCAAATTATGCATTCTAAATCCTGAAAGAGCCTCAGGCTAAACTGCTTGCCTCTCTTATTCCACATGAACAGCTCTTTGCTGAGGAGATGATCCAGCCTCCATCCTGACCCAGCTTTGAGGCAGATGTTACCTCACTTATGGGGAAGTAATTCTCTCAATGCACTTCTTCCTGCTGTCAGTGTGGTGGAGGGGGAGATGAGAAGTGGGAGGTTGACAAATGATTAATATTTGACATTATTCAGTTTTGAGTCTAAGTTCTGACCCCTGAAATCGCCCTTCGTATATATTACCACCACAAAATATTATGTGTGTGTGAATATGTGCTTACCTATACTTCCAGAACGGTAGTGTGTTTTTACTACACAAGTGAGAAAACACAGTGACACTAATGATTAAAATGCAGAATAATTTTGTTTTGCTTATATCGGTACTACTTTACCAACAATCCGAATAGATTTCTAATGTAGCCATTACACGCTGATTCAGAAAATTCCTTAGCTCAGCAGTAAAATCACCTACAAGAACAATACAATTTTGTCTTAAGACGAAACTGCATTTGGGGATATGAAAAGAAGAACAGTGATGTGGGAGAAACTTATGTTTTTTGTTTTTGTTGTTGTTTTTGTTTTTTTAGAGATAGCCTTGCTCTGTTGTCCAGGCTGCAGTACAGTGGCACAATAAGAGCTCATTTCAGTTCAAACTCCTGGGCTCAAGCCATCCTCCAGCCTCAGCCTCCCAAGTAGCTGGGACTACAGGTGTGCCACCTTGTCCGGCTAATTTTTATTTTTATTTGTTTTATAGAGACAGGGTCTTGCTATGCTGCCTAGGGTTGATTTTTCATCCTGGCTTTATATGGATAATGGACGCATAAATCCGAGTAGGCTGGTTTCCTTAGTTTGATGGATGAGATGGATGATGGTATTACCCAGCAAATGCGGAAGACTTTTTTCAACTTCTATTTGAAAGCATATATTGAAGTTTTATTTACTGTGTGCCAGTTATTGTTTCACACATTTTTTGTGTCATTTGATGATCATTTGCTCATGTACCCCTGTGCATAAACAGAATGAAGAGACTGAAGTACACTCATTCACTGATGCAACAAACATTTATAAAGTTACCAGAATATGCTAGACACAGCTCTGAGAACTGAGGAGGATCATAGAGAAAACATACTACAGTCTTGGTTACTATGAACTTTACTGCCTAATTGGAGAAGCTTACACCCAATAAGGGGCATTGAAATAATGAGAGAGACTTCCCGAGGTTACATAGCTAACAGGAGAGCTGGTATTTCAGATTCAGGTCTTCTTTCTCCAAGTTTATTGCTACTTTCATAACATGATACTGTAGTTTATGTTAGAAAAATGAATGTCTCTTCTGATTTTGCAGGTTCACTGGGCCAGGTATTATCTTTATTAGTTCTTCTCTTGTTTCTGTCATCCATTTGTGCCACAGCAGCCATATTAATAGTCTCATATTTTGTGTGTGTATGTGTGTGAGTGTGTGAATGTGTGAGTGTGTGAATGTGTGTGAGCTTCCTTTCTCTAGCGGAAAAGAGATAACTAGTCAAGAATTGGAGGAATTAAAAAGAGATTGAGAAGTACCCAAAACACTAAAAAGCCTAAATAACTATTATATAGTACAAATGAAAGAAAAAAGCCAAAGAGACACGTAAGTTCCTATTATGCAAAACAGCAGGTAGAGCTAAAATGGAGTTATAGCATGCATATATATCGATAAAAATTAATATTGTTGATATCAAACATAATGTTATTTATCTTATATCCTGTGATTATAGGTAGAGTTAAATGGTCAAATGTTTCAAGAATAATCCATTTTATATTCATTGCAGAGATAGCTGTTTTGAACATATGTTAGAATGATTTTCCAGAGATAGATGCAATATTAGAGTTAAGGAAAGCATTTCAAGAAAATAAATAACTGAAACAAGAAGAAGTCACTCCAGAGCCTTCTTGCCGGGTGGATAAGTGCTCCTAACAAGGCACACTAGAAAACTGAATTGCAGAGACGTTAAATCATGTTGCAACCCAAACCACATAATGAGACATGTGGCAGAACTGAAATTACTGTACAGTCACACTTTGCTTTAATCACTTGAAAAAATCCATATGTTTTACACATGTGAGTTACTCAGTTATAGTCAGAATGCTCATCTTTAGGGAATACTGGGGAAACTAAATCTTAGCGTCTAAGATATACTCACGCTACTCTCTCTCTTTTCCTCCTTCTTTATTAAGATTTTTGCACTTGCAGGAATTTTGTACTTAATGAAGATCCAGCACTAAGGCCAACTCAAGTTTGTCTTTGTTTGGCCTGTGCCTATAACTTTGAATGTTGTTTTTGTGTTTCCTTGTTCTAATTGGCATGGAAGAATTCCTGCAAGCCTTGAGCACCATCTTCAACTAAAGAACATAAGTAGGCACCCACTATTTGCTCACGAAGCCAAAACAGCCAGAAGTCTAGCAAGTAGGCCTAGCAGCTCCTTCACACATCTTCAATGCCGTTGTTTTTGAAGTGTTTGGTGATGAATTGGAACACATACTGAGTACTGCAAGAAGTAAAATATGTTCTTGTGAGAGCAGAGAATAGCCTCCCATTCATTCCAGGGTATGTTTACCTTAGCACAGAGTCTCTCTTAATACCCAAACTGCTGGGGCTTTCCTTGGGGTCTTCTAATGGTACATCTGGAGTCTGTTAGTGACAGTGCTACCATACAAACATCTTTCTGACTCTGGCTGTATACTTCGACACTAACACGGATTATTAAAACATTTAGGGAATTTCATCAAGCAATTTCTTTTTTGTCTACACACTGCTAATAATTGATTTGTATTGAATTTCATTTTTATTTTGGTGCCCCATAGATAAAAACAAAAGTATATTTCTGCACAGTATATAAATGTGTGGATGTATTTTTCATATTAAAAAGCTACAGTATATGCTTAATTCCAAGTGCCCTAACATAAGTTAGGTCACACTGGTAAGGCCAGCTGATTCATGTAGGCCAGTTTTATGGTCCAATGGGTTCAGGAGAACACTAGTATAATTTAATGCAAGACATCTATCTCCTTGAGGGAGCAAATGTGAAAAAAAATGTGGATTAATGATATGATTGCATATGTGTGGCTGCGTACTTCTGTGTGGCCTGCATTTTATGATTTATAAACTGATTATAAAATTTTTTAAAGAGCCATTTTTGGCTATATTTATTATATGAGTAGAATCCTAAGTAATCTTGATACAAATTTTTTCTTCCAGACTTTCACTTACCTTAATACTTGATACATAATGATTACTGAATAAATGCTGGCTGCTATTACAATTATTGGTACATGCTTTATTAGTTCCCTGGGGCTGCTGTAACAAATTACCACAAACTGGGTGGCTTTAACAACAGAAATTTATTTTCTCATAATTCTGGAAGCCGAAAAACCAAAATCAAGGCATTGGCAGGGTCATGCTCCTCCCAAAGTTTCCAGAAGAATCTTTTCTTGCCTTTCCAGTTTCTTAGGGATGCTGGCAATCCTTGGCCTTCCTTAGTTCGTGACAGCTTAAGTCCGATCTTCAAATGAACTTCTACCCTGTGTGTGTCCAAATTTTCCCCTTCTTAGAAGGACACCAGATAAGGACACTTACCCTAAATCAGTGTGATCTCATCTTAACTTAATTACATCTCCAACACCCTATTTCCAAATAAGGTCCCATTCATAGGTTCCTGGTGGACATGAATTCTGGGCAGACACTATCCAACCCAAATACACATAATAAGTTGTATATTTAATATTAATAATTTCAATATATGACCAGAAATAATAAAATACGTGTTAAGCAAGAGCTACAAAATCTAAATAGTCATTCTTCATCCAAGTATATATTGTGAGATAAAATTTACAATAGAGTTGCCATCACACAACATATTGGTTGTTCTTTTTTTTTTTTCTTTAAAATTGCCTATTTTAAAGACTCTGAGGAAAATCTTGATTTTGGGTCACCTAAGTTTTCTGGTTTCTTTGAGACTGAGTCTTGCTCTCTTCCCCAGGCTAGAGTGCAATGGCACAATCTTGGCTCACTGCAACCTCCACCTCCTGGGTTCTAGGGATTCTCCTCCCTCAGCCTCCCAAGTAGCTGGGATTACAGATGCGCGCCACCATGCCTGGCTAATTCTTGTTTTGGTTGTTTGTTTGTTTGTTTTTTGTTTGCTTTTGTTTGTTTGAGGCAGATTATCGCTCTGTCACCCAGGCTGGAGTGCAGTGGTGCAATCTTGGATCACTGCAACTCTGCCTTCCAGGTTCAAGGGATTCTCCTGCCTCAGCCTCCCGAGTAGCTGGGACTGCAGGCGTCCGCCACCATGCCCAGCTAATTTTTGTATTTTTAGTAGAGATGGGGTTTCACTGTGTTAGCCAGGATGGTCTGAATCTCCTGACCTAGTGATCCACTCTCCTCGGCCTCCCAAAGTGCTGGGATTACAGGCATGAGCCACAGCGCCCAGCCTGGTCACCTAAATTTTTAATGCAACATGTTATTACCCAATTTGTTGACCTACAGTATTTTACAGCCATTATCCTGAATTTCTTTTTGTATTGAACAATAAGTAAACAAATTACTTCTCAATTTAGGAAATATTTCCAAAAGTACTACTTCTGCATGCAAGCAAATAAGACAATGAAGAAATATTTGCCCACTTGCTTGCCTTCTCTATCCCTCCCCTCTGAAGATAATAATGTGTTGCTTTTGCATCTGTCTCTATTAATATTAAACCATTTAAATAAATTTTATTTGCTCTTTTTAATTGGGTAATTATATACATATAATTCTGTCTATCACTTTTGGTATACATATTCGAAACAGACATTCATATTGATATGAACAAATCTTACTGATTTCCTTTTTTGTTGTTGTTGTTGAGACAGTTTGGCTCTCATTCTGTCACCCACGCTGGAGTGCAATGTCATGATCTCAGTTCACTGCAATCTCCGCCTTCCAGCTTCAAGTGATTCTTGTGCCTAAGCCTCCAGAGTAGCTGGAACTACAGGCTTGAGCCACCACAGCTGACTAATTTTTGTATTTTTAGTAGAGGCGTGGTTTCTCCATGTTAATGAGTCTGGACTCAAACTACTGTCCTCAAGTGATCCACCTGCCTTGGCTCCCAAAGTGCTGGGACTACAGGTGTGAGCCAACGCGCCTGGCCCTCATTTCATTTTTAATAGCTAAAAAATATTCCATAGGGTTTATATATTAAAATTATTAGTTATTTAGTCTAATGAATTAACTAATTTATTATTCTGGTTATTTTATCATTTTTTATATTCTTTTGCCAATATAATCATTGTGTAAAAGCTATGGCAGTATAGACTGTTTTATAAGATATCCTTTAAAACTGAGATACAGAACCCCCCCCACACACATTATAAATTTTCAAACGTACAGCCAGAAAACATAGCTTGAAACTAGATATTTCTGAATGCTTTTGGCAACTTCTAAGAATCAGTTTTAAATTCAGATGTAAAGAATATACAAAAAGTCCTTTTGGTGTTTCAACCAGGTACTCAGTCATATTTTTGAAATATTAGTATTACTTGCAACATGGCTGCTTTGTCCAGCAGAAAACTATTTTAATGTCTAATGTCTTCATTAGAAAATTCCATTTATTTACCTAAGCAGTACAATTAGGACATCCAGAAATGAATATATAATTATATTGTGAATTCTTTAAAAATAGTGACCATTACTGTGCTCCTTAATATTTCCTCTACTTAACATAGTGCATGTGTGCATTCAAAGCTCAAAAACTATTTGAATATGAGATTGACATTTCTGTTGATATCTTCTAATATTCTGTAATTCAGTCTTCAATCTGTATCAGCCTAGCTTCTAACTGCCACACCACTGAAACAGTTCTTTTCAAAGACTCCAACGACTCTCCCAGCAAAAACTAGTGATTACTTCCCTGGTCTTCTCCTACTTCTCTTACTTCTCTGGTCTTCACTTATTATTCCAACCAACCACTCACTCCTTCTTAAAACATTCTGTTTTTGTGGCTTCTTTGGCACCCATTTTCCTTCATTTCTATTCAGTTGATGAGTCATTGCTTCATTATTTTGTCAGTTACTTTTTTCTATCCAAAGTCTGTATGTTCCTGAGGTTTGGGAACGTACACACTTCTTTCTTCTACACTGTGTGCCTAGAATACGTCTATGTCCACGTAATTAAACACAGCTATATTTAGGCTGATGGGACTCACACTTATATTTCTTTTTGAGGCTCTTCTTCTAGGTTACAAACTTGCATTCTATATTAGTTGAAAATTGCACTTACTCACCTAAAGGAGAAAACTCAGATACATTTGCTTATGCCATATAGGAGTTTAAGTTTTCCCTGTTGTAGCAAGATACATAATACAAACCTGGTCCAGTGAATCAATCATAACAGAACTGAAGTCCTTAACAATCTCTAGTATTGTTTTCTTATGATTGGGCACAAAACAATAGTTGAAGATCCAGCAACGCATCCAAACACCAGAGAAAGTGAAAGGAGGGGTCATAGGTGAGATGACCACGAAAGTTATTGCCTAAATTGAGAGAGTTTTGAAACCAAAAAGTAAGGCGTTCATAATTAAGTCAGGAATTAGGCATATACTCTGTCTTTCTCAGACAAGTCAGGAAACGTAGTCCTCTTCGTGCTGGTGAACAGTTCACGTGCCCAGCTGTCACCCGCTTTTTAAAGGGCTTTCTCAAAATGCCCACCCAGCAGCTGCAAGGTTACACGTATTGGTCAAAACTGTATCAGATGACTACTTCTTACTTTGAAAGCAGTGTATTAGTCTGTTTGTTTTTAAATTAGGTACACTTTTAAAAGTTAGGTAAATTGCAACTGCAACAAAATGAGGTTCTAATAGAAAGAAAAGAAGACAGGATAACAGGTAGATTTCTAATAGTACTTGATATACATGTAAACTTCATTAGTCTCTCTACTACAGTGTCTTATTAGAGTCTAAAATCCAATATGTTTAAAACCGAACCCTTTCTTTCCCCATTTCTCCCAAACCTGACCCCATTACAATTTTGCACCCTCAGTGAATGGAACAGAATACTATATGTCTTGATATGCAACCTAGAAATCTAGGGATGGGCTAAGATCCATGCCTTTCCATCAACCCCCACACCCAATACCTTGGCAAGTCCTATTTACTCTCCAAAACACTGCTTAAATTTGAAGGTTTATGTTACTCTATTCTATCACCTCTTTAGAGCAAACCACTCTCATCTTTTTGCCAGAAACATTAAAACGAAAGCTTAACTCGTCTCTCTGCTTCCAGCACTGCCTCCCAATCCTTATTACATCTTCACTCAGTAGCAATATTATGTTTATATTGAATCACAATATTGCTTTTTAAAAAACCTTTCAATAACTTTCTATCAGACTTAGAATAAAATCAAAATGCCACACCACGTATTTATTCTGCATGAAGCATTATTCTGTTGTCCTTTCTGTCAGTCTTTTGTTTTTCTTCCCATGTTCTTAACTGAAACTTGAAATCATTTTTCTGTTTTATTCTCTCTCTCTCTTTTTTTTTTTTTTTTTTTTTTTGGTCTGTCTTCCCATCTAGGACCTTATCTATTAGGCATAAACTCTATCAACTTTACATTGTACCCAGGGTTTTCCATTGTGTGTCTGGCACACAATGAGCATCTAATAAATATTTATTAAATGAATAAATTTACTAGCCATCGTAAAAGAAAACAAGGGATCACCTATCTCAAAATATAATTAAGAGTGGCTGGAAATACTTTTCTTCTTACTAGAAAAATAAAGCTGGAAGCTGATGACAATATCATTTTTCCCCCAAATCTATCCAAAGTTTCCTCCCAACTGCTTCTCTAATAACTGCAGTAGAACACAGATTTCCCTCTCTTCTTTAAACATCAGGAGAACATCATTAATGTTTAATATTTGAGCACAGGCCAAGGTTTCTGTTTGTAAGTCTCAGGGGGAAAGAATTTTGATAATTGAATGATTTCCGGCAGGGAAACACATTCCCAAATCCACATGCACTCATGTCTGTCCCAGGCTCCACTGCCAGGATGCTTATTTATTCTGTGTCTGGGACTTTCCAGTTTAAATAAGTCCTTCTGCCTCATTACTGTGTCTGCTTGTGTTTGTTGTACAAATTATTTTCTCATTGATTCTATGCCATGGCATATTACTTGAGGAGTATGTCTTACAGCTCAGAGAAGTTCCAAAGTGCCTGTGAGCGTTGTAGCACAAAGTATTAAATATTTTTTCTTTTTGTGGACTGAAGCTTGAAATGAGATTTTAGGCTATTTATGATCAGCAGCTGAAAAGCTTCTGTTGTCAGCAAAGCTCAAAGTAGCAAAGCAAGTTGGGGAGATTCCGTTATTGCTTTTCCTTCTCTCGCTGCCTTAAAAAAAATGTTTATTTTCTGTTGCTTAAACAAGATTCTCTTAGTAAATGAACTCTCTAGATACCTTTTCGAGGTCAATTGTTGACAAGTCCTAAGTTTCTTTGTTCCAAATAAATGGACTTTTCCTTTGTTCGATTGCTTTAAACCTTTCAAACAATCTGAACAGGATGAAGTTAATAAGCTGCCATTGGTGGTTCTAGTATGGCGTCTGACAGTTAAGACAGTAGTAGTAGTAGTTGTTGCAGTCTTTAATGGTGGGCCATTTTATATTATGTGCACTTTGGAACAATTTAACTGTTTGTTCATAGAGAGAAACGAAGAAATCACAGTTACAGTAATTTTAAAATTCTATCTATGTTCACAGCTTTCTCTCCATTGTCTCTATTATACTTCTTACAAAAAAAAAAAAACAGTAAACAGGAGCCTTAATGCTTTTCTCCAGAACGTTATGCAATAATAAGACATTCAAGATCCACAGAGCATTAGAGGAAAAAAGGATAAGATGAGCCAAAGACTGCCTGACAATAATGGCAGTTATAATAACTGGCATTTATTTAGTGCTTACTTCATGCCAGGCATAAAGTGCTTTATAAGGATTAACTCTGTCATCTTTACCCTTGTACCCCAGGGTTTACCATGGTGTTTGGCACTCAGTGGGCATCCAATAAATATTTATATTTAGCTTTAATTTATGGAAGGGCTTTCTATGGATTCACTGGTTTAATTCTCCCTAGAACCATGTAGGTTCTCATTATATATGGGATCAGTCTATGGGTTCTAGTTATATATCAGATAACTCCACAGGTTCTAGTTATATATAACATACTGTTATTTATTTTAACATGAAAAAATGAGGCCAAAACAATATAAGCAATAGCTCAAGGTCACACAAATAATAAGGGACAAAACCAGAATTTGAACATAGGCAGAGTGCTCCAGAGCTGCACGATACAGACCATGGTGAGTAAAAGACTTGGATATTCAACTATTGTATGATTAAGACAGTGTAGAGGTCATTAGTAGAAACACATTTAAGCAGGCTTTCCAACCAGGATGATAAATCAGGAGTGGTAAGATTTGCTTCACTATTCATCAGCATAAAAACAAATATTTGCAATAGCAAAGCCTATTTCTGTTGTTATTTAGACACAGGGGCAAGACTGTTCAAGTTCATTCACCAGCTAACTCTGCAACTAATCAGCCACAACATCTAAGTTTCCCTTCATTTTCTCATTTGTAGACTGGGATGATATTAATACCTACCTCCTGGGGTTGTCATGAAAATTAAAAGACATGGTATACATAGGTCACAAAATACCAAATGGCATTCATTCATAAGTTATGTTTTAGTTATGTTATTATATCTAAAGTCTGTTTACTGTTTAAAATGACAATATATCCAAAATAAAATGCAGCATCCATATAGGTACACAAATTAGTGTCAGCAACTTTAATAATCAGTTTTAAAGGAGTACAGTGAATGGACTTTAAATATCTGGTACCAGAGAGACAATTTAATTAAACATTTTGTTTTCAACACATTATTGGGTCACACTTGACTTGGGACCATTTGAGTCAGAGATACAGCTGTTCCCCCAGTAAAGGGAAAAGTGTATTTAAATGTGATCCCTGGTGGGATTACAGTTTTGTGAGTCAGTCTGTGCTCCATAGGGAACATATTACTTAGTAATAAAATGTAAGATTTTTTTCATTATTGTTTCAATCCATTTAGGATAAACCTTTCACATTTAGATTTGACTCTGTGTAGGTTGTCATTAGGCATGATAAAGCATTTCCCCCAAGGTCTCCAGTGAAAGGAACAGGCAGTTTTCCTAATGACTCTTCCTTTGTTTGATTTACCTTCTACAATGTAACTTTGCCTTTTCCCTTTGCATTTTTTTGAGGGGTGGGGTGGGGGTCTTTGCTGGAGTCATGATTTATTTTTTTTTAACTGCGTTTTTCTGTGTAATATCTTTCTCAGGATTCACATTCCCCCACCATCCCCAACACATATCTGGAAAGACCTCAAAGCTAGCCAGCTGGTTGCTTAACCAAGTAAGAGTTCATGATAGAGGCAAGTCTCCAATACTCAAGTGGATGAATGCATAAATTAGCACTAGGAAGGACACAAATGTTTGACTTTATAATGTCTACCCACATTCAATAACCCTAGTGCAGTTTTAAAGGATCCATTACAAATCCTGTATGAAGTATAAATTTGAAAGAATATGTAGATGTCTCTCAGTAGTTTGCCATATGAAAATATTTTGTTTGAAATTCAGTACTAAAGAGTATCTGGAGTTAATAAAAAGAAAAATCTTATTCTGTCCAGATGAATGAGTTTAAAACCAACGTTTCTTACTGAAGAACAACAGACTATGTGATCTTTTAGAAGCAATGTTAAATAGATCCAATGGTTTAAAATATATACACATAAAACATATATAAGTTATGACTAGATGAATTGTCTTGAATATCAAACATTTAAACAATGTACCAAAATTCAGACATTTTAATCATGTGTGGTAGTCAATCTAAAAGTCACTATATGAGAAAATCTCCTTATATTCTTTCATGCCACTTACGTCTTGTTGTAACCAGGCTGTTAGAGCTGTTAGCATTCTAATTTCAGAATGCCCTTATGTCTTAAAATAAAAATAAAGTGGAAAAAAAATGAAGTATATTCAAACAAAGAAAAAAACAGAAAATAATGCATTATCTTGAACACTTTCTAAAATGTATATGCCTATTTATGGATATGTAATATTTTATTCAAATACAGAATACAGTAAGGGAATCATTTTTAAACCCAAGCTTAATGTTGCTTGGATTTATATATAGAATCAGAGCATAGATACGAAACTTGGTTCTTTGATCTAAACATGCCTGTCTCCTATCTACTTTAACCACAGGTGTACCGCCTGTGGGTGTAGCTACATGATGCCATCACAGAAAATATTTCTTATCAAAAACACATTTGACAACTGTTTTTCACAAAAGCAAAGCACAATAACTTTAGAGACAACTGGAGAATTTTGCAATAAACTTCCTGAGTGCTTGAAATAGTTTTCAAAAGACAATATTTTAAAAACCATCCTGGGGGTATTTATGTTTAAGACTGAGCTTAAAGATGGATTATATTTGCAGCAACATCATTTCCTTTTAAGGGCTGTCAGTGTGAAATTTTGTTTGTCACTTCCTTTCACTTACTATTTCATTGCATAATATTCATTAAGTGCCTATATGGGCAATATATGGCTCTGACCATTGAGGAGCAAATAGTCAGAGGGGGAGGAGAGAGCTAACCTTAATGAGTTCTTGTTATGCAATATTACCAATGGTGTAATAAGGAAATGAACCAAGGAGGAAGAATATATGATAGAAAGAACATCAACGGTGGAATCTGACAACCGTGGGTTCAAATCCTTGCCTGAATACTACCTGCTTCGTAGGATTGCTGGTAGAACCAAAAGAAATAGTGAGGGTTAGCCATATGCAGAAAGCTGAAACTGGATCCCTTCCTTACACCTTATAGAAAAATTAATTCAAGATGGATTAAAGACTTAAATGTTAGACCTAAAACCATAAAAACCCTAGAAGAAAACCTAGGCAATGCCATTCAGGACATAGGCATGGGCAAGGACTTCATGTCTAAAACACCAAAAGCAATGGCAACAAAAGCCAAAATTGACAAATGGGATCTAATTAAACTAAAGAGCTTCTGCACAGCAAAAGAAACTACCATCAGAGTGAATAGGCAACCTATAGAATGGGAGAAAATTTTTGCAATCTACTCATCTGACAAAGGGCTAATATCCAGAATCTACGATGAACTCAAACAAATTTACAAGAAAAAAACAACCCCATCAAAAAGTGGGCGAAGGATATGAACAGACACTTCTCAAAAGAAGACATTTATGCAGCCAAAAGACACATGAAAAAATGCTCATCATCACTGGCCATCAGAGAAATGCAAATCAAAACCACAGTGAGATACCATCTCACACCAGTTAGAATGGTGATCATTAAAAAGTCAGGAAACAACAGGTGCTGGAGAGGATGTGGAGAAATAGGAACACTTTTACACTGTTGGTGGGACTGTAAACTAGTTCAACCATTGTGGAAGACAGTGTGGCGATTCCTCAGGGATCTAGAACTAGAAATACCATTTGAACCAGCCATCCCATTACTGGGTATATACCCAAAGGATTATAAATCATGCTGCTATAAAGACACATGCACACGTATGTTTATAGCGGCACTATTCACAATAGCAAAGACTTGGAACAAACCCAAATGTCCAACAATGATAGACTGGATTAAGAAAATGTGGCACATATACACCATGAAATACTATGCAGCCGTAAAAAATGATGAGTTCATGTCCTTTGTAGGGACATGGATGAAGCTGGAAACCATCATTCTCAGCAAACTATCGCAAGGACAAAAAACCAAACACCACATGTTCTCACTCATAGGTGGGAACTGAACAATGAGAACACATGGACACAGGAAGGGGAACATCACACACCAGGGCATGTTGTGGGGTGGGGGGGAGGGGGGAGGGATAGCATTAGGAGATATACCTAATGTTAAATGATGAGTTAATAGGTGCAGCACACCAACATGGCACATGTATACATATGTAACAAACCTGCACGTTGTGCACATGTACCCTAAAACTTAAAGTATAATGAAAAAAGAAAGAAATAGTGAGGGTTAAGTGGCTGGGACATCACAGACAGTCAATGCATTGTAGCTATTACCGTCTCTATTATGAGAACACTGGACAGAGCAGACTTTTTTTATAGGAAATATTTCTCCCCTGCTAACCAGCTTCAGGTTATCAATCATTAAAAACTGAAGTTTATATCAAAAAGAAAGTTATAGATGGTGAATGTAATAAGTGATGCAGCTTGTGAATTTTGTTGAAGTTTAAAGCATCCATTGCTCTCTGTAGCACCCCTACAGCACCATGTCCATGGCTTTATTGGCACCTACTTTCCTATATGTGAAAATTTCAACATATAGTGGTAACTTTTCTTGAGTTGGTGTTTCCTCTGAGCAAAGAACATATGCTATTTATTTATCCTTGTGCCCCTATGGCTTCATAACAGTAACATGTTTTTACAGCTAGGATGCAAATATTATATATAGGAGGCCCAGGCCCTTAATAGATTTTTTTTTAAGTGGAGAATACAGGCATAGGTATTATAGCAAGAACCTGATACAGTAGTGTGTTAAATAAAAGAGAATTTTTTTTTTTTTCATATCACAATCTGAGCATAAGCAGTTCAGTTCTAATGTGCTTTTATGGGGTCAGAGACACAGGCTCCTTTTATCTTATTTCTCTGCCATCTTCAACACAGAAATTTCACATCTTGTTCTAAGGCAGCTGCTTCAATTCCTACCCTTATGTTCACATTCCAGTCATATAAAGGGAGCAAAAAGGGTCAGGGATCCTTCTTTTAAGGCCACGATACAAGGTTTTCATTACCTTTCATTTCACATTCTGATGCCCAAGTGTATTTCTGTTTTACACCTAGCTGCAAGGGAGTCTAGAAAATGTGTCTTTCATGAAAAAAAAAAAAGCTTAAATTAAGCATTAAGAAGACTTACTACCAAAAGATGAATCAAATATTAAGACGGCTAGTAGTGCCTGCTATAAGAGTAGAGGTCAAGACTGATTTTACATGGAATTTGCATCATTACTCTAAATCTTAACTTTTAAATAACCCCATAACACCATCATACTACATTTTCAGGGAAAATACATATATAAATATTGTTTATTTTTATATTTACATAAATTATTTATATTTATATAAATATTGTTATTACATATTTATTACATAAATATTGTTATCTATATTTACACAAATATTGGTTATTACTATCTATTATGTAAGATGAGTTTAATAACCCAATATTATAGGCAAAACATATATCAAAATTTAATAGTCCACAATAGCTAACAGCTCATGAGAACTGGTTATGTGCCAGGCAATGTTTTAACTTATTTAATTTCACCACGTCCCTTTGAGATAGGTGACTTATCCTGGTTTTACAGATGAAAAAATAAGTCAAAAAAGGAAAAGAATTTATTTTTTTCTTTTGAATATAAATACTAAGAATAGTTAATACATTTACTTGATAAATGAGGTGCTGGATGTATGAATAATAAATGAATGTATGGCAATCTAAACATATAGGAACATAGATATTCAAATCATTGTCTTCCTTGGAAAGAAGTATTTTCTCTAGTCTGTTTCTAGTAATTAAAACATTCTTAACACTCCTTTTATGCAGCTATCTAGAGACTTTGTAGCATAGTCTTTCGAAAACGTTTAATGATGAGAAATACAGTCCTTAGAGGGTGATTTTGATTTAATTTTATATTTGGAAACAATGAGATCATTTAGAGAAAATCTGTTGGAAGATTAAGCTAGAAGAACTCAATTTTAGTTGAAAATAAAATGTTTGCAAAAGTTAACAAAAATATTTCTTTCATTTGTCAGAAGAACATTATTTTGCATAATTCTAATATATTTGCATTAAGTATAAAAATTTTACTATATTTTCAAAGTTAAAAAAATGAGGCATGGCAAGGTGTTCATGCCTATAATCCTAGCACTTTGGGAAGCTGAGGTAGGAGGTTCACTTGAACCCAGGAGTTTGAGAACATCCTGGACAACATGAGAAAATCCCATCTCTACAAAAAAATTTTAAAACTAGCCAGGCATGATGGCACATGCCTGTAGTCCCAGGCTGAGGCTGAGGTTGGAGGATCACCTGAGCCCAGGAAGTCAAGCCTTCAGTGAGCCCTGATCAGGCCACTGCACTCCAGCCTGGGTGACAGAGTGAGACTCTGTCTCAAAAATAAATAAATAAATAATAAATATAATGTTATATCTGTGTAAGTGGTAGCAATACAAATGTTTTCAGAGGCAAAGACATTCTTTGGCCTGTATGAATACACTGAAAAGTTTGGCTTCATATTTCTTTCCCCCAGTTTTCAAAAACAGATAAAATTTAAGGCCAGGAAAAATAATTAAAGTTTTGTGTTAATAAACTGGATGATCAAGCAGACTTAAATGTTTTAACACATTATTCTGCTAAAACACAATCCTGTGTTTGTGTTTATTAAATATGTTAATAACTGTTCATATCCATTTTCTTCTTCAAAAATTTGTGCCACATAATAGGATACTATTCAATTTTTAAAAAGAAGGAAATCCTAGTCATTTGCAACAACGTAGGTGAACCTAGAGGACATTGTGCTAAGTAAAATAAGCCAGGCACAGAAAGACAAATACCGTGAGATTTTACTTTTATGTGGAATCTAAAAAACTATTGTATAATAGTGACCATCGTTAATAACAATGTATTATATATTCATAACTGTAGTGACTATAGTTAATATAGTGACTATAGTTAATAACAAGTACTACATACCTAAACATTGCTAAAAGGCTTTAAATATTCTCACCACAAGAAAAAAATGATGTGTATATGAGGTAATGGATATGTTAATTAGTTTGATTCGGTCACCCCACAATATATACCACATGCTACAATATATTGATAGGATATACCAAAACATCATGTTGCACACCATAAATATATACAAGTTTATTTGTGAATTTTTAAAAATGTAGGTGGGGAAAGAAAGCCTTCTGTGGGCACATACACTCATGTTTTAATTACATATACATTAGATATATACTCTATATAAAGCTTTATACTAAGTGCTGTGCTAAGCAATAATATTCAGTTTGGGAACGTGAAAAGATCAAACAGATGTAAAAGAGAATGCAATGTATTGATACTTATCAATATTTATACATAGTTATTCAGAGAGTGCTCACAGCATCACTGAGGTATCCTATAAGGCAGTGCCCCGTCCTCTCCCATCAGATAGATGGTTAGTCCGTTGATAATACCACTGACAACCCATTTGCAGATGTGGGCAGTGAAGTCAGATACTCTTGGAAAGCAGAATGAAGCCACATGTAGCTATGTAATCTATAATTATATAAAAGCTGTGGAAATGAAGAAATTAGAAGCGTATGTTTAGAACTAAAAGTATTCAATTAAGTCTTCAACATGTCATCACAAAAGCACTCAGTGAAGAAATAGTACAAGAGCAGGGTTCAGGGAATAGTGATTCTTTGCTTATTTTTCACTAATCCATTCATGTGATATATAGTGCCATTATTTGTTTTTATGTAATTTGTTTTATAACTTTTACATGATACCTGTTTAGTTGTAAATGTGTTCCTAAGAATTTTAAATAGGTTTGTTTTGAGTGCACTTTATAGCACTTTTTGGATACTTTTTCTTAGCCGTTATTTGTTGTTATTACTTATCTATTCCCAAATGCCACCAATACTTCCTATTCTTTGTTCGTTGAGATTTGATCATAATTCAGACCTACTGGTTGTATAGTACTAAGGAGAGAGTGGGAAGAAATGAGGCTGGAGAATGTGCAATGGCTCGATCCCAAAGGACTTTTGTGCTGTGTTAGGGATTTTACATTTTATCTTTAAGGCAAGTGACATGAACTGACTTCTACATGAC
Organism: Homo sapiens; assembly: GCF_000001405.40. Taxonomy (NCBI): domain Eukaryota; kingdom Metazoa; phylum Chordata; class Mammalia; order Primates; family Hominidae; genus Homo; species Homo sapiens. The sequence continues at coordinate 79,238,959 of NC_000003.12, read as the reverse complement.
TAAATCATTCTAATGACTAAACTGCAATATGGAATATGATAGACTTGGAGCAGAAGCTTTGAAAATAGAGGCAAAAAGACAATTGGGATTGTGCAAGTGACAGAAAACAGAATCTAAAGCAAAGCAGGGATACTGAGCAGGGAAAGAGAAACAACTTTGAGAAATACTAAGCAGTTAAAAATTAATGAGACTTGGAAGTCAATTGCATCTAATCAGGACCTAAAACAGGAAGAAATAAAGTGTGATCCCTAGGTTTTTGCCTTGGCCATCACTATAGCATCATCATAACTCACCTGGATCAAGCACTTAAAACTATGTCAGGAAGTTAGCTGAGCTCTTCATCTTTGTCACATTAGTTAATGTTTAAGCAAAAACTATTACTATCTCCACTTTATAAATGAGGGAAGTGGAACTTAAATATATGAAGTGATTTCTTAGGTCACAAAGGCAGCACATGGTAGAATATTGAACCCAAAGTTGTATCCACCTTGCCATATAAAAGATTAGGAAGCCAGGCTGGAGAAGACCTCATAAGAACAGGACTTTAGAAACATTATTTTGGCAATCATCTGAAGAGTATTGCATTTCCAGAAATTTTGAATGTATGGATTTTTCATTTTAAAAATTCAGGACTTTGGAGGCAGGATGGGATAGCGGTAATATTTTCAGTACCCTTTCTATTATACAGTTAAAATCTCATCAGGTAATGATTAAATTGCATTATACTCAACTTGCTCAGTTCAGAAATTGCTATATTTTAAAATTAGATAATACTCAAAAGGAATTGAAAATGTACTAAATAAATGTATTTTTACATGGCTTCATAGTTTTGTTTCTTTCCTTGATTGTGGCTCTTTTCAGAGCTAGATCAAATTTTATTTCCTGAAGACACAGAGAAGCCTGAGCAAAGGAAAAAGCAGAAGAAAGCAGACAGCCTGTTGTGCCAAGACCTCAAATGGCACAATCCATGTAGGTCAGGTGTGACAGAAGACCGCACTGCTTTCTAGGTCCGAACTCTATCATGTTCTCTGTTTTACAAAATGTGTGGCTCTACCTTTACAATATGAGCTGCTGAGTGTTCCTTTTTGGTCATAATTAGGTTAAGTGGATCATGGTGTGACCATGACTGAAATTTTTTGGATCCAAGAGCTTTGGCTGATAAAATTTTTCTCAGTAAATTTTTTTTTATTTTTATATCTCCAGTACTTAAAAGCAGCAACAGACTGCTCAAAAACAATAGACTTTTTCTACATCTTTTGGCAAATAACATTTGACAAAAATTACGTGTATGACTCGGATAGAGTGACCGCCGGAGAAATTAACTCTAGCTTTTTCAACAATTTCTGCAGATGAAACCACAGGTCATTCTCATCATGCATAACAATCTCTTTACCCATGAGTATTTTGATTTTCAATGCTTCTGTTTTCTCAAAGATGTTTCTGAACTTTTATCTTTTTTATTATTATTTTTTTTTTTTTGAGATGGAGTCTTGCTCTGTCGCCCAGGCTGGAGTGCAGTGGTGCAATCTCGGCTCACTGCAAGCTCCGCCTCCTGGGTTCCCGCCATTCTCCTGCCTCAGCCTCCCGAGTAGCTGGGACTACAGGCGCCGCCACCACGCCTGGCTAATTTTTTGTATTTTTAGTAGACACGGAGTTTCAACGTGTTAGCAGGGATGGTCTCGATCTCCTGACCTCGTGATCCGCCCGCCTCGGGCTCCCAAAGTGGTGGGATTACAGGCGTGAGCCACCGCGCCCGGCCATTTTTGAACTTTTATTACACTTTCAAGAACATTATCACCAATAAATAGCATTGAGTTTTACAAAAATCTCTATATTTCATATATTCTACTTGCTTGCTTTTCTTGTTTTTTGTTAATGGCAGCATTTATAGTATTAGTATTTTGAGATGATTTATAACATTTTTTCTTTTCTAGCACTTTTTGAGAGTGCTCAAATTCATTATATTTTTAATAATCAAGTTAAGCCATGGAATGTCACTCTTGGCTTCTTTTAGTCAAGGTCAAGTCTTCCAGTAGAACGCAGCCAAAAGCTGTTCCTACTTTTACTCCTACTGTAGCAAAAGTTGAACTCTTATCCACTATTCTTTGCTCATCTGTTTTCATTTAACCTGCAATGTCAGTCAGCAAATTAAACTGTATGCTCACTATCTTTAATTTCAAATAATTTCAAAAAATGTACATTACTCAATTATTTTTGTTACTAAAAACAATGATTAAGCTTATGCATACCACAGAGCCTGTGTTTTCTTTTTACTTTAGATATGTCTCTGCAAATACCACAAAACTAGTGATTCATTTTTCAGAGGTTACATCTTCAAATCCTGATTCAAAAGAAAAATTTAAAAAATAATACTTAAAAGATATATTGAAATGACATACTCATTTAAACGTTCCCTGTACAAAAAGACTTTAAGTTGTTGGAAGTCAAAAAAAATGTTATTGGAAGTTGTTAATTTTTATGTATATAATTTTCGTATATATGATATATGAGAGTGAGGTTACACACAGGAAAGAAAATACAAATTACAAAATGCCCTTGTTCATTTGGGATTTAACAACAAGAAACCATTGGTAATTGGCACACATTGAACATGAAAATGTTGCCACTGAACCTGAATTGCCATGACATTGAAGTGAGATAAGGAAATGGACAGAGCAAGTAGAGGGGGCAAGTAGAGGTAATGCAGGTGGTTTCGCTGCAGTGTAAAACAGAGAAGTCAGTAAATACTAGGAATCGTGATTTATTTCATTTTTATTAGTTTGCTTATTTTCTAAGTATGAAAATGTCATACGTGTGTTCATATTGCTGCTAGAAAGGATCTAGCATTGAATACGTGGAACATGTCAGAGATATATGCCCTTAACAAGTAATCAAATGACCAAAGAGTCTAAAAAACAGAAGTCCAAAGCCCAGTTTTACAGAAGGGGAAATGATAACTTCTCTGTGAGAAAGGGACGTATCTGTGATAACTGTCAAAATAGAACAACAATATGCTATATTGTTGTCATTATTTTCATTAACTCTAAAATTTTCAAAAATATAGTATACCATACCTATAGCTTAATTTGACCCTTATAGTAATTTTAAGAGATAACTGCAAAAAATCTTTTTGTATTTTTAAACCCAATAATATATATAATTAAATATGGGTCTCTGGAAAGCAGACTCTGATATGGAGATTTGTCTGCAAGAGATAAATTGAAGAGTGTCCTCAAGATTAAAAAATAAAAGGGAATTGAGATGATTGGTGGGAAAAGGAAACAGCACTGGGCAGAGGAAAAGCCAAGTTGTGATATAGGAAATAGAGGCCACAGATGATCCTCCAGGAAGCTATAAATATGGAGGACCCTTGAGATTTTTCTTGAATAAGAGTAAAAGATCCAACATTGACCATTCATTTGATGTGAGCTATTCCCAGATAAGTGTGACTTTGGATGACATTCTGACATTTTTGAGCCCAAGTCAAAAGTTGAAGTGGAACTCAGCTGAGAGCTATTCTTAGCAACACTCCCAGTAACTTGGGTATATGTTTTGGAGAGGGGATCTACACAGCGCCCCTTACTATTATAATGATGATTATGAAAATACTTTGCCTTAATTCTACCTGTTCTCCAATATCACTCCCCAAATGCAACCACTTATTTTCCTTTTTTAAAAAATAAAAACTTTCTTGATGATGTTATTTCAATATTCAATAATGTGTTTAGACTACTGTGTATAATTTTATAAATTTGAAACATTATTCAAGAAGACAAATAATATTTTTCTCATGTCTTCTAATTTCTCATTTATCTTTCCCTTTATTCTCAATATAATTAGAGTACTTTCTGTATTTCCTTAAGGTAGGTCTGACCCTAAAGTTCTACCTGAGTTTCAAAAATGGGTAAGAATGAAGGTTTGAACTTAGTTCAAATGTGCATTTATTTGATATTGCTTGTATTTTTTTCCAATAATTTCAAATTTTATTTTAGATTCAGGTGGTACGTGTGCAAGTTTGCTACGTGGATATATTGCATGATTCTGAGGTTTAGGGTATGATTGATCCTGTCACTCAGGTAATGAGCATAGTACCCAATAGTTAGTGTCTCAGTTGTTACCCTTCTCCCTCCCCCTACAATCTAGGAATCATCAGTGTCTATTGTTGCCATCTTTATGTCCATGAGTACCCAATGTTTAGTTCCCATTTATAAGTGAGATCATATTATATTTGGTTTTCGGTTCCTGTGTTAATTTGCTTAGGATAATGTCCTTCAGCTGCATTCATGTTGCTGCAAAGAACATGATTTCATTCTTTTTATGGCTGCATAGTATTCCATGGTGTATATGTACCATATTTTCTTCATCCATTCCTCCATTAATGGGCACCTAGGTTGACTCCATGTCTTTGCTATTGTGAATAGTGCTGCAGTGAATATATGAGTACATGTGACTTTTTGGTAGAATTACTTATTTTCTTTTGGATATATGCCTAGCAATGAGATTGCTATTAGGAAAAGACTCCCTATTTAATAAATGGTGCGGAGATAGCTGGCTGGCTATATGCAGAATGAAACTGGACCCCTATCTTTCGCTATATGCAAAAAGTAACTCAAGATGGCTTAACGATTTAAATGTAAGACCTCAAACTCTAAGAATCTTAGAAGAAAACCTAGGAAAAAATCATTCTGCACATTGGCCTTAGGATAGAATTTATGGCTAAGTCTTCAAAAGCAATTGCAACAAAAACAAAAATTTAAAAGTAGTACCTAGTTATACTAAAGTGCTTCTGCACAACAAAACAAACTATTAACAGAGTAAACAGACAACCTACAGAATGGGAGAAAATAATTGCAAACTAAGCATCTGACAAAGGTCTAATATCCAGAATCTATGAGGAACTTAAACAATTGAATAAGCAAAAAACAACTGCATTAAAACGTGGGCAAAAGACAAGAACTTATACTTCTCAAAGAAGACGTACAAGTGGACACCAAACATATGAAAAAAAAATGCCGGACGTCACTAATCATCAGAGAAATTCAAATCAAAATGGCAGCATGACACCATCTCACACCAGTCAGAAGGGCTATTATTAAAAAGTCAAAAAACAAGTTGCTGTTGAGGCTGCAGAGAAAAGGGAACATATATACTGTTGGTGGTAATGTAAATTAGTTCAGCCACTGTGGAGAGCAGAAAGGAGTTGGGAGATTTCTCAGATAACTTAAAACGGAGTTTATTTTTAAAATAGCACATAGAACAATGGATACCAATGAGAAAAGAATGCGGGTGAGTGGATGTGACTTCCCGTTGCCTTGCTTGATTCAAGAATGCTACACTTGGAGTTCAATGGATGTAGCCTGGAATGACAGGAATTTTCTCCAGGAAAGCAAAGTCAAGGACTTTGGCTTCTCTGCATTGGATCCCACTTGTTAGTTAACCTGTAATCAGGTTCACTTCTCAACTTCTGTATAAGTTATACTTCTTTTATTTTTAATTTGGTTATTTATATGCTTTATCTATACATTGTAACTGAATGTTAAAAATCATTGTTGAATGTACATTATTACTATTATTGATAGGTTAACTGTATATAGCAAAGTTTATTGGTGTTCTGTGATTATATTTCCTTGTCTACAATTCCTTTGTCATTAACATTATGCCATTTTTTCACTTCACCCAAAGATAGAAATAAAGTCCCATTTGGGGGCTTTATAAACTTCATATTTCAGCCATGCTTTTTCTTGCACATTTTAAATTTCAGATTTCTGCCTTTCCTTCTCCTCCTCTTTTTATCTTTCTCCATTCCTCTTAATTTTGCTTTCTTTTTTTATTATAAGAAATATACTTATTGAGAAAAAATTCTTACAATTTTCACTGCCTTTTTGTTTTATTACATTCTTTTCTTTTAGGGGCTATTTTATTAAAACAAAGTCATAGAAAGTTTCTATCAGTGGCCTTTCCTTTTCTTGCTAAATATAACAGGCTATTCCTTATAACATCAAAGTCAACTGTTATCCTATCAAAACATAACTTCAATGCTCTACTGAAGTCTATCCCTGTTTGTGTCACTCATATCTTCCTGCTTCTTCATGTATTCCTCATTGTGCTGTATTGTACCTTCAAGTAACTTTTTACAAAAGAATGAATGAGAAGTGAACTTTTCAGATTCTCCTTGTCTTGAAATATTCATCAGATTTGACTGATGCATTGGCTCTGTATCAAATTCTAGGCTCAAAATTATTTTCCTTCCTAACTTTGAAGATATTATGCCACTAGCATTAAGTTGGCTGATGGAAAGTTGAATAATCTTTCATTTGTGGATGGGATTTATTTTTCTCTCTGTAAAAGTTTATAGGATCTTCTGTGGTTCTTTAGAATGTTTAGAGTTGGGTACTTTTTCCTTTAATCTTGCCCTACACAAGATTGACCCTTTCAACTTATTTAAAGACTAGTGTTCTCCATTGGCTCTAGAAAATTTGATTGTGATGTTTGTTTTTTTTTTCTCTTAAGTTTTCTTTCTTCTCTGTAAGAATATCTTAACTGTCCAGTGTTAGATCTCCTGGATCGACTCTCTATATCTTTTATTTTTTTCTCATATTTCCACTTTATTTTTTTTTAGTGCACACTAGGAGATACTTAAACATTATCTTCTTTTTTGTTACCTCTTTAGATGTGCAGAGAGATTTTATATATATATATTTTTTTTTTTTTTAAATCAAGGAGGATGTCTTAATTTCCTTTTTCTTTCAATTTCTATTTCAAGTTCAGGAGTACATTTGTAGGTTTGTTACATAATTAAACTTGTGTCAAGGGGATTTGATGTACAGATTATTTCATCACCCAAGTATTAAGCCTAGTATCCGTTAGTTATTTTCCCTGATCCTCTTGCCCCTCTCATTCTCTACCCTCCAATAGGCCCCTGTGTGTATGTGTCCATGTCTTCTCATCATTTAGCTCCCACTTATAAGTGAGAATATGCAGAATTTGGTTTTCTGTTTCTGCATTAGTTTGCTAAGAATAATGGCCCCCAGTTCCATCCATGTCCCTGCAAAGGATGTGATCTTGTTCTTTTTTATGGCCATGTAGTATTCCATGATGTATATGTACTGCATTTTCTTTATCCAGTCTACCCATTGATGGGCAATATAGGCTGAGTTCATGTATTTGCTATAGTGAATAGTGCTGCAAGGAACATACCTGGGCATGTGTCTTTATAATAGAATAATTTATACCCTTTTGGGTATATACCCAGTAATGGGATTGCTGGGTCAAATGGCATTTCTGTCTTTAGGTCTTTGAGGAATCGCCACATTGTCTTCTACAATTGTTGAACTAATTTACATTCCCACCAACAGTGTATAAGCATTCCTTTTTCTCTACAACCTTGCCAGCATCTGTTATTTTTTTGACTTTTTAATAATAGCCATTCTGACGGGTGTGAGATTGTATCTCACGGTGGTTTTGATTTGCATTTCTCTGATGATCAGTGATGTTGAGCTTTTATTCATGATTGTTGGCTGCATGTATGTCTTCTTTTGAGAAGTGTCAGTTTATGTCCTTTGCCTTCTTTTTAACGTAGTTGGTTTTTTCTTATAAATTTATTTAATTTCCTTAATGGTGGTGAATATTAGACTTTTGTCAGGTACATAGTTTGAAAAATATTTTCCTATTTTGTAGGTTATCTGTTTACTCTGCTAACAGTCTTTTGCTGTGCAGAAGATCTTTAGTTTAATCGGATACCATTTACCAATTTTTGCTTATATTGCAATTGCTTTTGGTGTCTTCATCATGAATCCTTGTCTGTGCCTATGTCCTGAATGGTATTACCTAGGTTGTCTTCCAGAGTTGTTATACTTCCAGGTTTTACATTTCAGTTTTTAATGCATCCTGAGTTGATTTTTGTGTAGGGTGTAAGGAAGGGGTCCAGCTTCAGTCTTCGGCATACAGCTAGTCAGTTATCCCAGCACCATTTATTGAAAAGGGAATACTTTCCCCATTGCTTGTTTTTGTCAGGTTTGTCAAAGATCTGGTAGTTGTTGGTGTACAGTCTTATTTTTGGGTTGTCTATTCTGTCTCATTGGTTTATGTGTCTGTTTTTGCATCAATACCATGCTGTTTTCATTACTGTATCCCTGTAGTATAGTTTGAAGTTGGGTAGCATGATGCCTCCAGCTTTGTTCTTTTAGCTTAGGATTGCATTCAGGGTCTTTTTTGGTCTCGTATAAAGAATGTCAATCGTAGTTTAATGGGAATATCATTGAATCTATAAATTGCTTTCAGCAGTAGTATTTTAACAACATTGATTCTTCCTATCCATGAGCATGGGATTTTTTTTCCACTCATTTGTGTCATCTTTGATTTTGTTAAGCAGTGGCTTATAGTTGTTATGGAGATCTTGCACCTCCCTAGGCCAGTGTAAACATTTTTTTTTTAGTCTTTGCTTACTTTACATTTGCTATTGTCACATTGACCAAAGCAAGTCACTTGACCAAGCCCAGAGGAGTCAACATGGGAGGGGACTCTGCAAGGGGTGAATAGGGGTGAGGCATGAGTACACTGAAGCTATCACCGCAGCAATCTACTAGAGACAAAAGGTGAGACCAGAAATTGTGGTTTTATATAAGGAAGCCTGATAGTTTAAAAATAGTGTAAAACATGTATAATTATGTTATGTTATTATGATATATGCTATAAGAATTCAGTAAAAGAAAGAGAGTCTGCAATCCTTTAAAAGCTTCATAAGGGAGACTGGGCTTTAGTAGGTTATTAAAGACATAGGATGAATTTGGATAGGCCAAAAAGTGACATGCATTTATGGGTATAGATTGAAGGTGCAGAGGATTGGAGGGGAGTGGGAAAATGAACATGCCATTTTGCTAAATTTGAGGATTCTTTCTGTAAACAACTAGAAATAATGGTGACTATGCAAATTAAGGTTAGTTTCTGGAAGTTCACAGAACGCTGATTGGAAGACTTTCTTGAAATTACATTTTAATACTAGGTATACTGAAAGAAAGAGTCGCTTATGACAAAGGTATACTTTTTGAAATCAAGAAAACTCTCAATTATTAGTGAGAAAGATCATTGATAAGAAAAATTATGATTTGAGAATTAAGGTCATCATAGATATTTTAAATAAATATAATTTAAGATTTATCGGGAATAAAAGAAGCTAAAAATTGCCTTTAATTTTCATCTCATTTTTATCATGTCACAAAATAACTTTCAAACATGAGCACTGGCCAGGCACGATGGCTCATGCCTGTAAATCCCAGCATTTGGGGAGGGGTTTGAGATCAGCCTGGGCAATAAAGTGAGACCTCACCTCTACAAAAAGAAAGAAATAAATAATAAAAACATCAGCTGGGCACTGTGGCTCAAGTCTGTAATCTTAGCTGCTTGGGAGAATCATTTGAGCCTAGGAGTTCCAGGCTACAGTGAGCTATGATCACACCACTGCACTCTATCCTGGGCAATGGAGCAAGATCCCATCTCTGAAAGATGCAAAAGGTAGTTATCTTATTATACACATAGATTAACACCCTAACTTATTCAGTCACTTGTGAAATCCAAGTGATTTTTTTTCCTGCAATTGGTACAGTTTTATCCTTTCCTGATGTCATTCATATGACTGATGCTTCTCCTACACAGTAGTCAGTTAGTTCAGTTTATTTAGAATTTTTAGCCCTAGAATTGTTCTTTACGGAAACAAACAAAAAAGTGTTTGGAATTGTCTACCAAACATTATTAAAATAAAGCAATGCATTTAGAATTGTTTAAATTGCATACTTAATTTCCTGTAATGCAATCAATCCAGAGCTGTTTTTAGAAAGGAAGTTAAATATAAGTTAACTTTTTGCACAGAATATATATTTTATTATAGTGAGTTATAAACCATTTTTCTTATGGTGATTTGCATATCTTCATTATAAATTAGATTTTTGAAAAAACATTTTATGGAATACTAACTAGACCATCTTTACTGTTGTTAAAATACTTTAAGAAATGAAGAGATTGCATTGGCTTTGGGGTTCACTGTGATGAATATCTAATAGATATTTTTATTAACTGATTTTTTTTCTGAAAATGAAATTACTTGGTATTGTTAGCAATTAGTCTAATATATGCTACAGATGATCAGTTGATTGCAAATTTAATCATTTGTTATTTTGCAAACTTGTCTTTGAAAGGATATATGGTTTTATCTCAAAGAAATGTAAGGATAACAAATCTCTCCATATTTAGCCTGAGTTGTATGTATTAGTAAACCATATCCAATACAGAACTATATAAGTTACAGTACATCTGCAGACATAAACCTCAGCCCCCTCCTAATTTTGGAGAAATATTTGTAACCATTTATGGCAATGGAATCAGTGGCCTTTATACATAAACAGGTTTTTTAAAAATCTCCCTGACAAATGGAAATTATACCAATTTCTTGCACTAAATTTCAAGTATCTCAAAGTCAGATCTCATAGTCTGAATGTTCCAAATATACTGTCAGATGGGTTTTAAATTTTTATTGTCCTTATCACAAGGTGCAGGTACTTCACATTTACATTAATCACAATATTATCAGCAAGTATTGATGTTTCACACAGTTTTGAATGACCTTTAATCTTTTCCCACAATTGTGGAACCTCAATTGACCCTTCACTAGGTAGAAAAACTATAACTACATGCAAAAATTATCCAATTTTGCAGCTGAATTGAACTATATCTCTCTCTTTTCTATATCCCTACATCTTTTGTCTTCTTTTTCTCCTTTTTCTTCTTCTTTTCCTTCTTTGTCCTTTATTACAACAACATTTTTTAAGAGTACAGTGGTACTAAAGTTTTTGGTACAAATGAATTAGTTGAGAGGCTTGTGTTAAACAGATCTGAAAGAACACTTTAACATGGAAGAAATGTCTATGAAAATCTTACTAGATATTCTAAGAAGCTAATCAAAATAGTTGAGGCTATATTTATTTATTCTGATTAAGAAAAATAGAACAATCTGTTAAGAAAATGAACAATTATTGAACATGACATTTCCGGTTTCCCATTAAATCTAAGTGGTCAACTCAGCAGAAGAAAACTCTTGTATCTCTGAGACCACTCGAATAAACATGCTAAGGTATATAAATAAATAGATTAATTAATTATTATTTAAAACTATTCACCCATAAAGTATATTGACCCGTTTGTTTCTTTGACATTACCTGAATTGAGCATATAGAATTCACCCTGTGAGGTCAAATAGTTAATAAAGATAATGGTAGCTTAGACTAAGCTGTTGGCACTGGAGGTAGAGAGATTAATTTGAGTGTAATTTGGTGATGAATTGAACAGGAAGGTGAGCTGGAGGTCAGAACCAGAGATGACTCTTAAGCTCCAGATTTGCACATGTGACTCAATGACGACATTCACTGAGCTGGCCAAGGATAGGAGAGAATCAGGTAGTGTGGAGAGAGTGTCAAGAGTTTGGCTGGGACATATTCTCTGAAATATATGGATAACAATACTGCATTAGATATACAGATCTGAAGCTCAGTAGGGAAGACCGAGGTAGAAAAACAATTCAGGGAATCTCCTAAATATAGGAGATAGAAGAAACATTGAATATGGATGGAACTGCCTAGGAAGACCGTAGAGCAAGTGGAGAACACAGAACTTAGGTCTGAGCTTTGAATAACTCCCACCTTAAAATGGTTGGTTGATGGTGGTCAGATTACAAAGAGGCCTGGGGAAAAACAGCTGCTAGGGAGCCAGTGAAGGTGAAGTAAAACCAAATAGGGGGTGTCACAAAGACTAAAGAAGACAGTGCTTAAAGGAATTAGAAAATATTCACCATTGTCAAAAGTTGCAAAAAGGACAAAGATGTTAAGTGTGAAAACAAAATAACTTTAGAGTATGGATCAGAAGTACTGGCAATTTTATCCAGTTGAATCACGTTGAGAAGGTATGTTTAGATGTAACTTCTCTGAGAAGGGAGAAACAGATCATGATTCAAAGCAGAGTAGATGAGATTGGCCTTAGATGTAGATGCAGCCCTCTTGTTATAACCGGAAGGAAGACAAGGAGGAGGACAAATGTTAAAGAAGTTGTGAGTAAAGGAACAGAAAGTTGGCCAGGTGCAGTGGCTCATGCCTGTAATCCCAGCACTTCGGGAGGCCAAGGTGGGAGGACTGCTTGAGTTCAGCAGTTTGAGATAAGCCTGGGCAACATACGGAGACCTTATCTCTAAAAAACAAAAAAGTTAGCTGGGCATTGTGGCACTAGTGGCTCATGTTGTGGCCGCAAATACACAGGAGGCTGAGGTGGGAGGATCGCTTGAGCCCAGGAGGTCAAGGCTGCAGTGAGCTGTGATCATGCCACTGCACTCCAGACTGGGTGACAGAGGGAAACTCTGTCTTAAAAAAAAAAAAAAAGAAAGAAAGAAAAATGAAATGAAAGTTGAAGGATTCTCTGTGGAAAAATACAATTGTCTTTATGATATAGGAGCTAGAATCGTCTATACAGGGTGAAGACAGAAATGGAAGTTGTTTACAGGAGCTCAAAGAAGACTTGGTGTGCCGTTAAGAGGAGTTGCAGAGGATTTCTCTGTCAAATGAACAGTGTTTAGTTCCTCTTTAAGTTAGAGATCACACATTTATTTTGAGTAGTGTGCCTTGTTGTGTGACATTTCTCAGTCCCGTGTGGCTGTTTCTGAGCAAGCTAAAGAAAGCAGGTAATTTATGGAGAATCTTTGCCACGCAGATGTGATAAAAAGACAAGGGAATTAGGTGTCCTATTATAATTATTAAAATGATGGGCCAGGAAAACTATGCCCACTACGAAAAAGTGCATGAAGATTAAGAGTGGTGATTTGAACTAGATAAAGTGGACAGTGTTCATATGAGGTTAAAAAAATGGTTTTCTTATAAGGCAAACTGTAAGACAGGAGGTTGTGCTTTTTGTGATTTTGTGATCTTTTAAAAATTCAGAGTAATCATAGGCAATGCTAATGTGACTGAGAGAGAGCTTGACTGAGGGTTGAGATGGGAGAAATTCTCCCTCAATAAAGACAACAAGGTACCTGAAAGACCATGGTATCCTGGATGGGGAGAGTAATTAATGGTCCCAGGATGTCTCGGAGCCATTGCTAGCTATTTTAAGATAAAGGGTAGCAACTGAGAGGCTTGAGATAGTAGCAAATAAGAGGAGGAGAGCATGTTATATTAGAAGAAGGGGCAAGACTTTTTATTTGTTTGGTTTTGTTTTCCTTTTAATAAGAGGGTATGGAAGTAATGTTTTAGAAGTTATGAAGAGGACTGTGGAGGAACCAACCCATTAGCCAGCCCCTGAAATACACATGGTACTAGACAATAAATGGAAAGAACTTGAGAATGCTGCAGGCTTAGTGGTGTCTAAGGTGGACCAAATTTCAGTTAAGACAAGGAGACAGAGAGGAAACTCCAAGAAGTTGATAGTAAATTAGAATTTGCTCATTCAGGAATACTGGTTCTAAACACACGGCAAATGTGTGTGCAAGTGGGGAGAATTATAGGACTGGTTTAAGGGATAGTTTCTATGCTAGCATATTTTTTTAAAATTTTCCATTAACTAGACAATCTTGGTATTTTCCATCCTTTTAGAGTCATCTAAGTAAGACTAACATTAAACAAGGAGAGACTATAGTGATATCAAAATACAGTAATGCTTGATTACCTATCTTATGCCCAAGGCACAGACCTGCAGGAAGATTCCTCACTAACTTTATATACTAGTCTATGGCTGGGGATTTTTTTTTATTATTATTTCCCCCCCAAAGAATTACTAAATGTAGTTTTTATTTAAATTAATCTGAAAAAAATACCATAAAAGGCCATAAAACACATGCTATTCCTTCTCTCTGGAATGTTCTTTCCTAATATATCTCCATGGCTCACTCTTTTACCGCCTTTAGATCTTTACTCAAATGACACGCTTTCTGAGGAGCTTCCACAGAAAGTCATTCCCACTCAAGCCCTTGCCGTCCTCCTCCTCAGCTTCATCTTCCTCTTCATCACTTCTGTCCTCTGGCCTGCCATATGATTTACGTATTTATTTTTGCCTCTTTCTCCTCACATTGGTATTTGAGGACCTAGAGGGCAGGCTTTTCATCCATCTTTTTTCACTGACAGTGGTATCACCAGCATCTAGAGCAGCACATGAAACACCTTAGGGTTCAACAAATAATTGCTAAATGAACGAGTTCATACACATGTAAATTAATAGACAGAAAAATCCAATGGGGTCTAAGGATAATTCCAAAAAAGAAGTTACAAAAATATCTCGATCAATGAATATATTGTTGGAATAAATGCGGGACCCTCCAGGGTTAGAGGGCACAGCACACATGTGGATGAATCAATGGTACTATGAGCATTGTAAAGTGGGCTCTTTATTTCAGAGTCACTTTTGTATTACAAGATGATTTTAGTGTCATTTGAGAACTTAATTTCCTATCAAATAGCCCACTGAATATTCTCCTTTTGGTTTAATTTTCAAAACTAAATACAGCTCAGTGCTGTTACCCTGCGTGAGCCTGAGTTTGCAGCTGAGTGCCTCCAGGCATGTCAAGGCCCAGACTCAGCAACTGCAAAAATTAAGCTACAGGACTCCGAAAGCATGAAAATTGTTAAAGAGAGTAAAGCTTTATTTCACTATTCTTAACTTCTCAACATCCCACTTGGAAAGTAAAGATTTTGTTTGACTGAATTTTGAATATAATTTGGTGTTCATAACCTATTTTTGCTTTGTTTTGTTAGTTATAAAAATGTTCAAGACCTTTTTTTCTGTCTATTGAGAATTTCAAACCTGATTATCATGGTGTCTAATTCTGATTTTTCTAATGAGTTTGCATCTGCATTTTGTTTTTATCTTTCTTTTGTTTTGCTTATTTTCTTTTCAAAGTGACCTTAGTAAAACTTTCCTTTTATGCATATAAGAGGTACATATACACACATTTGTCCTAGAATAAAACAAGGATATATTTGTTTAAGTTTTCCCAGAAATGATTTTCTGCCAAGAATATATTGGCTATATGAAAAGGCTTATCATTTTAAAATGTTCCTTTAACTAGACAATCTCAGTATTTTCTATTGTTTTAGAGTCATCTACGTAAGACCGACTGACATTAAACTAAGGGAGAGTACAGCGATGTCAAAACAGAGTGATGCTTGATTACCTATCTTGAGCCTTAGGTACAGACCTGCAAGTAGATTCATCACTAATTTCACATTTCCTTTTGAATTGGATGGTACTGGATTGTAAACATGTTGTGTAATGACCTGTATGAATCAATAGGATGCCTGTCCAATCCTGGAAAGATAAATATGGATGAGTCCTGTGCCATCAGTCATTTGGCTTGCTGATGTGCGTGCTTTTTCGTATACATTTCAAGTCATTCCAGAGAAAGAATTGGTCCCAGAATAATCCTATTGCTGCCTTTGGGTCTCGAGTATCAGGAGATGGATCAGATTCTTTATATTTGCATATGGAGAGACTGATAAGGCAGCTGGGCAGTTTCCTCTAGCTTTTACTCGAATAATATAGATACTGTTGTTCATCAACAATGTCTGCAGGGTTAAATGAAAAGAAGAAAGAGAAGAGAAGGAGAGGCAGAAGAAGAAAAAGAGGGGAACGTAGATTTATGAGATATAATTCAGATGTTTCAGAAATAATTTTTTCTGTGGTTCAGGTAAACATTCTCTGATCCTCTAGTATTCACTGTTCCTTTCGTGTCCCCTGCTTCCTGGTTTCTGAGTGTGTGCTATCCAAGGGATCTTGATCTCAAGTTTGAAGAAACTTGGCTTTTGAGCAAAATTGAGCAGGAAATTCAGAAGGCAGATAGAAAACATAATTTTGCTTCAAAACTTCTTTGTCCCTCTTCCAATTAGTACCTACCGGAGAACTCATGCTAAGTTTACCATTTGCATAAAATGTCTCTGAATCATTTGGTTACTAAATTCTTTATACTAGTCTGCGGACAGATAGCTGTGACATATTGAGAACCAGAAAGAAAATCTGGGTAACAGCAAGAGCTTAAGGCTTAGAAAATCCTATCTGGTCTAAAAACACTCTTGTTTTTGTTTGTTTGTTTGTTTTGTGTTGGACAAAATAAGTAATTATCCCGAATATATTAAATTATTCACCAGACATAACCAAGTATTTTTCTAATTTATATTATAGTAATAACTGCATTCAGATGTGGGATGGAATCATATTGTATTTAGAAACATAAATCTTAATGCTCAACATTTAAAAAAATCTAGGGATTATGTTGATAATAAACAAATGGGAATATGTCCTTCTGTTTTTTTTTTTAAAGATCTTTTACAATCCACAAATGTTATCAGTTTAAGAGACAAAAAGTGATAGAAAGGAGAAAAATAAGATTCATAGTAAATTTTACCTGGCCCTATATTTCTAATGAAAGGTATTTTATGTTATATTAGACTTCTTCAGCATTTTATTTTGAATGGATCAAGTATGGCTTGCCCACAAGGGAAAAATACTCCAACATTTTCAGCCTAATGAAGAATAATAATATTTACTAATTGTGGGGAATCTACTAATTGGCAAAAATATAAGAAATATAAGAGGCAACTTCATTTGCCCCATGAAAGAACTGAGACTTCAAGAAGTAAATTAATTGGCCAAGTTCACATATCTGATGATAAAAACTGAGTTCTTTCCATTTACATCACACATGAAATATTTCCTTGGTTTTGTCTAGGAAAACAGTGGCAAAAGCAGTAACATCTTGAAAATAAGATAATGTTTATGATGAGAGGAAAGAGATAAGAAGAGAAGATGGTATCACAGGAAAAAGATGTGTATAGTGAAGAATTACAAATCTGTAAGAGAGGCAGAAAATCACAGTATGCTCAGTGGAAGCTCAAACTCTTCATTTAAGAAATACTTGCCACACTATCGAAAGCCCCCCAGATTTTGTCAGCTTTGATTTTATAAGAAAGATATTTTTACCATAATAGAACTAGAATTAATATGTAAAACTCTGTATATTTGAACAGTATTTGTATACATATATAAGGACATTTTCTATCCAGTATTCTCAGAGAGATAACCATATTATTTCTGCAGCAAATATATATTAATTTAGCATAGTTAGAATAATTATGAGACCTATTAATGTTTACTTGAATTTTTAATCTGGCTCCTTATAGTTTATTACACCGGCTTGGAAAATGCTGCCTAAAAAATCATTAAGTACCAAAAATGTATATTTTCACCCCTTCACATAAACTTGTATGTACTGCCTTTGATGTAAGGTGGTATAGTGGCACATTATTCATTTTTATTTGGAATTGGCAAAGCCATTGTTGAATTTAAATATACCTTTTAAAACTTAGGTGAATTCACCCAGATATTAAGCCTTGAGGTAGGATCCATGAAGCTATAAAAATTCAAGAAAAACAAGTCGCTAATCTAAAATAGTTAAGCAAACTGTGTGAGTATATTAAGCAGATATTGAATGTGACAGTATGCCCCCATTGTATGGGCTCATTCTGAGTTAAAACTTCAAAATAGAATTGGGTCTGCTTCTCATCAGTGTCAAAAATATCTTATAATTCATGTAAAAGTGTATTTTCTTCAATTACTGACCCAGTTTCTCCCTTTTTCAATATCTCAGGGGTACCTTCATTATGGGGATGATATAAAATGATGATGTATATAATGTAGTTGAAGCCATGTATTACTTTTTTGTCTTTTACTGATTATCTTCCCCTTGTCTGTAGGACATTACTATTTGCTCTGCCTGAAAAAGAAAGCCTGCCTTCCATAATTGCCTATGATTGGGTGTCTTTTGGGAATGAGGGAAGTGAGCCAAAGTTTCTTATTTCAGAGTATTAACTGAAGCTGTGGTTCTCAGCTGCGGGTGATTTTGCACCCACTTCCCAAAAGCATTTGGTAATGTCTGGATGCGTATTTGGTTGTCACTACAGGGTTAAGGTTGTGGGAGAAAGTTGCTGTTAGCATCTAGTAGATAGAGGCTAGGAATGTTGCTAAACATCCTACAGTGTACAGCCATGCCCCTACTACAAAGAATTATCCAGCCCAAAATGTCAATAAGGCTGAGACTCAGAAATCCTGATCCGCAGTGAACAAAACCTGAGGAGATCATTTGAAAATTTGTCAATTACCTAGTTTTACCTAGAAAAATGTCACATAAGGAGGCAAAGGAGAATCTATTTTATGTCATGATTTATTTAATAAGGGATTCTTTCTCTTTTTCCTCTGAAGATACACAGTCACCCAATCTTACTCCATCATACAAAACTGGGCTCCTTCCTGGAGAGAATAACCCCCTCACCCACCACACACACACACATCATTGCAATTAGAAGCCTATATTGGGTTAAAGACTGATTCCACACACTGTGACATTGACTTCATCTCTTTATGCTGTATGAGGAAATTCAGGCGATAAATAATTGAGTATCACAATGAATTGGAAATAGAAATGGATATTTCAGCTGTTTAACTCATTGATTTTTTGTTTATTTATTACACTCTAGAATCTGATCTGATTGTGGAGAACACAACAGAGTCTCAAACTGGCAAACAGACATATAAACACTAAGAAAATTAGAGACAGAGAGAGAAAAAACATTCAGTAGACAAATTCCAGAGTGAAATATTTTGGGATTTCTTTTTTCTTTTTTGCCCTGCCTGAGTTGTTGTTCCTTAATTTGTTTGTTCATAAAATAAATTCTTCATTGAGCATCTAGAATAAATACCTACAATAATAGATGGCAACTTACATATCAGAATAATGCCAGATTTGTATTATATTTTCTCTAAGAGAAAAGCATACATTCCCTTTCCTTCTTCTCATCACACACCTATGTGAAATTGAAATATTTCACCTTTATTATGGCTGAATAAATTAATATAATTGTTGCATCATTTCTATTCTTTCTAGATTAGTCTTCACCATACCATATATATCACTAACTGATAAATTACTGTATACCTTTACAGTTTTAGAGATATGGCTTACATTTGTACCTCATAAGTAAGTGGGGAAGGAAATGTTTTTGTATTATGACTTTAGATGATCAAAACATATTTATCACTGCTGTAAGGAAACATTGTCTTTTGGATGCTTTTATGATATTCCTAAGAAAGAATCATTCATGTCAAGATTGAAAGTAGTGTTTGATGACAATGTGGACAGTGGCCGTCAAACCAGTTAATGTGCAATTTTGGTCATTCCCATAAGAATCAGCAAGGGCAGATCATCATGCAATTACTAGAAAAATGAACAGCACTGTTCACAAGAGCTTGGCAATTAATTAAATGATATGCTTGTTCATCTTGCAGGTCAAGCAGATAATTGTGCTGAGAATTACTTTGAAATCATGCATGGTTCAACTTAGCCCTTTTGAATCCCAGGAGAGGTTTACGGGTCATACTGCATATCACACTTCTTGTGGATGGGGGCTAATACTAGCTAATCCTGTTAACATACACAATGGGACAGGAGATAGCCGAAGATTCACATTTACATGGTACAAGCTAACATGTCCATTAAAAAGTCCTTGCCTACTTTTATTTACTTCCTCGGTATGCAACTAATATATCATAATTATGTTAGATATCACTTGACATATTTTTCAATGTCTATGATGATGTCAGCTTCGTGTAATATTTATGTAACTTTGTATACCCATCACACAGGTAATACTTAGCACATTTTCCCCAAAAAACAAACAATTGAAAAGTAAGAACAGATACTGATCTGTCCCTTAATGCTGAAATTTCTAGGCATTCTTAAATATAGTATCTCAAATGAATATTTAAATTAAAAAATAACTATGTTAAGAGGAATATAATACTTTCAAGAAACATACATTAGTCAGAAGCTATTTAATAATTTAACTGAAAACATTTTGTCAATAATATATGTCATATCTTCATTATTTTGGAGCAGTTTAATATAGTTTATGGATTATGGATTGGGCAAACCCTCACCTGGGAAACAAACTATCTCAAATATCCTATTCAATTAGACAATTCTTGATCTATAAATGAATAATATTCTTTTACCTACCTTGTTTCTGATATCTACAGGAAAAAAATGAAATAGATTTGGGCCTTTTCACCAATAGAAATAAATAGAAGTGTCTGTGTAAATTTGCATTGATCAATAAGTTTCTTTTAGTAATATGAAGACAATACCACTTGGAAGTATTCCTTGGGACTCGAGGGAGTCTCTTTGTCTATTACATTATACAAATAAAAGATTCATTATTATTTAGAAAAACCTTCAACTGTAACACTTAAAAGCTAATATTGTATACTCAGTTTTATCTTGATACTCTTTCATGCAATACTTTATTTGCAATCATTTTAGAACATGAATATTTAATTATATACTATAAATTTATTATAACCCTCTTTGCAATAAAATAGGATTCAGTATAAGAGAGATGCATTTTGGACTCTATCCAAAAGAATTTATTTGTGGTAGTTAGTACCAGTTTCAAACACTAATGCCTACAGGGTCCAGGCAGGTACTATACATGCATGAAATGGCCTGGGTATAAGAAAATAGGAAGTGATGGGGATGGTTTGGGAGCACATGTTCCCTAAAGCCAATTCCTTCCATAGGGGAATCCTAGCATATTGCTGCCAGAGCTTTGACTTTCTCAAATGACAATAGGATGCAAAGTTTACATTTCAAATTTCCTAATTTTTAGATAGTGGATTATTTTTATCACTCATCATGTAAGACAAATAAATACATTTAGGGAGGATATGCAAGATGCCAGTTTACATTCACTTGGGAAAGTTTCACAAGATAAAACTTAAATTGTCTATATAAGATTTTAGTATCTACATAGCATTTTTCTGTTTTTGTTACTTTATTATTTATATAATCTTCTAAAATATAAGATTTCCTAATATTTCCCATCTTCCATTTTTATGTCTATCTCCTGTGTAATAAAAGTCTTCTAAATAAGATTTTAAGTAAATTTTTATTACCAGGGTATGTATACTTTGCTACCAATAGAACCATGGATTTATTATCTATACTTTAGAGTAAATTTTGCTTGGAATTCTATCAAATATGATTGTTTAATAAGATATTTGTATAAAATAGTTTCTTAAATATATAGCAAAAACTTAATATGGTAGAAATGACATTTATTTTAAGCTCCAAATTTCTCAGAAGAAATAAAAATAAGATACCCTCCCTCATCCATCAAAACTCTCTTTTTAAATGTTTTTTATATACTTATGTTTTATCTATGTTGCTACTTCTACAATAGTGATCCATGGCTCAAGAAAAAATGTAGACATGCAGAAATAGTCTAAGAAAAAAGCAACATAACCCACGACCCAAGATGCCAGTCTATAGGAAGTTGATGAAAATGGCGTGTGTACTGGACTAAGTAGAAGAATTGAGAACTATTTAAGAGCCATGAGTTAGGCAAGGCAGCAAAGCTGATCAAATAATCTGTTGCAGAATAAGTTCCTTAGGGAAAAAAATACGTTAAAATGTCAAGCTTGAGATATGACAGTCAAAGACTTTGCTGATTTTTTTTTCTGAAATTGTATCTGTCTTACAATAAAGGCATATCTGAAACCAAAGTCTAATCCTGTGGTTAATTTTAGTTAAATTGGAAGTTTTAAAAAATGGAGTGGAATCTTAAATAAATATGTTTTATCAGTTTAGGCAATCCTGCAGCTGTTCATATTTTCATTTCATAGCACGTGTCACTGTGACAAATGAAAAATATTTTCATCCACTAGGATTACCAGGTTGCTGAAAAGCAATAAACAAACTGTAACAAGAATTATGTATGTAACTGACAGTTAATCAGACTATTCACAGAGTGGTAATGAAGAGAATGAAAAGATTGGATAAAGTGTTTCCTGCTGACAAATGGTCTACATTACATTAATAATTTATTAGCTAAAATTTGTGATTATTACTGGTTAATGTGGTTAGCATTGACTTACTTTAATGATATCTTAAAAAATACAGGGCAGAACCATTCGACACAATTCCCTTTGAAATTATCTTTTTAGTAGCTTTTGTATCACCAAGATGGGTTTCTATCAGTGGGTTTCTTTCAGAAAGGGATATAAGGCAGATAAAATGTCCCCATATTTTTACCTTATTCCAGCTGAATATAATGGGCAGTTGTTTTAAAATTATTATTTTCTTCTAACTCACTATTAAAGTGGTGAATGATTATTTTAAATGCATCTTGAGAAGGGAACTTTAGAGAGACTTCAAAAAAATAGCTAAATCATGTAATACAATAAATGCAAAATTCCAGTTTGTAGTGTAGATGGTATGTTAACAGATTCTATAAAATATTACTGTTCGGAGGTACTCCACAGGAAGGGAAAAGGATCCCTTGGTCAAATAAGTTTGGAAACTCAACGTAACATTACCAAACATTAGAATCAATAGTCCTATAGTAAAGTAATGTGCTTAACTTCACTTTAAACCTTGAACATCATTTCTTTAAACAAAACACATAATCATCCAATTTTTTATGAAAATCCAAGAATAAATCATGCATGCATAATTCATATTACTATAAGAGAACATTAAGCAAGACTCAGAAATTTAAAAAACAAGAGATTGTTCCCTTCTTCCTAGCCCTGAAGCATATCTGTGATCTAAATTGCCCCTCAGATAGATACGTGTCATTTCCATTCTGATAATTAGCTTTCTAAATAACTATCTACTATAAGTTGTCTAAATCTTTAAAATAAGTTTCCTTAAAAAAATTATTTGATGAAAATATTTTTAAAAGTTTATATATGCCAAAACCATTGCTTATTTTATTTTAAAAGAATCATAAAATTAACAAATACCTAAAGGAGAATTTGTGATGAGGTCTTTGCCTGACGAGGTATAGGATAAGAGAAAATAATCAACAGTTAAAATTAATCTTTATATTAAATTTTTTTTTCTGAATTTCTAGTGATAGATTAGTGTGTATTTTATTTTCCCTTAACATCCAAAACAGCACTTTCTCCCTAACAAGGATGAGGATTTGATTTATTTAATGTAATGTTCTTATTGTGTGAATATGGCATAAATAAAGATCTAAAACCCATCCATGTCTTTCCCATTTATGGCATTTAAGATATGGAGTTAATGCAAATTGAGCCCCCTTTAAGGGGGAAAATATTGTAATAAGTGTTACCAAAACAGGCAGAAAGAATGGAAGGAACTCTGTACATACAGTAATCATACACCCACATGCTCACCAATCAGACTTTAATTTCTATGTATGCAAATAGATGAACTGAGACTGTATGTCTTATTATCCAAACAGCCCTTTGTCTTGTCAGGCCCTTGAGGAGAACGACCATAATCCTTGATGTCCTGGAGAATGTTTGCTGGTCCTCAGGGACTGACTGTCATTTAATTTAGGCAACTTAGTGTCTGCCTTAGCTCTGTGTGTATTTACATATAAATCGTTTGTTGGGTCGGAGTAGGGGAGGCAGAAAGTGAAGATATATCACAAACTCCTTCCTCCGATTAGTTTATGCTGTCTGCTTGCCTGTGGGGTGTGTTTTCAGCAAATAAGTGGTGTAGGGGTAAAAAGGTTATAGATGGAAGATCTCTATTTTCCCACATGTGGGACATGAGCATCAGCAAGAAGAACACTGGTCACACGTGATCTATTTCTACACATAATGAGAGACATGATTTAACACTGAGACTTATTGCTATTTTGGCGTAAGTGTACAAGTCATCAGAGCTAATATATCCTTGTTCCAAGAAAGACTCGTGGATTACTTGATACTGTGTTTTTGCTCTGATTCATTAGCACTCAATGACCCACCTACAGATGGTCCAGATACCTGGTCAGGCCGGGATAAAGGAATATACACATGCATTTTAGCAAAGGGAGCTTGCGTTTGGCAAAACTTTTTACAGATGTTATCACCGTCTTCTAACAAATGGGGTTTTGAACATGATGAGTTGAAATATCACCATGTTGGTTGAACAAAAAACTTGTACAGCATTCACAAACAAAATGACGTTTTTTGATGGAGACTGGAGTTGAGGGCGGTTAGGGAAGAGACTAAACCTCAAACTGTACCTCAAAAAAAAAAAAAATATATATATATATATTTGCAGTTTTGTGGTATGGTGTATATATATATATATGCTATAATATATGCTATATATATACATGCTATATATATATATAGCAAATATATATATATAGCAATTACTAACAGAAACGGTAATCAGAAATAAAAGCACCAGCACTGGACCTTCATGCCTCCTGGCATATATGAACCACCTCCTAAGTGTTTTTGTTTTTTGTTTTTTCTTTTCCCTAAGTTAACATTGGTTGAGCACACTTCATCTGTGCCAGGCATTGTGTGAAAAACTTTATATGCATTAGCACGTTGAATTCGCCTTACAATACTATAAGGTCAGTAATTTCATCTTGCCTGATGTCCAGGTAATTACAAGGAGGTTAAATAACTTGATCAAAGTCATGCAAGGGAGGACAGCAATATCCAAATGAGTCCACATTCCACCTTTAGCCCTTAGGTTATGTGACCCAACATTTGGTTACAGAGAAGCGAAAAACACCTATATTGGGAATTCATACTTCTACACTTGCCTTTTCTTTATTAATTTATTACTATTATTTACGGTAATAAACTGTTTGCTGTTTATTACTGTAGTTTATTGTTTATTACTGTAATGTGGGTGAATTGAAAAAATCTGAATCAAGAATTTTCTACCATAACAACAACAATTTGCCATGGTCTCACCTGGAACACAGCATCTCACATTGAGTCCTGTGACAATATAAGAAGTGGAGAGTAATCCCAGCACTTTGGGAGACCTTGGCAGGTGGATCACTTGAGGTCAGGAATTCGAGACCAGCCAGGCCAACATGGTGAAATCCCGTCTCTACTAAAAATATAAAACTTAGCAGGGCGTGGTGGTGCGCACCCGTAATCCCAGCTGCTAGGGAGGCTGAGGCAGGAGAATCTCTTGAACCCGGGAGGCAGAGGTTGCAGTGAGCCGAGATTGTGCCACTGCACTTCAGCCTGGGTGACAGAATGAGACTCTCTCTCTCACAAAAAAAAAAAAAAAAAAAAAAAGAAAGGGGAGAGTTATTTCTCTCTTCTTACTGGATTTTTACTGGGCAAAAATAAAGCTTACAAATATTTTATACCCCAGGAAAGCAGTGGGTGGGAGAATGTTAAGATGCTAATTGTTACAGAAACTACCAGAAAGAGAGAGAAATTGATTTCTCAGGGAGAAATTAAATCTCTTGGATTTCTGAAGGCATCAGAAAAATGTAAAGCTTTCTTGTCAGGTCTTCACAGCCAGCTGATTGACTTGCTTTAGTATATTTTTATTTATTGAAGATTTATTTATATTATTTCTACCTTCAAAGTGGTTAGAGACAGCATACAAAATTAAACATAAACAACAACATCAGTCATTAGGGACAAAACAATAGAAGAGGAAATTACCTAATTGTGAACATTGGATCATGAATTTGACACTAAACTTCTGCAATTTTATTGTAAAAATAAATGTGCTAAATATTTATATTTTACAACTTAGATACAATTTAAGTTCAAATAAAATAATATGTGGATATGTTCACAATATGCCATGATCTAACTTGGTGAGCTTTAGCTGTCATAGATTTTTTTTTTTTTCCAAGACGGAGTCTCTCTCTGTCATACAGGCTGGAGTGCAGTGGCATGATCTCAGCTCACTGCAACCTCCACCTCCAAGGTTCAAGTGATTCCTCCTGCCTCAGCCTCCAGTGTAGCTGGGACTACAGGTATGTGCCACCATGCCCGGCTAATTTTTGTATTTTTAGTAGAGATGGGGTTTCACTATATTGGCCAGGCTGGTCTTGAACCCCTGAGCTTGTGATCCACCTGCCTCAGCCTCCCAAGTCATAGACATTTTAAAATAATTTTTCTTTAGGATTTAATGAGACTGGAGGAATTAAATTGGCGTTCAGACTGCAAGTAAGAAAAGAATTTGCTAAAGTCTACACCCAGAGCTAGACCCAGAATGGGTTATTTTATTTTATTTTATTTTATTTTATTTTATTTATTTTATTTTATTTTTTCTGAGACAGAGTCTTACTCTGATGTCCAGGCTAGAGTGCAGTGGTGAGATCTTAGGTCATTGCAGCCTCTGCCTCTGGGGTTCAAGCAATTCTCATGCCTCAGCCTCCCAAGTAGCTGGGACTGCAGGTGTCTGCCACCATGCCTGGCTAATATTTTGTATTTTTAGTAGAGACGGGTTTCACCGTGTTACCCAGGCTGGTCTTGAACTCCTGGCCTCAAGTGATCTGCGCCCTCAGTCTCCCAAAGTGCTGGGATTGTAGGTGTAGCCACCACGCCCAGCCTAGGATCCATGTTTATGGTCAACAGTTTAAATATTTCACTGTTATTCACTAAAAAAGACAGTCGGTTTGATTTCAGATTTTAGAAAAATATTTTTCAAATTGCTCCCTAAGGATAGCCTGCATTGTTGTGTATCTAATTAAATGCATACATAGAACTCCGTTTCTGCATAAATGAAAAACATGAACAAGATCTAGTCAAGAGAGGCTGAGTATTTTCTTATCAGTTGTTGAGAATAAGCCCCCAAATCTGGCCACAAACTGCCCCCAGATCTGGCCACAAACTGGCCCCAAGACTGGCCATAAACTAAATCTCTGCAGCACTGTGACAAGTTCGTGATGGCCATGACGCCCACGCTGAAGTTTGTGGGTTTACCGGAATGAGAGCAAGGAACACCTGGCCCACCCAGGGCGGGAAAACTGCTTAAAGGCGTTCTTAAACCACAAACAATAGCAGGAGCGATCTGTGCCTTAAGGACATGCTCCTGCTGTGGATAACTAGCCAGAGCCCATCCCTTTATTTTGGCCCATCCCTTTGTTTCCCGTAAGGAATACTTTTAGTTAATCTATAATCTATAGAAACAATGCTTATCACTAGCTTGCTGTCAATAAATATGTGGGTAAATCTCTGTTCCAGGCTCTCAGCTCTGAAGGCTGTGAGACACCTGGTTTCCCACTCCACACCGCTATATTTCTGTGTGTGTGTGTCTTTAATTCCTCCAGCGCAGCTAGGTTAGGGTCTCCCCTACCAAGCTGGTCTCGGCAATCAGTCAAGCAAGAAAAGGAAGCAGCTGTTCTGATCCAGAACCAAACAGAATAGCTCTGGAGCTCTCTGAAGCAACTCAAAATGCCTTTGGTAAAGTTATTTTTCAAAACTGTCCTCCTATCTCATTTCCTTACCTGACACGTCCATCCCCCAGGCATTCCTCCTTTAAAGAACTGCTGATTTCCAAATTGGAAGACAATAATGTTTTCCCTCTTAGTAGAGTTTGAGAGAAAATGTCTCAAATTACCTACTCTGCTGTTCAAGTTTATAGTCACCTTTCCCTACATTGGGGGTGAGAGCTGGGTCATGCAGAGAGCTCTTCTCTTACAACTCTGAGCAGGAAAAGAAGTTTTGATTAGTGCTTACCTATGGAGAACATGAGTTTTTAAATATATTTATCTTAAATTAAAATTTATCTCATTAAATTGTAAATAATACAATTATATCCTAGCTGATAGAACATATAGGCAACCAATATATATTCAAGTCTAAAAACTGATTCTAAAACTTTGAAAAATAACAACCAGACAGCCTAATGATATGGATTTCAGTACCACTTGACTTGATTGACTGTCTCATTCAGAAATAAAAGCAAACATAATAATAAAAAAACTTGTATAAAGAAAAACTAAAAAAATTCTTTAATTATTATGTTTAGTATTAATTGCAACCTCCCGTAGCAGAACATTTTCCCCATTTTCTATTATTAACCAAGATACTCAAATTTTCTCTTATAAAGATTTTCCTATTACATAGTTTGAAATGTTTTTATGTATTAATATTATATGCCTATTTTATAGTTAATAAAGCACAATTTAATTCCAGAGATACTATGCTTGAAATCTTTTTCATGAAATCACAGGGACCAGAAATGGAAATGAAATTAGGACGTCTGATTTAGACCTGCTGTCTGTATGCTCTTATATATTATGTTTACAAGCTAATCGTTCCATACACAGAAATAATTCATTTTCAACAATATTCATAAACCATCTAATATAGGATTTTAAGGTAATAAGACATTGATAACAGTGAATTTTTGTTCTTCAGATACTAGGTCTTCAAAAAAAAAATCTTAGCTTACTAGTTCACACCAAAGATCAATCAGAAGGTGTCCTTTTGCTCCTATCCTTCATGCTAACTTGGTGGGCTACTTGCTGTGTGTCCTTTAGTCCTTGAGACTTCCTTTTCTCATATGAAAAGATGGTCACTCCATTAGATTGTGTCTCTGAAAATTGTAGTTCTTCAACTATGTTACCCAGAAAGACTTGGAGATGGATAGATATAAGGTACCTTAGAAAAACAACATATATATGGCTTGCCAGTTATCTGAGCACCATTTACTGAATAGGGTGTCCTTTCCCCACTTTAATCTTATATGCTTTGTTGAAGATAAGTTGGCTGTAAATATTTGGCTTTATTTCTGGGTTCTCGATTCTGTTCCATTGGTCTGTGTGCCTATGTTGATGCCAGCACCATGCTGTTTTGGTAACTATAGCCTTGTAGTATAATTTGAAGTCAGGTAATATGATGCTTCCAGATTTGTTCTTTTGCTTAGTATTGCTTTGGCTATGTGGGCTCTTCCGTGGTTCCATATGAATTTTAGAATTTTTTTCCAATCCTGTGAAGAACGATGATGGTATTTTGATGGGAATTGCATTGAATCTGTAGATTCTACTCATCCATGAGCATGGGATGTGTTTCCATTTGTTTGTGTCATCTATGATTTCTTTTAGCAGTTTTGTAGTTTTCCTTGTAGAGATCTTTTGCCTCCTTGGTTAAGTATATTCCTGAGGTTTTGTTTGTTTGTTTGTATTTGTTTTTGTTTTGCAGCTGTTAAAAAAGGGGATTGAATTCTTAATTTGATAATCAGTTTGGTCACTTTTGGTGTATGGCAGTGCTACTAATTTGTGTGCATTGATTTTGTATCCTGAAACTTTACTGAATTCATTTATCAGATCTAGGAGCTTTTCGGATGAGTCTTTAGTGTTTTCTAGACATATAATCATATCATGGGCAAACAGCAACCATTTGACTTCCTCTTTTCCAGTTTTGATGCTCTTTATTTCTCTCATTTGATTGCTTATAATTTAAAAAAATTAAAAAATAAAACAATGTTGGCATGGATGTGGTAAAAAGGGAGCTCTTCTACACTGCTGATGAGAATGTAAACTAGTACAACCACTATGGAAAACAGTATGGAGTTTCCTTAAAGAACTAAAAGTAGAACTATCATTTGATTCAGCAACCCCACTGCTGGGTAGCTACCCAAAGGAAAAGAAGTCATTATATAATATAAAAAAATAAAAAAAACACTTGCACATGCATGTTTATAGAAGCATGATTCACAATTGCAAAAATATGGAACCAACCTAAATGTCTATCAACCAAAGAATGGATTAAGAAAATGTGGTTACATACACCATGGAATACTACTCAGGCATAAAAAGGAATGAAATAATGGCCTTTGCAGCAACTTGGATGGAGTTGGAGGCATTATTCTAGTTGAAGTAACTCAACAATGGAAAACCAAATATCACATGTTCTCACTTGTAAGTGGAAGCTAAGCTATGTGGATATATTGGACTTTGGGGACTTGGTGTGGAAGGACAAGATGGGGGTGAGGAATAAAAGACTACATATTGGGTACAGTGTACACTGTTTGGGTGACAGGTGCACCAAAATCTCAGAAATCACCACTAAAGAACTTATTCATGTAACCAAAACAAAACCACCTGTTCCCCCCAAAACTATTGAAATAAAATAAAAAATAATTGTAAAAAGAACAATATATAAAGTATTGTGCCAATTTGAAGCCCATCTCTTCCCCACATAAACAGAGAGTAAGCTGACTTCATTGTGACTCTTTTGCTAGAAACTCTTCAGTATGCCCCTTGCCCTCCGAGTATGGCAGAAATTTCTCGGAAAGGTTGCAGTCATTCAAGATCTAGCTCTGGCTTCACTCTAAACCTCATTTCTCACATCTCTCACCTCCTCCCTAACCCACACCATGCCCCCGCCAACCACACATACACAACACACATGCATGCAGGCGCACACACACACACACACACACACACACACACACATGCCCCACCACCACGACCAACAACAACTATATTAACTTTCTTGCAAACCCTTGCTTACATGTTCACTTTTGCTTTTAGCCTTTGCATAAATGCATCTCTGCTATCCTATCCTTCTCTCACTCTACCTCTTTTAGGTCCAGGTGAATATTCACCGTCTGTGGAAATCCTTCTTATACTCTCTCTCAAGTCATGTGTCCT
The DNA here is from genome assembly GCF_000001405.40 of Homo sapiens. NCBI lineage: Eukaryota > Metazoa > Chordata > Mammalia > Primates > Hominidae > Homo > Homo sapiens. The sequence goes on along the minus strand of NC_000003.12, from coordinate 79,208,489 downwards.
TTTAATGACACCCAAATTATCTTATCTTCAAGCCTATCCAACCATTTTAAATACCTATTTGTTTATCTGACTCTGCCAAATAAGCCCTTGATGGCAGTGCCCACTGCTTGTTCACCACTGTGTTCACAGATGCATATGGCATAGTAAACATTAAATTAATAACTTTTACAAGAATAAAAAGGATGGAAGGAAGCAAAGGGGGAAAGTAAAATGAGGTCTACCAGGCATTTGGTGTCAAGTGAGACAAATAAGTAAATAAAACTTATGAGTGGGGAGGACACGTAACCTAGTCATGAGTGATACTGGAGAGAAGGCTGAGAGATGGCACAGGCAATTATCAGAGTTTTGAAAACTATTCTAAATATCATGGATAACCATATTCAAACTCCAGAAAGATCTACTTAGATTTGAGCATGGGGAACTTAGATTTGTTATCATCAATTTTTGACATCAAGGTAATTTAATTTTTTACAAATAAAACTTTTTTTAGAGAATTTCTTTTACTAATGTTCCGAAAAATATGTCAGATATTTTCACCTCCTGAATTATTAAGAGATGATTTAGCTAAATAAATTACTTGATGTCTCAAGGTATGTTCAAGCCCCAGAATGCCATAAGTACATCAAATTCTATCTGATTACTAGTGATTTAGACACTCAAAATTAGATATGAACCGAAGTCGATGGATTTTTTTTTTTTTTTTCAGTTTTAAAGGTCACCAATTCAATCTTATATGACTCTCCATGTAAAAGAAATTAGGGGGATTCTTTGGAAGGATTTCACAGGGATTTCCTGGTTGTTAGAAGCAGAAAACAATTCAAACAGCTGAAATAAACATGGTTTATAACAAAAAAATAGAGGGATAGCATTGGCTTTTCATCCACCTAACACCAGACCAGATTCTATCCAACCTAAAAATCAAGCTCTCACTATTATTACACTGGTTTAGTCTCTCATTATAGAAATCTCAACTTTTTGGAAGAAAGAATGTGAGTCATTTAACTTAGGCCATGCACTCAGCTCCAGTCCAATCGATTACGACTGGAAAGTAGATGGAGTTTGGTGATGGTAGAATATTGAGGAACATAAAACTTGCCCTTTCTGCAATGGATTAACTTGAAAGAATTTATAGGTTAGCTGGCCATGATTGACCTCCTTCAAAAAAGGTTGACAAATAAGAGGCATTGTTTTATGACATGTAGAAGTTCTTCTACTAATGATTTTGGAAAATGGGATTTTTCTTTTCAAATGGTTTGCAAGAGACAATTTATTTATTCCAATTAAATCAACTGTTTGATCAATGTTTTCCCCACCTCCCACCCTCTGGCCCAAGATTCTATACTTAACAACAATTTTACACTTTTTTTTCTCATTGTTCATTTACTTTAAATGAGATTTAATGTAATGCAATAATCTAAAGTTAAAAGTGACTCTGATTCAATCTTACTGAACATCGTCATGCAAATGCACTTCACATAAATTCATTTGAAATCTTTATATGTTTTTGCAAATTGAGCTCATGTAGGTGTGTCATTTTGAGAAATTTATCTGCTTATAGTTGATAGCTTCAAATTGTAACATATTTTATGAATCAAGTATTTTAAATATGCAGCTAATGAAATTATCTCTAAAATAGTTTTATAACATGGTTAAAATTAAATTATTTTCTCAAAACAAATTTATTTATTCAACATTCCTAGGAAGACTGCCTTTTCTTTCAAGAATCTGATCATTTATTTCCATTGTCATTTATTCCCAAAATAATCAAAATTATTTTAACTATTTTTTAGTGGAAGTGATATATTTTAAAATTTTCTGCTTGATAGTGTCTTAAGGCCTCTTTCAGCTGCAAGCAACAGGGAACACCATCTGAATGAATATACAATGATCTCTCCTTGTCCTCAGGGGATATGTTTCAAGACCCCCAGTAGATGCCTGAAACTACAGATTGTACTGAACTCTATATGTAGTATGCCTTAATTTCTTTTTCTTTCTTCATAATTTCACATATGGATTCGTTCTTGCCATAGATCTTAGTGACTTCAGCATACAATATTTTTTCTCTTTAAGTCAAGAACTTTCACTTTTTCGCTTCAAAGAAACACTGTATGGCTCTCATTGGCATATCTAAATTGCCAGCACAGTAGTCTTGTGCTTTGAGACTATTACGCTGGCAATTTGGATATGCCAAATAGAGCCTTATTTTTATTAAGTAAAATAATGATTACTTGAAAACAAGTACTACAATCCCATGACAGTCAATCTGATAACCAAGATGGCTACTAAGTGAATACCTGGTGGGTAGCATATACCATGTGGTTACTCTGGACAAAGGGATGATTCACATGCCAGCTGGGATTGAGTAGGACAGCATGAGATCTCATCATGCTACGCAGAATGGCACACAATCAATAATGTATGAATTGTTTATTTCTGGAATTTTCCACTTAATATTTTCAGACCACAATTGGCCACAGGTAACTGAAACCTAGGAAAGTGAAGCTTTGAGTAACTGGGACTACCATAATCTAAAAAGGAATTTACTAGTTCACATACCTACCTAGAAATCATCCTTTAGGTGACTTCAGATTGAGGTCTAATTTAGACTGAAACTTGTCACAAGGACCCAACTTCTTTTTTTTAACTTTCTCAAATAAGTTATCATGTTGGAAGATAGGAGCTATACCCCATCTTTACATCTGCTTTCCTGATGGTACTAACTAATGTTCCAGAAATCAGTTTTGTAGACTTCAGTGGATCTCAACTGGGTCTTATATTCAACTTTGAATCAATTACTGTGCACAGGGGATGACTGATTTCCCCAGAGTATAATTCATAAACTCCACTTCTGAGCAGGTAGTGCCCTGCAAAATACATGCCAAGAGAATGCAAGAGTGGTAGTTGTTCAAACAAATTTAGGGCTATAACCAGAAAAAAGAAATAGAGTCTACTTCTGGGTATCTATTCAACAATGATAATCATTATTTAGTTAGCCCCATCTTATTCAGGCCCAATATTGTATATTTCTTATGCATGGAGAAAAGGTAGATAACATTATCTCCATGTTATCTGGGTGATTAAATGGACACATAGATAAGTTAATTATTTGATCCAAAATCTTACAGTTTATAAGTAAAAATGCTAGGAATTGAGTCTCACTTTTACAATTCCCTAATCCAATCATTTATCCTCTAGAGGCCGGACATGGTGGCTCACACCTGTAGTCCTAGCACTTTGGGAGGCCGAGGAAGGCAGATCACTTGAGGACAGGGGTTTGAGACCAGCCTGGCAAACATAACAAAACTCCATCACTACTAAAAATAGAAAAAATTAACCGGATATGGTGGTGCGCGCCTGTAATCCCAACTACTCCAGAGGCTGCTGCGCCAAAATAGCTTGAACCTGGGAGGTAGAGGTTGCTGTGAGCCATGATCACGCCACTGCAGTCCAGCCTAGGCGACAGAGTGAGACTCTCTCTAAAAACTAACTAACTAACTAACTAACTAACTAACTAATTCTCCAAGTCAAAAAGAAAGGAAGCGAGAAAAATAAAGTTAAAAAACAAACAAACAAAACAAAAACAAAAACAAAAACAAAAAAAGACGTAACCGCAAGAAAAGTATGTGCAAAGTTAGAAAAAAGCAATTTGCAGTGTAGGAAACTCCAAAGACTAACAAACATGAAATATGCTCAAACCCATTAGGAATTAAAGACATGCTAATTAAAACAACAATAGCATATCACTTTACACTCATGAGATTAGCAAAATTTAGAAAGCTGGACAATGCCAAATGTTGGAAGGAGTCATAGGAAATGGGAAACCTCCAGCACAGAGTGTAGAGTTGTGCAGTCATCCTGAAAAGCAATCTGTGGCAGGTCTTAATCCAATTAAGTTCACATACCTGCTATATTCCCACAACCCACTACAAAGCATGTCTCGGAAAAATCCTCACACAGGCTATGACGGAACACATATAGCAATGTTCTTCATCATGTTATTTGTACTAACAAGGGGTTAGAGACCATGTAGTCAGCCGCCACTGGGGAATAGATAAATAAAGAATGGAGGTTACACACTAAAGAATACCTCATTAGAGCTAGAGGCAACACACTAGATACTCATACAGCCATGGTTATACATGGGCATACTTTTATCTGTACAGTTAGATAAAAGAAATAAGTTCTGATATTTGATAGTTCAGTCGGGAAACTATAGTTAACAATAACTTATAAGATATTTCAAAATAACTGTAAGAGAAAAATTGTAATGTTCCCAAAACAAGGAAAAATAGAGGTTTGAAGTGATGAATATCACAGTTACTCTGATTTGATCACTACACATTGTATACAGGTATCAAAATATCATATCTACCTCAAAAATATGTACAACTATCGTACATAAATACAAGAGTTCTAAAACACAGTGCTGAGTGAAAAAGAATAGGAAAAATATCAAATCCATAACAAATATTTCTGCCTATTAAAACACATGCACTCAATATCACAGCATTTTAAAATAAGAAATGAAAATAAAAGGATACCAATTGCACACATTAGGATGACATCCTGAGTAGCGGGTGGCATTGGCAAAAGGGAATGCAGAATGGGAATAGAAAGAAAAAAATAAATAAACTCAGTATAAGATGGGCTTCACACCACCGATGATGTTACTATGATATTCCGGTAACTACGGAGTGTAATTCACCTAATCCTCTGCACCTCTGGTGCAAAAACAAAACAATGCAAATCGTGAACTGTTACGTACATAGTGGTTCAAATAGAAGAAAACCAGTTTCACTGATTTTCAAATTGTTCACCATATACACTTCTATATATGAGTTAAATTGAATTCCTTGAAACAGTAAGCCTGCTCATATCTAAAATCTAAATTCCCAGACAAAAATCCATGCCAAGATTCACTTGGGAACATTAACCTAAGTTCAGTATCCCTTTCCGAGGGACTTCTCAAATTTCAAGGAGTTTGCAACCCACTTGACTCCATAAAGAGCCAGTCTACTGAAGCTGGCTATTTATAATTTTGAGTTATCTGTTTAACAGAAAGGAAAGTTCTCTTTGATTTCTAATAGAGATAAACCCTATCCTGGGAATACTATTGCTTGTGGTTATAAAGTCTTAATGATTCAGGGCTGTTGCCTTTTGTTGTGCCAATTCAGGCACTTTATGCTCCCAGACAAACCGCTCTCAGCAAGATGGCTTTGATATAGAACCACTGATATTTAAATATCAAAATGTAACTCTTTGGCCGGGCAATAACCCTCCATGTGGGAGGCTTGGATGCGATTTCCAGATCTGCTTTCTTGTCCTTGTAGCTGCTGCATCTGGAAATGATACTTGTAGTTCTGGTAATATTCCAGTCTGTCACAGGATATTTTATCCAAATTTTCAGTGTGCTTTGCAATTTATTAATCCTTGCAACACCTATAGGAGGTAGGTAGATATTTTTTTTTCCCCTCGAGGAACTAAAGCAATTGAGAATGCAAATGAGAATTACACAAGGCCAGGCAGCTGGATGAGAGGGTAGAGGACATTCCTTTGCAGTTAGGAGAAAAGCGAATCCTATTAAATTGTGAACTCATTTGACGCTACCATTAAGCACATTTTAAAGGAAATTTTATAGCTTGTGAATGAAAAACAAGGTTTTGGAAACCAAAATTAAGGCTTAAGGAACTAAAAAGTTTTGTTTAAGAAACTCTGTTTCTTAAATATTCTGCATATTCCAATTTGTTGGGTTTAATAAGTAAGACTACAAGTAAACACCAAAATTTTGAAATGAAAGCTTGAAAGCATATGGGCCATGCTGGTACCTGTAGCTTGGATGTATAACAACTTCTTTGAAAGTATTTCTCTTTTTTTTTTTTTTTGAAATGAGTGACTTTTTGCTTCTGTTTCTTTTTAATTTCATAGTTGATCTCAACTCCATTTCTGATTTTTTATGTAGATTAATAGAATGTTCCCCATTGTTCATGGGCAGTTTGTTCACGATCGCTGATGAATTGTGGAAGTGATAATATAAAAATCAAAGAGTGAATTTTTCTCATTCATTGATAACCCTTTTCTGTGAATTTATATTTGATCCAGATTCATGTAGATTCTGTTAGATTCCATTAGATGATTTTTAGGCTTCATGTGTAAAATCCAGGGATGTTTGTAGGTGATCTTTAAGTATCATCTAGGTCACTCATTTATTCTACTAATAAATATTTACTGAACTTACTGTATTTTAACCAGTGTTCAAAAACTAAAGGTATCAAAAGTGAATGAGAAACAATCCTGTAAAAATAAAATCAGTTATCGGTATTGGAGGATTCAGGCAAGGAAACAGCTAATTAAAGTAGAGTAAATGAAAATAATATGGCATTCTACGAATTTAGGAGGGCTGCCGCCCAGACTTGAAGGATCATGGATGGTTTCACAGAAGAATGGACGTCTACAATGAAACCTGAAGGGCAAATAAGAGTTATCAGGCAAAGAAGGGAAATTGAGGGATGGAATACTACTAGCAAGGAGAACATTTGTAAAGTTTCACAATTATTATATAAAAGAGCCAACCTGATAAATAATAATTATATATTATATAATATATAATTATCAATAGATGTAGATATTATATAATACTATGCAATGAATAATTATTACTACAACAATAATACCTAGTATGTGAATATTTATTAGGTGCTAAGTGCTGTAGTTTGTACTTAAAAAACTATCTCCAATTCTCCTCACAATAGCCCTGTGTAAAAGGTTATTTTGATTTTTCAGTTGAGGAAGATGAGGACTAGATTTATTCATAATTTGTCCAATGTTACAATCCAGAAAACAGGAAGATCTGACATTTAAGACTTGGTCTGGCCAACTCCAAAGCCCCAGATGTGGTTCAGAGAACAAATGTGGAGATACTGCTTAAGCAGCTTTCTCGCTGTGTAAAATTGAAAATCTTTCTTGGCCTTTGTTTGCCTCAGTTTCCCCATTAGTAGATAGCATTTGTGATACTACCTTCCCCATAGAATTGTTGTGAGGACTAAATGAGCTAATACACATAACATATTTAATAGAATATGTGCTTTACATGAGCACTATAAAAGTACTTGTTATTGTTCTATTTGTATTAAACCTTAGAAACATATTCTCTCTACTGACAGAAAAATAAACTGCAAAGGTGACAGTGTCAAATGATAAGACCAGGACTATCTGAAAGGTTTGCAGTTTTATTATGAGAACTATGGTAGTTCACTGAGGTTTTAAACAGTAGAATTAAAAATTAGTAAAGCATTTTAAAATAACATCTTGGCTATAAACAGAAAACTATTAGATGGTTTTTACAGGCATCCAGGCCTATGATGATAATGTCCAGAATAGGCTATTAAGAATGAGGATGAGAAGAATAAGTAAAGGATATCCTCTGTGGCCATATTAACAATGTAGGAATTAGACATATATTCAATGTAAAATATTTCCTACAGGATCCGGAATTTGCTGTTTTCATTCACAAGAAAATTTCACCTATTCAGAACCATTAGCACATGAGCCATTTTATATAGCAAAGACATAATTTAACAAAAACAAATATGTCAAAGTGATTCATAAAATGCAAAGCACAGTCATTTTCCTGAGAGCTAAGCATTTAACTATAACTACAAAAGATTTTTTAAAAAAATGTTTTTGAACTAAGCTTGTCTAAAATGTGTTTTTCTCTTTATTTTACACATTTGAGAATATGACTAAACATTGTTTGGTTATCTCACAGTTAATGGACTTTTCATGCTACATTAGAGTACGTGCCATTCTCTGGCCAAAAATTGCACATCCACATTTTTGTGTGCTTTTGTTGCTTCTGGAAACCTCTTTGCTCACTCCTACTCACTCTCAAAGTTTCTACTTAATTGGCACTTCTTTGTAACACTGTCCAGGCTGTGTTTTCTTATTACAGTATGTAATATTTAACTTTCCTTCTTTCATGCCTATCACCCATTGTCTAATACATCTAGATTGATGTTATAAGAGTTAGCAAAATTAAGGTACCGAGAATCATATATATAAAATATATGTATATTTTTTAATCCTGAAATGAAATTCTCTAAATGTTACTGTTTTCTATCAATAGCTAACAAAAACAAAAATAAATAAATAAATACCTATTTTTTGCAAATACATTTTTATGTAATAAAGTATGTCAAGGGTGGTCCTTAAATTCAGAATTACATTGTGTGAATTTAAGTGACCTTTCTCATCTTCCTTGACACACACAAAAATTGCTAACCACAAGACTGCGTTAAATTTGAATTTAAATGGTGACTAATCCTTTTCTGTTTCCACTCATTACAATACTTTTCACTTCTTGCCTTCACCTGCTTTGACCCTTTACATGATTATTTCTCTGCTTTGCTTTATATAAATGGCTCTGCTTTTTGTCTTCCTACAGTTACAGCTTTGATGGTCCTCCTTATTTTTTATCTCTCCTTTGATACTTGTTTTTACTCTATTCTTCCCTTCTGTTCCATCCTTATAGTCAGAATAACCATTCGAATTTAATTTAAATAGCTCTTAGACTTTAAAGAAATGTAGAAAATATTGCATTATTCACCCTCACTTTATTCAGTACAGGGCAAGAACACTTTACCATCGCCATAAAAAAGTTTATATAAGTAAAACAAGTAGCTAAGTTTTAACTAAAATTTTATACTGATTGTGACAATAATGTACTACGATTGAATCCTCAAGCCACATAGAAAAATGTGTCCCATCCTAAAAATGTATATCTCATTAGATTACAGTAACATTCTAAAAATATGTGTCTCATGGAAATGTTATTTTAACTACTGTGGCATCCAGGAAGAAAGGATAGAAACAGACAAACAAAAAAAAAATGGTAATTGGGTTTTAAAGTTATGTAACCCTTGATCCAAATACACATCAAAGATTGAGCCACTCATACGAAGATAAATCATCAGGAACACGTTAAAGAAGGTGAATTAATACACCTACCTGAATGAGAGACAATTTGTAAAATTCCAGTTGGAGCCATTTTAGCAGTATTAAGGAGTGATAGTCAGTTCTCCCAAACATCCCAGTGGTTACAATGATTAAAAATTACAGATGGTTTGAAGTGCCTAGTTTGGTCATTTCTCTTCTTAGAAATGTCTTGAGTCTTCTAGTCATTACAAATATTTTAAAATAAACTATAAATTTCCTATATTTGAGCATGTTGTAATATCTCAATGCTTTAAATCTAACCAGTGAGTGGAATACAAAACAACTTTAATTTTGCATGGATTTTTTATAAGCCATTCAAGGACTACTTCATTTATTAACTTCCATTCTTTTGATTGTCACATATCTATGTAAAAGATAGGTATATAAAAACCGGCACAAGACAAGGATGCCCTCTCTCACCACTCCTGTTCAACATAGTATTGGAAGCTCTGGCCAGGGCAATCAGGCAAGAGAAATAAATAAAGGGTATTCAATTAGGAAAAGAGGAAGTCAAATTGTCTCTGTTTGCAGATGACTTGATTGTATACTTAGAAAACCCCATCATCTCAGCCCAAAATCTCCTTCAGCTGATAAGCAACTTCAGCAAAATCTCAGGATAAAATCAATGTGCAAAAATCACAAGCATTCCTATACACCAATAACAGAGAGCCAAATCATGAGTGAACTCCCATTCACAATTGCTGCAAAGAGAACAAAATACCTAGGAATCCAACTTACAAGGGATGTGAAGGACCTCTTCAAGGAGAACTACAAACCACTGCTCAAGGAAATAAAAGAGGACACAAACAAATGGAAGAACTTTCCATGCTCATGGATAGGAAGAATCAATATCGTGAAAATGACCATACTGCCCAAAGTAATTTATAGATTCAATGCTATCCCCATGAAGCTACCACTGACTTTCTTCACAGAATTGGAAAAAACTACTTTAAAGTTCATGTGGAACCAAAAAAGACCCCTCATAGCCAAGACAATCCTAAGCAAAAAGAACAAAGCTGGAGGCATCATGCTACCTGACTTCAAACTATACTATAAGGCTACAGTAACCAAAACATCATGGTACTGGTACCAAAACAGATATATAGACCAATGGAACAGAAAAGAGGCCTCAGAAATAACACCACACTTCTACAACCATCTTATCTTTGACAAATTTGACAAAAACAAAAAATGGAGAAAGGATTCCCTATTTAATAAATGGTGCTGGGAAAACTAGCTAGCCATATGCAGAAAGCTGAAACTGGATCCCTTCCTTACACCTTATACAAAAATTAACTCAAGAAGAATTAAAGACTTTAATGTAAGACCTAAAACCATAAAAACCCTAGAAGAAAACCTAGGCAATACCATTCAGGACATAGGCATGGGCAAAGACTTCATGACTGAAACACCAAAAGCAATGGCAACAAAAGCCAAAATTGACAAATGGGATTTAATTAAACTAAAGAGCTTCTCCACAGCAAAAGAAAGTACTATCAGAGTGAACAGGCGCCCTACAGATTTGGAGAACATTTTTGCAATCTACCCATCTGACAAAGGGCTAATATCCAGAATCTACAAAGTACTTAAACAAATTTACAAGAAAAAAAAAAAACCCATCAAAAAAATGGGCGAAGGATATGAACAGACACTTCTCAAAAGAAGACATTTATGCAGCCAACAAACTTATGAAAAAATGCTCATCATCACTGGTCATTAGAGAAATGCAAATCAAAACCACAATAAGATATCATCTCACTCCAGTTACAGTGGCAATCACTAAAAAGTCAGGAAACAACAGATGCTGGAGAGGATGTGGAGAAATAGGAACACTTGTACATTGTTGGTGTGAGTGTAAACTAGGTCAACCATTGTGGAAGACAGTGTGGTGATTCCTCAAGGATCTAGAACTAGAAATTCCATTTGACCCAGCAATCCCATTACTGGGTATATATCCAAAGGATTATAAATCATTCTACTATAAAGACACATGCACACGTATGTTTATTGTGGCACCGTTCACAATGGCAAAGTCTTGGAACCAATCAAAATGTCCATTAATGATAGACTGGATAAAGAAAATGTGGCACATATACACCATGGAATACTATGCAGCCATAAAAAAGGATGAGTTCATGTCCTTTGCAGGGACATGGATGAAGCTGGAAACCTTCATTCTAAGCAAATTATCACAAGGACAGAAAACCAAACCCTTCATGTTGTCACTCATAAGTGGGAGTTGAACAATGAGAACACATGGACACAGGGAGGGGAACATCACACACCAGGGTCTATCAGGGGTGGGGTGCTGGGAGAGAGATAGCATTAGGAGAAATACCTAAGGTAAATGATGAGTTGATGGGTGCAGCAAACCAACATGGCATGTGTATACCTATGTAACAAATCTGAATGTTGTGCAGAACTTAAAGTATAATAATACGAAAAACAAGATAGGTATATATTTACTAGTTATCATACAGGAATAGGGAAAAGCAGTATAATTTAAGTAAACTATGTAGGTAGTCACACCACTAAAAAACAAAACACCAGATTAAGGATATTTAAAAACATGATATCATCCAATTAATGCAAACTCAGAGAGAGAAAAGCCTTATCTGAAGCATTCAAAGACTAGGAATAGTTTGAAATATTTTTTCTATCCAGATATCACATATTTGAATATTTTGTATTCTAAAAAGATAAAGGGTTAACCTGGAGCAGCAAGTACATTTCCATGGATCCTACCAGTTGATAGTCTGCAAGTGTTGGATTTAAAACCACGGAGAGACAAGGTAAAAAGCAGATTGATCGTTAGCAGTTACACATTCCAAACTCTTCTCCTATGAGGCTCAGCTTCATGTATTTATGTTTTTCTTTTAAAAATTTCATTCCATTTGCTTTCGACAATCAATATGACTAAAATTGGGTAGCCATTGTAGTCACTATAAGTTAACTCACTAGCAAGTCTTGAGAAGAACTCTGTGAGCCCTCCATATAGTTAGCTGCACTAATTTGGATTGTGAAAATGTTTTTATTCTCAATCACTCGCTCTTTTGTTTCCATGCTCTTTATTTTCTCTCTCTTTCTTTCTTTCTTTCTCTCTCCCTCCCTCTCTCTCTTGGTGCGTGTGCATGTGTGTGTGATGGATTAATTTTCTAGGAATAGTCTTCTTCTCACCTCATCTTTTTCTTACCTTCTCTCCAACTGAAAAAAAAAAAAAAAAAGAAACTCTTCTCATCCTTCTAGCTCTACGTGAAGTGATAGATGCCATCTTTTCTGAGAAAACCACCAAGTCTCTTGGAAAGATAGAAACCTTTTCCACAATGTATCCTTATCCATCACTTACGTTATTGCAGTCTGGCTTATACCATTATTGCTGGCATACATATTTAGGTTTCTAATTAAACTGAAATTCTTTCAGGGAAAGACTATGACTTTTCATCTTTTTGTCCACTATACTTTATTCAATGCCTGGCATGAAGTAGGTGCTCAATAAGTCCTTATTTAATAAATAATTAAATTAATGTGTCTGTTAATTAACTAACAACCTGTTTAATATTCTAGAGATGTAAAAAATGTTTTATAACCTCCTTTTCCTGACATTTGGAGCTCACAATTAATAGAAAAGATATGCATTAATAAATAAACTATAAGGGAAGGTAATCTGAATTTATTTAAAAAGAGACATTAGCATCTAGTTTGCAGTATAGTGTTTCTGAGTTGGCCTTTGGGTTTTCTGAAAAAAACAAAGAAGTAAATTCTCAATACAATAGTTTCAAATGTTGAAACAGGGTTTTATTGACCATAGGAAGTACAAGCAATTTTATTAACTGAATTTCTGTTTATATTTTGTTATCAATACAAAATTGTCTTTGGTTTCCAGATATAGCTTATTGAAAATATTTTTCATTATACAAGTCCTTCTTTTTTATAATCAAGAACAAACTCATCAGATATCTTTTTTATCTGATAATTTTCAAAAAGTAAAAAGTTCTATGAAAAGGAAGTAGTGGTGTGGTAAGATATCAGTAAGTGGTTCCCTGCTTTTGACATCAATCTGTATTAATTTTTTATTTATAACATATATTTGCCAATTGCCACTTAAAGTTTCTGGTTGCTCATTCCTTATAATATCACTCTGCAATTTTAGACAACCCTAGTAACAGGAATTGTAAAATCATAATAAAAACAGCTACTGATAACTGAATACTTACTATATGCCCAGCATTCTATTTACAGTTTTATGTACATTATCTTGCTTAATTCTCTGAACAGACCTTTGAGGGAGGTATTATTATTATTCCCATTTTTCTTATGACAGTACTGATCTTTGGAGTAGTCAAATGACCAGCCACAGATCAAACAATTAGCACCTGATAGACCCAGGAACTTAAACCCAAAGCCACCTGAAGTCATAATCACTATATGTGTTCTCTATCAGTAGATAAAACTTAGAAAAACTGTTTTGATGTGTTAACAGAGACTCCATGGGCTACCTGTTTCTTTATCTCCAGCTAATCCTTTAGCACTGCATTGCCCTCTAAGTCAGAATATTTATAAGTAGAAATATCAAACCTACTTGTTATTCATAACTCAGCATATTAAACCCACTTATTATTGAGGCAGAACATTTGTCCATATCAGAAGAATGACGTTACACTTCCAATTTTATGGGGCCACATAAAATACTGGGTATTTTTTCTCATTTACTTGAATGGCAACCAGTCCCCTACATACCTGTAAAGAATAAGATGATCTTTGTTTTCACCATTCTACTACAATAAAAGAGTAAGTGAAAGGTCATAAAGACAGAAGGATATAATTAAATGTGAATGCCATTTGGAATTTCAGATGGGTGCCCATTCTTTAGCAAGTGCGGCATTTATACGTCTATATATATGCCAACGTCAAGCATACAAGTACATAGAAATTCACCAAATTTAACAACTCTTGAAGGTTGAAAGCCAGGCACTTGAGAACCTTCAGGGCTCCCTCGTGTCCAAGTATTTTTTGTGTAGGTAGTGGGAATTATGTATTGTAATAGCATTAAAAAGTGACGTCGTATAAAGAAATTTGAACCTATGCTATTGTGACCTAATCACAATGTAACTTTCACCACCAATAAAAATGACTTTTTTGCGTGACATCTCCGTGTAAGCTGACTGCCCACACTGGAAGTGTGCTGCCTGTAGCAAGTCATCTTGTGAATGTGAGCAACAGTACATACAATGTTTGCTAACAAGAGAGGTTACTTTTTACCTAGGAAAAACAAAGCGCTTTACCATTATTGTAAAACATTGATAGGCTATAAATAAGAAAATAACATTCAAGAGAAGGATAGGTCCATGGAGACAATTTTATTTATATTTACTTTCCAGATTAGGATTCTATAATCTCAACAAATCAGGGGATCCACTCTACGTATTTATTTAGGAAATGGCAGGGCTGGAGTTAAAACTGGATGGCTACTGCTCACAGCCATTCCAATATATTTCCTTCAAGTTGGTACTGATTTATTGAAAACTTGCATTTTATGATTACCCTAACTAGGTCTCTTAACATCGGTGTACACATTTGACCTCTTTTTCTCTTTTGAAGCTCTTTTCTCTTGGTTTCTATAATTGTAGACTCTTGTGTTTTTTATGTTTCTGGCTAAACTTTTCTGTTTGTTGGCTAATGTCTCTTCTCTAGCAAACTAGTTTGACACTCCCTAGGGCTCAGTCCTGGAGTGTCTTCTTTCCTGTCTCTGTAATTCATTGATATCAAGTCCACATTAATTATCATCATATGTAAGAATGATAATTGGGATTAGAAATGTATCCTAAAATCAGAGAAAGGTAGGGAATAATTTCTGCTTTTTATTACTTACTGACCGATTTCTACTTTTCTGATACAAAAAAAAAAAAAAAAAAAAAAAGCAAAACCACATCCTTGGCGTAAAATACAAGGTAAATATATCTAGGCTTTCTTGAAATAGACCAGAATGCAGTAGAGGGGAGCATGGACTCTGAATCCTGACTGCCATTGTTCTACCTCTGGCTCTGCACTGACTAGCTGGTGATTTTTGAGCCTCAGCTTTCCCTCCTTTAACATGAGAATAATAATGACTATTTCATGAGGTCATTTTGACCATTAAATAAGATAATATATGTAAATTGTTTTAGATGGTGATTGGAAAAGTATGTCCTGAATTCGTTGTTATAATCACGTCATCCACACATTCAAAGACTCACAAACTTTTGTATCCAACCAAGACTCTCATCTGAACTTCACATTTCAATACCTAGATGCCTACTTGAGGAATCTACTTTTATGTCTCACAGACATTTCAAGTTTAACATGTCTCCACTTCTTGCTATATCCATTCAGCTCTGAACAACTTCCTCAAACCTGAAACTCCTAGTCTTTCCTATTTCTGTAAATGTCACCTATGGCGACCAACATCTGCAAGCCAGAACACTGTAATCATTCTTAAAACTTCGTTTCTCTCACTTTCCACATGTAACCATGTGTATTTTGAATCAATTCACTTCTTTTTTCCATCTCTGCTACCGCCTCTCTGGTCCAAGACTCCATCATGTCTTACCTGTAATAAACTAATATTCTGAACTCTAGGTGAACTCCTACCCCAAAAATCCTTCCCCTCCTAAATAAACAGAGTGCACATTTTTCAAAGTGTAGATAACTTGGTTAAAAACACTCAGGTAGCTCTCTATTCCTCTTAAGTAAAAGATTATTTTTTCTCTTGGCCTAGATCATCTTGGGTGTTTCAGCAGATTCCTACTTCTACCTCGTCTTGTCATTCATTATATTCCAACCACAGGCCTCTGAGAATTTCTTCAACATGAGAAGATTTGTCTTATCCATACGGCTTTTAGACCTGCCATTCCCACTGCTGTTCTTTCACACCCACCGCCTAAAACACATCACCCATGTTCTCCACAGATAATTCCTATGAAAGCCTCCTGCTAATTGTTTGTATCTCAGCTCATACCTCATTTCCTTAGAGCAGACTTTTCTGATGAATTCTTCATCAATCTAAATTACCCCTAATTTTCTTCCCCTTGTATGACTTATTACAATTATTAGTCACATATTACCTGCATGTTGATTTAATATCAGTCACTTACTGTAGAATGTAGTATCAGTGAAAGCAGGAACCACTATATAGCAATACTTAGCATAGTTTCTGACACATAGTATGGACTCAGTTTATATCTGTTATATAAATGAGTGAACTTAATTAGTGAACAACAGAACATTTTTAAATTGGTTGACCAGAATGAGAAATACAATCCAAAGCCATTTAGCAGCATAAAGATTACTACTAATAGAATTGAGAATGAATTTTGTTCAAATGTGGGGATATATTTCTAAGTTTAACTTTTGGACAAATAACTCTAAAAATAATGTACTACCAATCTATTAACCTAAAAATAAGGAAACAAGATAAATTTTAAATAACTATATATTCTCCTGGTACAGATATTGAAACTACTATTTGATTTCCTTTACTAAAGAAGTCCCTCTGCACAATAAAATATTATATTATTGAAACCTCTTTAAAAATAAAGTAGTTATCAACTAGTGAAACTTTACTGAATGTAAGTCCTTGTCCCAGATTACAGAAATTCTTGTACCAAGAGACCTTAAAACTAAAATAATGTGATGTTTTGGAGAATATAAACATTTTATTGTTAAATGTGCAAAAAAGATACCCTTTGATTTTTTTAGAAAAATTAAAGTACATTAATTAAAGCATAATACATGTTATAACTGCTCCCATTAATCAGATTCCTCCCTGGAGATGGGCCCATGTGAAGCAAGTTTGGAGCAAATTGTTATTTCATACATTAATTTCC
This sequence comes from Homo sapiens, assembly GCF_000001405.40. NCBI lineage: Eukaryota > Metazoa > Chordata > Mammalia > Primates > Hominidae > Homo > Homo sapiens. The sequence goes on along the minus strand of NC_000003.12, from coordinate 79,191,636 downwards.
ATGAGAAATTACTAAATACATATCCTTATGTTTAAAGCTCACTCATACAATATGTGTGGTATATTAATAATTTATATTTTATATTAATATTTTATTGTTTGAATCCTTAATGTGCACTTCACACAGTTAATTACCTACTGCAAATCTGTTCTTATAAGTGAAATATAATCTAAATAATACAAAGAGTTTTAGAAGCTTGTAAATTGTGTTGTAGTGGGTGAGCACATTTCCCCCTTAAGAACTCACTTGTATGTATTGTCTGATCTTGATGTCACAGTGCATTGATATTAAAACAGTGAGTTATTCATGTCTTCTTCACTTCTCTGATAATTTACATACTACATAATATGATGGTATGCCTTATGTAAAAATCAATGCATAAATCATATTAAATTTTATCATAATAATAGTAAAACTTTAGAAAAAATGAGTTATCACAAGGCAAACAATTTTTCAGGAAAAGAGCAATAAATCTTCAGTAAAGATAAGTAAAATAAGATGACTTGCCCCTCACACTCAAAAATCACGAGAATTAACCAACATTTAATTAATATTTTCTACATATTTTAAAATTATTATCAGCAAATACGAGTTTCCTCATGTCTTCTTTATAGTTTTACATCGTATAGTTCACTGTATGACCTAATGTGTCTGTCCTAAAAATATCTCAATGAATGCATCACAGAGAGAACTGGGAAATATATTTATATGTATCTCTGTTATAAACAGCTTAAAGGGAAGATTTAAGTTTGATTTTTTTGCATTCATTCCTTCACATAGTCATTAATCACAGTTTCACTAGAAACAATGGTATTATTGAAGAACATAATCCGCATGAGATGGTTTGTGGAACAAACATTTTTTTAAAAAGCTTAGAGATGCGAGACATTTGATAAGTTTTAATTTTTATGTATTCATATAATATAGTAATTGAGTCAAGGGGGACCTTACAAAGGAAATATCCAAGTTGGATCTTGAAGACAGAGAAGGTCTTCAGGGGAGGAAAGAGAAAAATGCAAAACAGAAATGGAAAACAATGCAACAACACTGATTTATTTGTAGACAGTGAGTTTGTAAGATGCCTAAAACCAAATTACACAACCCTGTCGTCATCAGAAACGAGTAAGAGTAATCTACCCTTCTGCCCGACTCTCCAATACTCAATTTGTGAAAAAGTCTTAGAGATATGAACTACCTGTGTACTGTTCAATAAGATAGCCACTATTCACATGCAGTTATTCAAAATTAAATCAAAGTTATATAAAATTAATAATTCAGTTCTTCTCTATACTAGCCACATCCCAAGTACTCAATAGCCAAACACACATGGATTTATAGAATATTTTTGCCAACACAGAAAGTTCTCCTAGACAACATTCCATTAAGGGATCCTCATTTCTGTAGCCCAAAGAGAGGCATTTCTAGAATTCTATGTGGAATCAGAATGCATTTCTGAACAATATATAAGCAGGGTAAATTTTAGTTAAAATATATTATATAATTATTTGTAGTGTGATAGGATACATTAGAAATGTTACAGATGCTTTAAATTAGAACCATTGTTTAAGGCATTTCTTTACAGAAAATACACCAAGTAAAACAATGAATGTATAAAATTCTGTAACACAACTCATTTGTAAACTTGGGATGTATAGTATAGAAATCTGTGGTTCCAATTTTGGCTTCAGTATCATTAAATTGTAAAGGGCTACTGTAAATCCATTTAGTGTATTCTCTTAACGTTCTAATGTACCTGTTCAATTTATAAATTCTATATCATGTATTTGCTCTTTTGAAATAAAAATTGCTCTATTTATGTTTCTTTAAACTGTTTCATCTTAAACTAAGATCTCAAATTAAACTTAAAACTCAGATTTCAAGTTAAAATAGGTTACAAGTGTACTATATTACTTTTCTTATCATTCTCCTGAAGCAATATGGTGAACTGCTTAATGCATCAGAGTGCCACTTTATTTTGACTGCATTTCATGGTATAATATTTTTACACCAAAAGTACAGATTTATTGGCCTAATATATTTTCTTTTTTGGGAATATGGGTAAATATTCCTTAACTCAAAGACTCAGACTTTCTCTGTTAATGCTAGCATTTTATAGCTATGCAGAAATACACAGATGTACACACAGATACACATCCCCCTCACCTTTTCTTAGGAGCAGCAGCATAGACAAACATAACATGGACTTAGTGCTAATTTTCTCATTCTCTCTGTTCTGCTTATACTTACTCCTTTTTTATATTTACATTTATTTAGTTCAAAGAAAATTATCATCCAGAATTGGTGTGTGGGTGGGTATCTATTCTAAATTATTTTATGTATTTAATAAATTCCTCTTATTAATATTTTAAAATTTACTTGAGATATCTATTAAGTGGCCTTAAAGCATCTCTGTGCAACTGTATTCCTGATGTTAATAGATGAGTGTTCATAAATGCATTTTTCAATTTCATATATCTAATCAGTAAATATTTAGTGAATTACTTAGTGTATTCCAGCTGCTACAACAAATACTATAAACTGGGCAGCTTATAAAAACAGAAATGTATGTGTTTAGTTCTTGAGGCTGGGAAATTCAAGATCACAATGCCACTAGATATACGGTGTTGCACTTTCAGGTTCACAGAAGGCATCTTCTCACATGGCAGAAGGGGCAAACAAGCTCCCTTGGTCCTCTTTTATAAAGGCAGTAGTCTCATTCATGAGAGATCTGCCCTCATGACCTAATCATACCCCAAAGGCATCAACTCCTAATACCATTACCTTGAATATTACGTTACCTAATATGAATTTTGAGGGGACACAAAAACATTCAGACAGTGAGTAAACCACTATGGACGCTGCTGGTTTGAGGAATACAGTAAAGAACAAGGCAGACAAGATCTCTGCTCTCATAGAAGATAGTACTCAAACACATTGGCCAAAACACGTGCTCAGCTTCCATGAAATGTATTGGTTCAATGAAAGGGCATCTTCATATTTTCAAAAAATCCAAGTGTAAAAGAATGAGTGAAAGAAACAACTCCCTTTTTACAAACAGAAAGACGACGTATATGTGTGTGTGTGTGTGCGTGTGCAAAGGTGCATGTATACATCCAAACAGTAGAAGTGATCAAACATGTACAGTATATGTACATATCTTAAAGGTTCTAGGTTAATATATACAAAGACATTAACAAACTGCTGTTGTTTTCTGTATTCTCTTATTTTTCTGTCCTGATGATATATTACTATTATAGTAACAAAAAATAAAAAAGTATCCTGTGCCCCCCAAAATTATTTAATGTAACTACTGCTTTTTTGTGTGTTTATGCAGTCAATCAAAGAAGCAACAGCCTTTCCTCTCCACATTAAGGACTCACACATATACTTAAAGATATTTTCATGTAAAAGTATTACAAATATAGTTATAAAAACAGTAAAAATGTCTCTACGAAGCCAAACACAATTTCCTAACACTTGTTTATGTACACATTTTGTCACTCTTTATCCATCACACCTGTTACAGAGCAGCAGGAATTTAGGACTGGCTGATTTCTACTGCAATCTGTGAGCATTCTGCACTCAGTATAAAAATAGGAAGATAAACTTTTGTTTTTATCAGAGAAATAGCACACTCATAGAATGTTGATATTTGAATAGACCTTTAGCTCAGTGAGGATCCTGACCTGCCTGAGATCACACAGGGAGTTAGGAGCAAAACCACAATTACAGACTAGGTTTCCTGCCTCCTCAGGCAGTTTTCTTTTTTACCAGCTCATTTCAATCACATAAACTAAATAGAGTTGAATATGGTGTATTAGGACAGCTTAAAATAAATTCAGGTTTGTTTCTGTGAATATGCTGGAAGAAATTTTAATTAATTGTATAGAATTGACTATAGCTGTGCCTGAAACCAGGTTTTTATTTTACAGATCAGATTATATACGAGCCAGATTAAAATGTGTCCCAGAAATTCTGGCAGAGTGAGCTAATCCTGGGGCCATCTGTTTTCTGGATCGGTTTTGGAACTTTCGTTCAAAAGAGTTCTGTCAACACTTTGCATTTCAATGACTCCCCCTCGAGTGACTGAATTATTCAGTGTTGGACAAAATTTATTCACAGTTCCACATTTAAATTAGTACAGTAATTGATTGAGAAAATATATCCAATTAGAAATGATCATGCTTTAGAGGGCGATTCTCACTATCAAGTAGTATTTCAGAAATGCACATATGATTGTGATCCATGCAGCTCCAGAGAAAATCCAGAATCGTCACAGTAGAGAGAGATGATGGCAGACTCTTGGCACTTGGAGGAAATTTAGAGACAATGTAGAAACTCCTATTTGGTATCTCTTCCAGATGGTCATCTGGCCTTTTACAAGAGTGCCAGTTCCATATGGGGACAGATCTAATGCTCAGAAAGTTTTTCCATATATTACCTCTTCTTCTGACCTCTCTGGAATACATTACATATTTTCCTATGAGAATTGGTGTTTAATGGAAGTTTTAAAAAGATATTTAAAGGATAACTAGATACCTTTGGATCTCTTCTAATCTGAAGACAGCATTCTTCTCAAACTAGCAGAATGCTGATGTGAATTATCCATCTTCCCACTCACATCAGAAGGCTTTATGCTTTATGTTTTCACCATTTTACACATATGTCAGAACATGGGTCATAATGCATTTCTGCAGTAAAGCTTTCCCAGATAAATCATCGTTATCACTTACACTCCCAGTCCTGTATTTGAGCAGTCAGTCCGAGGAAATCTCAACATTTCCTATGCGATATTCCTAATTAGAGGCTACCTAGGGTAGTTTATTTTACAGTTGTCCCACTGTTGCCATCCAGAAACCCAGAATGAGAGAGATCTCATCTCAAAATGTGTCTATGACTATTGCAGTGGTAGGAAGGGGGATGGTAAATCATGGACTAGCCCTTCAATCTTCTGCTCACATTTCACTGAAAGTGAACCACATGGTCATACCTCACTTACAAGAAGGGTGAAAGAGTCTAATCCTATAACGTGTCAAAAGGCAGTCAGCAGAATATGTGGTGAATGACCCCAGTGATTACCAAATTGGGCATAAAGATGCAAGTGGCAGGGCCCAGATTGAGAAACGTGTCACCTAAATGGCACAACTATGCAATAGTGAAGATGGACATATTGGAGAGGGACATGGAGAAGAGGATTAGCCACATATGTGTGTGTGTGCATGAATGTGTGTGTTTGTAGACATGTATATATACATGTCTACAAATATATTTATGTGTAAATATAAAACACGTGTGTTTATAAATATGTGTGTGTAGATATACTTGTGCATGTGTGTGTAGATATACATAAATCAGGAAGAACCGGATTCATTGATTAAAGAAGGACAGTTGAACATATGTATGTGTAATGAAAATCGCATATGCTCATACATGTGCAAGAGCAAATAAAGTTAACTTGGGTATCATTCTTTAGCCAAGATTTACATGTGGATAGAATACAGAGCTTGGGCTACAGAATAATAACACAAAAACTGTCACTAAGTAGCAGGGTCACTTTGAACACAGGTCACTCACTGTCTTTGGCTCTTGTATTCCTCATCATTAAAATAAAGGGCTTGGGGAACTTAAACACTTCAAGACTCCAGGTTGAATATATTCTTCATTCCACGTAATGTTTAATGAAACTTGGAGGTCAGGTGAAAAGTATTTAGCATATCTGGTGACATAAAATTTACACATTATATATAAATACACAGAGATATAGAGAATTTTATTATGAATTCTATAATCTGAAATTCATTTTAATAAGTCCTATATGAGAAAAGGAAAGCAAGCTGTGCTCATGTCACAAGATGAAACATTTAATATGTGGCTTCTCCAAGATGGCCAACCTAAAAGGCCAGATGGTTTTAAATGGAACTAGATACTGAACGACAACAACAAATTAATTTCAAGTTTTACAATCAAGTTACATAGGTCTTTATTGACTTCCTGTCATCACTGATCTAACAGGATTTAAACAAGTACCCTGGAGACAGATTAGAAATGTGACTATTTCTAATCTCAACTGTTTAGCTCAGTTATTTTCTAAGATGAATACCTAATAGGAAATCAAAATATGATGAATAAAGTTTATGATTAGGAAGTGACATTGAAGATTAAAGATGGTAAGAATCATCAAACGACATAAATAGTATCTCTATGTATTTACACTATAGGGAAACACTTGTAAGTAAAAGAGTGAAAATGAAACTTTTTGTCCTAAATCTCTCTACTGACTGGCTGAAATTCCATTAGAATAAACCCTTAACCTCTATGACCATCTCCTTATAAAAGGAAATGTTTCTATAAAAAAAATCAGTTACTACCACAGCATAAAACTCAAAGACACCTGGAGAGATAGAGACCAGAGAAAGAGTTGAGCACCAAAAAGATCTTTCCCTTCTCAGACAGTTATCTAGATCGGGTTAGTAGTTATTTTTTCAACATTAGTTGTCCAGTTAGTAGTGTTGTTGTACGTGTGCTTCCTCTGATAGACACTGTGATTCTCAGAGTAACACTGTGACATAGAAGTCATCAACCACATTCTACAGAGAAAGAAACCGAGCTTTTTGAAGTTGTGTAGCTTGTGCAAATATCCACAGCTAGAATGTGGACATGGAAGAGTCTGGCTGATTATCAAACCTATGCTTCTCCACTACTCAAGGAAAGAAGGAAAAGGGACCTGACTTTTGTTCTGGGTAAGCTGAGAGATGCTGTGGGTTGTGTTGATAATCAGTCTGGCTCATGGAGCTCAAAGACTATACATTGAAGGATATTGTAGAAGGAAACTCTTGATAGGAATACATACAATCGAAAGGCTCCAGCAATTTCCCCCACTTTTCAGGGATCCTTTCCAGAGCTCCAACTGTCTGGAAACTTCACAAGACCAGAGAGATTCCTTTCCTTAATGCAACAACTTGAGCACAAAATCCTTTTACCATTAATACAGCTCTTCCCCAATCTTGGTCATTTTGAAGGAAAAACCCAAGCTGACCCACCTACCGTAAGTCCTGGCCCTGAACCAACTCCATTGTCCACACTGACCAAGAGAAATAGGAGCCTTTTCACCCAGATGGAATTTCTGTCATTGAGTAGTGCTTTCTTGCTTCTCTAAAGCACAAGCTTTAGGTTGTGTGGTGACTCCCTATAAAATTCTCAGAATTTATTGTACTAGTTCAGTTGACAGCATGTTGCTGTCTGCTGCACTGGAAATCTATACATAGTCTTAAATGAGAGCAGAGCTCTGTTTTCAAAGCCCGGAAAGACCTACATTTCAAGTTTCTGTTGATAGGATTATTGTCTTTTTAAAAAGAGGCCCGATTGAGGGAACAAATGTGAGCAAACAGAAGAGCATTAACGATCAGTAGAATATCCTTTCAATAATGTGCAGCCTAAGCTTTCTCATTTGGGGTATTTAAAAGTCATATGTTTACTCTGTTCACTGCATCCTGCCGATACTTTTACTTTTATTTTTTCCCCTTGACATCACTGGTGATTGGGTAAGACCAGAAAATATTAAAAGAGCCAAATTCTGGAGGAAACAAAAAGATTACAGGATTTAAACAACACATTTTATTTAACTTGAAGCATAGAAAAGCATTAGCTGACATATTAATAATAATAATTGAATAACAAGTTTGCATTGACTGAAATAACAAAAATGCATGTATTTATTGACAACTTCCCTTGTTCTTCTTAAGTCATTACATTCATGGTTATGTTGCTGTTTTCCTTCATAGACAATAAAAATTCAGATAATTCACTAATGTTATATCTCTAATAACTGAAATCATCTGATAGCTACAGGGAATTCCCATTATCAGTTTGGCTATGTGTCTCCTTTCTGTTCCTGGATAGCCCTGGGGGCAATATTGGACCCAATCCAGACTCTGCCACTAACCGACTGCATTACCTTAAGCAGGTCCTTTCTTGTCCTATCTTTGTAACCCAACCATCCCCAAGGACCACACATTAATTCAGCTTTTCTATTTTTTTCTTCTACTGCTTCCCAGCAAACCTGGAGAATGTTTCTTAGCAAGGAGACAGATCTATTTCTTGTTTCCTTACCCATGTGGGCTTTTACCAGAATTTATTAATTCAACTACATGTTTCCAGCCAGCTACATTTTCCATTCCTCAAGAGGCTGTTCCAAACCTGGAGAGTTTCTTAAATCCACTGAGTCACTTCTGACAGTCTTGATTTCTGCAGATAAACTTGCCCTCAACTTGTAGTTTCTCTTTCTTCACATTCATCCATCTACTGCCAGAGTTCCCTCTTTCAGGTGTTTCAAAGAGAGAACTGGACCTAAGTCAAAACCATTCTATTTTACCCCATTTGCATGAGGGATCCAGTGTTTGATGACACAAATCTTATAAAATTTGTGGAACCTTATTTCTAAAAAGGAAATTAAAATCATAAAATAAAATGTGCCTTAGTGAATTAAAATTAAAAAGCAAAAAGCAATTGTGTGTAAGGAATTAATTTCTCTCTATGTATCTTTTTTTTTTTTTTTTTGAGTTGGAGTCTCTCTCTGTCACCCAGGCTAGAGTGCAGCGGCGCGATCTCGGCTCACTGCAAACTCCGCGTCCTGGGTTCAAGCGATTCTCCTGCCTCAGCCTCCCGAGTAGCTGGGACTACAGGCACGTGCCACCACACCTGGCTAATTTTTTGTATTTTAGTAAAGACAGGGTTTCACCATGTTGGCCAAGATGGTGAACCTCCTCTCCTGACCTCGTGATCCGCCTGCCTCAGCTTCCCAAAGTGCTGGGATTACAGGCATGAGCCACTACACCCGGCCTATGTATCTTAACTGGTACCAGTTAGGTACCATTCGTGGGAGAAGTGGGAAAATAGTCACTTGAAACTTTTTCTCTTTTAGGACCTACATTTCTCACTTAACCCCTGTTGAGAAAGTCTGCTCCTCTTTATATGTCCTCTAGGATTTAGCCCCTTTACACCCCTAAACTTACATTTTCAGCCTTATCTCCTACCCATCCCCACTCCAGTGCGTGCATGCACGCACGCACACACACACACACACACACACACACACCTGTGCCCCAGTGCTGATGAAGGCAGACCTATTTCATTATGTATCATAGCCCAACATTTTTCTCTGAATCGTGAATCCCTATTTAGGGGAGTGTAGATGCTTCATTTGTATTTATAGGCTGAAATAACTGAAAAGATGGTGTCTTGACACGGTCCTCTGCACTTAGGCTCACAAGACAAATGCTAAGAGGGGAAAAGGCATTTTTAGTTTCTGGAGCTTGGCAGTCAGTCAGTGGCAATCAGCTGTGGAATCTGTCTCCACCCAAAATGCATTTGACACTAAAGAGAAGAAAAGATGGGAGGAAAGTGAAGGAAAGGACAGAGCTATAGATGCTAAAGAGCAATTTGTCTACAATTCTAGGTTCGCAAATTTATTGTTGCATCATATGAAAATAGTGAATATCAACTGCGACTTAATAATTTTAAGTCCACATGGAAGAAGGAAAAAGCAAAGATAAATACAAACAAAAAATTAATATATCCTAGCATACAGGAAGAAATTATACAACTGACCTTGATTTCCAATACCACATTATAAATATATATAAAAGTGAATAAAATATATATAATATATATGTGAATAAAATCCATTTTCTTAATTTTTTTTTTTTTTTTTTTGGCACAAGATCTCGCTCTTTCTCCCAGATTGGAATGCATTGGCATGACAACATCTCAGTGCAGCCTCCACCTCCCAGGCACAAACAATCCTTCCATCTCAGCCTCCCAAGTAGCTGGGACTACTGTCACCACCAGTATGCCTGGCTAATTTTTCAAATGTTTTAGTAGAGATGGGGTCTCCCTATGTCTCTTAAATCTTTATTTAAATCTGTGTTTGTCTAGGTAGGCTGAGTGATAATAAGAGATGAAATATGAATCTGATGAAAATTTCTTACATTAAGGTAAAATATTACAATTATCATATTCCTCACTAAAAATAATTTACAATAGGATTGTCAACTCTGTCTTGCATTTAAAAATAAAAGAGTTAGTGTAAGAGTTTAAAATGAACGTCAACACTACACACCAGAGAAATCCTAGATTTCACAGGATAAGTAAGTTTTGATGCCTCCCACTTTGAATTTGTGAGCATCTAAGTTCAATATGATATATAGACTGTACAAGTCTCAAAGTTTAGGGTATGCACTGAGGGTGCATATTTTAATTCACTGAGTTGGCAAACCTTTATACCTTAGTACATGTTATATGCCAGGCCAGTAACAATTCAAAGCTAAATAATGCAAAAGCTCTGTGATTAGGTAGCTTACCATCTAGTAGTACATGAGGAAAATGCAGAGAAATAAATGATCTGATGTGGGTTCACACAGAGTGAAAGTGCCCAGTCTAGAACAGAGAGAAGAGAGGGTGTGAGGATAGTGCAGTCCGTGGGTTCCCTGAAGGAGATGCTAAACATATTTATATTCTGGACAACAAGTAGGGATAGGAGAAGACTATGAGAGACAGATGGCTTGGAAAGAGAAAGTCTAGGAAAATTAGAAATAAGAGGAAATACAGCACTTTCACAAATATAAATTAAAGTGGCGGTCTCAATTTAACACACTTGCTTCTGTGCTACAATCTCACCAGCCTTCTTTCAGACCATAGGACACCCCGGGATGTTGGCTCCTTCAAGATGTTCTCAGGAAAGTGCGTTCTGAATGGAAATCACTGATCCTCATCCACTCCCACCCCCTCCAACTGCACATCCTTCTGAAATCAGGCCATAGTTACTTCCCTGGAGAAGCTGTTGTTGACTCCTCAGACCAACTTAGGGCCCATCACCCAGTCATGACCCATCATAACACTGACTTTTTTCCTTTATAGCATTGTCTACACTTATAATCATAATGGCTTTTATTACTATGTGCCAGGCCATTTCAGGTAGTTAAATGTACTTGCTTATTTAATCCTCACAACAACCCTTGAGAAATGGTATATAGGTATGGTGGGGTAATTTGCCCAAGGTCAATGTCATTAAGCAGTGGAGCCAAGATTTGAACAAGGCTTCAGAGTTTATGTCCTTAGCCACTGTGCTCTATCACCTCGATTGGCAGTTGGAAAGTGGAAAAGTACATATGCCTATGCACATGTCTTTGGTGGTGGGGGAGAGAAAGGAGAAAGAGACAGATTTTTAAAAAATTTATTTCTCCTTCCCCTAACTATAATCTTCATTGAGGCAGGGAGTCATATTTGTTTTGTTAGTATTTATCCCCAGTGGCTATGGCAGTGCCTGAAATAAAGGTCTTCAAAACTTCAGGAAATATAAATTAATTTTGGGAAATAAATTAATAAATGAGAAAGAGTTAACAAGAAATGAAGAATGAGGAGTAGACTATGGCCAGATACAACGACCTTGTATGCTGTGCTAAGGAATTTGGGCTTCATCCTAAAGACTGATCATTGAGGAAGGGAAGATAAACAGTGTGATCATATTTGTATCTTAAATAACTCTGAAGAACAGGTTACTAGAAGTCACGACTCAAGGCAGTGGGTAAATTGAGATTAGAAGATACTATTGGATAAAAGAAAGGGGACAAGTTAAAACTGTGGTTACCAGAATTTTTAAAACTATTAAAATATAGGAGAAAGCACACCAAAAACATTTCCACATGTCAACCAATAAAATCAACATATGGCCAGTTTTACAATCTCTGCAAGCAACTATTGTAAACTAACGGTGCAAATGCTTTACTCCAATTCAAGATCAACTCATTTCAAAATATAAACCAAATGTTCAACACTGATTAAAAATTAGTTTACTCTTAATGTTTCCCATAATCAGATGTAATTGTTTTAAATCCTTTATTCTGGGTATTCAGTGTCTGAAACAAGCTTCAAAAGTATTCATTATTCTAGCAACTTTATTACTCAGCTTTCATGATTATAATTTTTTTCCCCAAAGTTCACTGATTCACTAACAAACTAACTGAATTCAGGCTAGTCAACACATGAAAATACCCATTATATTCACTGACATGGCTTTTTATAAATGTTTTAAGAAAGTCTAAAAATAAACAAAATGTGATCTAACCTGGTTTACTTCTGTTATTACTGATGTCTGCAATAGGAGGCAGTTAAGATATTTAGCAAGTTATTCTAACTTCATCCTTACCGGAAAGTAAGCCAACTAAGTTCTAAATCACAGTTAAATCACAGAACTATTTATTAAGTCAATTAAATAAATTGAAATCCACTCAGTTTTTGTCAATTCTCTTAGCTAAATATTTATAATTCAGATTTTTTAATTAAGGAATTCCTTTTATTTTTAAATGGAGCTTCTCATGTGCAGTAGACTAAATTGACCTAAACTAGTATCTGTAACATTGAACAATTCTTTCCTTCAACTCCATTTTAAACTGAATGGTTACTATTCCTGCTTCTAAGAGGATGGGGCCTCTTTTGTTTGTTTGTTTATTTTTAGTGGTCTTTGAAACATCGTTTGAGGGAAAAGCCCATCTGATGTCAGTGTTTTCTTTGTTGAAGTTCCACTGAGTCAGGCTGAGATAAATGGAATTTTCTTCTTCAATCCAAGGCTTAATTATGGTAATTAGTCTGTGCAATTTGTAAAGTTTGGCAGCCAATTCAGGTCCTAATATGCATAAGCTTCTTTCTGTTACAAACTGAGTAGGTTTTAATCAGTTTTTAAAAGACAGTGTCTTACTATGCCTGCATGCCATAGTCTTAGATTTTGAGATTGAACGTTATTTCAAACTCTGCTACATCATTATCAGTTTTGATATTTTTAATATTCATGAAGCTTTCATCTTAGCATTAATCCCCCAGCATCTGTGATTATGATGGGCACTTTGGGGATCTGTCTATTGTGTGTCTTTGGAGAATGAAAGGCCCAGCAGCTCCTGGCAGTAAATTAACCCTCACAATGCCACTTGGCGCCAAATGCCTTTTGAAATGTTGCCTTCTGCTCCGTGCCTTTCTGTTCGGATTTCACACTGATGCTTGATTTTCTCAGCAGACTCATGCTTCATTTTATTCTGACAGCCATCTGTGACACTGTGGGTTTCTTTTCCCCTCTGTTTCATTCAAAAGCCATATCTTTCACCAGTGTGTGTTTTTTTTATTTTTCCCTAAAATAAGCATGTTAATCAAATGAGGAAAAAGAGCCCAGGGTACTAATTCCTATTTCCTTATGCGGATGTTTATGCACATTGGGAGAATTTGTAGAAACGTATACAATTAATTTCTTATAAGGCTTTTACAGAATAAATTCCTAATAATTTCTTCATTTACTGCTATTTTTCAAACATACTTCAGATTCTCTAAAATGGATTACTCTCAACACTAGTTTTGTTCATTACATTTTCATATTCTAAATAAACAAATAGGAACTCTTGAAAAAGGAACAAAACATGTACAGTGTTATTGAGTAAGCATCTTTTACCAGCCAATGTTTTTCTTTAGATAGATAGATATACATATGAGCAGGCAACTAAAGTCAAATTGTCAAAAATCGAGGTAAAAGCTAATAACTTCCATTGCAATTTTTAGTAATGATTTATTTTTCTACTTTAAAATGTTTCTCACCTTTGCAGGTAAAAGAGAGCTTGTTAATTGGCCACATGATCTTGTACACAGTAAGACAAATGTTTCTCAAAAAGAATCTTAATTCTGAAAAGGAAATTGAAGATATAATTTCTTAAATTATAAGTGAGTTCAGAACTAAAGTAAAATAGAGTTTTTATGTTTATATATAACCTTTAAGAATAAGCATCAAGTTGTAATGATTAAAAAGGTAATTCAGGGAGGACCCTAGGCAGCAGAAGCCAGTAATCCTTTCTAGAAAACCAAGAAGGGCAAAGGTGAGGGCAGATTCTCTGAGCAAGTTCAAGAATGCTCTTATGCCATGTTCAATTTATGGGAAAGAAATAGCTTCAGTAATCAAAGCCATTCTTAACTTCCTCAAATGGCTTAGATTTCTTCTGAGTGTAAGATAAGATAGCTCTGTAATGTTGTCCTTCAGTCCATGAGAGGAAATCATTCTCTGTAGCCTTTTAAAGTGGGGGAGGAGTGGATTGGGACCCATGAGTGACAGAAGTGAAGGGTGGCAGGGGAAAGGTTGGGGTAGGAGGGTCCGCCCATCCTATATATCCCTAGCCCCTTGACCTTGTAGGGAGGAGAAGGTTACTAGAAAGGGGTCTGGTCTGTGCTGGAACAGCACTCCATCTGAGGCAATGCACTTGTTGGCAAAGCACTGAGAATTCTGACTCCAAAATGGTAGCAACTAATAAAGATCAATAGAAGTACCAAGTTCAACAATTTCATAGTGGACACAACCCTGTATTTGCACTGTCTTTGAAACGTAAGTTTATTATTCTGCTGGTTTGAAAGAAGAATCTAAGTTTCCCTTTCAGTTCAGTGCCCTGCCTAGAGATGCTAGGAGTGGCTAGGATAGCAATCAAGAAATGAAAAATTTTAAAAAAAGTACTGAAATTTTTTAGAGCTAATTATTTCTGAGGAAAATCAGAATTCTATAAAATATCTCATTCAAACTTTTCCAAATTATCTGCTACATTGTCTTCAAGAATATAGATTGTCTTGCCGTTATTTTGTATTGAGACAGAGACACTTACTATGTATTATCTAATTAGACAGGTAATAACTGGCACTATGAGCTAATATATTTTGTAGAATATGAGGTTTACATTTAATAATAAGACTTCATATTCTATCCATTGACAATATAATACCATTTTTAGGTGAATCTTAAAACATATATTGTAGCATTCTGAATAGGGAGGAAGATAATACTGGTTAAAATAATAATCTTCAGGCTAGGCGCGGCAGCTCACACCTCTAACCCCAGCCCTTTGGGGGGCCGAGCTGGGGGCAGATCACTTGAGGTCAGGAGTTTGAGACCAGCCTGGCTAAAATGGTGAAATTTCAACACTACTAAAAATAGAAAAATTAGCCAGATGTAATGGCACTTGCCTGTAGTCCCAGCTACTTGGGAGGCTAAGACAAGAGAATCACTTGAACCCAGGAAGCAGAGGCTGCAGTGAGCTGAGATCATGCCACTGCACCCCAGCCTGGGTGACAGAGAGAGATTCCATCTCAAATAATAATAGTAATAATAATCTTCAGATATATACAAGCCTACAAATTATTTTAAATAAATAATTGTAAGGAATCACTAATTTGGATGATTTTGATGACAAAATATGATACACTAGCTGTTTCTTAATATTATTTAGAAAGCTGAACAAAATGGATAATTTTTCTTTTAAGTCATGACATTAAGCAGAGAGAGAAGACATCTTCTGAAGCTTTACCTTTAGATATAAGCAGTGACAAATACACATCAGGGAACACTAATGCAAAATATGTGTGTGCCTTGTAAAAGTGTGTCCTTTGAACACACTCTTGCATTTCAGAAACTTTTTTGACACTCCATAGCCTGGAAGACTTCAGGCAGCCAGAAGTCCCTTGGGCTTAGGGATCTGGCTCAGTTCCCTTTTTTCACTGTTCTTTAGATATAAACCAGATTGGCCCCACCCCCAGGGTAGCCAGTTGATCAGCGTAACCTTCAAGGGGTTGAGTATGAAAGTGGAGGAAGGGAAAGTAGAAGATAACCAGAACATTGCCAGAACTTCCTTTGTTTATTATTTTGGAAAATTGTAATTTTTATTTTTCTCAGTTATACAATTCATACAACATGTATATAGCATTGTAACATTTCATCTGTTGTTTGGAAAGGCAAATAAGAGTGGGTCAAATAAGAACCACGTGCCAATAATGTTTATAAAGTTAGTGAAATTAATCATTGTGGCTGAAAATTATTCAGCCACATGGCCAAATATGTCACATGGCCAAATATGAAGTGTGTGTCTTAGAAGAATATATGCAGTCACCTGGAAGAAAGACAAAAGCCACAATTTCTGTTGCATTTATTGTAGGATAATTTTTTCTGAGTATTACAGTAAGAATTGTAATAAGCAAGTATCTTAGGCGCTATTTAGCTTATGTTTGTGGACAATGTGGCCTAGATAAACTCAAGGAAAGTTTTCCAGTGTTAGGAAGGAAGAACAATAATACTGCTAAGGTTAATTTGATCCAAGTAGATAAATTATGATTTATGCAGGGTGGGGCCAGGCAGAGTGGCTCATGCCTATAATCCCAGTATTTGGGGAGGCCAAGGCAGGAGGATTGCTTGAACCCAGAAGTCCCAGACCAGCCTGGGAAACACAGTAAGACCCCATTTCTATTAAAAAATAAAATAAAGTAAAAGTAACTGAGGATTACTGCAAATAGGTGCTAACTGAATTAAAGTAAAATAAGTGCAACTGGGTATAAAAATTATCAATAAATGCTATACTAATTTTATTATAAGTTTGAGAAGTAAAGATGTTTAAGCCCATTGGGGTTTCTACTAGGGATAGGAGAGAACCCTAAAATAAACTATCCAGCTAATGGTAAATTACTATTACCTGAAAAAACATTTTCAATTTAAAATGAAAAATAAATATTAACAGTATAGTTAAATGCCAAAATCTAACTGGCATTTAGTTTTTCCTGACATTTTTTCTAAAAAATAACTTTTTTCTACCTTGGTTTTATCATTTGATTATTAATATCTAGCCCTTATCCAAAGCTTTACCTTAAAATCATCAATTAAAAAATTCTGCATAAAACTTAGGATTTTTCTAAATTGGTAAGGTTTCTTTTTTTTTTTTTTTGAGGCGGAGTCTTGCTCCCTCCCCCAGACTGAAGTGCAGTGGCGCAATCTCCATTCACTGCAAGCTCCGCCTCCCAGGTTGCCACCATTCTCCTACCTCAGCCTCTTGAGTAGCTGCGACCACACATGACCGACCAGTTTTTTTTTTTGTATTTTTAGTAGAGACGGGGTTTCAGTAAGGTTTCTTATAGCTGATTATTAGCAAATGTATTCACCGTTTGCTATCACTGTGAGGAAAATGAACCCACGTGTTCCTATTTGTCTATACTATTATAGTTGACAATTACGGACTATGAAGTAAAATTCTAAGCTATTTTAAAGGTAATGTGTCCGGAATTGGTGGGTTCTTGGTCTCACTGACTTCAAGAATGACGCTGCAGACCCTCGCGGTGAGTGTTACAGTTCTTAAAGGCCGCATGTCCGGAGTTTGTTCTTTCCAATGTTCGGATGTGTTCGGAGTTTCTTCCTTGTGGTGGGTTCGTGGTTTCGCTGGCTCAGGAGTAAAGCTGCGGACCTTTGCGGTGAGTGTTACAGCTCTTAAGGCGGCACGTCTGGAGTTGTTCCTTCGTCTCAGTGGGCTCGTGGGCTCGCTGGCTTCAGGAGTGAAGCTGCAGACCTTCGCAGTGAGTGTTACAGCTTATAAAGGCAGTGTGGACCCAAAGAGTGAGCAGCAGCAAGATTTATTGCAAAGAGCGAAAGAACAAAGCTTCCACAGTGTGGAAGGGGACCTGAGCAGGTTGCCACTGCTGGCTCAGGCAGCCTACTTTTATTCTCTTATCTGGCACCACCCACATCCTGCTGATTGGTCCATTTTACAGACAGCCAAGTGGTCTGTTTTGACAGGGCACTGATTGGTGCGTTTGCAATCCCTGAGCCAGACACAAAGGTTCTCCAAGTCCCCACCAGAGTAGCTAGATACAGAGTGTCAATTGGTGCATTCACAAACCCTGAGCTAGACACAGGGTGCTGATTGGTGTGTTTACAAACCTTGAGCTAGATACAGAGTGCCGATTGGTGTATTTACAATCCCTTGGCTAGACGTAAAGGTTCTCCAAGTCTCCACCAGACTCAGGAGCCCAGCTGACTTTACCCAGTGGATCCCGCACTGGGGCCACAGGTGGAGCTGCCTGCCGGTCCTGCACCCTGTGCCCGCACTCCTCAGCCCTTGGGTGGTCGGTGGGACTGGGCACCGTGGAGCAGGGGGCCGTGCTCATCCGGGAGGCTCGGGCTGAGCCGGAGCCCATGGAGTGGGGGAGGCTCAGGCATGGCGGGCTGCAGGTCCCCAGCCCTGCCCTGTGGGAAGGCAGATAAGGCCCAGTGAGAACCCGGTGGGCCGGCACTGCTGGGGGCCCCAGCACACCCTCTGCAGCCACTGGCCTGGGTGCTAAGCTCCTCATTGCCCAGGGAGGCAGGGCTGGCCAGCTGCTCGGAGTGCGGGCCCGCCGAGCCCACACCCACCTGGAACTCGCGCTGGCCTGCAAGCACCGCGCGCAGCCCTGGTTCCCACTCGCGCCTCTCCCTCCACACCTCCCCGCAAGCTGAGGGAGCTGGCTCCAGCCTCGGTCAGCCCAGGAAGGGGCTCCCACAGTGCAGCGGTGGGCTGAAGGGCTCCTCAAGTGCCACCAAAGTGGGAGCCCAGGTAGAGGAGGCACCGAGAGCGAGTGAGGGCTGTGAGGGCTGCCAGCACGCTGTCACCTCTCAGTAGTGATTGTCTCCATTCATCACTGTGCATTGATGTGGACTGGTATTTATTTGTGACCATTGAACCCATGTAAAGCACTTCTGTTACTCTCATTGGTTGAGACAAAGACCTAGACCTCAACTTAAAGAGCCTTCAGTGTTATAGAGGCAGATATGAACACAACTGAAATACTGAGTTTAAAAGATGCTTAAAAATAGATATATAAGAAGTATCTTCTAGGAGCAGAGAAGAAAATGGTATTAACTTTTCCTGGGAGGATCAAGAGTTAGCACTTAACCCTAAGTATTAAATGTAAACAGAAATTCCTTGATCACAGATAAGGGTATAAAGGTATTCTAAACTAAAAGAACAAATGTCGTAAGCAAAATAAAATGTGCTTAAATGTATGACATATCCTAGAACTGGTGAGCATTTCAGTTTAGTCAATAATGCAGTGCTCAGGGTAGACACAGTAGAAGGGAATAGTTGGAAAGATAATTCAGGATCCAAAAAAAAAAAATTGAAAATAATGGTATACACACATATAATTGGAAAAAAAATGTAGTTTGTACTTTAATTTTAATACAACTTTATGTAAAGTTTCTAGGATTGTTCCAAATTAACAAAGCTGAAGACAATCTGTGATAATCCATCTTTGAAGGACTTTGAAATCAACTGTCCCTGTGAAGTGTGCTCTTCCTTACACGGGCAATCCAGGAAGAGCAACTTTCCAGGAATTCTCCCAAGGGGATGATGAAGTACAGAAAATTGAGACAAAAATTTTTAGAGATTTAGTTAATACAATAAAAATGTTTTACTTTTAGAGATAGAAGGAAATATTTTTCAATGTATTTGTTTGTATGCATTTATAGTCACTCATAATAACCTGCAATGATAGGAATTTGACCCAACTGGCTAAAACACATTTAGAATCAAAAATAGTTTCTCCTAAGTAACTGAAATGCTTTCATCTGATAAATATTTTGAATGAGTAGACCACAGGATCTTATTCATCAAAGTGATTAGAGGGAGGCTTAGAGCAAATTGAGGTACCTATAGAAATTTAATAGGTTTTGATCATTTTTGCTGTTGTTCTTGTTATTGTTGAAGTCTCCCTTTTGGCTTGATTTTTATGCCTCTACTTTTGTTTTACTTTATCACATACTTTAAATTTATATATTGTAGTGTTATATTTTATATATTCATATAATCAGTTTTATGGTTGTAAATGTTTTGATAATGGACTCTCCAAAGGAAAGCTGTTTGTGTGTGTTTAGTATAATACTGATATGAAGATGTGTACAACATAACTTATAAGTAATAATGTTACATATCATAATTTTATTATAGATTTCATATAGTCAATTGACTTTCAGAGAATATTTTTGTTAATTTTTCCTGACTTTTGTATCCATAACCACCCTATGAAGGTATTTCCAGTTTTAACATGAAAGTTAGTTGATTTTTTTTATGTAACAAGTAAGACAAAAGTGTACAACTAAAGATATATGCCAGAACTTCACTTGTTTTTCAATCACGTGAATGACTTGTTTATTTAAATGGTTAATAGTTGTTTAAGGAAGAATATTTTATCCCTTTATGTATGTGTGTGCTGTTTACAATGTAATCTGTACTGATGCAACACAATTTTAAGTTTAATCTGTTTTATAAATATTTTCTTCATCACTTTCTTAAATCTAGAATATCAACAAAAGAAAAAATTAAGCCCAGATTTTGTTATGGCTTTTTTTTTTTTTTTTTTGCAATTTTCATGGCATATATACTTGCACCATGGCTACTAATGTGACATCATCAAATGTCAAGTTGAGAAGAGATGCTTGGCAGCACACTCCTGCATAGTGTTTCTAGCACATGAATAAAATATACTAAAACAATATCAAGGACATAGATGATACTAACGATGAAGTAAAACAATTACAAAATTGTTACTTTCATAAGCTTTTTTAACATAATATGTGTAATTATTAATTTATAAGCTTTGTTTTTAACATAAGATATTTAATTATACATTTATATTATTTAAATAATGAATTTAAGTAAATTCATTATTGTGAATGAAATTATATAAAATAATAATTTTATAGAAAGTCATTATTATATAAAGTAACTTCAACGAATTTAAGAACTAACTCAAAATATCCCTGAAAAATCTATCAGTTGGCTCTTTTGAACTAGTACATCTGAATCCAGCACATGGCTACGTGATATTTTCTTCATTTCTGAATGAAGGAAAGGTATATATAAAGTAAATTACTCTGTTAAAAAGAAATGAACACAAGTATGAAAAATAAATTACTTCAGATTGATGCAAGTATTCAACATGCAAATAAAGTTGATGAAGAGTCAACTCTGTTCACCTCCTAACTGATTTATCCCTTAGCCTTCTTTGACCATTTACTGGCAGGCTTATTTAACATGTATTTAAATTCCTAAGAGAAAAAAAAATAACTTGTCTAATTCACTGGTAATAATAACATCTGTAACCAAATATATGTGTGAGGCAACATTTTTTACCTCTAAAATAGATTTACAGCAAATTTACAAAAATTTGTATTGCCTTAGTTTAGACAAGGAAAGGAAATTGAGTTTCATGTACAAAGAAGATAATAATTTTAAATTTAGGGGCAAGGCTATTTGAACATTTCACATATTTTCCTATCTTAAATGCAAAATATTTTAAAATTCTTAGATATCTAGGTAATGGAACAGATTGGTGGATTATGTTGGTATGTTTGCTTTACTTTACTTGGACTAATTTAAGAAGAGTGACCTTTGATTGTTAACTGAACTGGAAACACATTTAAATTTTCTGATAAATAGCAACCTAAGTAGCACACCATGGCCTCTGACAGCATTCATGTGTTAACAGAAATGAGTGGTGTGTTAACTGATGGAGTCCTTATAATGATTTCATCAGTAATTAGTAGGTAAATGAGGCCCTGGGATGAAAGCTTGAAGGTTCCATTTGCCCCTTTACTCTTGATTGGCACAATGGCCCTGAGCTCTAATCTAGTGAGAATATTTCATGAAAGAGCCCTACACTAGGATATGCAGATAGCTAAGACCCAGGCCTTGCACTTATTGTTTCCTTTGTTGTTAAAGACCAAGAGTGTGTTTTCTCTCTCTCGCTCTCTCTCTTTGACTATAAACGTTTACATTTTAGGATTTTTAACCTAAACATGTATTTACATTTTTGTACTTCAAAGCTCTGAATAATTTCAATGTTCAAATGTTTATAAAATTTACCTCTTTAAGTTAAGAGTTTTGTAGGCCCTATTCTTATTTTTATATACTCCATGTCCATAAATTGAGAGCATTCCTTTTATTATGCTTTTGGTATTAAGACCTAAACTTGTGAAATTTTGAATTGAGATAACAAAATGGGCATAGGTTATTTATTTTTCACCAGTCACTTATAACAGCTGTGATCCTAAAATGGTAACACCAAAGCTGAACCATTTTTATTATGTGGTTTTATTTTATCGTTAAGTACTTACACAATTTAACCACCCTAAGGGATCTTATTATAATGCCTACATCAGAGGATTTTATTTCAGGTTTCAACAATAATCTTCAGTCATGGAATATTACTATATTTTACATTGATTAAAATCAAGTAGTCCAAGTAATTACTCAGCTATCTGGATTTCATTTGAAAATTCTTCTGCCCTTGTAATATTAAGAAACGTGTGTGTGTGTGTGCATTTCTACAGACAAAACAAGCAAGGCTGAATAGGATAAAGTGGAATCCTATAGAATAATCTCAACAAGTAATTATTTATTGGCTATGATATGCCTGTGCGGCAAGCAAAAGAAAAAAACGACAAGAAATCTGTGCTTCCATCTTAAAGCCTTTGTATGGAATCTGCATTAACTGTTTGGAGGAATATAAAATTAATGTAGATTATAACATAATAAAATGAATATGTACTACTATTATATGTCAAGATCTTGAATCCAAATGTGCACTAATATGTACTCTTGAAGAGATCCCAGTCATCAATAGTCCACTTTCATAGCCTTGCTATTCTTTGGTTATCTAAGCTGTAGCTACACTGGATTTCTTTCAGTTCTTTAATAGTTCCATTATTCTTCCCATCTTATGGTCTTCAAAACTTGTTGCTTCTACATAAATCATTCTTTTCATTGCTGCAAACATTCTCTTTCCCCTTTATCTTTAGAATTTTGCTCAAATAATTCATCTTAATTCTTCAAGTTTTCAACTTTAAATGTCACTTTCTCATTTAGGATTTTCCTAGCAACAGTCTATTTCAATGTTCTAGCATTCTTTCATAACATCTATAATTAATTATTTGTATAAATAATAGTGATGCATTTTCCTCACTTTAATGCAAGCTCCTCTGAGGACCGGAACCCTTGATATATTATCTACTCCTGTATTTTAAGCTCCTAAAACAGTGCCTGAAATACAGGGGGCATGGAGTCAATGTTGCCTAACTAAGTAAATAAATGGAAACGTTGAAGTGACTAGAGATATTGAAGAGTTTGGGACACAGAAAACATGACTTTAACCTCCAAACATTAGAGAGAGACTTCTACAAAGGAAAAAGCAATATAAGCAAAATAGTAGGGGCAAACATTATACTAGGAGAGTTTGGAAACAGTAAAATGAACTAGCCAGAGTGGTGATATTAGGGTTTAGTGGAAGAAAGATAAAATGGGTATGCATTTTACCATGTTGGGTCAAAGGTCATTTTCAGAAAGCCAAGGAGTTTCTGCCAACTTTAGCTTTGAATTATGATATTTTCATCACTGATTTTTTTAAAAAGAAAAACTCTCTTAAGGATTTCTGGAAAAAAAAAATCTCCCTGGAAGAAACAGTATTTATTTAAATAAAGCCAAAGTTCCTGACTCAGCATCAAAGTATTTCTTTTAGCAGGGCGATGACTAAAGCTGAATGTTTCCTCTCATTGGGTAAACTGTCACTGTTGGCTCTTCTCCGAATACGCAATTAGCCAAATCACACACAGGCCGATAGGGTTGTGCCAGCAAATCTAAAGAATACTGTTAAGTCCAGTTTCTTTCCGTTCCTGGCTGTGCAGATTGCCTGAATCTATATTAAAGTATACATTCCCCAAAATAGCAAATAATGCTTGACCAACATGTGGTACAAGTTAAAAATAATTATTTTAATACTGATGATGATGATAGCTAAAAGTCTGTAGTTATCATCTGACAGTGACCATTCTAAATTCTTCCCATGCATATATTAACTGCCTCAATCCTCCTAACCTCTCTCATGAAATGGATGCTATTTGTATCTCCATTTTACAGATGAGGATGATTAAGTACAATGCATTCAAATAACTTGCCTGAGTCATGCAGATAATAAACCTCAAAACCAAAAATTCAAACCCAAGTATTCTGACTTCTGATCCCAAGTTCTTCAAACATCTTAATTACCAAGGCAGAATGCTCAGATTGGATTAGCAGAAAGATTACTAGTCATTGTAAGATCTGGAACAAAGATGTGAGATGAAGAGAGGATATTTTTGTTTTTATTTTTGCTTTTCTTTTTAATTGATAAAGCAGTGGTGTGAAGGGAAGTAACTAGTTGGGACAGATAAAAAGGAAAGTGCCCTCTTAGAAGGCAATTGCATAGTTTTATCATTTATATGAAGACAGTAGCCCCAAAATGATGACAGTCATTACAGGTGTTATAAAGATATAAGTTATAGGAATTTAGAAGAAAGGAACAGTGACATTGATTTCATGACAAAAATACAATGTGGATGTACACAAAGAAGTTTTACTAGAACAGAAGGCTAAATTCTCTGTGTTCCTCTTGCTAAGGAAGAAATTGCTGCCTTGCAACTTCTGGAATTTTGTTGGCACAAGCAAACAAAAATAGTGAAGAGTAAACAAAAAAACACAAAAATTTTAACTGCAAGAAAATTTACTAGCGTGAGTTTAGATGCTCTGGATGAATTAGGAAATGCTTTTGTGCTATTAATTTTCAAACCTAAAAGACCTTTCTTCAATTTTATAATCAATATTATCAGCAGTATCTTGACCTGGGAAAAATGAAGTGTTTGGCACTGGTTGTGTCTTTTAGGAAACATGATTAGGACATGATTTGAAATTGAGTAGCCAGAATTCTGACAGTCTTTGTTCTTAACATTGGAGACACGTGGATATGTGCACATCGCCTCAGGCATAGTGAATAGCAGTAGCATTAATTCAGAAGCCTAAGAAGATGTCTTTGGAATATTATTCCTCTATCCATAAAACTGTTAAGTGATTCATTAATTCAACAAATATTATGAATCCTTTACTGATTTAGGCACTGATAATACATTAGTGAACAAATTAAGAAAAATAGCGGATCAACGAGGTCAGGAGATCGAGACCATCCTGGCTAACTTGGTGAAACCCCGTCTCTACTAAAAATACAAAAAAAATTAGCCAGGCGTGGTGGCGGGCGCCTATAGACCCAGCTGGTCGGGAGGCTGAGGCAGGAGAATGGCGCGAACCCGGGAGGCGGAGCTTGCAGTGAGCCGAGATTGCACCACTGCACTCCAGCCTGTGCGACAGAGCTAGACTCCATCTCAAAAATAAAAAAAAAAAAAAAAAGAAAAATAGAAAACTTGCCTTCCATCCTGCAACTTACATTCTAGTGGGAAGATTTTATGAAAGTTGTTGATCACATAATTGAAATATATATAATGTATTTGTCTCTAAATTATTTCTAAAAAGAGGATTTCTTAAGTGCAGGAGATAATTCTACAAGAATAAAAAATCCAATTGAAGGTATAAGATGAGTAATGAATATTCAGTATCTGCAGTACCATCATAACCATCATAAATAATACAGCTGTCCAAAATTTAGTCAAGGGCAAGTTTGTAAAGATTCTCCAATTTCTATTTTTTTCTAACAGAAGTGAATTGGCTATAGGCATTAGATTAAGTATGTAATTTTCTGTGCCTTTATGATCTTCATCAAGTCTTACATTACTTTGGGGCATTAATAACTGTATTAGTCAGGGTTCAGTCAAAGAGAGAGAACCAGTAGAAGACACATTGCAATAGTAGAGACCTATTGCAATGAGTTGGTTTGCGCTATTGTTGGGGGTGGCTAGGCAAGTCTGTAATCTGTAGGACAGGCCATCAGGAAGGGTAGAGTGGAACTCTCCTGCATGGGCTGAAGTTGCTCTCCACAGGTGGAATTTATTCTTCCATCAGGGAAGCTTCAGACCTATTTTTAAGGTCTTTCAACTGATTGAATCAGGCCCACTCACATTATCCGGGACAATTCCACTTAATTAAAGTCAATTGATTATGGACTTAATCACATCAATAAAATATCTTCCCAGCAACTCCCAGATTAGTATTGGGTTGGCTATCTGGGGATTGAAGCCTATCCAAGCTGACATATCAAAAGAACCATCACGATAGATTATGTGATATGTGTATCTGGTCTGGTGCACATCGTGCCATTATAGATACCCAAATTCTGTAGGCTATTTCTTTAGGGTAAAACTTGAATTTTTGCAGTTTATAAATCCAGGGGAAATTCCGTTCTTTCAGGCTTTAAAATTTGTGGAAATCCTTAGGGAACCCATTGCTCCCCATTATTGGAAAATAGTACAGACGTTTTGACACTGATTTCTGATCTTCGAATCAGCTTTTTTCCAAAAGACTTTGTAGACAATCTCCTTCTGACAAATAATGGAAAAGTCTCTTGGAGGGGATACTGAGTTCACTCAGCACATTCCTAAGAATCTCAAACAGGTAAATTATTCTAATGCTGAAAGAACTCAACCTTGCAAAATGTCTCATAGGAAAATAATGTTGAAGTGCTCAGCTGATTACTTATAATGCCACATCTATGCCTGATATCTACATGTACAGAACTACTACAAACACTATGGTAGAGTAAGGTCTTCTGATCAAAACATGCTGACTCTAATAAAGTTATTGAGCTCCACTGTTAGCGTGAATGATAAATATTTATTGAACATCTTCCTGTGTGCCAGGCACTATTCTAGGCTCTCAGGATGCATTGATGAGTAAACAAATATCAAGAATTCCTGACCTTATGGCGCTTACATTCCAGTAATGTAGGCTGGCAGTGATGTAACATAAACAATAAGTATACCAACTAGATTTTAAAGCAAGTTAAAATGTGTTAAGTATCAGGAAAAAAAATGATAAGGTTAGGGGTGTGCAGTGTGACAGGATCTATTGTAATTTTAAATGCAGTAGTCAGATTTGCCAAGGTAATATTTGAGAAAAATGCAGAGGATTCAATAAATAAGCCATGCAGTTATTTGGAGAAAGTGCTTCTAGCTAAGACTACTTGTAGTGTGTTTGATAAACAGCAAGAAACCATTAGGCCACAACAGATAGAGCAAGGGGAGAGGAGTCGGGAATGAGATCAGAGAGGCAATAGGCAGCCCGTGAAAGTCCTTGTAGGCTGCTACAAAAATTACTTCTTTAATTCTGACATAATAGAGGAGATTGGACAGTTTTGAACAGAATGGTACCAGGACCTGAATTCTATTTTAATGAAATGATTAAGGATGTTATTTTAAAAGAATACTAAGGTGCAAAAGAGTAAATGAGAAAATAATTTCAAGCTATTGCAATAAAGCAGGCAAATGAGGATGGTGGGCTGGATCAAGATGAGAGTGATGGTAGAGGAGGAGAGACGTACTTATATTCTGGTTACATTATAAAGGTGGTGCAATATGATTTTGTATTTTCATCATATGATTATTTGACAGGTTACCTGTTGTCAAATGACATGAATCTCTGCTGTAAAAGTCTTACAAATATGTGTCCTTCTGATAGATTTCCTTCTCAAGCAACTGTGCTATATACTTTTGAAACCACATATTAGTACTCTAATTTTTCACTGCCTGATATAGTCTGCAGATATTAGAGACTATGTAGGGACTCTTGTTGAGTTTGTTGAAGGAATTGGACCACATTTATGTTATTAGCTGCTTCTTTAATAATTTACACTGTGTAATGTTGAGGACTCACTGGTTCTTTGTTTTAGTTCCCCCACCCTTGGACCATTTTAAATATCAAATTTGGCACAACAAAATGAGACCTTTGGAGGATTTCACTGTGATCTCCCCTTATAAAACAATTCCACACAGTGTCTTCCAAGGATTATTTTAATTGCAGGGTGAGATCTTACTGGTACATTTTTACAATATAATCATCAATGTCATTACCATACTAATGCCATTTGTAAAAATGTGGAAATCTGAAAATCGCACCTTCAATATTCCTAAGATTTAGAATCAGGGGATGCTGGAAGAAGTCATCTTATAATGACATTTGTTTATCTGTCTAAAGTACACAAATAAGTGAGGATTGTACTTTTCTAAATAGGATCCTTTTCTTTGTTTCAAGATGAGTAAAAGCCTCTCAAAATTTGAGGCTGCAGAATGGCTTCTATAAAAAACAACAACAACAACAACAAAACCTGAAAACAAGTGTTGGCAAGGATGCAGAGAAATTGGAACCCTTGTGCACTGTTCAAAATGTAAAATGATACAACTGCTGTAAAAAACAGTATGGCAGTTCCACAAAAAATTAAAAATAGAATTACCATATGATGCACCAATTCCACTTTTGGGTATAGACCCAAAAGAATAGAAGGCAGTATCTCAAAGAGATATTTATACACCCATGTTCATAGCTGCGTTATTCACAACAGCTGAAATATGGAAGCAATCCAAATGTCCATCAGCAGATGAATGAACCAGCAAAATGTGGCACTTATTACAGTGAAATATCATTCAGCCTTAAAAAGGAAGGGGATTCTGACACATGCTGCAACATGGATGAACCTTGAAAACATTATACTAAGTAAAAATAAGCCAGTCACACAAAGATAAATACTGTATGATTCCACTTACATGAGATAGGTAGGTAGAATAGTCAAAGCCATTGAAACAGAGAGTAGAATTGTGGTTGCCAGGAACTGTGGGGAGGCAGCAATGGAGAGTTCTTGTTTAGTGGGTACAGAATTTCAGTCTTTAAGATGAACAGAGTTTTGTGGATTGGATGATCATGATGGTGGCACATTAGGAATGTATCTAACTCCACTGAACTGTACGCTTAAAAATGGGTAAGATGGTAAATTTTATGTTATGTGTGTTTACCATAGTAAAAATAATATTTAAAAAGTGAGGCCACAAAACAAGATAATGGAGACAAAAATGCTTTAAAAGGGCTCGGAATTACCAATTTAAACATATGATTTTTTAGTTCATTCCAGGAACTGAGGTCATATTCAGTTTCTTACCAGTGATTCATGATGTACACAGGATGCAGAGCAGTACCCAATTTCTCTTATTTTATTTTGCAGAATCTCATGCTTGCTGCTAAGAATGTACACCTGATAACATGGAAATATGAATAGGCTTTACAGTAAGACAATGTTTCACAGATACTAAAACTATTCTGGGCTAATCCTATTATGAATGCATAAAGTATTATGTTGGTGCAAACGTAAGTTTGCCCAACTTTTCACTTTTTCCCACTGAAAGTATTGCTGTATTTTATTACAGAAATCTAAAACCCTTAACAAGTTACTGTGAACACTGAGATTTTGGATTGATAGATGATTGGCTAACGTTTGATGCAAACTAGCACCCATCCAGAAAAAAGACACATGTATTTTCTTCCATTTCACATGATGTTATTTAAAGTAGAGAATATCATATGAACATATAATGATAAAGGCAAAAATATCCCTCAAACCATATTTCCTTACCACATGTAGGTTCCACCTTAATTTAGCTTTCAGTTTCATTCTAAATCACTTCTACCTCATGTTTCTATCCCTTCTTTCCTCCTATTAAATTCTTGGCAATATTTTGGATGCTATATCTTCTAAGCTATTCAGAGATTTTCTCTGACCTAGTGAAATACATTTTTACTGGGATCCTGTGTGGCATCTCAAGCCCTGACAAATAGTCAAGGAACTCCTTTCCAATTTTACTGTCCAAGAAGCAGGAAATGACGCTAGTGCCTATTACCATACACTGAGAAATAAATTTTATTGGCAAGACATTGCTGACACATGCTACTTCTCTTCCTGATTCAAAACAGTAGAAAAAAAAATGAACTTGAGAGGAGGAAGGAAAGAAATTACTCAACTAAATTTATTTTTCCTCCATTAAAGTCACCTCCATGGTGACTGATTGGAAAATATGTATAACTGCAGCTCATCAGAGGCTGAATCTATTAATTTGAAATTATGGTATGTATTATTTTGAAATTATGGATTCTGCCCAGGTATTTTCTACCATCTCAGGAAATCAGTAAGTGCCCATGGGTACCAAGCTAGGGATAGACGGTCCTTCTATCTAACAATGAGTGTGTACTCAGAGGTCAAGAAGGAGAGCGATGGTACTAGAGGCTAGCTCTGGCTATGGCAGTGCCAATAAAGCACCTGCACAAATGATTTTTAAAGTACTTGTTTGTTTACAAATAGCATTTTAAGTTATTTTAACAGGTATACAAAGTTATGGTGTAAATGTGAAATGCAACAATAATCAACTTTTTCTATAGCTTGTTTCTTATGGATATAGTAAAAGACAACTTATATTTACTTTTTCAATGACATTTCTTTTTTTCAAAGACCCTCGTCTATGTGTAGAAATTATTTTTGCAAAGAACCATGCAGTAAACTTATCCTCTACTCAAGTGCATAGGCTATTATTTGGTTTTCTTCTGGTCCCCTTAAAACCTTGATTTAAAAAAATTGATATGTTTAATAAAACTTTGTTAATGATGTTATTGGGAATTGTCACTTATATCAAATACATCAACTTGACTTGTTTAAGCAAATCCATGGATTTCTTTCTTACTCAAAAATATTTTGTCATTGTAGAAGAGATGCAGCAGTCAGGATCATAGAGTGGGATCCTTCCTACATTTATGTCAGCTTGACTTGGCAGGCAGCCTTGGTCAAGGAATACAACTGTCCTTCTGCCATTTGCTAAATCTGCATAATTAAGTACCAATTATACATGGTATTGTTTTGTAGCAGGCTCCTCAGCTGGCTTTCCTTTATTATAGTTTCATGCCATTTTCCTATTTTGATTACCAAAATACCTTGACTTTTTATCATTCTAATGAGGAGGTTTAAAGGAAAGCATATCTATCAGAATGACATATGATTATTAAACTCGGAAAATTATCTCATGAGGGAAATATATTTAATGTATGTTTTCATTAATTCTCTTTACGTGCATAGTAAAAAATGACTTTGTGTAACGTTAATATTACCTACTTGAGGTTGGGGGGGTGAGGCTTAGCCCCAGTTACAAACTAGAAGCTGTTTAGAAATTTTGTTGTTACTGAGTGCTCTTAATTTTTCCATTTGTTTGGAGCATGTGCTATATGATCATTCTTTTAATGTTTCTCACTGTTCATCCTGTGAATCCACACTGTGATCACATGAGGTTTCTAAATAAAACCACAGTTTTTTTGGACAACTAGTTGAATGACATATTAGACCAGTCAATCATGTGAAAACTAGCAAGATGCTAGGGTGTTGACTTTAAATTTTACAAGTTTATATCTCACTACATCTACAATTAGAGTCAGAAAGCAGTTCCCTTTACAAGCTGCTCTAACAATGTTCCGGAAATGTTGATAGAACCTACAATATGCCCTCAGTTAACACCCAATTTTTGAACAGTTCTATATGAAGACACTGCCATACTAAAGATAAATTTATGAGCTAATAATCATTGGATTCCAATGAAAATATTTGCAAAATTTGGCATTCTTTATTTTAAAGGATTTTTAAAGAAAGCCTAACTTTAAAATTGTCTTTGATCAACTATAACTCAATTAACAGACCTTATTGAAAAAAAAGTTTGTTTGATAGTCATGCTACAACACACACACACACACACACACACACATTTTTTTAAAGGCAATGAACAGAATAATATTGTGAACATCAACGCTTGAGAAATCAATTATTATGGTATAATTTACAATAGCGTTAAATAACCTTAAATTCTTCATTGGATTCTGTAAGTAAAAATGGCCTTAAACTGATTTCAACTCAAGTGGAATATTTTGCATCACATATGTCTAGAATCTGAACTAAAATATGTCCTCAGGAAGGACATCTCTATCTTTCTATCTGTTGACATCCTTCTGTGTGATTTTTTCTCAGACATATAGAGTTGCTACGTTAGCTCTAGCCTTTGCATGCACTCAGATTCAAGTACAACAAGAAGCAGTTTCTTTTCCAGAAAGCTTAGTAAAAGCCTCATCATGCCTCATTGGCTTTGACTGGCACCATACCCATCTGTGAACTTCTCACTGTGGCCAGGGAATGCAAATCTGATGGCCAGACCGAAATCAAGCATCCAACCCTGGGCTCAGAAACATAAGAATCATTATAGTATATAGGATAAATGGATGTGGTACAAATTATCAGAGTAGGAGTAATTTGTTCAGGTCACTTGAAGGACTTGACATAAATTGAATATGAGGGCTATTAATTTGCCAATTTGCAAGTTGACAATTGGAGACTCAATCAATTATACAACTGTACTCCCTCAGTACCAAACATCAAATGGTTGCTCTCTTCAAATACTTGATTTGAATTTAAACGTTTCTAATTAGACCAACATATTATGTAGTGGTCACCTGTACTATTTAATTGTCAAAAGTGAAAGTGGCCTTTGATGCCCAAGTTCCTCAGGAGCACAATCAAACCTGGGTAATAAAGATTTAATGAAGATTTGGATACACAACACTATTGATACAAACTTTATTAAATGATAGGTCATACAATTTAGAATTAGTATTATAAGAATGATTGATATGATTTAGATAATAATTTACCCTTTGGAAATAAAATTGATATTATAGTATTGCATGTTGTCCTGACAGCAATTTCATGAGGTAGACTGAGAACATTTTCCCTATTCAAGAGTAATCCAGGGTTGATAGAGGCCAAATCACTTACTAAGATTGTGTAGCTAAGATGCGTTAGCTCTTGCAGAGTAAGCTATGTCTTCTCATGCTAAATCAAGTATTTTTGCAGATACCCTACTTTGTCTTTCACAATAATGCAAATTTTACTTGAATAATATGGGGGATATTATTTCTTCCAAAAACATTCATTTTCAATTCCACTTTAGTCATGCATTAATATCTTATCTTCTTTCCAAAGAAGTGAATGGCACCTAATCTATATTTATAACTATTTTAAATATAGGAATGTATAAATTTGTTTTAAATGTGGAGACTACTTTCTGTATAATCTTCACAACCCAAAACAGCAGGCTTACATAGTAGAATATCAGAAGAAATTTATATTATAAGTAAATACAAAAACCCATATTAAATATGGTATGAACATAGAGTGAAGCTGGTTCATGAATAAACAGAATAACACAATGAAATAGAGGCTAAGGTAAAGACAGAATTTGAAACATGGTGAAAAGATATATGTCACATAATGTTGGGACAGGTGTTTATTATCTTGAAAAAAATTAAGCTAACCCTTGCTTCACTCCTTACAACAAAATACAAAATACATTTCAAGTGGACAAAAACTTAAACAATACAAGGAAACAGATATCTAGCCAAAATACAAGAGAATGGCTAACAACTTGGAGTAGGGAATATGTACCTGAAACAAATTTAAAAAAAAGAAGTATTAAAGGAAATTACTAATATATGTGATAATATATGACATAATAATTTCTACATAAAAATAGAATTAAGAAAATTAAAAGATGAATTAGAAAAATATTTGAGACATACATTACAGAAAATATGTGTTACATACTATTGTATGTAAATATCATAAAAATATATGATATATTTTATCATTAATATATAAATGAATATATTTTAAAACTAAAACTTCAATGGGACATTTTACAAATACAAGAACAGATAGATTACAGAAAAATGTTGAAAGGTACTCTACTCATAATCAAGAAAATTGCATCAGTGAGATTCCATTTTTCAACTATTATGTGACTAAAATTTTATTGTTTTTGGCAGGAGTGTTGAGATGAAGCCCTAAAGTCTTGGTAGAAATGTAAAAGAGATGTACTCTTTTCTTTTATGAAATTAAAATTACAAATATACTCACCATAATACTTACATATAAAAACGTTTATTCTGGCATTGTCTATTAACTGAAAACAAGGATCACTTAAATAAACTGCTATCTGCATATGATGGACCACTATAAAAATAAAGAAAATGCGTGGGCTGATAAGGAGCATAATCCACATGTATTGTTAATTAAATTTAGAGAATGTGCTTCCATGTACTTCCTGTCTTTCAAAAGTAAATGAATATAGAATATTTCTGAAAGGAGTTCCACAACTGGCAGCAGCTAATATATCTGTGGTTACCTAGATTATTTGTTCATAATGTTTGAATTTTAAAATTTTTACTTTATGCACATATTACTTCTTCAGCTAAGTAGAACTACTTTTAATTTTTAGAACAAATTATTCTGGGGAAAAAATGAACTCATATTCCTTTTATTGTACACTTCAAACTCTGGACCAAGAACCTAGTTTACTCTTAGTTCCATCCTAAACATTTCTTTGAAGAATTCTGAAAGTGTGATAAGTATATGATGTTAGGTTTAAACTGCTGATGGCAGAAGCTACTTAAAATATATGGGTGTTTGTGTTTTTTTCCTTCCAACACATCCTTAGACAGCTCTCTGGCCTGAGCTGAGGCCTGCAAACAAGACCACATGGTCTCATTACTGAATGCCCAGTTGGTTTCTAAACAAGGATCTGTAACTGGTGTGCCAGCTTCCACCACTCTGCTTCAGTTCCCATTGCTCATCAATAAACCATGATGTGCTATGCAGAACACTGTGCCTTGAGGCCAACCTGTCAATGATGGTAGACACTAAAAAATTATATGTGCTCACCAAATCATTGCAGAGAAAGTCCAGGGAAAAAGCCCCCCAAACATTTCCCCAGAGGACTATTTCTAATGTAAAGGCAGCAACAAAATAAGCAAAGAGAGAGACAAACAGAGAGAGAGAGACAGAGAGAGAACACAGGCTAACATGTGAATATAAAAATATACATATAGTTTTAAATGGTGGTCATGAAAATGAATGTTTACAGTTCTGTGTGCAGTTTGCTGCACTTCCCCACCCGATGAGAGTGAACAGAACAAACCAAAGTCTGAAGTGTGCTCTCTGAAAGAATCCATAACTAGATGATACTTTCTAAGTATATGAACATGGAACTATTAGTAAAACACAATTATAAGAGGCTTACAAAGTAAAGGAATCTGTAGACGCCCTAATTCATATTCTCCTTACCAACCTCAATAGTTTACTTTCCTTATTTATCAAGGAAAGTTATGTGTAACTGAACTAGATTATACTTTACTAAAATATGGAAATAATGTCATTTTTAACTTATAATTTTAGTAGCATATTTATTTAGATTTTTTGTGCGTGTTTTAAATCATTTCATCATTGGACCTTTTGTCCAGATCATCCCCCTTAAAGTATTGCTCAAAAGGCAATTAGAATATTTTTTCTGATTTGATAGATGAATTGTCTACCCCATAACCAAACTGAATTGCTGCCAGATAGCTAAATTGTACTAACTGAAGTGAAAACATGAAAAACGAATCGTTTTCCTTTGTAACTATATATTTCAAATAGAATGCTATTTTAATCAATAATCATTTATTGGTCATTTATTATGTAACAATGTGAAAAATGAAAGGGGTACCAGAATAAATGTATTTCTGCACTTGAAGAGTTTAATCTATAGCCAATAAATACTTACCAAAAACTTATAATCCAGTATGTCATTTTCACTATAGAATTTAATTTATAGCCAATAAATATTACCAAAACCTTCTGATCTAGTGTGTCATTTTTACTATTGCTGTAGGTACACCGTGCATTGGATTGACTATGAAAAGGACAAACAGTTCCAAGAGGGGTTAGGAAAGGAAGTCCCAGTTAAGCAGAGATGGGCAGAATAAACGGAATTCCATCAGGGACAGAAGTTGAAAGGCATTTTAAGTGAAGTATGAATAGCATGGCTAGGACTAAGGGTGTTTAGGAGTGAACGACCCTCTGGAAAAGCTGGCTGTAGCTAAATGATCAAGAACCTTTCAGATTTTGCAGAGAAACTGTAAATTACTGTTGAAGGCATTCAGGATTGTAAGTTGGGAAGTGAATTATTTGGTGGGCACTTGTTAATTCTTGGAGCACAGTGAATGATGAATTGTAGTAAGAATGTTGGAGTCAGTGTTGAAAATGAAGAGCTGACTTTATTCATGGCTTTAAAGTAAATTATTTTTGTAAGTCATTTTTGCAAGACAATTTGGTTAAGACCTGGGACTCTGATTCAAGTTCTGACTCTATCACTTTCCAGTTGTGCAAACTGGACAGGTTTCTAATTGCTGAATCCTTTGTCTCTTCACTCAAAAAACAGGAGTAATGTCTGGACCTGCCTTTTAGGGTACTGTTAGGAATAAAAGAAATAATCCACGGGAAATGTGAGGCACAGTTCTTGCCACATGTACTATGGACTGTACTGAAGCAGAGAAGAGAGATTGTTTTCCTCTAGCATTACTAGTAATGGGGAAAGACAAACTATCAGCCCAGAAAAGTATACTTTTGCCATATATGAAAAAAATATTTGAGTCACTAAATAATTTTAGGCAAAGAAAAAAGGTCTTATTTTTGGAAAAAGTTTTTCTTTGTAGATATTAATGTGCTTGACTTTTCATGTTTTTGTATTTGTTTGCTGTTTATTTTAATTCAAGGAAGTAAATACAATTCAATACAAGGACAATTACTTTACTTCCCAAATAGCTACATCAACTTTTATACAGACTGTTTATCCCTCTCTCTATACTCTACAGAACATGCCCTTTCTCTTTTTTGTAGAATATGACTTAGCAAGCAATATAGCAATCCAGAAAAAAAAAAAGGGTAGATCTTTTCAAATCTGCCTTATTCATTGTGCAGAGTGACCTGGTGCTACTCAGTGTTTGAGACATAGATGTAGCCTGCTATCTTTGTTTGTGAGCCACATGCATCGTTGGCAATAGGAGTCAATGTGTCCTTTGAGAGGCACTCATGTGTATACCCGAGCAGAGCTGTAGTTAAGTCTATTTTCATCCTTGCCTTTGGAGCAGCTGTCACAGAATTCAACCACAGAAAATAGGGAACAAATAAAAAATGGGAGGTGGTTATTATTTTATTCTTCTACATGCTTTTGTGCTAAATAAACTGATTGCAAATATCAATTGTTGCAGGTAAAACAAATTTCCGCCCTAACATAAGTGCTCAAGGAATTTACTTTCAAAAGCTTACTTCGGAAAGCTAAAAGGAAATTTATTTTCTAAATGTTATTCAGCCTCCTTACAGGATTGATAAGTAGTATGTTATTTTAAAACTTGCCTTTTTTTTCATTTTTTACAAAATTCAGTGGGAATACCAGTTGCTTAGGAAAAATAAAAGTGCCTGTGGAAAAGATGCCCATGTGAATTTATGCTAAAACCAGAAAGAGGCTGATATCTGCATCGAGGGACAGTATTTTAAGAATTCATGAATTTCCCTTTACTTATTCATTTGCAAAGGTTAAATGTGAGTTGTTTCATGCCATACTTTAGACTTTGATCAGTCTCAAGTGACTATGTTGACTGAGCTCATCTCTCTCATATGAAATGCAATACAGAAAACAAAGGGGAAAAAAACTTCATTGCAAAGATGTATAACTGTGGTCAATCTGAAGAAAAATTTATCTATTTGAAGTTGCTTTTGAAATGCAAAATGTCATTTCAGTTATTGGTGACCTTACATGGCCTCAAGTGAACATGATCTGAGATGATGGTATCGTGTGATGGAATGAGCATTAACCAAGATTGTAAAGACTTTAATTGTAATCTTGGGCTTGTCATTTTTTATTAATATTACATGTTTTAAAGCAGTATTCACTCAACAAATGTTTACTCTGAACCCATTATGTATGGGCAGGTTTTAGATGCTAGATTACAAGACAATTACAGTGTCTATCTCACTGTCCTTAAATTTTAATGAGGGAAGTAGAGAAAGAAATTGTTAAAGTCAAAATAATTTCAGATAGTGACAAATACTGTGCAGAAAGTAAAGAATGACTAGTCGGTGCTACTAAGAGTGGGTATTTAGCGACAGCCTCACTAAGGAGCAGATACTTGGTTATGTCCTTGAATACATCACTTAGCTCACTGAGACTACTTCTTAAGGAGTAAAATGGATGAAACAGCAATTGTCACGTATACCACATGGAATATTTTTAAGGATAAAATGTAATGATATATGTTAAAACCTAGTTCAGTATATCTGAGTAATATATTATTTATATTACATATAAACAATATTTATATTATATATAAATACTATATTATTTAATATATATTCAAATAAATAAATATATAAAGAGCTATAGAAATAAATCACAGTACTATTAAGCAGACGAGTATATTTGCAGAGGAGGAGCTGGATTTACTTTGTCAGATTATTATTTCTTTTGCTATTTTCTGTAATAAGCTTT
This sequence comes from Homo sapiens, assembly GCF_000001405.40. NCBI lineage: Eukaryota > Metazoa > Chordata > Mammalia > Primates > Hominidae > Homo > Homo sapiens. The sequence continues at coordinate 79,153,586 of NC_000003.12, read as the reverse complement.
TAGACCACCGTGTTAACAATAACATAGCAATATTCCTTCTCTAATCTTGATAAAAATGTGAGCTCTGGATTCAGAGAACACAGTTTGAACTCAAAGCTTTGCTGATTATTATCTGTGGATCCTTAGGTATGTTAACCTCTCTGTGAAGTAATTGGAAGATTCTTTTAATTTCAATTTTTAAATTGCTTGGAACATGGAGCTAGCTTTCAAATTACTGTGATACTCAAAATTAGCACTAAATAAAATTAATTGTCCTTGGTTTTGTTGCTATTGTTGAAGATTTTATTAGTGGAGACCCAATCCTCTGCTCTCTGATAAAGATAGGGTTAAGCGACTAAGCCTTAGCTACTTGGTGCAGCATGGTTCTTCTACGTGGAAGTCTTCAGCTTGAATTATACTTTTCCCTAAACTTTGCTTTCCAAAATTTTTAAATGTACATTTCAAAATGCCCATCACTACTACCACCCGCTCACCCTCAATGCACACACATCCGTCCTCCACACAACAGGCAAGGTAGTATTTTTTAAATATAAGTTGGATTGTGTCCCACTGAATGTCCTCCATTACCTGTGAGGTTCTACATCATTTGACCTTTGCCAGACTTGAACCTCTTTCGCTTTTCAAAATGGGCTATTGTTTTTGTTTTAACGTCTTTGAAAACGCCAAAGTCTTTTCCAACTCAGGACCTTTGAACATGCTGTGTCTTCTGCTGAAATATGCAGATAGCTGTTTCTTCATTTCTCAGATTTCAGCTTAAATATGACCATCTCAGAAAAGCCTTTATTTCCTGACACTACCCCTCCAAATGAATCCCTTGTTGCATGATTGTGTGTCTTGTTTGTTTCTGGCCCAATCTGCAATTATTCTGTTTTTCTGTTATTTCGGTTTCTTGTCAGATTCCTCCCATTTGACTGTCAGCTTCATCAAGCTAAAGATCATATTATTCGTTTTTGTGATTTGACTTTGTAATAGAAGTACAATAAATAGTCATTGCGTATAATGAATGATTATTATACAATATGCATATAATAAACATGATTTTCCTAGCATTTGACAGATACCTAAAGCAGTGTTATTTTCCTTCTTTGAACAGTTCAATTAAAAATGAGGGCACACTTTCTTTGTCTTAAAGTAGAAATGCAGTGAAGGGTCAACGCACATATTCTTGTACCACCTTAGTCTTTTCTCTGTCCCCACACTCTACCTCCACATTCTTTTTTCTCTTTCTTTCTGTTTTCTTTCTCATTCACTCAATTTCCTGATATGGAGGAAACAAAACTTATTAGAAATATTATCTTCTGGATAATAGAAGCTTTATTACATGAAGAGATCACCTTAAACATAAACAGCTGTACTATTTCTGTTTCAAGGTATATTTGTGCTACTTGCTTATTTGTTGCACATGTAACATATTTCTACATAATTAAACACATTTATTGAACATCTGTTGAATGGTACACTTAGCACTGCCCTAGATAATCGGAATTTTTTTAATGATGAGGTAACAAGCCTTGTTCTTACGAAGTTTATATTCCAGTGAAAGGAGACATCACTTAATATGTATTCGTATAAATGTACAACGTGAGTTCAGATTTTGAAATGTGCTAGATTAAAAAAGAAAATGTCAGTAAAATTACTCAGGGACCAAGGCTGTCATCATTAGATGGAATCAGATATCAATGTTAGGGAGGAACTTTGTGGTATAGTGACATTTTTGTTGAGACCGAAAGATGAGCAGGAGCCAGTTCAGCAGAGACAAGAGTGGTGAGTTCCAGACAAAAGAGAATGCTATTTGCAGAGACAAGGATGAGCTTGGCCTATAATTTGAAGAGAAAAACCAGCACTTCAGTGTAGTGATCAAACGGGAAACTGGCCCAAATTGTACTGTAAGACAAAGGTGTGAAAGATGTTGCAGGCCAGGAGAAGAAAATTTCATTTTATTCTCAATATATTAGAAAGTCATTTAAAGTTATAAGCAGAAAACTAAGTCCGATTTCTATTTTAAAGCAAAATAGAAATCACTCTGGTTGTTCTCTGAAGGACAGATTATAGAGAAAGAGGAGCATAGAGGCTGGTTAGAGGGCTATTGACATGGTCCAGGTGAGAGACGAGGGGCGATTAAGAAGTGATAGATAGTGGCAGATAGAGAAGTAGTGGTATATTTTGTTGGCTGAGCCAAGAATACTTGGTGATTGAAATGATGTGTGAAATGCAGAAAGGAGAGGTTGGGACAAAGAATCAAGGATGACTCCTAAATTTTTGGTTTGCAAGATGAGGTAGAGGATTGCATTCTTTGGTGAGATTTGGCATGTATGTATTATTAGTCCATTCTCATGCTGCTAATAAAGACACACCTGAGACTGGGTAATTTACAAAGGAAAGAGGTTTAATTGACTCCCAGTTCCACATGGCTGGAGAGGCCTTGCAATCATGATGGAAGGCAAGGAGGAGCAAAATCATGTCTTACATGGCGGCAGTCAAGAGAGAGCTTGTGCAGGGGAACTCCCATTTATAAAACCATCAGATCTCATGAGACCTATTCATTACCACGTGAACAGTACGGAGAAACCACCCCCATGATTCAATTATCTCCACCTGGCCCTGCCCTTGACACATGGGGATTATTACCATTCAAGGTGAGATTTGGATGGGGACACAGCCACACCATATTAGAGGGGCTGGGGCAGGGAATTAAGGATGACTCCTAAACTTTTGGTTTGCAAGATAAGGTAGAGGATTCTATCCTTCAGTGAGATTTGGTGTGTATGTGTATTGGTGGTGGGCATGGAAGTCAAGATATCCTTTTATGGACATGTAAACTTGAGACACTATGCATAAAAATGCATATAGTAAATATTTATGTGTAAACCTGTAGCTCTTTCTGAAATAGAATGCAAATATTTATACTTTACTTTTTATTTTATTTAAAGGTCTTAGGAATTTTTAATGTTTAAACATGAATTTGGGGGCCTGTATGCTGAATTGTCTAAATCCTCTAAGAATATCCTTTTTTAGTAAAGATAAGTATTTAATTTTATAACTTACAATCCTTATTTATTGAATATTAAATATCAGAATAAGTGCATTTCCTACCTGCCATAATATTGTCTTTTAAATACCTCCAATGGCATTTATTACATGTAGCTGAAACACAACCCAACATAATAAGCTTGCCTGCAAAATTCAAAACACACATTTAGAAAAAATATTACTTCACATTCACTGTGTGCCACACTGAAAAATAAAAGGATGGACTTGTGATTTCTGGTCTGGCATGTGAGTAACTTAGAAGTTGCCATTATATCCTAATAACAAGTAAAAACTGAAAAAAAAAAAGAAAAATCAACAACTCTTTGTAGATCTGTCACAGAAGTGAGGTCACAAGGCAAACCACCACCCCCAAAATTAGAGACATACATAGGCAGATACAGAGAGAAACAACTAATTGGAGCAAAAACCTCAGTGGGGAACCAGTGTCTAGATGGGAAAATCTGAACTGCAACTGACAAATTACTGGAGGCTCAGTGTGCATGTCTGAGAGTTAAACACTCCACAAGGACCCAGTGATAACGGACCTTCACCTTTTATGATTTTTACCTCCAGGAGCTTTACCAGGTCCTCACTATAGGAAATTCCCCTTGTGCTTCTGACAAGGGGAAGAGAAAAGTAACCATTTTGAAATGTGCCAGAGCATTCTGTTCCTCTTAACAAGGCCTGCCATCAGGAGTAACTCTTTTATAAGGGCCTAACGTACTGGGGTTTCATCAGAGCCTAACTGAACTTGGGCGATGGACATGCCTAACTTCAGACCCTTCTGGCCCACTTAAAGGTGGAAAAAAAATTAAAAAGATTAAGAAGCACTGGTGAAGTTCACAGTCCAGAGGCACAGACTCGCCAAAACACTGAAACCTAATTATAGGAGTATAGAATGCTTCCCCTCCTCACACACCTTGCCACCAAACCACTGAGGCCGATTTACCTGAGTCCCTTTCACCTAATACATTATATCCATTTTCAACAAAAAACATACTGAAAGACAAAAACAACAACAACAACAACAACAACAACAACAAACACAGTTCGAAGAGACTGAATAAGCGTCAGAACCAGAGACAGATATTGCTAGGATGTGGAATTATTAGACCAGGAATATAAAACAACTATGATTAATACACTATGGGCTGTAATAGAAGAAGCACACAACATGCAAAAATAGATAGATAATATAAGCAGAGAGATAGAAATTCTAAGAAAGTATCAAAAAGGCTATTATGCAAATATCAAATTTAAAAATGCTCTTTGAGCCTTGGGATATTGGAAAATTAAGGAAACTGATAACTAGTTTGCTTAGATTCTCACTGAGTAGTTTAAATGGACAGTTTATAATAAACGTGATATAATTATCTGAACGCAGAAGTATGCTGGTAAGTAGTTAACAACTGGTTCTCTGGGGCAAAGGCCCTGATTTATAATATTTACTGATTTTCATTTAAGTACTCTCAACATTGAGGCTACCAATGTATCAGCACAAATATGGAACTGGGAACAGATTGCTGAGAACATTTGTTGTGTTCCAACAAGTGTTAAGTCCCAATTGCTGGGAAACAATGACTCACTTGGCGCCAGTATGTGAGACTCCAGCACTTCATTGCCTGAACACATCTTAGATTTTGCTGTTCTGAGCACCTGCATTCTAAAATTATGTTTATGCTATGTCTAAATTTTAATTATTGATCACATCAGCAAAATACAGCTAATCTAATTGATCATTCTTATTAGACAATATATTAGGAATTCAGTATTTCAGTGAATCCATGTTAGGAATGAGTATGAATGTTAAGAATTGATTTTGAGGTCTCATTTGTATTCTTAAGCTTTTTAAATTTAATGATGATTTCAGACAGCTTCAGAATTTAACAACTTACTTTATGATCATGTACAGGTCTAATCCATTAGACCTTACGTGAATGTTCCCACTCAATATAGACTATTGAACTCAACTCAAAAATTGGCTTTGTCTATTTCTCCTATCATGCCTAAATCATTTGATTTTGCTTTGTTCTTCCCATGTCATGCTATTTTAGACCTTGCTCCTGTTCCCAGGCTTATATCTTACTGCTAGTACTTTTTTCATTTAAAATTTTTTAAGAGATCTGTCCTAGGCTGGCCTCGAACTCTAGGCTCAGGAGACCCATCAGCCTCCTGAGTATATGAGATGCACATCACCTCTCCCAGCTCCTTTAATTTTTAAATGGTATACTTTTTATAATATTCATTCTGTATATAGTCTTTCAGTCTTTCTTCTCATTCTTACTGTGAATCCCGTTTACCATCGTGGTGCTGTTTGAAACCATTTGCAGCCCTTGTGTTCCTATTGTGCTTCCATTTCTTTCTTTGTCTTTTAGTAAAGACAGATAGCCTTCTAGGAATGCCCCATATGACTCTCAAAGAAGAGGGAGGAATCAAAGAATAATTATTGCGGCCTACATAAATGAACAGTGGGGATATGACAGAGGCAGATAAGAAAAGAGAAAGAGGAAAGAAAGAAAAAAGCTATTTCTGAAATGTCTGTGACCAACATTGTTGACAAAGTTTCAATGTTCTTTTTCCTTCCTAGTAAAAGTAACAGGAGCTCTGAAGCTAACTATAAGCAGGCATGGAAAGATACCTAAAGTTACAACAACAACAACAAAAAAATCTGAGAATTAAAATCTGGTTTTACGTATAGCTGTTTTGAAATTCTCTATTGAAATCAACATGTATTAGCATAAATAAAAAAATTTAAGTGCATCAATAACAAGTGTAAAACAAATTCCGTGTTCAGTTTGACATTGGTTAAATGCTGTATATGAAACTAAGCACCAAAAGAAATCAATAGAGTCATTAACTATCTCACCCACTGTGTATAATAAATGATAGATTAGCTTAAATGTGATCAAACTTTTCCTCCTATTCAAAGACAAGTACTTTTCTGTTCAAGGACCACTTAACAAAATGATGCTGGCTGGTCTCCCTAACACCCAATTTCCTAAAGTCATTTGAAGGATGGGATTATTTAACTCAAATTCTAAGCAACTAATTTCAGCTTGGGACAACAGCTGTGTAAGGAATATCATTGCCTCGGGAACATCGCCTAAATATTGGGTATCTCATTTTTGGCCTCTTTGATCTCTTGAAATGATTCATTTACTAAAAAGAAAACTCACCTGCTCAGTGTTCTTACATTTCATTTTAATGAAAAAGTGGCCAGTTTTGTAGGCCATGCTTCTTGGCTTTCGTCAAACAGAAAGTACCTTCTGAATTTTGTGATTGGCAAAGTATCTCTCAGGCAGGCACAAATGGAAATTCAAGATAGAGTAAAATCAGGCTTTAAACCATGCTTGAACCAATTGCGTTGACTATATTCATTTTAAGTTGCTACTGGACAGGTGGTATAAAATTAGAATTTAAATCAAAATTTTCCATTACTACCTTTACTTCCTATTTGAAAAGAAAATTCAGAACATTTATGTTATGCAGCTATCTAGTTTAGATCAGAGACGCTTTTACACTGTTTACCTTGGATATGTTAATACTTATTTGCATATCTTTCTAAAACCAATTTCAGTATTTCTTCCTACCTTTTAGAAATATCCATTACACTCTGACAATATATAGCTAAAGCAACTATTGGAAAGATATTTTCACCATTTCCTTCTGCTTAGAAAATCTAAACTTTCCCTACATTCAAGAAAACTGGCCACTTCTTTGCTTTTTCTCCTGTTAAATAATCAGATTCAACTAAGATCTATGTTAATTTTTCTAGATACTGGATACTGAGCATTTTCTATTTTGTCCTATGTGCTTTTTTCTTTCAACACTGTCTTTAATTTTGATTTTAGTTCTATAAAGTAGCATACATTTAATTCTTTGCAGTCCCAAATAATAATGCAAAAATGGTAACAATGAAAAATCAATCTTAAAATGTTATTTACCACAGATATCTGCATACTTCACATAAGTCCAGGATATATGCATATGTATGTATATATGTATGTTATATATACATGCACAGACACACATGTATACATGTATATACATACACATTAGAGATATATATATATTCTATGATCTATATCTGTCACACTATATTTAGCCCTACAAAAGTATAATAAACATATTTTTCTGCAGTTATGTTCACAAAAATGACAAAAGAATCAATATAGCTGATAGAATTGATGGGCTCTATTTTTACGGACCATTTCTTTTCCTAAAAGTTTTAAGTGGTATATTCTTCTACATCTTTATTCCCTGAGGAACTACTCTGATGCCCTAAACATTCATTCACAGGCCTCCTTTGCACGGTGAGTGATGACAGGTGAACCTCAGAAGTGTGGGTGGGGCCAATTCCAAGCTCTGTGACGTAATTGCCTTTGTATATTTAGGATTGCTTTTAAAGCAGACACTTTTATTGGTATTTGAAATAAATGTCCATTATTTTATAAATAGAAATAGCCTATGAAAATTTCTCAGGCAATTTAAGTAGATTTAAGTAGACTTTTTTTTTTTGCTTTCTTTATCTTTAATATGAAGTTACCCACTTGAACTATTCTCAAAGGTTTAAGGGGTTGAGCCAAGCACACCAACTATTATTTCTACCAATTAAGTAATCTCTAATCACATCATCTACAGTAGAATTATCCAATAGCTTTATCTCAGTCACCATCTATTTCACTCAAAGAACACTGTAAAGATGATCATTTTATTTTATTTAATTCGTGTTATTTTACTGTGCTGTTTTTTACTTTATCAAGCTGTGAAGGAAATAATGCCAGTGTGACCTGAACTTTATCTCCCAAGCTGTCAGAGTTTATTGAATAAAAGGTTGTGGTTTAAATTCAGGACAATCCACTGTCTGACCCCCATCAATAGTCTTTCAGTCTCTTTCACAGAAATTGATCAGGTCAGTCGGGCAACATTTTTTTTCCTTATGTCATATCTTACAGTGGTAGCTTCATAATCAATTTTTTAGCTTACATAAGGTTTGTTACAAAGTCTTATGACAAGATTTTCAAGTATAGTAAATATATTTATTTCAAATGACCACCTTTAGTATGGTAAGTAATTCTATGTTCTTTATAGTTTTCACATTTAAAGATTAAATAATAAAGTTTTTAAAATAGGATGACTGTTATTTATGTCTGTGTGTGTGTGTGTGTGTGTGTGTGTGTGTGTATGTGTGTGTGTATTTCTGGCATCAGAAATTTTCTTTCATCTCTCATTGATTCCAGAGTCTATAAATCTAAAAAGTTGAGATTATAAATGATTTTTATCTATTTTTGAAGACTACCTATTACTCTGATATTTATAGTTTTATGGTGTTTATAGTAAATTACCTGAGGTTTTATTATTCTCCTTGTAAATGCAAAGTTACCTATATATTTCCTCAATTTATTTTTTGGAGGATATCAACAACTGATAGTTATAGCTTCATGATGACAAACCAAACCAACTTGACCATTTATAGTCAAATGACATAAAAGATTTGAAGGTATATAAAAATAGGATGTACAAGAGCAATAATCTTTTTTGTAGAACAATTTTATGTAGGCAATTCTGTCCAGGTCTTTATAGTTGTACACTAGAGTAGAACATACATCATTTAGTTGCAACTATATAGTCCAAAACACACTTTATTCTGCACTGCATAATAACCTACAAAATATTATTTTTTTCTCTAACAAGATACATTGCTATTCACAGTGGCAACGTAACAGATTTCCGTCTGATGGATCTTGCATACTTAAATGATTATTATTTTTGGCTTTTAGTTTGCTACCATTAATGGAAAAAGGGAATCATAAAGGTGATTCTACATTTTGTTTGTAATATCAACTATATATTTTTCCTTTTAATATAAGGAGAATGAGATGACATTATTAAATGTTAAAAAGCCTATAAAACTAATTTCAGTGTTTCTAAAGGACCTACAAAGCTCTAGTATTCTTCATTCCTCTTCATCTCAGATTAGGTTCACGTACTCCATTCCATCTATCAAAATTTCCTATGCACATATGAATAAAGAAAAGAAGGATTTAAAAAAAGGAAGGAAGAAAAGAAAGATTTAGAAGAAGGAAAGGAGAGGAGAAGGGGAAAGAGGAAAAAAGTGGAAGGGAGTAGACAGTAGGGGAAAAAGGAAGCAAGGGGAAAAGAGGGAGAAAAGGAACGAGCTCTCAGAGGTTTAACTTTAACCTAATCCTAATGCTGCAGAGACATTTCTTTCATGTGAATATATGTGTGGCTTTTAAAATCTGATTGGCTGATTGTGAGACACTCTGGAAAACAATTTTGGCAGTTCTTTTAAATACTAAATATTGATTACCAAATGCCCTTGGCATTTATCTCAGAGAAATGAAAATGTATATTTAATACTAAAACTGTACATATTTATAGCAGCTTTATTCATAACAGGCAAAACTGGAAACTACCCACATTTCCTCAACAGGTCAATGGCTAAATAAACTCTAGTACATCCATATCATGGAACTCTACATTGCCATAGCAATAAAAAGGAATGAACTCTTGAGTCACGCAAAAAACTGCGAAAATCTTTGGAGAATTAAGCTGAGTGGAAAAAAAAAAGTCATTCTCAAAAAAGTTACGTACTGTATGATTTCATTTATAGAACATTCTCAAAAATGTGGATATGGATAATAGATTAGTAGTTCAGAGTATAGGAAGGGGTTGAGTGGGAGGAAAGTGTGTGGGACCATGAAAGGGCAGCGTGAATGACCCATTTAATGGTGGCAAGACCCTTTATCTTGCTATTATCAATGTTAATATCCTGTTTGCGATACTGTACTATAGTTTTGCAAGATGTTACCACTGGAGGAAACGAGGTAAAATGTATAATAAATATTCCTATATTATGCACATGAACCTGCTATTATCTCAAAATTTGAAAAGTTTTTATGGTAGGATTCAGGATAAATTTCATGATGCATATAGTATATTTGCAAGTAGAATAAACAGCAGAATACTTAATGGCATAGTCAATTAAATACACATGTGATTGATGCAAAGTTTGACAACAATATCTTTATTCTCTTGTGAAATAAAATGTGCTGTTATCATGTTTGTAATGACCAGTCAACTCCCTGCATTGGGTAAGTACTCTGGCACATTTTTTATTTCCTGTGTTATTTCATTCACTATCATGTTTTATACCTATATGTTTTTGCCAGAATTATGTATAATTAGAGAGAATTTTTTACCTAGAAGCTACAGAATCATAGGTAAGCAAGCAGTTTTACCAGCAATGGAAGATTTATATTTTTTTGGCAAATTTGGTTACCAGGTGTTAGGCTGTCGGGTTATTTTTAGAATCATATTTAAGCACCCAAATAGCCATTCCAAAAATAAAGGTTTAACATTAACAAATAGTTTAGTCTTATTCCAGATAATCTAAGAAAAGAGGAACACATTCTTAGGTGTTTGATTTATTTATACCAATTACTACTAGTGCAACTCTGACCATTCATTTGTTAAAAATACTGTCAATCTTATGGCCATTTCTGACTCCCGTATTACACTTTTACGGTTTATGTTGAAGACGTAAGGCATTTTCAAATGCCAAATGTTGCAGATTACAGATTACAGAGACTTGCTTTTGTGAGTCTTCTCCATTTACAAGGGTTGCAAATATTTATTTATGATTTCTATAATATTTCCTTAAAATGTTCATACATAGTTATCATAATTCTGTCAATATATAGAACTCAGCAGATTTTTATTCCCTGTCTATAAACTTCAGTTTCCTTTCCCATTTTGCAGGAAAATGGGAATGCTTTAAAACTTCTGACCTCGCTTAAAAAGTGGTAACCAAAGGCCAATGGAAAGAGTATTAGTTACTATAGTAAACTTTTCATCCATTTCCCACATTTCCCACACATGTGCTAATCAATGTATTCACACAGGAGCCGCATCATTAGAACAAAAAGTCTTATATTTGCTAGTCACCTAGGCTGTGTCCACTCTAAACATGTGCAGAGGCTACTGAATCTACAGAGGAGCATATACTGCATATAATACAATTAAGTGTATTATGAATTATAAAGCAGAGGGTGCAGAAGGAAGGAATTAGTTGGTGCAGTATCTTCAAATACCTTCAAATCTTCTTCCTTCTGATAATCTCAACAACTTTAGTCACATCTCACTTGACTCCCAGAAGAAGGAACATTTATAGAGGACTGCCTCCTACTGTGTTTTATACTGTTGACCACCAGTAATTAATAGACTTCTTCAGCCAAAAACATTGGTGCCCATAAAATACTTTTACATATAAACTGTCCCCACTATCACTTGAATATGAATAAATACATAAATAGCCTAATATCTTTTAAGATATTTGGGGTTATTTTGTATGTTTTTTGTTCATAATCCTCACTCCTTCTGCATGCACACAAATAAACACATTTCTTAAAAATAGCTATTTTATTTTCTTAAGTTTCGCCAATTTCCATTAATTTACAATAAGAATGTCTCTTTTGGAAAAATATTTGTAAGTGAAACATATCATCTCACTATAAAATTCCTTGTGAGAATAAAGGCTGGCAGATATCCCCACAAAAAAAACCACAAATGTCAGTCTGAGAATCCACAGAGTAAAAACAAATAATACGCAGGAAAACAAAAATAAAAACATGTTATATGTGGTATGTATAATTATAATAAATAGTGTATATGTAGTATGTGTGTAATAAGACTGAATTAGCGAGAAATGGGAATGTCATTTTAAAATTCAGCTTTATGTTATAAAATAGAAATGTCCAAAGGCTGTGAGCCAAATAAACTGAAATAATAAAGAGAAGAAGAATCAAGTGCAAGTTTATTTGATCACCAGTGCCCTACCTGTGTGAATTTGCGCAGTGAAACCCCTTATGCCATAACCATTGCTACAAACAGCCTCCCTCTATGGAGAAGTGGGGGAGGGTGCAATGTGCAATCAAATGAGAGCTAGAGAAAAGAAAAAAAAAAAAAACAACAACAGCAACCACCATTGCCACTCTCACACTGAGAGGAAATCAATGGAAATGAATGAATCGGGGGTAAGCCTCGACTGCGCTTTCTGGTCCTCGATTGGACACAGCTAATCCCTGTGACCTTTAAAAAACCTGAAGGAATAAAATGACCCCAATAATCAAAAGCACAATTAGAATGAAGAGTGCAAAACCGTGACTGTGGTTAAGAAAGGCAGACAATGAGGAGACGATAGAGGAAATTTGTCCCTTTAGCAGTTGAGTGAATGCAACCTTAGAGGTGCCTTTAATGGTCACAGATGGATGGCAGCCACAAAATACAGGACACACGAGGGAGGGCAGGTGGGGAGGAATCGCAGTCGTCACATGATCTGGGCCCAAACTGCAGATGCTTCAGATGTCCCCCACCACCCTCCAATGCATCAAGCATAGTTTCTATCTCTCTACAGGAGACAGTAAAAGAAATTGGACAGATGTTGAAATATCACTGGGCAAGGAAAAAAAATGTTTCATCCTAACAGTGAAGAAATCTGCGGGGTAATTTCAATATCAACTGTGTTTTATTTTTCTTAGGAAATAAAATTCAGTGAATTCATCTTTATCAGCACAAAGCAACCAGGCAATTAGGCAACTAAGTTCTGCAGTTCAAGTAGTCTGCCATAAGGATGACATGCTGTCTATGTGGAGATACTTCCTGAATGATTCAGTGGGGTATTCCGTGTAAACGAGTGCTAAGGAAATGCAATGGTGAAGATGTGAAGAAACACAGTTAGACAAAAATGACATTTTCAAAATTCACTTTTCTCTTGAATTTTAACTGATGCATTATTCACTTTTTCTCTTCTATAAACTCCCAATTGGCAAATTACATAGAGACAGAGTGTGTGTTTTCTCATTGCAGGAGGCAAATATGTAGGATTTTGCTTGTTAAAAAATATAGATGATCCATTTAAATTGGTTTGTAATTTGAATTAATTATAATAATAGCAAACTTTTACTAACTTCTTATTAGGTATATAGGATTATCATAAGATTTTATAAATAAGTACTTATTTAATGCTCACAGACTCCTGTGAAATAGATAGTATTATTTCACATTTTATAGTTGAAGAAACTGAGGCCAATCAATAAATAATATATAAATAAATGAATGTAACTTGCCCAAAGTCACAGGGTTAGCTAGTGGCTCCTAAACATTACACTATATTGATTATCTAAATAAATGATAACATATATTTAGCTGTAGTGATTCCAAAATATCAAGTAAATAATTTGATATTTTGACTGAATTTAACAAAACATGTGAATCTTACTTGAATATCATTCTACACAGTAACCAGTAGCAGTGTTTATGAACATGGATTATTAACATACTTAAGGGAAGTGGCAATAAATTTACATATACTACGATGATAAAAGAGCACTGGGTAAAGGATAAGGAGATCTCAGTTTTTACTTAAGATCTCAGATGTGATCATCGTACCTCAAACCCAGGTAGCTACATCTACAAAAGGGATTCTATTTCTTCCTGATTCCCCATCCATCATTTAAATGCTATAAAAAGAGTACTCCGTTCATTTAGGTATTGCTATTGTGCCATTTTTGTGCCTGAAAATGTAGGATGTATTTGTTCATACTATAAGGGCAGCTGGGACACCACCTGTTAACTAACTTCAAGCACCATTTAATTAGCCTGTGTTGAAGTTACCGTATGCTTTGACTGGAAGGGAGTGGAACAGTAGCAGATGCTAAGCACAATAAAAGAAACGCCTTTGAATACCAGGGCAAAGTGGGTGGAGAGAATAACAAAAAAAGTCAACAGACGGAGAGAGCCAGAAGTATTAGTAAAATGGACCGGAAATTAACTCTCACAGATAAAGTTCAAGGCAGCAAATCTCTGCAGATTAAATTCCAACCCAGCAAGGTATCTGTCACATCAGATATTATTGAGGATTTGATTTGAGGATTTTGAATAAATGCAGACCTCAACCGGACAATTGGCTCAGTTTTTAATTCTATAAAGGGGTAGTCATCACATTATTTCTATGACAACCTCCATGACTTTCTTAAACCAAACGTTTAGACATCAAGAAAAAAACATGTTGTGTCATACTGATGCATAATTTCCCCAATTACTTTAAGAGATCTACTTTGTCAGTGTTTCCACTAGGAGAGATCTGGAAACAAATGGTTTTAAAATTATGAACATTTCTCCATCAATAGAATGATTTCCATACAGGAGGCACTCTATCTTGTTTAGTCAAATTAAGTTGAATTGAAATGAATTAATAGCTTCTTCGTGGCATTTATATTCTTCTGGGTCACAGGCTTATCCATTAACGAATTTACCTTCCTAATATTGCAATAGTGTATTTTATGTTAATAGAATTGTTTTATATATACATATATAATAGCATAAAATATATATATATGTTATTGATGTTCTTGCTTAAATATATATTAGGTATCTTTTATTTAGTCAGATTTCATCAGTCTGGTGTAGCTAGATGTACCCCAAATTAACTTAAACCAAACTCTACTTGACAATTTTTGTATAGTTATTCTACTTTTTTTGAGAATTGTAACACTTTTGGAGATTCAAAAATAGAATATAACATAAGCAAATGAAATATTAATTCCAACTTGTTATAATATCACTTTAATTTCAAGAGCAGCCTCTCAGAAAAATGCACTCCATTCATTCAAATCAGAATATATCTATACTTATATTTATGTCTATATCTATATATCTATATCAGAATTTCCTAAAATCAGAGGGAATTTGTAAAACTTAAATATAATTCATCTACCTGGCAATATTTAAAAACCTTCCTTGTTTATTCATACTATAATTTTTTTCAGTTTTTAGTATTACCACAATTTATTACATTTTATATCCAGTTTGTTAATCATCCCCTTTAACAAGAAAAAAAACTCTTACCAGTAAGACCCTTACCTGAATTAAGTTAAATAAGATTCTATTTCCAAATGTGTGCATAACACTTACAGGGGAGAAAAAGGAAGTAATATGTTATTCTATTAGAAATAGTAATTTACCATACTGTAGTTCTGAATTGGATTTATGGTGACTATAATATTTTAGATAGATAAGTATATGACAACATAAGGAGGTAATTCATATTCATTCCATGAACATTCATGTCCAAATAAGGAAATAATTCATGTTCATTCATTGAGAAAAGTTACTTCCATCTTAAACTCTTCATTCCAACAAAACTATGGCCCAGTGTTTCATCTAGTCATTCAACAAAAAAAGTATTGATTGTGTACTCTGTTCTTAAGCACTGTGTTAAGGCTAGGCATAGGATGATGAGTAAGACATGACCCTGTCTTAATCACCCTTCAACTTACACCAAAAGATTCATCTTTGTTGTTGAAGAATAATTTTTAGAAATAATTATCAAAAAAATCTCAATGTATCTTGATTTCAGTCAGTAGTTTGATCCCCAAATCAATATATTTTAAAACATTGTGGGCAAAGCCTTATGCTTTGGAACCCCATTTTAATAATTTTTTATTGTGTATTTCTTGCTTCAATACAACTGACTACCTTATTAAATACTTTATTTTATTCTGTCTGTAAAAGGACACATGAAGAAGTTCTGGTGATATGCTTAATGGACCTCAGAAATAGATTTGTGAAATTATCCAATCTTATTGTTCAGTGACTAGAAAAGAATCACTAACCTGGTGTCCCATTGTTTGTATGCTATTGAAATTCCATCTAGTTCCCAGAGTTAGATTGATGAATAAAAGGAGGTCATGGTGTGTAGTGAAAAGTGGAGTGCTTTGGAGTCAGAAATAATTTGGAATCAAATTTCAGATCCACTGTTTACTAGTTGCATGACAGAAGCAAAAGTACTCTGAGATTCGGTTTCAGTATCTTGAAAACGGAAATACTGATGAGAATCATGATGATGATGGCTAGGATCATGATAGAACTGTAAGCATTACATAAGAACACATATATGCATATAAAATGATGTGTTCTATTAAACAGACCAAAGCATTATATAAACATTACTTGTGATTATAATCAGTGCAGGTTTTACTTCCTTTTTTTCACATTTGATTCATTCAGTTATCTAATCACCTAAACCAGAAAATGAGAAAAAAAACAGTAACATGTATTTTGAGATCATTGTGTGAAATCTGTTTTTTTTTTATTTAGTAACGTCCTGGCATCTCAGGCCACAGGTTAAAATTACCTACTCTCCATTAAGATTATTTCAGCTTATCCAAATAATAAACTACTCTGACTTTTTTTCTTTTCCCAAAACTATTGGAAGACAACGTTTTCAAATTTTGAAAGAACCATCCAGTCACTAAACATTTTGTTTGAAAACAGATTTTACATCAAGGCTAACGTTTTTGTTTATTTTACCAAAACACAATTTCTAACAAGTATTGTCCACTTGGATCATTGTAATCATGGTTCTTCTATCTTTGAAAGAAACGTAAAGAAACAACCTTGATTTTTCTTATAGCAGCAACATTGGAGATGATTGTAACACATTGTTTTCTGTTCTCATATTGCTGCTTTAAAAATAATTTATTCAATATTTAGTGGCAATTTTTTAACTTCATACATATTATCTCTAATGTTCTACAGTACATAGATTTCTTCAGCTATTGTAAATATATTTCTTTATTTGCATCACTTACTAAATATTTCTAAGGAGGCACCACCTAAAAGCACCTACTGATTTTTTTTCCTCTCAATCTCTATAACATAACTTATATTTCTCCCTTATTCCCAGTTCAAAAAAATGGGACAGATAATAAAGTACATTCAACAATTATTTGGGCCATACATGATTAAAGCAGAAGTTTGAGTTTAACTTAAATTTGATCTTATAGAATTTTGATGCAAATTTAAAGCTTCACAAATATAGGGGTTTCTTGTATTTGATTTTATAATTCATTGCCTACGTTTCTAATTAAATGTTCTCAGTACTCCATTTAAAGTACCCTTTCCATGCATTCCTCTTGATTAGTAGGAAAGAATCGATGAGAATTGATCCAATTTGTAGAACACAATTCTCATATTGATAGTAGTTTATATTCATTTGCTTTTCCCTAATCTTTTATTAATGGTCATCTTTAAAATGTCAATTAATGCCAAAGCTCTGCACTGTGATAATGCAAATCTATAAAGAAACTAGCTTGACACTTTATAGTAAGTAGGGCAAAAGGAAGAAGCTTTTATGTTTTTATTATACATAACTGAATATGACAGAAGGAAAGAAGAAGGTTGGAAACCCTAATGTTTTGAGCTGTGATTGCAAACCCAATTTAAAAATTAAAAATAAATAAATAAAATTCTGAATTTAAACCAACAGGCTTTTCTCTTAGGCCTCTACATTTCCACAATATAATACTGGCTACCATGGGATGATAAACAATTTAAATTACTATGGATTGAATGCTACTGCAAATATGAGTCTTTGTACTACAAAACCAATATTACCTATTTTAATACCACTGGTGAAAGAGAAATGCCATTGCATGAATGTCTGCTGCACATTATGGAGAAGGCTTTAGATCATTAAATTTTCATCCACCATCCTTTAAACTTTTTAAATGTTTTTCATAAAAGATTGAGTGATTGGGCTGGGTGAGGTGGCTCACGCCTGTAAATCCCAGCACTTTGGGAGGCCAAGGCGGGTGGATCACCTGAGGCCTGGAGTTCGATAACAGCCTGACCAACATGGAGAAACCCCCTCTCTACTAAAAATACAAAATTAGCCGGGCGTGGTGCCACATGCCTGCAGTCCCAGCTACTCAGGAGGCTGAGGCGGGAGAATCGCTTGAACCCAGGAGGCGAAAGTTGCGGTGAGCTGAGGTCGCACCATTGCACTCTAGCTTGGGCAACAAAAGTGAAACTCCGTCTCAAAAAAAAAAAAAAGAAGATTGAATGATTGCTAATGTTATGTCATATTTGCTGTATCTCTTTCTCCCAAGATAGTTTTTATTCAACCATTTGAATATCACTTAGAGATATGATATCTCATGCCTTAATTATTCCACGTGTGTATCCTAAAAACTAAGTATGTTATTTTTTCTGGAAACTTTAAGCTGGATCTCAAGTCTTCATTGAACAATCAACAATTTTTTTTTCAGAAAGGCTTCATAGCTGATATTGTATACTGTATTATAGAATGGACTTCTCACTCTTAGTTGCCTGCTATTGGTGATAGTAAGTTTGATTACTGAGTTACAGATATGACTGTCTGATCTATCAATTATCAAAGTGTATTTTTTACTTCCAAGTTAGCAAATACCCTCTGGGGTGATACTTTTGCAGTGTAAAATATGCTATCTTCCAACAATTTTTCACTTAATAGATGTGGGGGTTTGGGGAGATGCTGGCCAAAGGACATAAAATTTCAGTTAGGAGGAATAAGTTCAAGAGACCCATTATACAACATGATGACTATGTTTAATAAGAACGTATTATAGTCTTGACCTTCTCTAAGACACTCAATTTTTTTTTTAATGTTTTTTTTTATTATACTCTAAGTTTTAGGGTACATGTGCACATTGTGCAGGTTAGTTACATATGTATACATGTGCCATGCTGGTGCGCTGCACCCACTAACGTGTCATCTAGCATTAGGTATATCTCCCAATGCTATCCCTCCCCCCTCCCCCGACCCCACCACAGTCCCCAGAGTATGATATTCCCCTTCCTGTGTCCATGTGATCTCATTGTTCAATTCCCACCTATGAGTGAGAATATGCGGTGTTTGGTTTTTTGTTCTTGCGATAGTTTACTGAGAATGATGGTTTCCAATTTCATCCATGTCCCTACAAAGGACATGAACTCATCATTTTTTATGGCTGCATAGTATTCCATGGTGTATATGTGCCACATTTTCTTCATCCAGTCTATCATTGTTGGACATTTGGGTTGGTTCCAAGTCTTTGCTATTGTGAATAGTGCCACAATAAACATACGTGTGCATGTGTCTTTATAGCAGCATGATTTATAGTCATTTGGGTATATACCCAGTAATGGGATGGCTGGGTCAAATGGTATTTCTAGTTCTAGATCCCTGAGGAATCGCCACACTGACTTCCACAATGGTTGAACTAGTTTACAGTCCCACCAACAGTGTAAAAGTGTTCCTATTTCTCCACATCCTCTCCAGCACCTGTTGTTTCCTGACTTTTTAATGATTGCCATTCTAACTGGTGTGAGATGATATCTCATAGTGGTTTTGATTTGCATTTCTCTGATGGCCAGTAATGATGAGCATTTCTTCATGTGTTTTTTGGCTGCATAAATGTCTTCTTTTGAGAAGTGTCTGTTCATGTCCTTCGCCCACTTTTTGATGGGGTTGTTTGTTTTTTTCTTGTAAATTTGTTTGAGTTCATTGTAGATTCCGGATATTAGCCCTTTGTCAGATGAGTAGGTTGCGAAAATTTTCTCCCATGTTGTAGGTTGCCTGTTCACTCTGATGGTAGTTTCTTTTGCTGTGCAGAAGCTCTTTAGTTTAATTAGATCCCATTTGTCAATTTTGGCTTTTGTTGCCATTGCTTTTGGTGTTTTGGACATGAAGTCCTTGCCCACGCCTATGTCCTGAATGGTGACACCTCACACGGCAGGGTATTCCAACAGACCTGCAGCTGAGGGTCCTGTCTGTTAGAAGGAAAACTAACAACCAGAAAGGACATCTACACCGAAAACCCATCTGTACATCACCATCATCAAAGACCAAAAGTAGATAAAACCACAAAGATGGGGAAAAAACAGAACAGAAAAACTGGAAACTCTAAAACGCAGAGCGCCTCTCCTCCTCCAAAGGAACGCAGTTCCTCACCAGCAACGGAACAAAGCTGGATGGAGAATGATTTTGACGAGCTGAGAGAAGAAGGCTTCAGACGATCAAATTACTCTGAGCTACGGGAGGACATTCAAACCAAAGGCAAAGAAGTTGAAAACTTTGAAAAAAATTTAGAAGAATGTATAACTAGAATAACCAATACAGAGAAGTGCTTAAAGGAGCTGATGGAGCTGAAAACCAAGGCTCGAGAACTATGTGAAGAATGCAGAAGCCTCAGGAGCCGATGCGATCAACTGGAAGAAAGGGTATCAGCAATGGAAGATGAAATGAATGAAATGAAGCGAGAAGAGAAGTTTAGAGAAAAAAGAATAAAAAGAAATGAGCAAAGCCTCCAAGAAATATGGGACTATGTGAAAAGACCAAATCTACATCTGATTGGTGTACCTGAAAGTGATGTGGAGAATGGAACCAAGTTGGAAAACACTCTGCAGGATATTATCCAGGAGAACTTCCCCAATCTAGCAAGGCAGGCCAATGTTCAGATTCAGGAAATACAGAGAACGCCACAAAGATACTCCTCGAGAAGAGCAACTCCAAGACACATAATTGTCAGATTCACCAAAGTTGAAATGAAGGAAAAAATGTTAAGGGCAGCCAGAGAGAAAGGTCGGGTTACCCTCAAAGGAAAGCCCATCAGACTAACAGCGGATCTCTCGGCAGAAACCCTACAAGCCAGAAGAGAGTGGGGGCCAATATTCAACATTCTTAAAGAAAAGAATTTTCAACCCAGAATTTCATATCCAGCCAAACTAAGCTTCATAAGTGAAGGAGAAATAAAATACTTTATAGACAAGCAAATGCTGAGAGATTTTGTCACCACCAGGCCTGCCCTAAAAGAGCTCCTGAAGGAAGCACTAAACATGGAAAGGAACAACCGGTACCAGCCGCTGCAAAATCATGCCAAAATGTAAAGACCATTGAGACTAGGAAGAAACTGCATCAACTAATGAGCAAAATAACCAGCTAACATCATAATGACAGGATCAAATTCACACATAACAATATTAACTTTAAATATAAATGGACTAAATTCTGCAATTAAAAGACACAGACTGGCAAGTTGGATAAAGAGTCAAGACCCATCAGTGTGCTGTATTCAGGAAACCCATCTCACGTGCAGAGACACACATAGGCTCAAAATAAAAGGATGGAGGAAGATCTACCAAGCCAATGGAAAACAAAAAAAGGCAGGGGTTGCAATCCTACTCTCTGATAAAACAGACTTTAAACCAACAAAGATCAAAAGAGACAAAGAAGGCCATTACATAATGGTAAAGGGATCAATTCAACAAGAGGAGCTAACTATCCTAAATATTTATGCACCCAATACAGGAGCACCCAGATTCATAAAGCAAGTCCTGAGTGACCTACAAAGAGACTTAGACTCCCACACATTAATAATGGGAGACTTTAACACCCCACTGTCAACATTAGACAGATCAACGAGACAGAAAGTCAACAAGGATACCCAGGAATTGAACTCAGCTCTGCACCAAGCGGACCTAATAGACATCTACAGAACTCTCCACCCCAAATCAACAGAATATACATTTTTTTCAGCACCACACCACACCTATTCCAAAATTGACCACATAGTTGGAAGTAAAGCTCTCCTCAGCAAATGTAAAAGAACAGAAATTATAACAAACTATCTCTCAGACCACAGTGCAATCAAACTAGAACTCAGGATTAAGAATCTCACTCAAAGCTGCTCAACTACATGGAAACTGAACAACCTGTTCCTGAATGACTACTGGGTACATAACGAAATGAAGGCAGAAATAAAGATGTTCTTTGAAACCAACGAGAACAAAGACACCACATACCAGAATCTCTGGGACGCATTCAAAGCAGTGTGTAGAGGGAAATTTATAGCACTAAATGCCTACAAGAGAAAGCAGGAAAGATCCAAAATTGACACCCTAACATCACAATTAAAAGAACTAGAAAAGCAAGAGCAAACACATTCAAAAGCTAGCAGAAGGCAAGAAATAACTAAAATCAGAGCAGAACTGAAGGAAATAGAGACACAAAAAACCCTTCAAAAAATCAATGAATCCAGGAGCTGGTTTTTTGAAAGGATCAACAAAATTGATAGACCGCTAGCAAGACTAATAAAGAAAAAAAGAGAGAAGAATCAAATAGACACAATAAAAAATGATAAAGGGGATATCACCACCGATCCCACAGAAATACAAACTACCATCAGAGAATACTACAAACACCTCTACACAAAAAAACTAGAAAATCTAGAAGAAATGGATACATTCCTGGACACATACACTCTCCCAAGACTAAACCAGGAAGAAGTTGAATCTCTGAATAGACCAATAACAGGCTCTGAAATTGTGGCAATAATCAATAGTTTACCAACCAAAAAGAGTCCAGGACCAGATGGATTCACAGCCGAATTCTACCAGAGGTACAAGGAGGAACTGGTACCATTCCTTCTGAAACTATTCCAATCAATAGAAAAAGAGGGAATCCTCCCTAACTCATTTTATGAGGCCAGCATCATTCTGATACCAAAGCCGGGCAGAGACACAACCAAAAAAGAGAATTTTAGACCAATATCCTTGATGAACATTGATGCAAAAATCCTCAATAAAATACTGGCAAACCGAATCCAGCAGCACATCAAAAAGCTTATCCACCATGATCAAGTGGGCTTCATCCCTGGGATGCAAGGCTGGTTCAATATACGCAAATCAATAAATGTAATCCAGCATATAAACAGAGCCAAAGACAAAAACCACATGATTATCTCAATAGATGCAGAAAAAGCCTTTGACAAAATTCAACAACCCTTCATGCTAAAAACTCTCAATAAATTAGGTATTGATGGGACGTATTTCAAAATAATAAGAGCTATCTATGACAAACCCACAGCCAATATCATACTGAATGGGCAAAAACTGGAAGCATTCCCTTTGAAAACTGGCACAAGACAGGGATGCCCTCTCTCACCGCTCCTATTCAACATAGTGTTGGAAGTTCTGGCCAGGGCAATCAGGCAGGAGAAGGAAATAAAGGGTATTCAATTAGGAAAAGAGGAAGTCAAATTGTCCCTGTTTGCAGACGACATGATTGTTTATCTAGAAAACCCCATCGTCTCAGCCCAAAATCTCCTTAAGCTGATAAGCAACTTCAGCAAAGTCTCAGGATACAAAATCAATGTACAAAAATCACAAGCATTCTTATACACCAACAACAGACAAACAGAGAGCCAAATCATGAGTGAACTCCCATTCACAATTGCTTCAAAGAGAATAAAATACCTAGGAATCCAACTTACAAGGGATGTGAAGGACCTCTTCAAGGAGAACTACAAACCACTGCTCAAGGAAATAAAAGAGGACACAAACAAATGGAAGAACATTCCATGCTCATGGGTAGGAAGAATCAATATCGTGAAAATGGCCATACTGCCCAAGGTAATTTACAGATTCAATGCCATCCCCATCAAGCTACCAATGACTTTCTTCACAGAATTGGAAAAAACTACTTTAAAGTTCATATGGAACCAAAAAAGAGCCCGCATCGCCAAGTCAATCCTAAGCCAAAAGAACAAAGCTGGAGGCATCACACTACCTGACTTCAAACTATACTACAAGGCTACAGTAACCAAAACAGCATGGTACTGGTACCAAAACAGAGATATAGATCAATGGAACAGAACAGAGCCCTCAGAAATAATGCCGCATATCTACAACTATCTGATCTTTGACAAACCTGAGAAAAACAAGCAATGGGGAAAGGATTCCCTATTTAATAAATGGTGCTGGGAAAACTGGCTAGCCATATGTAGAAAGCTGAAACTGGATCCCTTCCTTACACCTTATACAAAAATCAATTCAAGATGGATTAAAGATTTAAACGTTAGACCTAAAACCATAAAAACCCTAGAAGAAAACCTAGGCAAGACACTCAATTTTAAGTGTTCTCACTACAAGAAATGATGGGTGTGTAAGGTAATGCATATGTTAGGTAGCTGTATTAAGCCATTCTACAATGTATGCATACATATTTCAAAACATCATGTTGTACTTAATTTAAATTTGTCAATTAAAAAATAATTAATGTTTAAAAACCCAAACATTTAATGAATTATTATATTTAAAGACAAAGTTTCCTTGAGGACATAATTTATACTGTAAAGGAAGATATAGGTGTTTATTTCCTTTTATAGTTGTTGCTGTTATTATATATGTGAAAGACTGTTTTAAGATTGTCCACTTATATACTGTTTGTGTGTATGTATATATGTATGTATGTAATTACTAATTTATGTATGTACATATATACACACACACATATAACCTTATATATTGTAAGTTTAAGTATGGCATACAACCCCTACACAAAAATATATAAAGCCATATCGCAAAATATTTATAAACCATAAGCCTATAGATCAGATTTCAGTTTTAACCCCAGATGCTAACTTTTTACTGAATTGTAAAATACTTAAAATATTTAATATTTATGTAAAATATGTAACATAGGTAGGGACTATAGGAAAGAAGTAGGTTGAAAACAAGCCGATCAGTTTAGTGTTGAGTGAGAAAAAGTGTGAAGCTTCTTTGAATTTACATGAAGTTGAATCACCAATGGAAATAAATTTGGTTGTTGGTAGAGCATCCAATTGAGAAATGTACAAGTTGCATATGTTATGAAAAATAATCGAAGCCTTGGACTCAGATGAAGATATCTACAGACAGCATTTTGAAAAGAACAGGATGAAATCTGGAGCTGTGTGAAACACAAGTATTTAAGGAGTATGGGGAGGGAAACAAGCTGTCATGGATGAGGCATTAGTTCTATACATTCCTCCAGACTTGGAGTCAATGGATAGAAAATCTAGAAAAAAGATTTTTTAAAACAAATTTAAAAAACAAGACTTAATTATAAAATTGGAATTGATCACCCTGAAAAGCAGTGAAGGTCCAATGGCCACTAAATTCACAAGAGTGTATACGTCTCATCGAAGATTGTTATGGGGGTCCATCTGACCCATTTCCAACCCTGAATGACTATGATGTTATGATTCAAGACTTCCTTTTTATATTGAAAGATGCCTTATTGGTTTGTATGGATTTGAGGACATAGGATGTACAATAGCATTTGAGTTTATTTGTAGCAAGCTTTTTATCCCCGCTTTGCATAGAATACTGGTGCAGAAAATACAATTTACATCCTTTTCAATTGTTTCAGATTGAGCATCTATCACTTAAGTAAGGTTTGCATTCTTGGTTACCATCTCTTTACTAATTTATCTATTATTTTGGATTCAATGTAAAATGGGTAGGTACACAAATGAGAAGCAGACAGAATACCTGATCCTCAGGAATTTAGATTATAATGGGGGTGACAGACACATAAAACCCAGCACCTCTAGTGACAGTGTGTTTCTAGATGGGATGACAGCTTTCACCAATTGCAGCTGAACCTGTTTCAATTCAGGCCTGGGTAGCCCTAAATTCAGAGCTGGAATATAGGACCTCCTTTAGATATGGTAAACACACAATAGTCTCTTCCTTGCTATCTTCTAGTCCATAGCTCGCATAATCAATGCTATTTAACCAAAAATTTAAGTAAATGTCTTTGGACTGGTCTTAAATTAGTCCTCCAGCTCTGTCGCAGTGAGTCAAGTGGCTATTTCATGTTATTGTTATCTTTTGACAGGAAGGAGAAGAAAGAAAAAAATTAGCAAAGCAGCTAAAAATAGCACCTTTTGTTTCCTTTAGGTCTAGCATATCATTAATTAAAGGCAGAACAAGGTAGATTGAATGGACTTTAGAGATATGGTAAGATTCATTGATTAATGCAAAGATCTATTCTTTCCTGAGCCTAAGAAGGGGCCAGAAAGGTGATGAGTAGGAACAGAGAAGCAAATTTATAAGCCACTTAAGATAGGTTACATGCAGGTGGAAATCTGTTTTATATGATTTAGGTATCTCATTTCAAATGACAGTAAATTTATTTTCCTCATCTCTTGCTTTCATAATAATATCCCCATTCTCAGGAAGAATTCAATAACAAAAGTACACAAACCTCATCCCAAAAGTCTTGTAATATTGTGTAGACACGCTGATTTAATTTATATTGTGGATTTGGATGAATCTGTATAGTATTTGTAACAGAGTGATTAGAAATGTGTGCGTCCACATTAAATAACTGATTGCTTGTAAATTAAAAGTAGAACTTCCCTTAAAAGTCTGCATTGTGTTACTAAAAAATAATTCATAAAATTAAAGTGATTCTAAACACATTCTATCATTTAAAACAAGATTGTAGGTAAGCAGGGTGGTTTTCTTAAAAGCCGTTTCATGCATTTGACCAAGCAATTTCTGATGATCTTCCTACAACAGCCTCTTATATTTGGTTAGTTTGCATGAGCAAGATGACTTGTGACAGAACATTGTGAACACTGCCTCAAAACACACAAAAATGCCTGCTCCCCATTCTTTCTCACTGATGTGGCTTAAAAGTTTGACCTAAACAACGTGTGCGTGTAATAAGTTCACGGGCCGGAAAGGTAAAGTGGACGCTTTTTCTGCCTTATCACTTGCAGCATCTATTTTAAGGGTAAAATGACAACAGCCATCACTAGAGAGGCAAGGATGAATAAAGCAAGAATGAGTATCTTTTCTCTTTTGTCTGCACAGATCTTAACTTTTTTTTTTTTTTTCGTTTTAGCCACATCAGGTTATTATAATTACGCGACACTTACGGGAAGGAGGAGGGAAAGCAGGGAGATTAGGGGGGGAAATATGCCGCATGAAAAAACCAAGTGGACTCATGTTAGTCTTTGTATTCCTTTTTTAAGAATTTCCAAATCATCCCTGAATAGCTGTGTCTAAGACAAAATATGTTGACCTAGCTAGTGGAGACACAAAATTAATGACCTCTGTGATGTTTCTAGAGGGGCAGTACCTGCATGTACTCACTGGCTCAGCCATAAGTGACACACTGTTCCCCAAGTAAACATCTGCGCTTCTTCACTGCTCAGAACAAGAAATCCTTCCTCTGTAGATAATGTTAAAGGTGATTCTCTTGAAAGCCCGCAGAACATCAGAACTTGAATGACCTATGGCTCTACATTATTCGATTTAGGAGGTACACTCTTGTTTTTTATTGTGTCTGTGTCTGCTTCTCAGTAGCAGACCTATAAACACTGCTCATACTTATCTTACATATAGATGACAGGTAGAGTGTGCACCAGGGAAATTTGGTAGTGTCATTGAGCTTCTATATACACACATACTGCTCCTCTGCTACTCTGAGTCTGGATATGGAAACTGGAGTGTTGTTGTGCTTAGCCTCCACTCTAAAATTCTGCGTGGGAAAATTAATGTGCAATTTAAGAAAAACAGAAAAAATGCATTTTTTATTTAAGAAAAATAAGCATAGATGAATGAAAATACTTATACGGAATTTGGAATCTTTTAAAATATCCAATACTTTGGAATGTTTTAAAATATCCAACCCAAAATATCCAAAGTTAGATGTGTTTCAGTCATGCATTCATTGCAGTAAATTTATATCAGTCCTTTAAGATGAGAGATTGTTGCCTTCTGAAAGACGTGATGTTGCACCGTTTTCTTCCGTGTTTCTCAGAAAAAAGTATGACATTTTTATCATCCTCCCTCTTATTTGACAAGACCTGTTTTTCCCCACATCCTCCCTGCCTCATATGAGGTACAATCTCTGGAGTCTGTAATTGCCAGGAGATGAAGCGATGATGGGGAGTGATCACAGTCAATAGCTTTGATTAACAATAAGGTAGAAAATTAGCAATGCTAGCATTCAGCCACCCTGCCCTCTCCCTCCTCCATATGCTCTCTCAGTCCGTGCTGGCGGCCTCACAGAGGGCAGTCGGAGCCCTTCGCCAGCTTTGAAGTGTAGCAAAGGTGCAGGCAGGGCAGAGAATTAGGGAAATTAAGGAGAAAAAGTAGAAACTGTAAAAACCATGATGCTGAGACCTTCGCAGGGCTTAGTGTGCCGCAGGAGGGGCAAGGATGAAGCGTGCTGTGTGTTGTCCTTGTGTGTTTTTCTGTCACATGTGGATTTACTTGTGTCTGGACATGCTGTGATCGAAATGGCAACTACTGTTACTACTGTGACCCCATCAGCAGCTCTGGTGTTGTTTCCGACAGACCCTGAAGATGTAGAGAGGGGGAACGACCACGGGACGCCAATCCCCACCTCTGATAACGATGACAATTCGCTGGGCTATACAGGTAGAGTGTCTCTTTCCCAAATACTAACTTCCTCCTGAAATGCCTCCACCTCCATCAACCATCAACCACCTGTATAAAATTAATCGAATCATCCCTGCTTCCAGCTAACAACCACAATTTCTCATTTTTCAAACTTCATTCTGTTCATATCAGATCATATTGCTAAAGTAAACACTTTTAAGAACAGAAATGTACATGGAAACTGTAATCATTCTTATTGTTTTACTATGTTTAATACAAAAGAATGCTTATCAATCTGAAACTTTGATACTGCTAGTATTTTTAGAATGATATTTTCTTAGAAATTTAATATTTGACTAAGTTTTTATCATAAAGGAAAAAAACACTACCTGCAAGTAATTTGGATTCAAATTTATCTGTACTTTTTTTTTTTTACACTTGTAGTCTTAAAAACAAAAGAAAGCAAAACTCTTAGAGCGATGTAATTCATAACCACCAACTTACATCTTTGGATTGTGTTTGCATGACTTATTGTTACCTTATACACCAACGACTTCTGAAATAGATGCATGTGTACACCAGCATAATAGTAACAAATTAACTAATTGTATTAGAAATAATTGATATATAAATGTTTAAGAATGATCACCCTGGAAATATATGTGTCACATGGAATTTTTTGTTCTAAATATAATTGTATAATTTATATCTCTAACTCTGAGATAATTTGACTAAAACTTTAGGTAAGGAGAAGGAATACAAGACATCACTTATAACCCATTGAATTAGATAATGTTGTAACAGTGGTCTTGTTGTAAGATCAGCTATTTGTAATGTTCTCTTCATTGGTCCTTGTTAACACAGTTCTCCATAGACTTTGCTAAGTTGTGAGCTGTGTGGATAGGTTGTGTGTGTATGAGGTGGGGTAGTTAGGGTTAGAGATGATAGAGTCCTCTTCTGTATCATAACAATCATATAGATGATGGTGTTAAAAGAAAAACATAATTCAATAGGCACATTTCACTTTAGATAAAATAATAGACTTGATATTTTACTTTTGAAGCATCCTCACAGTCTTCATAAATATCATTCTCCAGTTTTGTTCCTTGCCTACATAATTGTAGGTTTTAAACACTTGAAATAAGTAGTACAGTTAATAAGACCTTTATAAACAACTTTAATATTGGTATATTTGTTTTGCTCTTATAAATAACTCATTTGCATTTTTCCTGTCTTCCAACATAAGAATGAGGATTCAAAGACCAACAAATGAAAGTCTATGGGGGTGGGATGGTGAGGGAGTTTGTGTGATACTTTCCCAGAAACTTAGCTACAAAAAAGTTGTAAATGTTATCCCTTAATACCGTCAATACCAAAGAAGTTCATATTTGTGAAAGGAGGAATCCAAGGTAGTATTCTTTCTCAGGGGTATCCTAATTTGCCAGTGCTTCTTAGTTCTATTCCCTTGTACTCACCCAGTCTAAACAACTGCATTGTTTTGATACAATAATAGAGTTTGCTCTTTATCTTTTGTGGATTTCCCAAAAATTATGTATAAGTAATGAATAAATCATGTTGGAGTCTTGAATTAAGAGAATTTAAATAACAATGCATTTCAGATTAAATATAGCATTAATGTTTTTCATTTTTATTTTTTCCCTTCAGGTTAATCAGGTGTCAGATTTGTCCTATTAAACATATCATTAGATAAATTAACATGAGGAAATAAACTTATAAAATTATCTTTATAGTCTATAATGGAACTAACTTAAAGTATTACAATTTAATGCAAAGTGACTGAAAGACAATCTTCTGAATAATCTTGTTCCTGAGACTGTAACTGTCTTTAACAACCTAGTGCTAAAGGAAGTCTATTCTGTATATTTTGTTTTGGAAAATTCTTGATTACTCAGAAACCTCTCTTCTGCTATACAAATCAAAAAATGTTATTTGTCTCTTTTGTTTGCATGTTAACCATACTTATATTCATTATAACTTCCATTGCAAGTGATAAGAACAATAAAGTAGAAAAAATAATGTTGACTGCATCATGACAACTGTAAAGAAAGATACCAATTGGCTATATAGTTGAGGAGTAATAGTTAAAAATATTAGTTAAAATTACCTACAGATATTGTTTTCTTTTGTGTGCACATGCATGTGTGTGAATGTCTGAATGTATGAATTCCCTGTACTAGAGTCACAGATAATTGAGTAGATAGAACCTTTATATTAGAGAAAATTGAGTTCAGAGGAAAGTGAGATGGCCTATCTGTCCAGGAACACTTTTATATATTTAATGTAAGTTGTCTAGAGTTTGGTATATCTGGAGTTTAATAACCCTGGGCATAGCAGCAAGAAGTTTTAAGAAATAAAATATACATATTAAGCAACTTAGAGAATGTGCAATGCAATTTTCACGTAAGTCATTGATATGAGTTAGTTACAAAACGATGTTAACAAGCAAGTATATTAGGTATTGTTTGTGGCATCTATATTTACACAATATCTCAAAATGGACTGTGCAGATTTTATACATCAGATGTTTATTTTTTTACTACATGTTGCTTCATTTCATTGAGGTAACATGTGAGACTTTTCTCCCTCACCCTAACATTTAGTATATATAAAAAAGAAAATAAACCTGTATAGTCCTGGAAAACATTTTTGGGGGGAACATGAAATAATCCCAAAAGAAGAAGATCATTATTTCACTAAAATTCCCATTTACATTCCCCTAATTATCCTTTTTTTCAATACTAAAAACAGTATAATTTCCACTGCAAGCTAATTTGTTACTACAACATCTGTTCTGATACTTAAGCCATTTGGGAGCATCACTATCAAACTGACCCATTTAACGAGAGTGCATGGATCTCATATCATACACATATCTTAAAATCTATATATCCACTAATGATCTAGTGAACAAATGATAATCTCTCATAATAGTAGTTGCTGCTTATATCATATACCATTCTAATCTAAATTTTGTAAGTGATTTAGTTGGGATCAAATTTTTAAAATGGAAATAGAGTATCAGGGAAGAAACATATTGATTCCTTTTCTCCTTACCATCTCTAGAAACAATGCTATAAAGCCATGTAAGGTTTTGAAATATTTCAGTTTCACTCTTACAAATCAATGAATGCAACACAATTTCTAAGGTAGCACTGTGGTATGTTATTAAAGTGGACTTGGGCATTATTTACAGTGAAGTGGCCCATTTCTTGTTTAACCACGCGTGTCATAAATATTGGGGGTTATTTAACAGTTCGCGGCATATAGCCTTTGTTGCAAGAACAAGTAAGAAGAGGTTTCAAATCAGCACTTTATTGGGTCAAACATACATCCAAAAGAGTCTGAATATGTAATAATCAATGATTTTTTGAAGAGGCTTTTGAAAGGAACAGAGTGTTTATTGACTGCTGGAAGTGCATATAGTGTTTCACAAATATAAAAAAATTAAGTAATAAATCTAAGAATATTGAAATTTCTGAAATATACGTATAATTTATGTATAGATTTCTGTCAAAAACTTTAGACAAGGACACAAAATTTAAAGAAAAATTTATTGATACATTAAAAATTCAGGGAATAAGTGGGTGCTAATGAAATCCTACTAACATTCTTAATCTTTTTACAAAGCAGTAATCAGGAAAGGAATTTAACATTATTCCTTTTTCTGAGTAACAAAAAAAGTCTGTAAATTTGACTTGAAATGTCTAAAATATACCCTTTGTCCCTAATTTTACATACTAAAATAAGAAAATGTCTTCCATCTCCACAGGTCTGTTTTAAGGAATAGGTGCCTATATTTACAATAGAATATTGGAAGAAATGTGATATGCAAATTTAAAATCTTAAAACTAAAAGATTATCAGAGTTTTGTCACTGTCAATTTAAGTAAAATCTAGCCATGAAATGTCAGAGGTTTCATAGTAATTTCAAATAGGGGTATTTAGGGCTTCTACCACTCAACACTACCTCCAAGTAAAGTTTGGTAATGATTGTTTAGAAGGAAACAAAATATATTCTCTTATTAAAAAAAACAAAAGAGAAAGAAAGAAAAGCATTGACAAATGAGTATGTTTGCCCATATAAACTTGAATCCAATCCCAAAACCTTGTTTTGTCTCATGCTTAGAAATTTCAACAAGAAACAATTGATGATGACACTGATTCTTGTGTCTCCCTACATTCTTCATTGTATTGCTTCACCATTCAAACTAAGCAAAAACACCATTTTGGTATGTGAATTTTTAACGTGTATGTACTGAATCTAATAACCAGTGTTCATTATTACTACACGCATGCAAGGCCATTTTCTGAGCACTTTACCTGCAACAACTCATTTAATCCTTACAACAACCCTCTAAGACAGTGCTATTATTAATAGAGACAGGGCCTGGGGTCTGCTTCAATATTCTAAAAGATAAATAGTTCAAAATTAATCACATCTTCCTAATCTCACATAGTCTTGAGTTTAAATGAGTTGTGTCTATAAGCTACATTTGGGCATGTAGTTAGAAATTGAACAGATCCACCATGTCAGATTTGTCAGAAATATTAAACATTATATAGTTAATCATTTTTCCCATTATCTTACTGTCACTTTATTTGTTAAATTAATAGTGAGAGTTTACATTAGTTTTACTAAGCAAACTATCCTTAGATGAGTCTGCTTCAGAGCTAAGTATGACACTGTAAGTACCTTTCCTTTTCTGTATACAATTGATTATTTTTTGGAGTCAATAGTTGCATTTTTTTAACATTCTAGATGCTCAATTATGTCCAGTATTCCATCAATCTGTGATTTTCTCTGACACCTCCCTCATTAAACCCTTCATATTTTTGTCCCAAACCCACTGGTTTCTCTTCAGACCCAAGACTTTCTTACATCACTCTTTTCTGTTGGATCTCCTGTTTCTTAGATCTAATTACTTTCTCTTTCCTGGTTTCTTCACTAATTAAAAGAAGCCTGTCCTCCAGAAAGCATATTCAAGAAAAGCTTGGAGAATATCAAAATCAAAAAAGTTTTACTAGGATGTGCTTGTGATATTCTGTCCACGCTTGCTTGTTGTTGATTTGTTTTCCTTCAACATAGGACACTAGATGGGCCCATTCAACCTGGAGAACTATTTATTTCAGCTATGGAAAATTTTCTTAATATTTTTATAATAATTTTTTTCATCTCTAGTTTCTCTGCTATCCTTCGGAATTGCTACTAGTCAGGCAGTGGGCCTCTTGGACTGATCCATTAGCCTCTTGTTTTTCTCTCCTAATTTCTAACTCTTTGTTTTTTTCTCCAACTTCCTGGGAAACAACCTTTATGTTTATTGTCCACAAATACTTTTATCACTGTGCTTAGTACATGGGGGTATATGAGGTATACTATCTTTTAAGATCAAAACCATGAATCACAGCCGGGCATGGTGGCTCACACCTGTAATCCCAGCAGTTTGGGAAGCCAAGGTGGATGGATTACATTGGGTCAGGAGTTTGAGACCAGCCTGGCCAACATAGTGAAACCCCATGTCTACTAAAAATACAAAAACTTAGCCAGGCATGGTGGCATGTGCCTGTAGTCCCAGCTACTCAGGAGGCTGAGGCAGGAGAATCACTGGAACCCAGGAGGTAGAGGTTGTAGTGAGCTGAGATCATGTCACTGCACTCCAGCCTGGTCAAGAGAGTTAGAATCTTTCTCAACAAGAAAAAAAAAAAAATCCATGAATCACTCATCTGTGGATCAATCTGGTGGCCCCATCATTAGCTTCTCTTTATAACCTTATGGATTACTAATTTATGCATAACAGGAAATTAATAAACATTTCTTAAAATGAAGATAAATTAAACCATCTCTACTTGGTACAAATCTATATTGGAAATAAAGTTATCAACTCACATCAATTTAATCAATTGGTTTAGTCTTTCAATAGTTCTGGGAAATAAATATAAATGTGTCAAATTTGTGATTTGTTTTGGGTGACCTCAATTATTAAGAAATTTTGCCAATTCTTGGAAAATATGCAAGCAAGCAAATGAGACAGAAATTAGCATCGTGGGTTAAATTCATGTCTCATACTCCAAAAGTCTTTTCCCTAGAATTCAGAGAAAAAGAAAAATGGTTTAATTTTCATAATAATGGACAATAGGTAGTAGACATGCGTAATTCTATCCTCCTGAAGAACACAGGACATGGGAGCTTCAAGTGGATTTGAGCATTAAAAAGTAAATTAAGCTCTAACAATAATTGGAGTCTGTGAAGAACAGTTTAAAGCAGTTTATCTTAATTATTTCTTAAAAATTAAAGGTTAATTGTGTGTTTTCCACACATTTATTAACACTATTTCTAACACTAAAGTTTCTCATTAGCACTTTGGAGACTTAAACCTTTCCAAGTGAACAAATATATATGTAGATATTTCTCGTTAGTAATTTGATAATATTTTCCGTGTGGAAAACTTGGGAGCTGAACATTTTGAGTTTTTATAGTGGGGAAGGAAAAGCAGTATCTGAACTTAAATAAAATATTTTAAATCTTGATTTTGATAGAAAATTTTCATTTAATTACTTTTGATAAATAGTTTTAACTGTGGAGAGATTGCTTCAAATTTTTTTTTTTTTTTTTTGAGTTGGAGTCTTGCTCTGTCACCAGGCTGGAGTACAGTGGTGGGGTCTCGGCTCAATGCAACCTCCACCTCCCGGGTTCAAGCAATTCTGCCTCAGCCTCCTAAGTAGCTGGGACTACAGGGACGCACCACCATGCCCAGCTAATTTTTGAATTTTTAGTAGAGATGGAGTTTCACCATGTTGGCCAGTATGGTCTCCATCTCCTGACCTCATGATCCACCTGCCTCAGCCTCCCAAAGTGCTGGGATTACAGGCGTGAGCCACCGCGCCCAGCCCAATTTTTAAAATATAAGCAAAAGCTACAAATTTTAGGGATGCCTAGGTAAGTAAACACACTCAGAAACACAAAATATACATAAAATATACAGGTGTTCATTAGGTATGCCAACATCCATAAGGTAGAATTTATGAAGAATTCAGATTTAAAGTTTTATTAAGAAATTTTAGGGAAATTTAAAGAAACAAATAATACTTGGGTTGTAGCAGCTACAGTAGTGACTGGCTAATTATTTGGATAATTCAGTAAGAATCTTTGTTTACCCAGCAATTTATGCAAGAAAATTAATATTTGCTGGGTGCAAAAGTAATTGAGGTTTTGCCATTAAAAATTGCAAAAAAAAAAAAAAACCCACACAATTACTTTTGTACCAGCCTAATATTTTTAGCTGAACTATTCTTCAGGTTGACTGCGGACGACTGGCTTTGGAAATGACTCTACTAACCTAGTAAGACTCGTACCTGTCTCAAAAGCCTTCAAAGTAGTACATGCCGATATCATGATGCTCACCTTCCAGTGAGCACAAGCCATGGGTACAGTCTCATCTCTGCACTTCTTTATATTACTGTTGTGGCCCTATGGCAATTATTGTCTTCATGTTTGTTTTAGTTTTTCAATTCACAGAAAGGAAATATTTGGCAGTCTACAAATTTTTCTTGAAAACCAGAAGACAATTGGCTAACCCTTCCTAATCTCTAATTCTTAGAGAGAATTTTGGACAATGATGAATTTTTCTCCTTGTACTTATTCCTGTAAATATTTTTTTCACTATCATAGACATCAGTCCACCTTCCATTTATTTCAAAAAGTTAATATTTGGAGGGCTAAGTGAAAAGTACGTATGTGTCTAAATAAAAGTAAAACATTTTACTGTTACTTTACATTGCTTGAAAGAAACTATTTAGTCAGCTACAGGTTGGTATTGCAGTGATATACGTGGGTATTACAGTAGGTTATGCCACAGTAACAAGCAAAAGTAAGATTTCCATGACAACACAACTTAAGTGTTCCCAGGCAAAGAAATGGAAGTTTCTTCCTCACTTAGGCCTCCCAGGTCAGGCGCACTCTATTCAACATGGTCACTCAGATTCCTGAGGCCAAGAGATGTCCCATCTTGACACAGGATTCTGTGACTGCAACAAGTACAATGATGAACTGGCTTTACAGGCTTCAGCAGAGAAGTAACTCCTGCTCTTTTTTTTTTTGTTTTTGTTTTGAGATGGAGTCTCTCTCTGTCGCCCAGGCTGGAGTGCAGTGGTGCGATCTTGACTCACTGCAACCTCCACCCCCAAGGTTCAAGCAATTTTCCTGCCTCATCCTCCCAAGTAGCTGGGACTACAGGTGCGTGCCACCATGCCCAGCTAATTTTTTTTTTATTTTAGTAGAGATGGGGTTTCACCGTTTTGCCCAGGCTGGTCACGAACTCCTGAGCTACGGGCAATCCGCCCACCTTGGCCCCCCAAAATGCTGGGATTACTTCTGCTCTTTTATTTATCCAAAGACAGCCTTGTGGACATACCTAACTACAACAGCATAGGGACATATAATCCTACTATGGCTCTTAGAAGAGGAAAAACTAAAAATACAGTCGGCCTTTTGTATTCACCACTTCTGCATCCATGGATTCAAAATCTCTTTTAAAAAGCAATTAAAAATAGTAATGCAACAATAACATTTATACAAACTTTATAATAGTACAGTATACCAACCATTTACATGGCATTTACATTGTAGTAGTAATATAAGTAATCTAGAGGTAATTTAAATTGGCCCGACCTGGTAGCTCATGCCTCTAATCCCAGCAATTTGGGAGGCCAAGGTGGGCGGATCACTTACGGTCAGGAGTTAGAGACCAACCTGGGCAACATGGTGAAGCCCCGTCTCTACTAAAAATACAAAAATTAGCTGGGCGTGGTGGTGGGTGTCTGTAATCCCAACTACTTGAGAGGCTGAAGCAGGGGAATCGCTTGAACCCAGGAGACAGGTTGCAATGAGCAAAGATTGCACCACTGCCTTCCAGCCTGGGTGACAAAGTGAGACTGTCAAAAAAAAAAAAAAAGAAGAAAGAGAGAAAGAAAAGAAAGAAAGAGAGAGAGAAGGAGAGAAAGAGAGAAAGAAACAAAGAAAGAAAGGGAAAGGGAAAGGAAAGGAAAGGAAAAGAAAATAGAGAAGGAAGGAAGGAAGCAAGGAAGGAAGGAGAGAGAAAGAAAGAAAAGAACGAAAAAAATAAGAAAGAAAAAGAAAGAAAGGAAAAGAAAAGAAAAAGAAAAGGAAGGAAGGAAAGAAAGAAAGAGAAAGAAAGAAAAGAAAGGAAGGAAGGAAGGGAAAGAAAGAGATTAAATTATACAGGAAGAGGCTTGTGGGTTATATGCAAATACTAAGCCATTTTATGTATGGAAATTAAGCACCTATGGATTTTGGTATCTGCAGGGGATCCTGGAACCAATCACCCACAGGTATGGAGGAACAACTGAAATTGGTAAATAGCACTAATCACTACTAGACAAGCAATGTAAGAAACAAGAAATTTGTCATTAGTTCAAAACATACACTACTTCCTTAAGGAAAGAACTTTAACCTCATAAGGCAGTTATGGTGCCATAACTGAATCTACTGAATATTTTGGCTGGTCATTATACTGTTATAGCAGCCTATCTTCAGTCCTTTCTTCACTTTATCATTGGAAAATAATTTTTTTGTTGGAAGCAATGTTGTGCATGATAACCACATATAGAACAATGCATTTAGTAAATGCACAGATGGTGGGTCTGCTACGCACGGAAGTATGGTAAGAAGGAAAGAAAATACATTCATAGAACGTCTACCCCAACTAAGGACAAAATTTACTTGTTTCTTTTCCATGGTGAAAGGAGTTCAATATAATTATTTGGCCACAAACTTGGCTTGGTAGACCTGATATAATATTGCATCATATTGATGGCTCAACATTGCTTTATGCAATGAGCAGACTGGGCTATAGGCAGTATTGGTGGTCATTCAGTTTTGTTGAGAGTAATACCATGTGATTAAGCCCATATATAACCTGTATCCCTGCTACCCTGGAAACACTGTTTATGAGCCAATTTTGCAAGCAGTGGGATGCTGGAGGAAGACGCTGAGGGACTCCAAGTAACTATTACTGATTGTTTACCGTGCTAAATATTTATTTGTAAGTGTTCACCAGGACAGTGATATCTTTATATTTTGAAATCATTCAAAGGATCCATCTCGTATCTCTTACCCAGACTTTGTTGTTACATATCCTTCAAAGTTCTCCCCTCTAAACACCCCAAACATTCATTCAGCCCTTTAGCCACTATCCCTGAATCAATCAAAGCACATTTTTGTGTTCTTAGTAACTACTTGAGCTTTGCCGATGCTAACTCCACTTGATGATAGAATACTTCAGTGCACATTTGTGATTTGAAAGATCAACCATCACCCAGTTCATGATGGTTGTATGATTTGGGGAAAATTTGGGTTTCCCTGATCAGAGGCTCAATCATTCCTAGACCCAAGTCACAAGATAGAAGATGGATTTCAAAGGAAGATTAATTATTGATTATTTTCCAAAGAGGTCACTGCTTTTTTAAAAAGTCCTAGGTGGTCTATGCTATGACTCTACAATTAGATCTTGCCAGAAGCACCATACCACATCCCAACACTGAACAATTATATTTCCTGAGGCATATTCCCCAAATAGTAGGACAGCCTTCTCTTGTTCTGCATCACACTCAAAAGTGGTAGCATGATGGGTCCCTTGGTGAATAGAGGATTGGCTCACCCAGATGTGGAATATGTTTCTTCCAAAATCCAAAAATACTACATACACAATGTATATAATGAAAAATGTGAGCCAAAAAGCAGCCACTTGTCTTTCACTTTGGAGAGAATGTCCTGATATGACTAGACCCCACAAAATTCACAAGAATAGTAGGTAGAATCCTAAATTTTTGTGGGATTTATCTCTTATCCATGGAAATGTCGATGCCTTATAAATGCATATAGAGTAATGGTTGCTTACTGCTCACCAAGATCTATGAGCCTAAGTTCACCAAAAAAAGCTGACCAGGATGATAAGCTGGGGACAGAGATAATCAACATCCCAGAGGAATAAAGAACAGAGAGTTGATGTAGCTCTTAGGTAACATAGTGAATATATGCTACTATATCTGCAAAGCGAAAGCAAAATGTTTTTAGTATTGTTCATTTACTGGAGAGAGAAGTGTGCATTTGCCTGAAAAGTAGCTGCATTTCATGTGCCAAGGTCTCTGTTGATTTTCCCTAATAAAGGGACAATGTCTGGAAGAGTCTTTAACATTTAAATCTCCACTGGGTTATTGTAATAGTCTGTTCTTATGTTGCTAATAAAGACATACCCAAGACTGGGTGATTTATACAGGAGAGAGGTTTAATGGACTCAGTTCTACGTGGCTGGGAGGCCTCATAATCATAGCAGAAGGATAAAGGGAGGCAAGGCAAGTCTTACATGAAGGCAGGAAAGACAGCTTGTGCAGGGGAACTCCCATTTATAAAACCATTTATCAGATTTCATGAGACTTAGTCACTACCATGAGAACAGTATGGGTGAAACACCCCTATGATTCAATCATGTCCACCTGGCCCAGCCCTTGACACATGCGGATTATTGCAATTGAAGGTGAGATTTAGGTGGGGACGCAGCCAAACCATATAAGTTATGTGTGCAATAATCATCATTATCTGAGATCTAAAAGCCAAAGAGTTAAGCTTAATGGGAAGTAAGTTCAGGATAAAGGCCTATTGTATATTTCAAGTCTTTAAAATTGACTTTTTTTTGAGGCAGAGTTTCACTTTTGTTGCCCAGGCTGGAGTGTAATGGCAGGATCTCGGCTCACTGCAACCTCCACCTCCCAGGTTCAAGCGATTATCCTGCCTCAGCCTCCCAAGTAGCTCGGGTTACAGGCTTGCATCACTGTGCCTGGCTAATTTTGTATTTTTAGTAGAGACAGGGTTTCTCCATGTTGGTCAGGCTGGACTCGAACTCCTGACCTCAGGTGATCCACCCACGTCGGCCTCCCAAAGTGCTGGGATTACAAGCGTGAGCCACTGCACCTTGCCAATAATTTCATTTTTTTACAGGGATGTGTTCTTTCATTTGATTTTTATATTTACTATAGAGTGACAATTCTAAAAGCTTCTTTCTATTAAAAAAAAAAACCTCACTCAATGGGCCAGGAAGACAATGTGTTATTTTGCCAATTGCTGATTCAATTATGTAATCGAAAACTGGCAGACTGTCGCAAGATGGATTTCTGGGCACATGGGCAGAGGTACTTAGGATAAAATTCTATCTTTTGACTGATGGAACATTAGTGTTTTGGATCTCTAGGTATTAGCAATATCAACTAGCCTGTGTTTCTCTTTCTTCAAAACAGACATGCTGATAAATGGGCTTTCTTTAAAGAAGCTCAGAGAGAAAATCAAAGCACATAAATTTGATATTTTGTGGTCCTTTTCACAACCACCTGGCTTCTCCCTCAGTTAAGAGTCTCTTTCAAGCTTCTGCATTGAGTGAGGGCTCATGAGCTCTCCATTTGGTGATAAAACATGACTTTCCAATTTATGAATCAAGTTAGGTCTTTTTTTTTTAACCACATCTCAATTTTTTTCTATTTAAAACTTATTTTTTTATTATACTTTAAGTTTTAGGGTACATGTGCACAACGTGCAGGTTAGTTACATATGTATACATATGCCATGTTGGTGTGCTGCACCCATTAACCCATCATTTACCATTAGGTATATCTCCTAATGCTATCCCTCCCCCCTCCCCGCACCCCACAACAGGCCCCAGTGTGGGTGTGTGATGTTCCCCTTCCTATGTCCATGTGTTCTCATTGTTCAATTCCCACCTATGAGTGAGAACATGCGGTGTTTGGTTTTTTGTCCTTGTGATAGTTTGCTGAGAATGATGGTTTCCAGCTTCATCCACGTCTCTACAAAGGACATGAACTCATTTGGACCTTGGTAAATCACAGGTATTTGAATTCTAGGAAGTAATAATCTCTAAACCACAGCAAAATAAACTTGGGAGTTCATCAACTACTATGAAAACTATGTTTGCTTTGTCTCTGATCGTTAGCTACGACCATTTTGGATTGACCACTCCATGACCCTGTCATCCCTCCTGAAATCAAGGACTGATTTCAGTGGCGGTTACTTCCTAACTCACCCTAGCCAACAAAGAACAAACACGACAAAGCCTTTCAGATGTGCAGGAGCACTTCTCTGGAGTGCAAATGCCTTGTTCAAGGGAATGACTCTGGACCCTTCAGGAGACAAAGCTGGAAGAGGAGTAAGTATGTCACATATGAAAAATCAATTCAAATATTCATATTCTTCTACATCAGAGCTGCCCAATAAAAATATAATCCATGCCACAGATGCAAGCCGCATGTGTCATTTTAAATTTTCTAGTAGCCATATTTCAAAACAAAGTAATAAGAAATGGGTAAAATAATTTTTAAAACTTACATTTTGTTTCACCCAATATAGCCAAGATATTATTGTTTCAACATGTAATCAATACAAAAGGTATTATTGAGGTACTTCACATTTTTTGCACTATGTTACACTTAGAAAAACATCTTGCTTTGGACTAGCCACATGTCAAGTGCTTGATAACCACATGAATTCCTCTCTCTCCATTCTGCCAAAGAATTCCTGGTATCTAAACCTTATTTACTAAAACATCATTTGTGTCTAAGTTTTATTAGTCAATACCAAGCACACAGCTGGAACCATTTCCAGCTGCTTGAACTAGCCCTTGTATCCAGTATCTCCATTAAATGCAACCATAACAATAAATTCAGCTACTTTAAAATTATTTTCTTCTTTTCTGGTCTAGCACAATTAGAATAATATCCTGTAGATATTGTCCAGGTTTCTGTTGATATAAGTTATTAGAAGGCTAGTAAGCCTTCTCTCCCTGGGTTGAATAGTTACAGCTGTGACGTGTTGGGAAATGAATATGATCTTTGCTCTAAAGGTAATGAGCAGCGATGGAATGGGATACAAAGTGAATGAGTAATTTTTAATGTGATAACTACCTCCAGTTCCCAAAGCGAGGCAGGTCCAGCACCATACAATAAGAAGAAAGGGCTCTTCCTGCTGGCAAGGGAAAAGTAGTGTAATTTGGGAGATCAGGTATTCAGTTTTGTCTGAACCCATCCAGCTAATTCCTTTCTAGTTTTCAGAGCCCTGCGCATTCCCCAATCGATCCTCTAAACTTTCACACAAGAGGCCTGGTTAAGGTAAAAAGTCATTCTATAATGTAATTTGGCAG
The DNA here is from genome assembly GCF_000001405.40 of Homo sapiens. NCBI lineage: Eukaryota > Metazoa > Chordata > Mammalia > Primates > Hominidae > Homo > Homo sapiens. The sequence goes on along the minus strand of NC_000003.12, from coordinate 79,111,258 downwards.
CCTCAATCCAGCAATGCTGTCACATTTCGGCTACAATAGCCCTATGGCTATTAGACAAAAGAGATTCTCTGTGTTCCTGATTATGCCTGAACCAAGAAGTTAAAACCTGGGTATATTGTTTCTATAAATGAGTCAGAGCGATCAGAAGCAGGTAGCCCACCCAACAGACCTTGTATTCTTTACTAAAGTCATAATAGTCTATTGTAGAAATCACTGAGTTTTCTAGAGGCTTGTAGTAATTGGCTCTTCATTAAAGGTGGCCACAAGTGATATATTATGACACTGTAGTGTCACTGCCAATGTCTCATTTTCAAATTGCATTCAGATTTCATTCACTTCAAGTGTGGGCATGGTAGCTCACACCTGTGATCTCAGGACTTGGGAGGCCAAGGTAGTAGGATCACTTGAAGCCAGGAGTTTAAGCACAGCTTGGGCAACATAGCGAGACTCCATCTACAAAAATTTAAAATTAGCCAGGTGTGGTGGTGCACACTTGTAGTCCTAGCTACTTGGGAGGCTGCAGTGAGAGGATTGCTTGAGTCCAGGAGTTCAAGGCTGCAGTGACCCATGATCTTGCCACTGCACCCCAGCCTGGGCACAGAGCAAGACCCTGACTCCAAAAAAAAAAAAAAAAAAAGTTATTTCCCTCACTTCAAATCAATAATCAAGCAGGTGAGTTAACAGATACGAGATTCTCATTCTTGAGATCCTGTGGCCAACAACTAGCATCTGCTGCATGGTGGGCCTCCAGAAATGACAGGAGGTATTTTAAGAAGATTTACTCGGTCAATTGGGTGTTTACAAAATCGCTGGAGAAAGAAAAGAACTTAGGCCTCTAAAATAATGTCTAGAATAAGTCAGCACAAGTAGTCCACCAGAGAAACAGTCAAGAAATCAGGTAACAAGAGGCCACACAGAAATGAAAATTCTTCAAGTCTGAGCTTCCAAGTTGTCAGTGAACTAGTATTGTATGATATATGTATATTATATAGTATTATATAAATATTATTTCTGAAAGTGTAAAATGTGCCCAATTCACACTCACTGTAATAACTTACATTTAGTGGGCACACAGCACTGATTATTTGGCATCATCTCATATAATCCTCACAGCAGCTTGGCAAAGTAGGTTTTATTGTCCCCATTTTGTACCTGAAGGGACCGAGTGAGAAAGAGATTAAAGCAATTTTCCTAATTTGACACACTATCAAATCCAGGAAATCTCGCTTCTATTCTCAGTTGCTTCTCATACCAATGTAGGGGTCATCTGCAGTAAGCTTCATGTATTATTAATAATTGCCAAGTCAGCATGTATAAGCTTTCAAATTACCACAGTTATCCAATTAACCCATAGTTACTTATGTAGCCTTTAGTGCTTCTTTCCAGGAGCAGACTAATGAATTTCAGTATAAATGATTATACAAGTAGGAAACAAAGGTCATGAAAAAATGGAACACCTCATAATAACTGTTACATAAAGGGCTTTTTATTCCCCCAAAATCAATTTTAAAGATTGACGTCTCAGTAGCCTCCTAGTCAATTTTAATTCTAGTGCTATTCGGTTAGTTCTAATAAAATGTTTAAAAACTAATAATAAAGATATATCAATTTCTTAAGTGTAACGCTTTAGATTTACAGATGATATAAGAGAACCATGCGTAAGTAATAAAAGTGTAAAAACATGCATGGGAATGATTTATAGCAACATCAAGGTGCTAGCTATCTTTGAGAAAGCAGAAGTAGAAAGCAATGAGGAAACAGCTATAGCAATATCTGTAATTATTTTAAAGAGAATTTAAAACAAACAGAAAAAATTTAATAATGCTTCATTTATGTGGTATGTAAATGAGTGTCTATTACATTTGTGTCATTTTTGCATGTGTGAAATATTTCACAACTTGAGATAAAAGAGTTTTGAGACATTAACATTAATTCTTAAGAATTATTACAGTTCTATTAGATTCCATTATATAATACAGCATACTGTGTATGTCAAATGTTTTATGCTAGCATCTGCATTTTTAAAGCTACTATATAACAGAACTTTGAATAAGTACCCCCAATTGACACAGCTATGTTAAAATAAAACCTAAAGAAAAAAAAAACTTTAAGACCCAAATCTTGTAAAACATGCTTTTGATGTGTTGGGATTTTAAACATCCATTCAGATCAGACATGACCTTAGTTTTAAAGATACAGTCCACAAACAAATGCCTGTAACTAATTTTTTCTGTTTTAAAAAAAAAGAAAGAGGCACTGTGATATACCTTAACCTTAAGCTATAAAGAGCTGCATAAAATACTTATTATTTGATTTATGCTTCAAAATATATACAACATATAGTTTTTGTGACTAAATATGCTTGTTCATTATTTCTTTTCAAATGCAATTTAGATGTTTTCAATTTAAAAAGAACTGGTGGAGATGCACAAAATCCTTTCACAAAGAACTGTACTGAGCCAAATTACCATTCCTAGAATAGGGGTTTGCCACAGAAATCCTCATTAATAAATATGTTCTGAAGAGACTTTGTCTATTCACTCTATAATTTAATCAAGACGTTACTCTAAGACAACCAGAGTTAGGGCACCCTTATTCACCCAGCCTTTAATATGCATATAGTTTCTTTAAATTTTAACCTATTGCTCTTGTATTTGTTTCTATCTTAAATTTCTACTAACAGTAGTGATACACAGAAATATTCAGAATTGTATTCAACAATTAAATAATGGTTGTCTTTACACTAAAAAGGGATGCTTCTAGACAAAAATTGTTATTAACATTATATTTTAATATAATACATTTCTCTAGAACTTAATTCAAATGGAAGTACTGGTATGAATGTGCTAACTTTATAAAAAGTAGTTGAATGGACATTAGTTTTTTTTTATTTATCTTTAAAGTGACTAAATAGGTGAACAAGTGAATTATGAGAAAAAGTTAATATAGAGTCACCTTTCAATGACAGAAATGCATTTTTATACGAGTAACTGTAACTTCCCTGTTGCTTCTGCTGTCTTACATGAATGAGACATTTATGTCGATGTATCTTGGGGTACTTTCTATGTATCAAGGAAGAAAAAGAGAGAGTTGATCAAAATCAGTAACTTTCCAAAACACACATACTATATTCACTTAAATTTATTTTGCAGGCTACTGTCAGAATCAACAACTTCAATTAAAAGCAAAACATTAGTGATTGCTTAAACAGATCATGAAATAAAAGACCTATGGTGTATTACTGGTATTAACAGCATTCTGACATACGTAAGAAATCATTTGATTATTTTATTAAGAATAAGTTACATTGCTTATACATTGAGCATCTGTATTCTACTGCAACTAACACAATTTGTTTTATCAGGTTCAAGGGAAAATTGTACTTGTTGATATTAATATTATCTTAACTCTTTATTTCAGTGTTCCAAGTGATAATTTAAATGAGCTCTAACAGTTAAGACTTCTCAAACATGCTAGAAATATGTCAATTAATAAGCTTCATTTACTTAATCAATTCAACAATATCAACCAATGTTTGTAAATTACCTGTATTGAGAGTTTTACTGATTACATAAGTAATCACTCTCAATACAGGTAATTTAGAAAATAAAGAAAAGCATAAAATACAAAATTATCAACACCCAACATTTTAATATGCAAGCAGTCCTTTTCAGCCACCTATAATCACAGCGAGCAAATTCTACTTAAAAAGAATTCACACACATAAAAAGGCAAGTGTAAAATTTCATCAAGATTGTAAAAGTAACTAGGATTTTATTTTTAAATGAAACAACATACAAAAAGTAATTTATATGATGCTCAGTAAAATGTATTTTATGTTTGCAACTCTGCTATAACTCTTATAATGAAACAATGAATTGAGCATTAATTTTAACACAATTTATCAGATAATCCTTGTGTGATAAAATGATATGAAACGCATCACTTCACATGTGATGCCAATATTATCACAAAAGGGTCATGTGTTTAAAAATTACCTGAACACTCTTTGCGTAGCACCTATTTTGTTATGCTTATGAATTTTTTTCTTTAAACTTTAACTCATCTAACTACTGTAATTATCCTTTGCCAAGTGGTGTGTGTGTGTGTGTGTGTGTGTGTGTGTGTGTGAGAGAGAGAGAGAGAGAGAGAAAGAGAGAGGTATAGATAAGCAGTTTTCCAACAACACTTTCATAGGCATCTTATTTTGTGAAATCCTGTATCTATGGTAAGCTTTGCAATTTTACCTTATAAATGATATATTTTGTGTTGACTTCAGATTATTGGATTAGCTGAGCAGAGCAACAAAGACTGACACAATGAGCGGAGATAGATTCTATACATAAGTAGGGAGGAATATTTGAAGGGGACACATTTATAGCTTGTGACTTTGTGAATGTATTCCTGTAATAACAACTTTCACTTTCCTGTGCAACTTCACTGCTTTGGATACTCAGATAATGAATATGAGGACAATAATTACTTGCCATTTATCATTATTGTGCTTTGATGTGTATATATTTTTAACTTACATTTTTTTTTTAGTGTCTGTATTGCTTGCAACCTGATGTACTATGTCATTCACACTCGTGTTAACTCAGAAGTAGACTTAAATTTTAATGTAGGTCTAGGATTTAGCACTTACTTGAAACTTTAGGTGTTTGCAAAAATAATTCATTCTTAACATAATAAATGCACTAAGCACAGTCAATTGTTTATTTATATTAATATAATACATGAGGAAAGTGCTAATAGAAATCCAGGTATTTCTATAGTTCAGAGCCTGTTCCATAATATCAAAAATAGAATTATTTGTCTTGTTTTTTCAGGCAATGTTATGTTCTGAAAGAGAAACCATTTGTAACAATTAAGGCTCATTAAAAATGTTGTTAATTTAATGAACCCCGGAGAATGTGATATCACAATAATAAAAAAATGAGCCGCACTAGTATATTCTAATAAAACATGTAGCTTTTTGCTTCCCAGAGGGAACTCATTGGGTAAAACTCTGATTTATAGGCTTTTAGAAACCTCTTAACTAGCAAAACAATAATATGTTTTCATTCATATGGTACACTTCTTTTATTTTTAAAGCAGACAATTTGCTTGTTTAAAAAGAAATCATTGTTAAAAGACTATATTGTTTCAGCTAGTCAAGTTGCTTTGATTTTAAGCAAGATATCCAGCTCTGTGAATAGCAATTCTGTTACCATACTAAATTTGTTAGATTTTCCAGGATTCACAAGGACTTTCAATATATACATTACCTTACTTTAAATTTAACAGAAACCAAATGGGTAGAAATTAGAATCCAAGCCAAGATCTTTGGGGACCTCCGGCAACTTACAAAGACAATCCATTCTACAAAAATAAATATTTCCCAAACCTATATACACAGCAGGAGCTTCATAAACACCAACTGGTAGCCAAAACCAACACTACGCTGAAATTGGTTAACACATCTTTCAGGCTGATAGCATGTAGCTTTGTGGTATACTCTTTTCATTACATACACATGATGACACTAAGGATTTTTTCAATGCAGTTTCCTCTTTCTCCCACAATATCTTTGTTTGCAACAATGCATAACTTTAAACATTTTAACAATGTCAATATAAATATAAATTTAGATAGCATGCTTCCTTTCTCTATTACTATTCACCACAGGCATGAAATTCATAAGATAAAATTAATATGTGAAATCCAAATTAAATCTTGGAATACTTACTTTTTTTTCACCTATAGGTTAAGTAAACTTACCAAATTGCTAGCTGGCTCTCCAAATTGCTACACCACTCGATACTCCCATCAGTAGTTCATCAGACTGTCAGACTAACAGGTGTACAATCGTATTATATCACTTAATTTTCATTTCTGTGATCTTCAGCAAGTTGCAGTTTCCCTTTGAATGCAATGATCTTTTGTGATTCCTCTTCTCTAAATTGCCTGATTATGCACTTTGTTCATCTTGCCCTTACACTCATGGTTCTTTTTCTGTTGATTCTCAGGAATTCTTTGTCAATTTTTACATGCTGTAACTATCTTTTTCCGTTAGTAGTTTAACTTACATCTTTCCCCACGTGTGTTAAACAGAAATCTTTCATTCTCATACAAATTATACCATCATATTTTGCTTTATGGTTTTCTTTTGAATTTACTCACAAAGATGGTCTCCTAGATTTTTTTGTATTAACTTGATAGGTGGACTTTTTACATTTCAGTTTTTAATACATCTTAAGCTACTTTTTATGTGTCTTTAAATTTGCATTCATGTAAGTCAGTTTCTCCATGCCATCTACCAAAAACACCTGCCGTTTTCCATTGGTAGCAACTTCTCATGGATTATATCATCATATATGTATGGGTCTGTCTCTAAGCTCTCTTTTCTGTTACATTAAACTATATGTCCATTCTTGTATTAATACAAACTGTTTCCATTGCTATGGCTTTGTTGTAGCTCTTCAATTAAGATAGGGCGAGGGGACAGTTGTCTCTCTCACTCTTGCTATCAAGGAGCATGGACTATGTTTACATTAATTACAATAATCTAGTAAAGTAGTCTTGGGCTAAGTAACCTCTTTATGCTCAGGATGATATGAATAGTACCGAACTCGTATGGCTGTGTGAGAACTGAAGAGTGATAATGCAAGCCTATCGCTGGACAAGTGACTCATGCATCTTAAATATGCAATAAGCAGTAACTCAATAAGAACTAATAATAAAAAAAATCAGAAGGTGCTAAACCAGGTGTCTGCTCTTGTTAAAGAACAGAGACAATCTATACAGCATTGTGATTACACATCTATTTTACTGTAGTAATATTCAGTACAACATCAGGCATATTTATCAGCGAGTAATTATTTGAAAAAATAAATGTTCACATGCTGTTCTATCATGACTTATTATTTCAGGAAATAGCCTAACTTCAAGTAAGGTAGTTTCTACTAATTCAGCTTCACAACTTAACCAACACTAACTTGAAACACATTTTTAAATTGCCTATTACATAATCTGTGTAGTAACACGACTATGAAAGCGTTCATGACTCCTTGAAATACTAAAAGAATTCCACAAACTTGCACTATGTTTACTCTTATTTTCAAACTAGTGATACTTTACCCGGCTTCAACATCCAGCTCCTACTTCCGGCCAACAAATCAAAATCCCTAGGTCGGAGATAAAACACTGGTGTTTTGTCTTAAAGTCTCTATCAGATGATTTTAATGTGTTGTCAGAGTAGAGAGCCAGTCCATTTAGCAGAGGTTCGGGCCATATTCCTCCTCCCTTTCCTATCATAGGCTCCCAACCATTGTCAATCCCTGACCAAATATAATATTTGCTAAATTGAAATGCAATTTTTTATTCATATCCTGCAGTGACTTTAGTTGAGGCCAAATGCCTTATATAAAATCAACAAATAATTTTCTTTGATGATAGCAAAGTCAGAGAAAGCTTAATCCTCATATTTACTAACTGTAATTTTTAATTAAACAATTAGCATATATATGTATATATGTTTGTGTCTGTATATGCATGTGTGTTTATTTTTTCTTAGTCAAAGTGTTGTTAAAGAGACTTTAGATGTGATAAAATTTATATTTAATAACCTTAGATATTTCACACTATTAGGAGAAATCATAAAGGTGTAGTCTGAGTTAGCTATTTGCTTTTTGTTAGATGTCGACAAAAATTTTTAAAGATAGAAGAACATTAGCAAATGCATAGGGCCGTTTTGCTCTTGTAAACTGCTTACTCAACAAAAAACATCCATTTGTTTAAACTAAGGTTAGCCTTTGTTTATTACAGTAATTACTTCTGTTCCACTGGAGATAATATGCTTAGTGTCTCAAGTATATGTGAAACCTATCTCCTAAGAGTCAGTAAGCCTCAGTCAATAATGCAAAAGCTGACCGAAAACCGGTGTCTTAGTTCTGTTTACGAATGTACCAGTAGCTCATTCCTGTTTGTATGCATTAGTCCATATTCACTTTTTAGCTATGTCTTACTTTTTGTTTTTGTTGTTTTTCAATTAAAATATGCATACTCCCATATGAATGTTTAACATTGGTAAGTCTAATAAATTGCATCTAGTTCATGCAAACAATATGCTAATATAATTAGATTTAATTAGATGTGCTTGTTTTAAGTGGAATTCAGTTAAACACATGTATTGGTTTCACAACATATCAAATAATGTGATTGAATCTTTTACTTTCTATCTTCTGATTTTAGAATCATATTAGACGAACTCTTCGATTGTTTCCTTTTCAGTTTTTCTTTTATTTTATCGTCAAATACATACAACATTTTTATCCCAGGCCACTAGGAATTTCTAGCTATCAATTCTATACATAATCTAGTTAACTATTCTTAATTAGAAGAATCATAAAAAGCTCCTTGAAAGAAAATCTAAAAATAATGACCATCATAAATAATGAAACACTTCTAATAATTTATTAAAAGCAAAAAAGCACCAATAACTTTTATGTGCTTCTCTCTTTGGACATACACATCTGCTTTAGTGACTTTTATTCAGTAATGAGTCCCAAGCATAGTCAAGTTCTGTCCAAGTGAAGTAAAAATAATTTGCTAAGGACCTTGCCAACTCCTTCTTTAAATTATTTTGTCAACCAACCATGGCCACAACTTATAACTGCCATGCTTCCAATACTTTGTTTCTTAATCTTAAAAGTGATACATATAAAAGTGATTCATGTAAATTGGCAAACAGGAAGTTTTGGATATCTAGTGATTACTTCCTAGAAGTGCTAAATCATGTCTTGGCCTCATCTATGTGTTTTATGGCTGCAATTTATGATGTTTAATAAGCTTAATTCCTCTCTTATGATTGAAAACCTTGGACTCTCAGAACTTCTTGCTGATGGTTTGGCCTCTTGTTACATTACATAATCATGATGCTATGATAAGGACCATAGCCTTGTATCTGTAGTCGTTCAGGTAAAACACATTCCCTTAACTGAAAATAAATAGGTTTGGAAATAAAAAAGAAGAATACTATCTATGGTACAAAATTATACATCCTTTGAATCTGAAAATGGAATCTATTTTTACAATAAACATCGTATGCTATTATATGAAAGGTATTATTTCCTGAGAAGTAAATGTTGAAATAGTATATATTTTATGTGCACTTTTATAGATAATTTTAATAAAAATGGATCTACATATGTACAAATACTGATCAACATTATTACTAAAAAAAGAATAATGGTGTGGAAATTAGGTAGGTCAAAGCTCTGACTACATCCTCCAGAGTATAATGAGATCAGCTTCAATTAAATGAAAACTGTGTGAGCTGAGCAATATATTGGTTCACATGAAACTTGTTTGACAAAACTTGTTTGCATTTATTGACATTTTGTCCAATTGTGCTTTAAAATTAAATCCCATCACAACTATCTGTGCTCCTCTAAAATGTTTAGATTCAAACAAGTAAATCTTACAAAGAAATCCTGGTAAAATCTTTAAATATTTTTTGTATTTGTACAGCCTTCACAACATTGTGGAAATAATTACCATTCTTGATGTTAAACTATTTATAGCTATCCAACTTCAAAATACACACATGCGGAAGCTATTTCTCTCCTTTCAGGTTCTTGTAATTCTCAGATTAGCAGAGCTCTGCCAAGAGTAAAACCCCAAAGAAAACGGTGAGGATGAGAGCCTTCAGCAGAAGCAAGTGAGATAATATGAAGCTCCAGGGTGAGAAACAGGAACTCAGAGACTCTGGGCGGAGAGGCAACCGCTAGGCAGGTGTCACATTCATTATTAATTCATCCAAAACGGATCATGCCCTTGTTCAGTAACGTCCTCAAATTACTGTTATATGGCATCATTCTTATAAATGTAAAATTTTGTTTACAGTGACTCACATTAACAACTGAGGTTTGAATCACAAATTGTTAATAAGAGTTTGCGCTGTCCACCCATGAGATTTGGCAAAGCTCATTTGTGGCTACATTTGTTCTCAAACATGGCTTGGCCACCAAATTTGTCTTTTAACTCATGAATATCATTAGGCTTCTGTCTTATGTGCTGTATTGATCTCAATTCTCCAAAGCGTTCTCAGGTGCCAGAGTAGCTATATCTGTGTTTTTTAAAAATGATTTCTGCTCTTCAATCATGGTGAAGCTGTTTCTCCCATTGCCCCTGGAAGCTACTCTATCTGCATAATACACAAATACCTTCAATATATACCTCTGACCATCTGCTAGATTGGCATAGCCCTGATTAAGGAAAAAAACACCACCTCTCTTCTTTGCCATAGGTACTAATAACATTCAGTTTAGCCAACCAGCTTTCAAAATCCTGTAAATTATAGATTATCCTGGAAGAAATCTCTCTTCTGTTAAAGAACAAAACAGTGGTGCCTCAAGCTTCTTTTCAAAGGGACCCATCTGTTAATTAAGAGTTCAAATAGTCTTATCTTGAAGTCTTCCCTTCAAACCGCCCTTCTGCTTAAATCTGGGAAATATCTTTATTAGAGACCTTCCTAGAATACATAAGGATCAGATGAGCACAAAAGCCCACAATCCCCTGAACATGCTTTCAAATGGATGTTTGAAGACTTAGTGGAAACTTATTATTTGTCACTTAACATAAATTATTTCAGCGTTCTGACCCAAAGTCAGGCCGAATTTAGATAGGATGATAGGATCACGTGAATTCATACTATTGTTCTTCTGCAGGAGACTAATTCATTCTTTGCAGTTTTTTTTAATTGATTCCCGTGCTCTTGGGCTGGCTATTGTGTCTTTAAATTCAGCTTCCTAACCTGCTCACTCTTCTCTTCATGCTAATGAAAGCAGTATAAATAAATAGTAATATGGTTTAGGGAAAAAAAGAATAAGGTTTGGGTAAGGAAGACTTCCATCCAAATTGATTATGTTGCTAGCCAATAAATGACATTGGAAACACTACTTCTCCATGAAAGAGAGAAATAACTATCTCAAAATGTAAACTACCATCACATTACAGTACAGTGACTGGCAGTTAATAGACATTTCATAAACATTAATTTATATCCATCACTTTCAGATTAAAAAGAATGATGGTGCCCAGATGTGTTTGGTATCATTATTTGATTTCTGTGTTTCCCCAACTGTAGTGGCCATTCCTCAATAATGAAACAACAAAAGCTGGGTAACATAGAGGAAGTTTTGTCTTGGCCATATATTTGTTACCTCCTTAAGACTTTTTAAATTTCATGGTATTTCTTTCCCCGCTAACCCTGGACTTCATACAGCTACCCAGCAGCCCAGAATAGAGAATAGGACCTAGTCCACCTGCTGTCAAATTTACTGGTCTCCTTCCAATTCATTCCCTGGCCTCTGCAGAGGATATAATACATACGACTGAGTTATTTCCTCCTCTCAAAACACATCATACCCAGTTAAAAAGATCTTTTGGGAGTTAGGGTGGTAATTGAGTTACAGAACCATGAATGGCCAGTTGACATATATACAAACAAGGCAATATATACTCCCATTTCAGTATTATCTCCATTAAATTACAACACTTCTCTGCATAAAATATGCTTATAATCTCTGATGACAAAATTGTGAATTCTTATTTTTAAATGATGGAAATATATCTATATTTTTCAAAGATAACTATAATATGGTGATCTACACAAATCCAAAGTTGTGGATTTTTTTCCATTGAGCTACAAACCAAGGCAAAAATTTGATCACACATTTTCAAACTTCCATCCTTTTTGTCCTCTGGTTGCTTCTCAAAAATGGCCCTTACCTTCAAGTCTATCTCAGTGTCACCTCTTCTGAGGCTTGACCTGACTTGCTCCAAAAGGTCTTATTTTGTCTTCTACTGGCACTTAGGTGGTTCTTGTTTATACTACACATCAAGTAATTGTTAATTTATCTATCTGTCTCCTTCCCATTTCCTAGACTGTTTGCACCTCTGGGATAGTTAAGTATTATTCATTTTTTGTGTGCCCAATATGTAAGCACAGTGTTTGGTGCTGAGTGCTTTAATTATTTGATAGGATTTTCTGTTAAAAAAATACAAGTGTGTTTTGAAAAAGCAAGCCAATCTAGAGGCAGAAAAAGTATGTTTCCTTTCCATTTTTAATAAAAATGTCAAGTAATATTTTTTAAAGTTCAGTTATGAAAAAGATTAGGGCTTAGAAGAGAAAACAAGAATTTTTGAATATCTGAGTTTTCTTTTTGTCATATAAAAAAATTAGTCACATACTATAAGGAATTTTTTTCATTCTTTTCCTGGGTTGCATAATCATCTATGGAGAGAAAATATAATACATTGATCACCCATTATCAATGGGAAATTTCATAGTGATTGTTAGGAAACGTTTATGGAGGCAGAAAATTGTAAGACCAGACCTTTTGTTCATCTTCATTCATCTGTCGGCCATCTTCGACAGTGACAATATGAAAAAGTATGATACAGAAATAAATCTGAAAAAATTAATTAGTTAATTCTAAAAGAAGCCAAAAAAAGCCTCTTCTATGGCCTTCTAAAGAGAAAGGTATTCTTTGAAATGTACTCTTTTTCTGGTTTACTGTGTATTAACAACTATGTGAAACACTGTATAATCTATTTTTAAGACTACATAAAATATTTCATCTGTTTCTTATATATAGTCATGCTACATAGTTTAGAAGTTTATTCCCATTGGGTGTAACCTTTGTCATCTAGATTCAGTAAATGCTTAACAGGCATAGGCCAGAACCATGTGTGTTTTGCTTTAAGGGTAAATAATCTACACTGAGACAGACAGCCCCTGAGAATATTCCTCCCATATGTCAATATCATGGTTCTTTTTTCAGCATGCCTAATACATCATGTCATCAGTGTGGTCACAGCAAGACAATGGCAATGAGAACCCAGGATTGGACATATTGCTCCTAAAATTCCTTCTAGAATACAAGACTACTGTCTAGCTATTAAAATTCTGCATGAGGATTACTGTCTCTAGTAAAGCCACATCAGGAACCCCAGTTAAACATAAGGACAAAGAAAAGTAAGCAATTTACATATTGATCTGTCCACAATGATAACAGTGTGTACAATTGGAAAGTGAGCAGACATATGGGTCATTCCTCAGCCTATAAATCTCATCTGTGTAGACACAAAAGAATACGAGAATGAACAGGCATTCTTTTTTGGTTCTCAGTCATCAAACCACTTTTTTTCTAACTTTCTTGTCTTCACTTCTCTATGATGAGTAACTCTTATAAGTATACTGAGGGAAAGAAACTGGTGTCTGCTTTCTGGATAGTGTACAAATTCATATATCATGCTTGATTTAGAATTCATATATAAATCAGGAAAAATTATTTTATATAATCTCTAGGAGATTAGAACTATTCTTTTTCCACAGGTTGAACAGGATTAAAAAAAAACTGCATGTAGGTAATTTATCTCTTCTAAAAGTGGTGGTTATAAAATAACATATATAATAGAATATTAGGATTTAGAAGGATATGAGAAAGAAAATTTCTTAAAATGAATTAGAAGTAGATTTAAAGGTACATTCTTGCTTAATGATGCTTTTTTTCCACAGGTTTCAGGCAATACATTTTTTAAAAACACTGAAAACATTCATTCACTTCTTGATTCTTAGTGGATTAATGTGCTAGTCTTTTATCTCTGAAATGTAGTTTTGAACTGACTTGACATAAAGCCAATTTGATTATATAATACAAAAAAATGCAAGTGCAAATAAATTTAGTTTTCCATACACAAAACACCACATATCACACAATCATTTCAAATCAGTAATGAGTTCAGACTTTCTTATTTTGTTTTCAATGAACACATGAATTATATTACTTGAAACAAAGCACACTTCCACCTTTCATTGAAAAACCCAGCATTCTAATTCTATTTTCTGAATCAGAACAACAGTTTTTGAAGTTAAAAATTCATAAAGAATGTAGATTTTGACTCAGATAATGCCTATAATTTACAAATGCAAAGCTTGTCTCTAAAAGTAAATCAGTAATTTAGAAATAATCTACTTGAAAGTTTGCTTCACTTTTTGAAATTCGTATGAAATATGTTTGTATACAATATATGTTCACAAGTGGTTCCATGTGTAGACTCTGACAGCAGATTTCTACCTTATGCCATGCTTTTAGTATTCGCTGTGTCTATTTACATCCATATTTCAGCTATTTAGGGGAAGATTTGTTAATTAAGATTGTTTTAAGGCTAATAATGAGAAATTGACCTTCATTTTTAAAACTAAAATAAAGTATTTCCATATCTAACCATTGTATTTTGAAAAGAAATAAGGGAAGTAAGCAGTCAAAATTCTATGCCTCCTGCCAAACTTACTATTGCTCTGCCTAAGTCCTTTGCATTTTACAATGTCAAACTCAATCCTTTTATTGAGTGGTTTTTTTAGTCTCTTTTGTCTGCAAAAGATGCTCCTTTCTTACTCCAGGGTAAGACAGCTCCCTTGCTGTTTTCCAACTTCTTTGGACATATACATATACATATACATACACACACACACATATATACATATTTATATATGTATATATACATATATAAATATGTGTGTACGTATACACACATATATATACACATATATGATTGTCTAGTCTTCCTATGTGTATACATGCACATACACACACACACATATTATTGCCTAGTCTTCCTATGGAGTCCATGTTTACCTTCCCCAAAACCTTCAGTTTGCCTGAAATGAGAGTTGTAATTCTTTTGTTAGAATACTAAGGTTACATGCTGAGTTATTCCACCAGATTACATATTTGGGTAAAATCATGAAGGGGAGCACAGTTGAAATGCATATTCATATATGTTTTTCAGACTATACCTAATCGTTATCAAACCTGCATATAAATTTCTTGTCATCTCTATTTATTTACTTTTGGTAAAACTTGTATTTTCTACATTCTAAAGAAATCTAGAGATCTTCTGAGATTATCTACTCAAATCTAAGACCATATGCCTACATAAATCAGAAGCAGATGCACAGTTTAGATTTGAAGGGAAATGACGGCATCTTAATAAAGGTGTGGCAAAATAGGATCTTCTACATTGCTGCTTGAGTGTAAATTAACAGAGCCTCTTTGGACAAGAACATTGCATTATTTATCCAAATATAAAATGAATACAACTTTGACCTAAAATTCCTTCTTTTAAGGATTCATACTACAGATGCATTATCCAAGTGTGTAAATATATTTATACATGAATGTTCACTATAATATTTTTGGAAATAATAAAAGAAAACAAAAACAGAAAGTATGCCTAAGATAAATGGTTAACAACTACTGAATAAAACATGGTACATTCACAAAGTATATTTCCAGTTTATGCCTAATACTGTGCAGATATTTAAAAAAATGAGGCACATCTACATGCATTAATTAGGGAAACCTCCAAGAGTCACATAAAGTGAAAAAATGTGGTATTTTTGGAATAATGGGGATTTAATTATGCTGTGTGGGTATTAATACAGTGTTTGTGCAAGACAGAAAAAAAAGTAAGAGAGAGAACTCATCTTGTACAACAGAAGTACATTAGTTTTCTATTGCTGTGCAAAAAATTAACCCCAAATTTAGCAGCTTAAAACAACAATTATTTATTATCTTACATAGTCTCCAAAGGTAAAGAATCCAGGAGTAACTTAGCAAGATGGTTCTAGCCCAGGGTTTTACCTGAGATTGCAGTAAAAAAGTCAGTAGGGGCTTCAATCACCTGGTGGCTTGGCTCAAGCTGGAGGTTCATCTTCCAGGAAGACTCACTCACATAGCTAGTCACCAGTGGCTGGTCGTCTCAGTTTTTTGAAACATGGAAATCTCCATAGGACTGCAGGAGTACCTTTGCAACATGGCAGCCAGCTTTCCCCAGTGTGAATAATCCAAGAGAGATAAAGCAAGAAGCTACAATGTCTTTTAATCCAAGTAGTCTCTAAAGTCACATATGATCATTTCCTCTGTATTTTATTTGTAAGAAATATGTCACTACTTCAACTCCCACTCAAGGGGGAGAAAATTGAGCAACACCTCTTGAATGAAGGAATATCAAAAAATTTGCATACCTATTTAAATGATCACATGTAGAAAATAGAAGACATATTGAAATTTTGCACTTTGAACTTTAAAATGTTAGTATTAATTTTCAATGAAATTCACTTGCCTGTGAGCCCTATGAAGGTTGAGGGAGTGCTTATGATCATTCTCCATTGAATACCTCAGTGCATCTCAGGATGTCTGATTCATGGTAGTCATAGTAGGTACTTCATAATTGTGGAAGGAAGGAAGAAAGGAAGGAGGGAGAGAGGAGGGAGAGAGGGAGAGAGGGAGGGAGGGGAAGGGAGGGAAGGAAGGGTGAGGGGAAGGAAGGGAGAGAGGGAGGGAGGGAGGGAGGAAGAGAGACTTCTCTATGGCTCCTCATTTCAAAAAGAGTAACTTGGGGATCCCTCAGCAATGCTCATGTCATCATATTTCCCAAGTCTAGAATCCCTCAGCCACACCCCCTCACAAAAGTCAGAGTTTTCATAGTTTGTGGTTTTCATAATTTGTTTCATAGTTTAACAAATTCAGAGATAAATATTTTTAAAGAACATTAGTATTTAAAACTAAATATTCTTCATAAAGTTGAAAAAAATAAAACCTGACTACTTATCCTTGAGCATTTAAGTAATGCCTTCGGCAATCTCATTATTTTTTAATCTTCATTGGAAGATGAAGCTTGATAATTCAAATTCATAGACTTCTAATTTGACCTGCCATGTGCAGTGAAAAAGATGAGACCTGGAGGTCCTTTTCTGTTTGCATATCAAAGGATGTCCATGCAGTACTTATGATTTGCAGGATAATTAATCTTTCTGACTTATACTCTCACCACTCTGCTGAAACTGTTCTTGTTAGTGAACCATTGACCTTCTCACTGATAAATTCATTAGACATTCTTCTATCTTCCTTACCTTATTTGATCTTTATTCAACATTTTAAGTTTTTTCTTACTCTATGCTTCTTAAAATAATTTAGACATATCAGAAGATGTTCGGTCATACTGCTGTAATAAGCAACTCCCATAACTCTTTAGCTTATAACAGGATTGTTTATTTCTTACTTACGTAATCTTGGTTCTTCTCAACATCTTTGCACTCCAGGCTCCAGGCTAATAGAATAACCTCTTTGAGTTTTATTACCTTTCATTATGGCAAAGGGAAAAGAGAATTTGGTTACACATATGGTGCCCTTGAAGCTACTGCCCAAAAGTGACCCATCTCTCTTTCATTTACATTTTAGTAGGCAGAAATCAGAGTCAACTCTAATTTCAAGGGCACAGGAAGTAGGGTCATTCCCCTTAGGATTCTTCTAGCTCTCCCCCTGTTTCTCTGATCCTTCCATCTCTGCTTTGTTCTTTTCTGTCCACTTCTTAAATCTGGTGGATCTCAAGACTTTACTGTGCATTGAGTTCATCTGGGGAGCATGTTAAATGAGCAGAATTCATTAATGTACCCATTAATGGGTACAACTTCTGTATTCTATATTTCATTTAGTGAAATATTCTGTATTCTATATTTTATTAAAGTGATACTGTCTTAAAAACAACTGCCTAGAACATAACCAGGGATGTCATCCTGACAATGATATATTAAGGGCATGGTAGTAGGAGTATCTGTCCTGAGGGTAAGCAATAAGGAGATACAGCATCTTTAATTTTTTTAAATAATGATAAAATCAATTTAAAATTTAGTCTGCTTTTGTTTTCGTCATGTACTGTCAATGCTATAATATTTTCTTCTAAATAATCTTTTGTTGGTGTAAGTTGTAGATAATTGTGCTTATTGACAAGCCCTAATAAAATCTTCAAATCAGCACATATTTTTAACTTACATTTTAGTAAACAGTGTGTTTTATATGAAAATTAACTCAAGGAACTCCCAAGTTATACAACCAGCTATTAGTTATACTAAGCCATGTGGACCCAGTGACACACATTCAGTTCCACAGTAAACTCTTAAAGTTCAGAATCACTGAAGCTCTCTTACAATGAAACTTGTCATTCCAAACCTGGTGTTACCCCATATTCTTACATTTAAGCATAGATTTAGGCCACTGATACCATGTTGACCAAAAAGGCAAAAAACAGAAGCTCAGTGGACTCAGTTCTCAGTCTGTGTGAATGCATGTATTAGTACACATGTGTGTATGTAAAATTCAAAACAGCAAAAGAAAATTAACTGTAACATGTAACTTTGTTTGGTAAAAGCAAATGTTAGTTTACACACAAAATATTTATTGAATTTAACATCTTAAATTTGAAATTAATTCTTTTTAATTGTTAAATTTTGTTTTACAGCTAAAGAATGAATCAAGAAAATAATGATAATTACTGATTATTCTAATTATGACATAAGATAATCTGGTCAGATAGAGGAGAATGAGGTCAAAAAATGATTGACTCTGGGTTTCAAATATCCTGGGTAGTCACTGATAATTGATTTCTGCTTCTCCATTACTACCTCCCACAGCCAAACAATATTGACTTCCTGCATATCTTTTCATAATTTTCTCAACTTCTCTATCCTTGACATATAGCTATTGCTATGTAATTGTGGCTACCGTTATTATAACGAAAGGAATTTAAATGGAAGGAATTGAGGAGAAAAAGGTTTAAATGGAGTTGGATAGAAATTCATAGCATAAGATAGTTGCAAAATCCTCTGACACTTCAGAAATGAAATTTTATTTATTCAAATAACAAAGACTAATTCCTTCAATGACATCTCTGTCTGGCAATTCTCAATTTTATATCTTTTTCCTAGACTTCTTCACTTAAACACAGACCAGTATATCCAACATCACTTAAATACAGACCAGCATAGCCTTTTTAGACATCTAAGGCTTCTCAAAATTAAACATCTAGTAAAAAAACTTTCTGAACTTCTGTTTCTCAATTAGCCTGTTCTTCTGAGTGTTCCTCCGTCTCATTAAATGGCAACCCAGCTTTTGCGATCTTCGGGACAAGATCTCTGAAATCGTTGTTGATTCAAATATCTTTCACTCTCCCTACATCCCATCTGAAAGCAAGTCCTGTTGGCTCTACCTTCAAATACGTGTATTAACAATCCAACTATGTTTCCCGTCTCTGCCTCACTGATTCAAGCCATCGTTGTCATCTCTCATGTAGGTGATTGCAATTCACTTTTAATTATTCTACCTCTATTGGCATTTGCCCCCTACAGTCTATTCTCAACCAAGCAAACAAGCTGAGCCCTTTCATCTTAAATCAGATTACATCACTTTGCCCAGAACTCTCCAATGCCTTCTCAGTTTACTTACCCTCTGATACCTGAGGTGGACCTGACCTATTCTACTCTATCATTTGATCTCTTCTACTATTATTTTTACCCTTGGTTTTCTTCACAGTGAAATTCCTAACGTCCCTCCAACACTCCAGTCATGTTCTCTTCTGGGGTCCTCAGCACTCACAGTTGCATTTTCCCAGAATGTTCTTCCCACAAACTCACATGGTTTGTTCCCTCAAGTTTGCCAGGTCTTAGCCGAAATGTCGCGCTCTAAGTAAGGTCTAATTAAAATGCAAGCTACTCTTTCCCTACTTTGTTTTTTCCATAGTCCTTATCACTGTATAGCATACTATTTTTCTTTCGCTTGTTTCTGTCTCCCTATTAAAATTCGAGCATCATAAAAGTAGGAATTTTTGCTTGTTTTACTTTTTGGCCTATTTCCCACACCTAGAATATTGTCTGGAACATTTACTACACTTACTGTATGTGTTTAAGGAATGAAGGTAGTAAGATCTGATGGAATTATTTTATACTTTATCTAGAATGTAATGCAAGACTAACGTACAGATCATTTCTTTTTTTTCTCCATATATTTACTTTTTATTGAATTTGTTAATGTTACAGAGTTCTTGCACTGCCAAACCATGCCTGAAAATTCAAACAAATAGTGCAATGGACAGTCTCATCCACCCATCATACAGTATATTAAAACTTGATTCATCTACATTTTGATGTTTTCACAATTTTTTAAAAAGTTATATTGAACTGTGTATTTTCCCTGAAAAGTATGCATTTTTTCCCAGCAAAATTTTGTTGGGGGTTATGTTACTGAAGAATGAACAGAGATGAGTAAGTGGAGGTGTTATGTAACGGCATACTGTACTCGAAATCTGAAGACCTGCAGCTGATTTAAATTCCAAATTCCAGATAATTTCTGAAAGCATAAAAGAGAACGCACTCTTTCTGAAATCTAAACTTAGCATAAAACTATCTATTAAAACTATGATTATTCTTATTATAATAGACAAATAGAAAAATAAAACATACTATAATCTAGAAATAAAAAGAAATGTAAAGCAGAATTTAAACATGATAAAGCTAATATTATGAATCAATGAGAAAAAAAGACTTTTTGTTAAATGGCTCCCAATACTATCAGTGATGACTGGAATCATCATTTACTGAGTGCTTACAATGTGCCAGTCACTGTGCTTTATTCAACAATCTCAACAACCATGTGAACTAGGTATTATACACATTAGGCTCATTTTACCGATAAGAAAATAGAGGTATAGAGAGGTTAGGCCCAAACTCATAGAGGTAGTAACAAGTGATAGAACCAAGATTTGAACTGAAGTATATCTGCATCCAAAGCCCAAACTTTTAACTGCAAACACATACTGCAATTTGAGGAACAAAAATTATACTGGAATTTCTGTCACAGTTCTTACATCAAAAAACAAAAGAAAGGGAAGGGAAAGGAACAGGAGGGAAGCGGGGGGAGGGGAGGGGAGGGAATGGAAGAGGAGGGAAGGGAAGGGAAAGGAAGTTCACTTCTAAAACAACAAAAGTAATGGAAGAATCTTGCATGATGTATTTTAGACACTATTTAAGACATGAAGGTCTTTCTAATTATGATTTATAGCCAAAAACAAATAAATAGAAAGATTAATTGGCTTGCCTTTCCACGTAAAAACAACCTGTTTTAAAAAAATGAATAAATGGGCCAGGAGCGGTGGCTCATGCCTGTAATCCCAGCACTTTGGGAGGCTGAGGCGGGTGGATCACGAGGTCAGGAGTTCGAGACCAGCCTGGCCAATATGCTGAAACCCCGTCTCTACTGAAAATAGAAAAATTAGCTGGGCATGGTGGTGCATGCCTGTAGTCCTAGCTACTCAGGAGGCTGAGGCAGGAGAATTGCTCGAACCTGGGAGATGGAGGTTGCAGTGAGCCAAGATTGCACCACTGCACTCCAGCCTGGGCAACAGAGGAAGACTCCGTCTTAAAAAAAAAAAAAAAAAAGAAAGAATAACTGGATGATATATATCAATGTTTATTTCTCCAAAATGCAAACAACTGTCGTAAATTGACTAGAAAAAGAATACACAACGCCAATAGAAAAATAGGCAGATGATTGGAACAGAAAATTTATGAAAAGCAAATGTATCAAGCAAACACATGCAAATGCGTTCATCTATTTCACAACCAAATAAATGAGAATAAATACAATCATGAATATTCTTATCTTCTAGATTGGAAAATTTTTCTGTGAATTATAGTATGTAATCTTCCTGAGAATGTGGTAACTGTTAGTGAGAGTATGTATTGGAGACAATTTTTAGGTAAACAGGCTGATAATTATCAAGTTATGAAATGTGTGTTCTCTTTGATTCAGCAAATTTTGTTTCTAGAACTTAATCTCAACAGCATGATAATTCAGTGAACAAATGTACAATATTGTTCATTAAAACGTTGTTTGTAATAGTGACAAACTAGAAACAAACTAAATTTCTGTAAGTGTAAAGTTAGTTAAATAAATAATGGCATATCAATAAAATTGACTAGTCGGCTATTAAAAATGATGACGTTTATTTTTAGTCATTGACCTGGAAAGTGCCAATTTTTAGAGGAAAAATAAAAGCAAGGTTAGTACTTGTTCATCTAATGCTAACAATGGGGACCACTGGGGTTAGGAATTCTAAGTGACAACTTTGTATCTTATACTTTTCTCTATTGGTTGCATTTTCTATATGAATAACCTGAGGTATATGATTTAAATAATAATTTCTCAAAATGTATAAGGAAATTCAGATAAGGTTGTAGATTTCTTCATTATGAGATGTATTTTCTTTTGTTAACTGGGAATTAATACATTTTGCCTTTTATGAAAGAAACTAAGTATGTTAAAAATAAAAATGACTTTACTAAAAGCGAGGAATACAAGTTTTCTAGAATTTTATTTTGGAAAACAAATGAGTCATCCTATCATTTGTATCCAACTGTACATTTAATTATTTTACTCTAGTTTTTCCCAATATTGCCAAATTAACTTCTCAATTTTGTTCCCATAAGGTTTATTAAAATATGGGTAAAATATGTCATTGCAAAACACAAATACATGCACACACACAGTGATCTAATGGAATCAAAATAATAGTTTCCTATCATAAGCATTCCCAAAATAAGCTTAGAGATAATTAGCTTTTGTTAACATTTGGTTATTATTAATTACAAGCCAGATAATTCTTCTTCACAAAGAAAGGATGTTAAAATTTATAGCCATTAAATATCACTAGTCTTACTTAGAATACTGAGTGTTCCCCTGTTGGTGAAAGAAAGATCCTTTTGTTGTTAAGTAAAGAAAGTTAATCAGAGTTAAAGATGTGCTTCTTACCTTTCCTGTTACTCTCTTTACAATGTGCTCACTGTGTTTATTTTCAAAGTAATTAAATATAACAATCCGGTATATACAATTTAAACTTGCATATTTTTACAACATTGTTAAGACTTTGTATATTTTGGAAAATGTGACTCGAAGAACTACAATTTAACTTCTACATGGCTTACTAAATAAAACAAGCTTTAAATCATTCTACATTCTGATATTTTCTCTCACCAGAGTTACAGGCAAAGTAGCCTGGACAGTAGCATAAACGCTACATCACTTTTATGAGTAAAATTAATCCATCCAGTTTAACAAGATAGTGGATGTTTATAATGAATAATTCTAAATCAATTTAGAAGTCATTCTGTTATACATGGATCACATAGCAGATATTATAGTGACAGAGTGCTTTCCCATATCGAATAATCAGCAGAATTAAAGTCTTGCCCCATGAGAAACAGATCAAATTTACTGTGAAATTGAACACAACCGTCATCAACACTAGTTGAGTTTAGTATTGTGATGCTATTGTTCACCATGACAGAAGGCGACAGAAAGAACCTTTTTCCTTTCCAAAATTGTTGAACTCCCACCAACAATCGAAGTAAATAAGTTTTAATCATATGTAAATTGGGATACCCTTGGTACCAGGAAATCACAAAAATGTCCACTTAATTAACAAGTCTTTAGAAAGACGTGTTTCAGCAGTATATCAGCACTTGATAAACAGTTATCAATATTGTTTGGGGTAGATTAACATGAGTTAGGCTACTCAAGTTGTCTTTATTACACCTTTTGTTTCTCCAACAAAAGACTTTTTTTCTAAATTTTTCCTTGATTCACTCCTTATTTTATTATTATTAGTCTTTCAAATTTCAAAAATCACAAGCTTAGCTTAGCATCCATTTCTACTTGATAATTAGAGAAAAGAAACAAGGTGGGGGAAGGAAGAAATAAGGAAAGCAGGGATGGAGAGAGAAAGCGGGGAAGAAAAGAAGGAAGGAACAAAGAAATGAAGGAAGGAAGAAGGAAGGAAAGAAGGAAGGAAGGAAAGGAAGGAAGGAAGGAAGAGAAAGAAGCTGGAAAAGAAGGATACTGAAGTAATTCATGTCACTTTATTTGAGAGAAAGAAAAATTGGTTAGGAGTATCATCTTTTACTAATCACATCATTAAAGGTTTGGAAACCTGCCTCTATTTCATTAAGAAATTTTAACAATTTTGAAATAATGAACGGGAAATAATCTAGAAACAGTGCTATTTATATTAAGTCGATGCACTTTAGGTTTATATCAAGACATTATAATTTCTAAAATGAAAGGCTTATGCTTAAAATTAAGGAAAATCCTTTGACTGTTTTTTAATTTATTTTTCAGTTTTTCTAGAGTTGTGTATCTAAGTTCTGATGCAAACAAATGCCTGGAATTCCCTCTATGTTTTAATATGCATCCTGTCTTCTGTTACTCAAAATTACTAACTACACTTTTCAATAAAAATATTGCATATTAATTAAATATGATTATTTTTATAATTTTTAATAACATCACTAGCAGCTGCAGTAATTATTAAAGGTACATATCAAAATGTTCCTTAATTTAGTGAACTATTCATCACATTTCTCTTTAAATTCTTGCAAACCTATAGAAAATATGTTAGGACACCATTTCCCAAAATGCTCCTATAAAAGGTAGAGAAAATTAAGACCTCATAAAGGAGTTTTATAAATATCCATAATTACATAACATTGTTGATTATTGCATAATAATTCATCCTTAAATATGTTTTGATATATTAGTAAAAAAAATAAAAGATTGTCTCTTCCGTAGAATATATATTAGTAAGCGGGGCAGGGCAGGGGAGCGGGGGAGTCTGATTCTATAGAATTGAGGTGTCTGCATACTGTTTTTCACTGACATGCGGGAAAATATCGCTGCATTTCCTAATGATCGCCCTCTTGTGGAGACCCTGTAGTTTGCACATAAAGCTGTGTAAGGAGCACATTTTCTTCAGCTGTCTGGGCAGCTTATCTTTTCTCAGGTATTCTTATAGATAATGTGATATGTCTTGTACCAATTGTCAAGCTTTTTGTGTAAGGTCAGCTTAATCTACTTATTGTACTGGAGTAGAAATGCAAAATATATACTCTAGTAATCATCAAACAGCTGGTTTTAATATAATTGTACACTCGTGTACATTCATTATGCCAGTGTGTTAAACTTTTTAAAAAGACAAGAGCTTTTAAATATTTAACATTTCTTTTTTTTTTACATGAAAGAGATTTTTAACTGAATAAAACCTTTATCTTGCAGAACTGTGGTATGGTCACCTCCCCATCTGGTTGCCCACATTAGCATTACTACCTTTAATTCTTTACTACACGGAAGCTTTTGAGGGACTTCTTTGGATACAATATTATTGTCCTCTGTACCTAGATAAAATTCCACATAACACCTAAAAAAAAAAAAACTCCATTTGTTAATTACCTAATTGTGAGCCACTAAATGTTTACAGAGGTATTCTATTGATCTTTTTACTTTCAATGTCTATCGCATTAGCTGGCCGTTAATAGGCTCTTATCAGCTGTTTGTAATAATAATACATTAACAAACAGAGAAGTTATTAAGGTTTTCTTCTTTATCACATTGGTTAAAATTATAGACATGGCTTTGCTTATAGAGAATATATACTTAATTCCCTTAAGATTAATTAATCAATTTGCTGAAATTTATAGTAATGAAGTTACGTCCTGAGGCTAGACTACAGGAGATCTAAACTTTTATCTTTAAACACACTTCCTTAGCACTTGACTAAGCAGAGTTTCTCTTGT
Organism: Homo sapiens; assembly: GCF_000001405.40. Classification (NCBI taxonomy): domain Eukaryota; kingdom Metazoa; phylum Chordata; class Mammalia; order Primates; family Hominidae; genus Homo; species Homo sapiens. Next base: position 79,085,751 of record NC_000003.12, on the reverse strand, counting down.
CTTCTTCCATCTGATTAAAACTATCATATTTTGCTACTTCCTAGACACAAAAGTAGAATTGCCATCATTCTCTGAATGAAGGAAAAGGTGCTATCCACTGTTTTAGTGCTATTGACACAAAAATTGTGGCAGTGACAGGCCCCACAAGCTCATCACTCTCTTATGTACAGCAGCACTTTATCAGGAGCTCCTCCCTGTTCTCTCATTTTGATTCTACTTGCCCAGAAAGAAGAAAAATGTTTTCTCATGCCTAACCTTGCCTATCCGCCCTTTAAACTGCATCTTCAATCAGGTCTCTTTCATGAAGTCAAGGGAAACTGACAGTTAACTATGCCCAAATAACAAAAATTAAATCAACATGACTCAACATGTTCCAATCACACATGTTAGTGTTTCTAAATTTTTGTGGATTAGGATAGCTTGCAATGATGACATCAGGGCAAATGCCTTAAACAGAAGTGTCCAGAATAACTAAAATTAAATAAGTAAAGAAATTGTTTAATTCTAAGCCCTCAAATTATATCAGTGATTTAAGGGCTCACTTTGTTCAAATATACAACTAATAGGATATTGAATTTTGGAAGGTTTTATTAAATTACTAGTGTTTATGCTTTTGTTAGTACTATGTTATTAAAAAACTCTCCAAAGGTACATTTCTCAAACAGTGTCTCTTCATTTTGTGCAAAAATATATGTCTTGAAATCATGTTTCTAAGTAGAGATATAAAAATGTTAGTAACTAATATTGCTTGCTATAAATAAATCAATATTTTTATGCTATGTACAGTTTTATATTGTTTAAATTAATTTATAATTTTATATTTTTCAACATTGACTTTTTTCTCTTATTAGAAAATAAATTTTCTATCTCATCTCAGCAAGATTTCAGATTTTTTACACCTTTCTGATCAGAATCTCAATAACTAAATTTTACTGAATCCTCTTGTGTGCTGGACACTGTCTTGGGACCTGAACATGTTTTCTTCTGCAGAATCTCTGATGTAGTGGGTAAGAGCGTGGATTCTGGAAATCAAATTCTTGGACCCAAGATTCAATTCCACAATTTAATAATCATGTGAATTTTGACAAATTATTTAATATAGCTAAACGATAATAATAGAGCATGTAAATACATTTGTTGTGAGAATATATAAAAAGCATTTGAGGAAATTCCTGGCAATAGAAAACACTCACTAAATTTTAGCTAATGTTTACATTCACAACAATCCGATCTGTTTTATTATTCTCTTTTTTTGAGATGGAGTTTCGCTCTTGTTGCCCAGGCTGGAGTGCAATGGGCGATCTCGGCTCACTGCAACCTCTGCCTCCTGGGTTCATGCTATTCTCCTGCCTCAGCCTCCTGAGTAGCGGGGATTACAGGCATGTGCCACCAAGCCCGGCTAATTTTGTATTTTTAGTAGAGACGGGGTTTCTCCATGTTGGTCAGGCTGATCTCGAACTCCTGACCTCAGGTGATCCGCCCACCTCAGCCTCCCGAAGTGCTGGGATTACAGGCGTGAGCCACCGCCGGCCTTTATTATCCTCTTTAAACAGATGAGAAAACTTAAGATTAAATGACTTGCCTATTGCCACACACAGAAAAAAACTAAATTGATAAAGTCAGAATTCAAATCTAGCAACTGTCTAAACTATGCTTGCAGGCAATAAACTAGATGACTTTATAATCTAGAAATGTTAAAGGCATTCTGTTTTTCTTCCAGAGTCAGGCAGTACAATAAAATTAATCGTGGCTTAAATCTCAAGCTTTCAAGGTGAAAAACACTGTAATTCTACAGACTAATGTTGAGACTAGAATAAGCTAAGGAGTGACTTATGGCAACAAAATACTTTTCTGGAAGAAGTTTGGTTCAGAACCATAATTGAAATTCCCTTCATGAAAATCTTTGTTTAGTAGATTTTCTCCGAAGATATCTGCCACTCTAGATAAGAACCCTGAGAGAATTGTCTTTTAGCATAGAATAGGGTAATACTTCTCAATTAAAAAGTACTTCAGTTCACAGTTGAAGTCTTCTTTTCATTTACAGTAGATTACTTTGCCCTTGATTGGCCAACGTAGAAGAAATTCAAGGGCTAAGGTTAACTTGGATAGGACGACAGTTTCCTACCATTTCCCAGTGACAAATATTTCAGTTAAGAATAAAATTTTGAGCATACTGCTAAAAATATTGTGGTTGAATGTTTATTTCTGTTTGGCCCTGGTTTGTTATTATTTCAAACATAAACTGCTTTCCAGCCAGTTTATTTGCAATTCCCAAGTAGGAAAACATGATAGGTTATAAATAGATAAATGTGGATTTTACCATCAGATAGATAGACAAATAGGTATCTATATATAGCACAACAATGAATTATTTTCAAATATCTTCACAAACCACTACATTTGAAAATAATATCAAAATATTTAATATTTTCCCCTCTAACATTTTTATTTCCTGCCTAAGAGCTAGATATCTGAAACCCTTTTGTTTTTTTCTTCATGTCCATTATCAACTCTTTCCTGGTAACTCTTCGCAAATATACTTTTGTTTGTTTGTTTGAGACAGAGTCTCACTCTGTGGCTCAGGTTGAAGTGCAGCGGCATGGTCTCAGCTCCTGCAGCTTCAACCTCTTTGGCCCAAGTGATTCTCTCACCTCAGCCTCCCGACTAGCTGGGACTACAGGCATGCACCACCACACCCTGCTAATTTACAAATAAATATTTCTTTAGTCACTCAGAGTAAACTAGAGCCATTTCCCAATTTGTGTATAAGGCGTTCCTAAAGGCCTCATTAGAAATCAACTGCATGATAGCAGATCAATATACTATCTGAGATAAGGACAGTTTCGTTCCTAGGGAGCTAAAAATAAGTTCAACCTGCCTCCCTCCACACCATCAACCTGCCTCTCTCCACACCATCAACCTGCCTCTCTCCATACCATACAAGTGAGGTTCAACCTGCCTCTCTCCATACCATACAAGTGAGTACACAGTGAGCCAAGAGGCATGGGAGTGAGAAGGTGTTGGGGAGAGATTTGAGGGTAACATAGTAAGACACTGGGTGGGGCAGGCATAGAGACAACTAACTGGGATTTCTCCCCAGTATGAACTGGAATTTGGGATTTTGAACCACACTTGAGGCTCTGGAGCATTTTCCCTTATCCACTATGAACATTTCTACATTTGGTCTCTTCTATCTCACTTCATTAATCCACACTCTTGTAAATATTTATTTTCTTATTTTAAGAAAATTCATTTTCATCTATGTGGTGATTATCATATATTGAACTTATAATGCATCCAATATTATGAGATTTATTAGGTGTTATGCTTGTAAAAATGCATCTTTACTTCCCTCTTAAAATTTCTACTTTGCACACACACATATATATGATTTGCTCAACCTTTAATGAGTATCATAAATGCATAATAAGTATAGACAATATATGACTTTTCTGGATGGCAAATTTCCAGTATATAGATGGATTGACTCATGTAAATTTAGTCAAGCCAGGAATAGGATTGCTGTTTATACAGTTAGAACAGTTATTTCTTCTAGCTATGGAATTTCTTTTTAGCATCTTAGAAGTATACATTTGAATGAAATACATCATTTTCCAAATGGTTAAGTAATAATTACAATTGCTTAAAAGTCTTTGAATTTATAAGGACACTTTAAAGTTAGCTTTCTAGGTAATATTTTCTTTTGTATATTTCTAATAGTGAATGATAATAGAAAAATAATATTGCCATTTCACCAAAACATCCCATTTAAGAAAATGATATTAATAGACTCTAAAAATAGTCTTGGCTAAAAGACCAATGTAGGCAAATGGTAATATAGCATTAAATGTCACTATTGTTAATTATATCATTTAATCCTTTAAGTATTATAAATTTTCTTGACGTTGCATCAAATTTTCCTATACTTTCCCAAATTGATGAAGAAGCCATCCTTTCCAAACTGTCACAAAAGCTAGATTCTACGAAATGAGCCAAAGAATGAGATCCTTCATCAAGACATGACATGAAACTTTAGCCAGGCAGTTTGCAAAAACAGCTAAAGGTCTCTATTGTGTTTGTTAGCACCACTATGTCAGCTTTCTTGTGTTGGCAGCTTTGGGCTTTTCCGAGGAAAGCCCCAAAGAAAGTTGTTACCAGCATATATTCTACAGTTCACAGAATCTCAAAAAGGACACATTAAAACTGTTAGAATCCCCAGGGCAAATGTGGAGATTAAGTAACCTTCTCCCTCAACAGAAGCCCCGAACAGACAAAGCTCGGTATTGTGTATTCAGTACACTATCTTTTTCCAGAACTGAACTTTACTATTGTGCTCAAAGATTCGAGTTTACAAAGTGTTTGGGGGCTTTGCATAACGGTTCACTGGCACCACCACTGACAGCCATCTGAGTGTGGGAATTTTTTTTAAAGTCATGATGCCCATCAAATGATTGACCTATCGTATTAATGCAATGGCAGCATCTTAGCAGGAGGGGGAGGACTGGAGAAGTTTGCATCAATATCTATAGCAAGCTTCTTTTTCACAAGAATTTAAGGAAAGCAAAAAAAAAAATCCTATCGGAAAAAAATGTGTCATTTAAAAGCTCTATTACAGGGTAGTATATGGCTATTTAATTATAAAAAAAGAATGGGTTTTCAGGCAAAGCGTTTGGGCACACTATAAGTCGATTTTCTTCTATGGAAATTTTCTTCTATGGTTTCAGCATTTTCATGTAAGGTGAGGCATAACTCTTCAATTCTAAAATTTAGATACGCACCCTCAACTCTGGGCCCTGATTTGCTTGGCTCTATTCAGAAAGGTTTTTCTTTGGAGGTAGTAAACTAAAATATATCCCAAGATAAACTGCCAGTTCATGGTCAATAGTCTAGAAAAGGTTAAGAAAAAGTTGAATATTTAAATAAACAGAGATTCTTAATTACTCTATCCAACTGGGGAGATACTGGACTTATTTTGGTCAGAGAATGTTTCATCTGAACCTTTTTAATATACCACCTGGAAAACATGAAGGCTGCATGAATTAGAGCGGCCATGACCTTTCCTAAAATTTACATATTACTTACTCATTTCATTGAAGGATCAAACATGTTTTAATAGGCATTAATAGTAATAATGCTTTATGCAAATACTGTTTTTCATATATCTTGTCCATTTTTATGCATTTTTATGCTTAAACTTTAGTTTATATCCCTATAATTTAAGGCAGGATTTTAAATATTGAGAAACTAAAGTAGAAACTGAAAGATAGTCTAGTTTTTTTTAATTGAAAGAATCTAATGTCATTTTATCTTTGGGGACTTTATAGTGTATGTTAGTATACTTAAACTTGATACAAATTATGAACATGTAGTAAAATGCTTTATTATGTGAGTGGCTAGAAACACATATTTTCATGGACAATGAGAAGACAGCTCTCAATTTCTCAGTACTATGAGTAGTGAATTACTAAATGACTAATAAACTACCGGTACCAAAACAACGTAACTGAAAGTTAATATTAAGAAAGGAAAAGGAGGTTTTGGAAATTTTTCTTAAAAATAATGATTTATATGATGGTTTAAATAATATGTATAATGCATATCAAGAATTAGCAATTAATTTTTCATTTTTAAACATGTACTTAGTATCAACCCTGTAACACTTTTATGAACACACCACTAACATTATCATCTTGTTTATATTCTTGTTCTTTTTAATAATATATATAAACTTTTGAAACAAGAACATATGCCATTAAAAATTATCATCATCTGAAGCTTTGTTTCTGAATGTTTTTTAATAAAAAACATTTGACACTGACATTTTTCAAGTGTTCATTTTTATTTAAAATATAGACTCTGATGTACAGTTCTGACCATTCTTTAAGCAAAATACTCTGGTACTTTTAAAAATGGACTATCGCTTCTATAAATGTGAGTTTCTTTACAAAATTACATTGAGATTATTATGTTTTTTATTTTATTTTTTTTCTCACCCTGTCTTATGGTGTGGATACATTGAGATGAGCAGGCACTATGGGTTTTCTTTCTGTATAACATTAGTCGTTTGATTTAAATTTTTGTTTACTTTCACTGGTGATGTTTAATTTTATACCAGATCAGAAAATAATGAAGTGGATATTGAACACATTTTATCAAAATAATGCAATTCCTACAGGAAATTATTGATGAATTTTGTTCTCCATTTGCCCTACTGTAGACAAAGCAGAACCAGTACTTGTTCAATTTTGACATTACAGCAGTCTCTCGGCCCACTTCTTTTCACTCGTAACTGTTTTTAATTCATTCATTAAAAGTTTTATAATGGCCTTATGAGATAGAGTTTGCAATTATCATTTCTTTAGAAAATATTCTTGCTGAAATAACTTATTCCTATTTAAAATTCAATAACTTTATGTCTACATAGTCTATTCAGATAATTAATTTTATTTTTGGAACTTTAAGTTCTAGAATTTAGGTCTGAGAATTACCATGAGTTATATATAGATGCCTTTTAAAGAAAACGTGATTTTTTTAAAAGTCTGAATAAGCTTCACATATTTCTAATAAATACTTTTATTCCATGCTTCAATATGGTGTTATTTGACAAGAGTTAAGTATTAATTATCTCCAGATCAAATGTCATTTTTCCAATTTCTCTACTAAATATTAGTTTCGTGTGTACATAGTCTCCAACTTATATGATAATGTGAGTGCACAATTTTATTCAGAGCATGTATGTACATTTATACCCATAATTTCTAAGATGATTTCTATCTTAAAGAGCCTGCACTTTGATGATAGTGTGAATTCAATATAATAGAGTCATGTAAGAAGAAAGACAATATGAGAGGGCAAAATGTGAACTACAAACCAAAACACCTGGATTATAGGTTTAGTTATGTCTTAAATGATTGATCTTGAATCTAGCTTCACTAATTATTTGGTTCCCTTTGGTAAGATAATGATTTCACCTCTGTCTACTGTCTCAGGTTTGCTCTTAGGCTTAAATGTAGTGATATATGGAAAGTGCTTTATAAACTGTTCCATACATGTTCTAAAAGTGTGTGCTGTTATTTTTCTTTGAGATGACGTTTTACCACAGTATTTTCACTCCTACTTTTCGAGTGATCCATGTTTTCTAATGATTGTTTAATTGTTGACTACAAGAACTATTATGGCTTGGAAATCTAGCATATATGGGACATCCCATCACCCTCTGTTGGTTGGAAAGTGTAAAAATAGTATGCAATTCTGGAGCTTTTGTTCTTAATCATCTGAAATAAGAATATTTTGATACTCAACCACTGAAGTCACCAGAATGTGCAGATTGACCCCCAAAAAAATACCCATCTTATATTTCAACTCTACTTAAAGTACAGAGTATGTGGTAGTCACTAGAGGGTACAACCTACATATATTGAACAGGCCTATCTTATATCCAAGAATAATTCTTTTAACAGTTTAGTAGCCCCTCAATTATTTAATCCCATTCACATGCATCCAGAATCAATATTTTAAGTTGAGAAATTAATGTTTAGAGTTAATATGTTTAGATAAAATATGTTGCTCTATCACAAGTGTATAATACAAGCTGATTATGACAGAAAATTAGAAAATTCACTTTTTCTTCATTTTATTTTCCTTCTTTCCTTTGTGGTTTCAAAAAGCAGTCACATATATATTAGAATCACAAAGATAAGTAGTCTTCTTTGAGTCCACAGATTAATCACAGAAATCACAGACTAACCTATATGCCATGACCCAGTATTTACAACGCAAGTTCATCACTCATAATAACTAGCACTGAACACTTACTATTTGTCATACACTAAACTGTAAGAATATAGTTCTTCTCACCTGCTTCTTAAGCAATCTTAAAACGTGAGTACTTAGAGAAGTAAATAGCACAAGACAACAAAAATTTTAGGACTATGGAAAAAAGATTTGGCTTTCAGCATTTGGCATGTCTTTTTAACTTCTCTTTTTATGACTTTTTGGACTCTCCAAATTCAACCTTTAAATTGTAAGCCTACTAGAAATATCAAATGAAACATGACTTATTATATTTTTCTCCTGAAATTTAAGAAACATTTGCATTCAAGGTGGTTGCTCAGTTAACATAGCTGAATTATTTCTTGCCTGACAATATAATAATGCATATAAGAATTTCAAATTTCCTTTACAAAATAGTAATGTGACAAAATATGTGCATTTCAATTACTAAAATTATATTTCTCTGATAGCAAACACTGTATTTATTGCTAATGATATGTATATATACACACATAGATCATTCCGTATATCTACATACATGTCTGTGTATATAGATGTATACATGTATGTGTTCTTATGTATATGTTTGTGTCCATGTGAGATTGTTTTAACTATATGCATCATAGGATAATTAATCTTCCACATTTTCAATTTTATTTTGACAATTTTTTTCCATCCTCATATAGTTCTAGGAATTCTGTCTTAGGAAGAACACTAAAAATATTGTATACATAGAAGTAGAAAGTAGAACAGTGGTTGTCAGGGGCTGGAGACGGAATGTGGAAGAAATGGGGAGATGTTGCTCAAAGAGTAAAAACGTTCCGTTATAAGATGAACAAGTTCTGGATATCTCACGTACAGCATGAGTGCTGATGGATGTGTTGATTAATTTGACTGTGGTAATCATTACACAATGAATACATATACCAAGTCACCACATTGTACACCTTGAATATAGTCCATCTTTATGTGTCAATTAAATATTTAAAAATATAAGAACAAGAAATAAAACGAACAAAAAACTTCACTACATGCCTTATAGTGTAGTCACCATATCCATTCACTAAGTGAAATATGACTAAGTTAAATATGAAAAATTGTCTATTCTAACAAACACTCTATACAAAACTTGAATTTCCCTCTACAACGTTATCTATTAATAATAAAAGGCCTCCAACCTCTGCTTGTCCCTCAGACAAGGGAATCACTGTCTCTTATTTGAGCATGTTCTAATTGAAACATTCCTTTGAATGGTCTCACATGTATTTTACAAATTCTTCCTCCCTAGAAATTCTACCATTTGACTCTCATTTTTCCATCAAGTGTAACACATACTATCAGCAAGTCACTCTAGGAGGTGTTACAATGTAGTACTTCTATTTTTTCAATAAATCCCCTGAAAAATCATGAAAAAATATGAGACAAAGTATCATACTATTCTCCAGATATCCCACCAATGTAATTACTATTTTATACCTGCAACTTACCGACTTACAGTATTTCATTATAAAATTTAGTTTCCCCATTCTTATTGAATTAATGAAGATAACTAATACACTACTGGGTTTGAGTTTATTATATTTAAGTCTCTTTTTTTCTGTCATGAGAAAATAGTTTGTATTTAATGGTAATTTCTTCAATTACATATAAAATAATAGAAACAATATAAATAATAGTGCATTTTATATATGTATATTTATATATTTATATATATAGTTTATATATATATATACTTATATTTATATATAAGTAACATATATGCCTATATATGGTCTTGTGATTATTTGTTTTACATAATTAACATATGTATAGTCCATGCACAATTCTAAGTTCTTTGTAAGTATAAACTCATTTGTTTTCATAACAATCTTATAAGATAGGTGTTGTTATAATTGAATTTTTACAAATGGAAAACTAAGGCATAAAGGGATTATATTACTTGCTCACATCCACATAAATAGCAATGGCAGCTCTGGCTTGTGGCCATCTGATTTCAAAGTTAGAGTTCTTAGTCTTTATACTATGCTGCCTCTTGTTAGATATAAATCACACAATGTTTCCAGTAATATCAATTGTCCAAATACCCCTTTTCATTTTTATTATAATGAATTTATGTTGTTATACTAGACAATATAAATTATACTATAATTATATATGTTATACTATACATAGCTAGTGCCTTATTCCAAATACTATAGTGCCCAGTGAAACACAATGGAGCTAAAGCTACTAATTCCTCTAATGTATTTCTAGATAACCTCAGAATTCCTCTGGACCTGACTTTGGGCTCTGAAATTGTGTTCCAGGTTGATCTAAAATAGTCTTTAAACATAGAGACTATTTCTTCTAGCACACCGCCTCCACTCCTAGTGAATGCACAACTCTGTTCCTTGGTGCCACTATAAAATCCTGTGTTAACTATGACAGGATGCAAGTTTATCTACCTACTCTAAACACCATTACTTGTGTGACCCCAGAAAACCTCCTACACTTGAGTGATTGTATGTACCCTAACATAGATAGAAAATACATATTTTGTTACTACTTTGCATGTAATCAAATTTCTCCAAGCCGTCCCTGAAATACAGCAAAATTGACTTGAAAAGGTGATTACAGACCTATATTTCTAGAAGGAAGAGTGATTATTTTCTTTCAAATTCATACCTATGTAGGAAGCTATATGTTTACATCAGTACTCTGAAGGTTAGGACACCTCAATTAATCCTTGGCACGTTTTCAGTTCACCTCTTCACCCTGGTAGGTTTTTCTATATAAATATTTGACAAGGCATGATGGTGATATTAAGAATGATGATGTTACCAAATGTAAAGTTGATGAGACATCTTATAAAAATCCCTTAAAAAAAAGCCATGATGAGGAATCATGGCAACCTAGACTAACTTCTTCCTTGGTTACTAGCAAACTTAAAATGTTATGAAAGTTTCTGTGGATAGTTATTCCATATTAATATCCTCTATCTTGTGCTTGAAGGAGAAAATTCACAATTAAAGGTTTCTGTTTTATCATATGCATTGTTACTTTTAACACAATTTATTATAAAACAGAAAATGAAATGTTTTAAACTATTGATATTTTGTATTTTTATATTAGGAAAAAAGTTTATTTGTGCTACAGATTTATGTAGTATTTAGTAGGTAATTACTAAATTAGCACACATTTTTTAGTCCAAACATGGACTAAAAAAGCACACATTTTTGTCAAGGTCAGCTTAAAATAAAAAAGCATATGTTCCCAGGTGCAATGGCCCATCCCTGTAATCCCAATGTTTTGGGAGACCAAAGCAGGAGGATTAGTTGAGCCTAGGGGTTGGAGACCAGCCTGGGCAATGTAGGGAGACCCTGTCTCTTCAATATAATAATAATAATAATAATAATGAGCTGAACATGGTGGCATGCGTCTGTGGTCTCAGCTACTCAGGGGCTGAGGTGGGAGGATCACTTAAGCCCAGGAGGTCAAGGCTACAGTGAGCTATGATCACCATTGAACTCCAAGCTAGGCAACAGAAACCCCATCTCAAAAACAAACAAATAAATAAAAATTTAAAAACAACATGTGTTTGAACTTGATAAACCAAACTTATTAACCTCGCTTCATTCAAAAGACATTCATGATATAAAATAAACTTCTCTATTTATATATACTTTGTCTTTACCAGTATCAGTGCTGAGAACCAGAATACCCTGAAACAAAGGGAAAAATCATAGATAGGTGAAGCAATGGAGAGCGCCTTTAACTCCAAGGTGCTTGACTTGGAAGTTATCCAAGGCTTGAGGAAAATAAAAAGGGTAGGATTTTTTTGTTGTTTCCAAATCTGAAAGGGATCCCAAGAAATATAATTCTGTGTTTATTTTTTCTAGTCTAATAGATAAAAAATAATACAATCAATTAAAGAACAATGAGATTATATTTGAAAAGTAATTGTTAAATAAGGGTATCTATGAATTACTGTGGAAGCATTTTCACAGAACTCTTTTGCATTCATTTCAGGGAAGAGAAATATTAGCATTATCTTTCATGTTTATTGCTGTTATATATCTAGTATCCTGCTGTAGAAAATAAAAAGAGCTGGATGGCAAAATAGCGCTTGCAGCAGACCCTTGTTGAGTATAATCAAGGTTCCAACCAGGGAGCAAACATACTGTCACATTCACTGTATCTCTGCCATTTTCCGATGATCTATCTTTGCAAAACATTAAAAGCACAAATGTGTTCAGACAAGGTTAGACGGCATAAAGCGAACTCTCTTTTTGAATGCTAAGAAACAGATTATTTGTTCCATCTTTTATTGAGCTCTCTGCAAAGTGGTAGCATGAACTGAGATCATATATATATTTTTTAAATCTATGTCCTGGCTGAATATTGATTATGTTCTTTCAGTACTGTCCATAATCTCATCCTCTATCAAAGACTGCATGGTAGGTGAAAGGCTCCCTATGGCACTGTCCTAAGAAACAGGCACTGTCTTGGGATAATTGGGAAATATAACTACAGAGACCCTGAGACTGGCATTTTAAGATTTCATTTATTATTATTCTTGATGGTTCCCATATCCATTTAGAGCACTCCCACAGATCTTAGTCTTAGCAACCCTTCTGTCACTCATCCTCTACAAATAGTATGGCCTCATGCAACTAAGGAATTAAAGACTTACTGAGAAAAAGTAATGTATATCTTTTCTAATATCTTATGCATTAATTTCTATAACTTTGCTTTTACTAAAATGGGAGACGCTAAGAATATAAGCACTAATATGTTTAAATGTATTTTAAAACCAGGTGGGCTCTTTTCCTTTATAACAAACAAAACTAGTAATGACACTACTTGTTTAGAATCCAAATGTTATCTTGCTGTGCAATTGGCTCCATGCCTTTATTTAGGCGACAACTCTAACAACATTTCAGATGTATTATTTTGTCAGTTTTTAGTAGAATATGCAATTATCTAATCAGTTGTCAGACATTCAGTTTTCATTACAATTCTCATCTCTCCATAGAATTTATCATATTTGGTTATAGTACACAGATATTTACTAAGTTACCAAATGAATCTAGTAATACCCAAGGCAGATTAGGCAAATTTTGCATTGTTGTTGACTTAAATGTATGTGTAAAATCATATGTTTCTATAATAACTCTGTTTTTTGGGAGAGAAAATTAATACAAGATGAGCAATATAATTCAGTTAAGATATAGATGGCTATATTTAGCACTGAATGTGTATTAATTCTTACATACTCAATAAACTGATTACAAATGGATACAGTACATAAAAATTTTATCCTGTGGCTTAAGCCAATAATAATTGTCAATATTGAGTGGCGAAGAATGTTCCAAATCCACATCCTCAGACTTTAAATATTACAGGAGCCAGGCAGAACTATAGGTGAGTGAATGACATAGTCTAACTCATGAAGAAGTGGTGAACACTGTGGCAAACTTGATTGGACATAAACCATTCATACAGGGCAGCTGCAAGTCAGTTTTCAGCAACAGTGAAAAGGTAGAAATGCAGGCTTGTCACTGCTATATTATTTGGTTTTTTTCACATCCACCCTCCCAAAGTAATATATATTAGGATTTTCAATGGATGAATATTTAAATATTTGAAACAAATTCCATGTTAATTTTTAAAACTTGTGTGCCAAACTAACATGTATGTCACCTGAATTCATCCATGATCAATGAATTGAACCTCTGCATGGAGTTTCTATGACATGTCTAACAAAATCATGTCATAGTGTCAGAGTAAGGGGCTTACTCTGTGTATCCCCAAAGTTCTAGGAAAATGCAGAGAGCAAGGAATAATTAAAGACTGAGTATGTCAAAATGAAAAATCAGGCCATTTCTAAATAAAATTTGTATTAAATAGAAAGATTTAATTTATTTACAAAGCATATATATTTAAGGTTAGCAAAGCCTTCTTTTAAAAAATGTCTTTCTTTGGAGTAAACCCTTAAGAGATTTTAGGTTGCCAAGATTGAGAGAGTGAGCAGTTTCAGTAGGACATGACAATTGCAAAATACAGAACATTTTTTAGACTAGAAGGTAGCTCTCAATTTTCTACAGTAGATTTAATTATTTATTTATGGAATATACAGAATAACCATGCAAACTTTCATCAAACAAAATTTACCAAAAAAAAATACTCTGCCGTAAAGTCTCTGCTGCTGAGAATACAATGGTAAAGCAAACAGTCACAGTGTGTGTGTGTGTGTGTGCGTGTGTGTGTGTGTGCATGTGCATGTGTGTGTGTGTATGGTACAAGGATTACAAATTTACTTATATAAGGCATGAATAGCAAGTTGAGGAATTATCATAAAATCATTGAATTTTTTAAAAAAATAACCACAATAGAGAACCTCCCATAATTAAAGACATACAGGACACCCACGGAAAAGAAATTGCCATAAAAAAGAGTACAAATAACACAACCAAATGAAACATTATGTGAGTAACTGAAGTTTTAAAAAGCCAGAGCACCCCTAGTCCTGGAGTTATTGGAACAATCTTGAATGGGTCATAACTTTATCTAATATTACTTTAGGGATTAAAGAGAAAGAAATTACCAAAAATATACATAAAACCTAGACAGAAATATAAAAATTAAAGAAGAAAACCAAAGTGATAAATAAGGAAGGATGAAGTAGGGAGTGATAATAAGAGAGAATGAAATACATATGTTTTAAAAAAACAAATCAAATGTTTGGATATGAAAATATTGTAATTAAAATAAAATCTGTATGATAGATTAATGGGCATATCAGAAATAAATGAAAGGGTAAATTGAAAGTAATAAGGTCAGGAGATCTATTATACAGCATGATGACTATAGTTAATAATAACATGTACACATGAAAATTGCTGAGAGAGTAGATGTTAAATATTCTTACAACAAAGGCAGATAAGTAGGTGAGGTAATGCATACAGTAATTAGCTGCATTTAACCATTTTACAATCTATACATATATGAAAACATCACATTGTACACTGTAAAATGTACAATGCAATTTTTCAACTATACCTTAATTAAAAAATAACTAATAAAAAATTTTAAAAGTCAGTATAAAAAGAATTAGCTATAGAGTCAAAAAATACATAAAAGAGCAATTAAAAGGCATTAAAGATAGAAAGACAGTAAAAAACACATGAGTATGTTGGCTGAAAGTGATGCCTGAGAAACACTTTTTAAAAGATAATGGCTAAGAATTTTCCAAAGATAAAGAGGTACATGGCTCTTCAGATTAAAGATATTCACTGAGTCCCAGAAAGAACAAAGTAAAACAAAACTTAATAGTTACATATTACATAAACAAACAAAAATACAACAACCTCACAAATTACTTCCCACAAAAAAGAGATTATCCACAAAGGACTGACAACTGACAGCTCACATCTTTTCAATACATATCACAGACTCATTAGCAAGAATACATATCAGAAAACGTTGGAATAATATCTTCAACATGCTGACAAAAAAGCCTATAAAACTAAAATTTTCATTCCCAGGAAATTTGTTATTCAAGAGCAAGTGTGAAATAAATACTCTATTTTACAAAGTTTTCCACTTACATAGATTTGCAGAAGGAACTGTAATAAAAGATGGTCCTTACTTAGAAGAAAAGTGAAGGACTAGAATTCAAGGAAATTAATTGTAATGCGTTAAATGAGTAAATATTGTATATCCAATAACTGCAAATAATAATAACAGTAACAACAACTTGTTCAAGGTGGTAAAATCAGAGTGGGACTACCACACTGGATGACAACAATATGGAAAGTGAGTGATGATCGAGTTAAGACATTCAAAGATTCTTCTCTTTCTCAGGAGAAGGTCAGAGATATTGTTTAGTTAAGACTTCGTTAAATCAGATATACATCTTTTAAAAGTAGTCAATAAATAAACAGAAATAAGAATAACCAGTAAATGAATAGAAAATTTATGAATAACTTCAAGACCAGTTGAGGGAAAAGATGAAGAGGGAAGTTAAACTTGATGAATTAATAAAAGATTAAGAAAGGGAGGGAAAAAAAGAAAGAAAAAACATAATGAATAGAAGATAAAATATAAGATTGCAGGAATATCTCCAAGTTGTCATAACAATATTATAACTATTATTTTCTGGGAATTGTTCTCATATACTGATTAATTCAATAAGTAACTACCATTGCTATCAGATTTTTGATCACCTGTCAGAAAACTGAGGCACAGAAAGGATAAGAAACTTAGCCAAATTAACTACTAAGTTGCAGAGCTAGGTTTGGATCAAAGCACAGACTGGAGGCAGAGTTTGTTCTGTAACCACTTACTGCTTCTCTTTGCAAATGGAAAAGGAAAGAGTAGCTTTAGATGAAATTTAAGTGGTAGGCGTAGGCCAAATTTTATAGGACTTTGTTGACATGTCAAGAATGTTGGCCTTAATCTAAGAGCAAAAGGATGTCATTGTAAATAGTAGCAAATAGCAAATACTTTGAAGAGAAGAATGTACAGAGCAGTTGAAGACCATGAAGGTGGGGCATCAATAGGTGTTATGGGCAGAGAGAATTAGAGGACCATGTCCAGGTGAATAAATACAAATAAAGAATGGGATCAGGTTAATCCAAGTACATCAAAAAGTTAAATGCTACACAATCTGAAATGACAGGTTCCAAAACAATAAATGTAAATAAATAAATACATAGATATATAGCTGCATACATACATAAAGTGATGAGTTCAAGATACAATTTGCATAAATTGAGGACTGGAAATATTATTAACAGAAATAAAAGGCCCTATTTTCATCCACTAAACAGAAATATGGGCATATTTAAAATTTATGTTGAATTTGGAATATTAGTTATAAATCCTGAAAGAGATAGTCTTTAGTAAATTAAAAACTAGAATTTTAATTTCAGAAGTGATCAAAAAGTAAACATTGGTCTTCTGTTGAGGTGATATACAAATTTTGAGGGAAAAAGAATAGAGAAACAAAAGAATCTAAAAGAAAAGTGCATGGAGAGAACAAAAATTTAGGATAAAGGGAAGAAAGAATATGCATGATAATGGAAGAGAAAGGAATTTTTAAGAAGAAAAGTGGAGCTGATATTGTTAGTACTGCAGAAGTTGAGGAAGATTTCCATTTCATTGGATTAGATAAGTAGGGAAATTGGTCATTTCAGAATAATAATTGAGAAAGTTAGATTGGAAAATTTTAAAGGGCTGATAAGGCGATGATTTTTTTTAAGTGGGGACTATTCTTATTGTAAGTTTAGCAATGAATTTGAGACCTGTTAGGTAGAGAGAAAGTCATGCAAATAAACAGAGAAGAGAGCAAATGGAGAATTTGAGATAAAGAAAAGTTACTTGATTAGGTATGATTATGGAATGGGGAATAGATTTAAGGTCACCAAATAGATTGAAATATGCAAGATTATAGATTTTTTTCAGGAAATTCTATGTAGGAAGAGAGAAAGTAAAGGTATAGTGAAATAATAAAGTATATAAGAAACAAATCGAAGATACTTTGAACAACCACATTTCAGTAAATTGAAATAAAGCCAATTGCTGAAGACAAAGGTAATTACTTTGAAAAACAGTAACCTAACCATGCCCATGGTTAGGAGGAACACGGGTAAAAACCCTATGTTTCTGCAATATCCATAGCAACATCCATATCATTCATTGCATGAGAAGTTTATTGAACTGGGTAGATGGAGGGTTTGGGGAGAGGAATCTGGGCCTTAATCTATGTGTTCAGCAAAGGCACTTTGGTTAGCCAGTCTCCAAGATTACCTCCAAAGATCCCCATATGGTGGCGATATTTATGTCTTTCTATAATCCCCTCCCATAATGTATCAGGGATTGTTCATGTGGCCAATAACATAGGGCTTTCTAAATTAGCTTATAAAAGACTGTGTCTTCAATCTTGGGTGCTTTCTCATTCACACATGCTCTCTTTTCCTCTTGGATCACTCACTCTGGGGCAGCTGGCTTAGGGAGAGTCCGACTAGGTAAGGAAACAAAACCTGTGGCCAACAGCCAGTGAGGAGGAATCAAGGCCTGCCAGCAGCCATGCAAGTGAAGTTAGAAGGGAATTAGCCACAGTCAGCCTTCAATGTCAGCCAACAGCTTGACTGTACCCTTGTGAGTTACCCTGATTAGAATCAGTCAACTAAACCACTTTCAGGTTCCCAACCCTCAGAAACCATGTAACATAAATGTTTGTTGTATTAATTTAGCTGCTAAGTTTTAGTTTAATTTGCCACACAGGTAGATAACTAATACAGGCATTATAATTCTTTCTCATTCAGTCTTTAGAGGATTTATTTTGCCCTGAAACAAGTTGAAAACAAATCATTGTTGAATTTGAAAATACTGATGGAATCTTAAGATCTATGTGGTATAATCTGGTCATTTTGCAGAAAGTGACCTGAGATTCAGACAAGTTGAATAAGCTGCCCTAAGTCACATCGTTTGTAATTGACAGACTCAGAATCTTACTTCAGTTCTTCTGTCTTCAAATTCAGTACAATTTTACTAGCCTATGCAATAATTATGAAACTAACTTCATAAATAATACCTCTTTAAAAGCATCATTAAACTTGTAAGATTTAAAATTTTCCCTGTGGGAAATTTACCAAATAAACAAGTAACCCCATATTAACTTCACTTGACTTGGTTTTATTTGTCTTAAGACAGTTTCTATAATGAGTTTAACCCTCATTAAGGACTTACTTGCAACGAAATAATCAACTTTTTTTACATAAGTATTATATGCTCTCCTGGCTCCTTAAAATCATGAGACATATCTTTGTAATTGGAAAAACTTCAGAGAGTCACAGAGCATTTGAATTAAAATTAATTTAATTTTCCTGCCTTGTGTGCCCACTAAAATTTTTCCATGTATGAAAGACTTGTAATTCACAGCAAGAAAAACACATTTTTTTAATGGTATCTAGTCAGCTCTAGAAGCCTTTTATGCATTTCCTGGCAATATTAAAGGAATCATGAAGACTTTATAGTTGTTACTGCTCCTGTACCGCTTACTGTTTTTTATCATGCTTGACTCACTACCTTCATTCATCCAACTTTGGAGTAAAGCTTCTCCTTCAAATGTATTCCAGCCAAATAATCGTTATCTGCTGAGAATGATGACAGGATTTCGAGGCATGCTAGGGCTCCCTCTAAAATATCATTTCTGCCTTATATCTTCTTGAATAATATTCCTTCCAGTGTGATCTACTGTAAGTTTCAAGTGTCTTTCAGAGCTCATTATTATGGTAAAAAGAAGAACAAAGAGAGAAAGAATGGTAAGCGGGAACCTCCTGCTTGCAGTTTTCACTGATAAAATCAGACTCTATAGAATCGTTTTCCCTAAGAAGCATTTTTTTAAATATCTAAAAAAATTACTCTGGCAGTTTTGTTATCAGTCACATTTGTATTTTTTAATATGGTGGCAATGACAGTGTTCTCATTACAAAGTGATTATTTATTTGTTTTTCAGTAATTCGACTAAAAGTACCAGAGTAGCATTTTAAACCTATTGTTTGTAAAATAAAATGCATATAAAGAAAATGAAAACAAACAAATGTATAACTTAGTGAAAAATTACAAGAACATCCATGTAACCTAGATCAAGAAATAGCATGTAGCCAGCCGTCTGAGAAGCCCCCCAATGTGTGTCCCATCAAAGTCACAAACCTCTCCATCCACACAAAAATAACCTCGATTTTGGCTTTTTCAATAATCCTTTTCCTGCCTTACTTTATGATCTTGTCACCCAAGTACCCATCCTTAGTTTTACTGATTTTTTAAAAACTTAACGTCTTTTAGGGCTCCGCTGACCTACAGACTCTCTCATGTTGTAGCTCAGTATGTTCCTGTGAACTCTGTATTTTCTGTAAATTGATTCTGGATTCAATGGACTGATTAAGCTCACTTTCTACTCATTTGGCAAGTCTAAAGTCTTGTAAACAGAAGGCACATAATGTCTGGTATCCATTCCTTATGATGTTAGCTGCCTAAATTCATCAATTCCTTAGGGGGTTAAAAAATTGTAAATTCTAATTGTACGTTTTTAAATAGACTGGCTGAAATAATTTCTAAAAGAGAGACTTACCATCACCATCATCTATAATTTTGCTGTGTTTTAGTTTGTATAAGAAAAACAGGATATATGTTAGATCCTTGCCTTTTATCTAACTAATTTTTAAGAAAATAAATTTTTCCTAGTCATCTTCAGAGGGGAACTAACTAGACCTTTTAAATGGTTATGAATTCATGAATTGAAATATATTTGATGAGTATCAATCCATTCTAAATATGATCCTTATTGAAGCTTAAATTGTCTCACCTTTGACCAATAGAGTCCTTTCAAATTGGCTCCTAAAATCTTTTGACATGACCCTGATAATTTTTGATAACTATCTTTTTATCTGGCATGTTAAGATGTTCCACACTCATCTTGTACATTTTGTGCCCTAAACTCCACCGCTTTTCCAAGAAGTCCTCATTTCCTTTATTGGGAAATTATATTTCATGGGAAAAGCCTGACACTAAGGATGCTCACAGATCGGTCATTTTTTTTTCTAGGCCTTTTCAATGGGCAGAGATACAATATATTCAGGTGTTATGCTGAGTCTTTTCTACATTACACCTGTGTCTCCTCTCTTCCTTACTCAAGACATAGGGAATGACAGAATTAGAATATGGCATTTAATAAATGCTAATATGCTTTGTACCCACACACAGTTGCCTCTTCTATATCTCTTAAGGCATTGTTTGTTATGATTATTCACTTTTGTGTTATTTCCATTTTAGTTTTTGTTTCAAAAATGGGTTTTTAACTCATGTAACAAGTGAGTCCAAGGGATTCAGCAATTGTCCCATCGGGAAAAGCAGCTTTTAATTTGGAGTTTATAAGGTTTTTAATTTGTCATACAACCTCCACCTGATCACAGAAAGCTTTTCGTTTCTTAATACTTAAGATCAAAGAAAGTGTCCCTTCTTAATGCTTTAAAACTTCTACACTTTCTGTAATTTTTACCTGTAGTACTTTTCAGTCCCCCGACTGTCTTCATGCTTTTACTCCTAAGGTGGAGAAATACCTTATGTATTTGAGGAAAAACATGAAGACAGTGTTTCTGTGGTGGAGTGAGTATTTGAGTATTAGAAAGGATGAGTATCAGGAAATGAGAACATGAAATCTATCTGGGACCAGATGTTTGTCAAAAATTTGGGTTATTCAGAATGAGATGGTAAGCCAACAGGGAGTTTTGTTCAGAGAAATTACGTAATTTGATTTCTTTTAAAAATAGATTACTCCGAAGTGGTGTGGTGGCTCACATCCCAACACTTTGGGAGGCTGAGGCAGGAGGATTACTTGAGCCCAGGAGTTCCAGACCAACCCGAGCAACATAATGAAGCCCCATTGCCATTTAAAAAATGTTTTAATTAAAAAATAGATTTTTCTGGATGTTTGTGTCAAGAATAGACACTAACAGGGTGAAGTACAGGAAAAACATTAGAGAGACTTGTTATATTCAGTTATAAGCATTGGGGTTTATATTGATTAGCAGTCAGGAAGATGAGCTGGAAAAAGTACAGGAGACTGAGAGGAAGCATTTGGAATGGTACAAAGAAAATCAGAGTACACTTGGTATGTCAGTGTATACAAGTATGTAAGGAAAATCTCTGTGGAATACTGAAAAAGTTGCTATTTTTTTCAGACCTAATATTTTTAAATGTACAATTGGCATATAATAACTGTATATATTTATAGGGTACAGTGTGATGCTTCAATACATGTATACACTGTAGAATGATCAAATCAGAGTAATTAGTATATCCATCACTTTAAACATTTGTAATTTTTTTATGATGATTCAAAATCTTCTCTTCCAGCTCCCTTGAAACATGCAATACTTTATTATTAGCTACGGTTGCTCTACTGTGTAATAAGACACCAGAATTTTCTCTTCCTGTATAACTGTGACTTTTTACCTGTTCACTACCTCTCTCCATCCCACCAGCCATCTCTCCTCCCCAGCCTCTGGTGGCCTCTATTCTACTCCCTACTTCTCTGAGGTCAACTTCTTCAGATTCCACATATGGATTAGATTAAGTGATGTCTGTCTTTTTGTGCCTTAAAAAGTTTTCATTTTTTTTTCACGTTTGCCTATTTCTATCCAATTAACACTCCCATCAAAGCTGACTTCAGGATACAAATAGTTTAATAACTATGTCACAAATTTCCAGAATATTTTACAATCAACTCTCTGGAGCTGCGGCATGCTGAACTAGGACACCATTGGGTGTCTTGGAATCCACATAAAAATAGTATTTCAAGGAGGAAGAAATGATCCACTGTACCAAAGGCCAGGTAAAATGAGGACTGAAATTTACCATTGGATTTAACCATGTGAAGGTCACTGGTAAACTGAAGTAGGTCCATTTTTTTTTTTTTTTTTGGAATGAGAAAACTCTAGCTTATTGGAATGAGATTAAGAACAAATGAGAAGAAACTGTAGAATATATGAAAAGAGAAATGGAGAAGTCATTTGAGGGCAAGTCACAACAACAAAGCATTGTCTTTTTAAGATGAAACAACACTAACGTTGTTGTATTCTGATAAGAATGATGCACTTTCTTTTAAAGAAGTAATGAGAAAGAGTATTGCCGGAGCTATCTTCATAACCAGCAAAAGGAGAATGGGAGCAGGAGTCAGAGTAGAGGTCAAGAGTACGGGTCAGAAAACTATACCTCAAGGGGCAAATATGGCTTACCACTTGCTTTTGTACATAAAATGTTATGGGAACACAGCTACACCTGTCTGTTTATTTATTTTCTGTGGCTATGTTCATGGTTCTACTCCAGAGTTGTGTAGTTGCAGCAGAATCTACATGGTCCACAAAGACTAAAATGTTTACTATCCTGCCCTGTACAGAAACATCTAGAGGACAACGGAAGGTCATTTTTTTTCTTCTTCTTTTCTTTTTAATTATACTTTAAGTTCTAGGGTACATGTGCAGAACGTGCAGGTTTTTTACATAGGTATACATATACCATGTTGGTTTGCTGCACCCATCAACTCGTCATTTACATTAGGTATTTCTCCTAATGTTATCCCTCCTCCAGCCTTCCACCTGCTGACAGGCCCCAGTGTGTGATGTTCCCTGCCTTGTGTCCATGTGTTCTCATTGTTCAATTCCCACTTGTGAGTGAGAACATGTGGTGTTTTGTTTTCTGTCCTTGTGATAGTTTGCTGAGAATGATGGTTTCCCTGCAAAGGACAAGAACTCATTCTTTTTTATGGCTGCATAGTATTCCATGGTGTATATGTGCCACAATTTCTTAATCCAGTCCATCATTGATGGACATTTGGGTTGGTTCCAAGACTTTCCTATTGTGAATAATGCCGCAATAAACATATGTGTGAATGTCTCTTTATAGTAGCATGATTTATAATCCTTTGGGTATATACCCAGTAATGGGATCACTGGGTCAAATGGTATTTCTAGTTCTAGATCCTTGAGGAATCACTACACTGTCTTGCACAATGCTTGAACTAATTTACACTCCCACCAAAGGTGTAAAAATGTTCCTATTTCTCCACATCATCTCCATCATTTGTTGTTTCCTGACTTTTTAATGATCACCATTCTAACTGGAGTGAGAAGGTATCTCATTTTGGTTTTGATTTGCATTTCTCTAATGACCAGTGATGATGAGCATTTTTTCATATGTCTGTGGGCTGCATAAATGTCTTCTTTTAAGAAGTGTGTGTTCATATCATTTGCCCACTTTTTGATGGGTTTGTTTTTTTTCTCGTTAATTTATTTAAGTTCTGTGTAGATTCTGGATATTAGCCCTTTGTGAGATGGGTAGATTGCAAAAATTTTTTCCCATCCTGTAGGTTGCCTGTTCACTCTGATGGTACTTGATTTTCCTGTGCAGAAGCTCTTTAGTTTAATGAGATCCCATTTGTCTATTTTGGCTTTTGTTGCCATTACTTTTGGTGTTTTAGTCATGAAGTCTTTGTCCATGCCTATGTCCTGAATGGTATTGCCTAAGTTTTCTTCTAGGGTTTTTATGGTTTTAGGTCTAACATTTAAGTCTTTAATCCATCTTGAATTAATTTTTCTATAAGGTGTAAGGAAGGGATCCAGTTTCAGCTTTCTATATATGGCTAGCCATTTTCCCAGCACCATTTATTAAATAGGGAATCCTTTCCCCATTGCTTGTTTTTGTCAGGTTTGTCAAAGGTCAGATGGTTGTAGATGTGTAGTGTTATTTCTGAGGTCTCTGTTCTGTTCCATTGGTCTATATATCTGTTTTGGTACCAGTACCATGCTATTTGGTTACTGTAGCCATGCAGTATAGTTTGAAGTCAGGTAGTGTGATGTCTCCAGCTTTGTTCTTTTTGCTTAGGATTATCTTGGCTATATGGGCTCTTTCTTGATTCCATATGAACTTTAAAGTAGTTTTTTCCAATTCTGTGAAGAAAGTCATTGGTAGCTTGATGGGGATAGCATTGAATCTATAAATTACCTTGGGAAGTATGGCCATTTTCATGATATTGATTCTTCCTATCCATGAGCATGGAATGTTCTTCCATTTGTTTGTGTCCTCTTTTATTTCGTTGAGCAGTGGTTTATAGTTCTCCTTGAAGAGGTCCTTCACATCCCTTGTAAGTTGGATTTCTAGGTATTTTATTCTCTTTGTAGTAATTGTGCATGGGAGTTCACTCGTGATTTGGCTCTGTGTTTGTCTGTTATTAGCGTATAGGAGTGCTTGTGATTTTTGCACATTGATTTTGTATCCTGAGACTTTGCTGAAGTTGCTTATCAGCTTAAGGAGATTTTGGGCCAAGACGATGGGGTTTTCTAAATATAAAATCATGTCATCTGCAAACAGGGACAATTTGACTTCCTCTTTTCCTAACCAAATACCCTTTATTTATTTCTCTTGGCCTGATTGCCCTGGCCAGAACTTTCAACAGTATGTTGAATAGGAGTGGTGAGAGAGGGCATCCTTGCCTTGTGCCAGTTTTCAAAGGGAATGCTTCCAGTTTTTGCCCATTCAGTATGATATTGGCTGTGGGTATGTCATAAATAGCTCTTATTATTTTGAGATATAGTCCATCAATACCTAGTTTATTGAGAGTTTTTAGCATAAAGCGCTGTTGAATTTTGTCAAAAGACTTTTCTGCATCTATTGAGATAATCATTTGGTTTTTGTCATTGGTTCTGTTTATGTGATGGATTACATTTGTTGATTTGCATATGTTGAACCAGCCTTGCATCCCAGGGATAAAGCCAACTTGATCATGGTAGATAAGCTTCTACTTATCTGCTGCTGGATTCAGTTTGCCCATATTTTATTATGGGGGGAACCAGCCCCCAATATTTCAACTTAGGTTCTTTTCTGTTTTCCCTAAGTGTCGACCAGTCTGAGAAATAAAGAGAAAGAGCACAAAAAAGAGAAATTTTACAGCTTGGTCTCCGGGGATGACATCACATGTTGGCAGGTTCCATGATGCCCCCTGAGCCACAAAACCAGCAAGTTTTTATTAGGAATTTCAAAAGGGGAGGGGTGTACAAATAGGGAGTGGGTCACAGAGATCACATGCTTCAAAGGCAATAAAATATCACACGGGCAGAAAAGCAGAGTGAGATCACATGACCAGAGTGAAACTAGAATTACTGATGAAGGTCCATGTCCTGCTGGGCACACATTGTCATTGATAAACATCTTAACAGGAAACAGGGTTCAAGAGCAGACAACCAGTCTGACTAAAATTTCACCAGGCTGGAATTTCTCAATCCTAGCAAGCCTGGGGATGCTGCAGGAGACTAGGGTGTATTTCATCCCTTATTTTCAACTGCAGAAGACAGACACTCTCAGAGCGACCATTTTAGAGACCTCACCCTGGGAATGCATTCCTTTCCCAGGGCTACTCCTTGCTGAGGAAAATAATTCAGCGATATTTCTCCTATTCACTTTTGCAAGAAGAGAAATATGACTCTGTTCTGCCCAGCTCGGCAGGCAGTCAGACCTTATGGTTATCTCCCTTGTTCCCTGAAAATCGCTGTTATCCTGTTCTTTTAGGATGCCCAGATTTCATATTGTTCAAACACACATGTTTTACAAAAATTTATACAGATAACACACTCATCACAGGGTCCTGAGGCAACATACATCCTCAGTTTAGGAAGATGAGGGGATTAAGAGATTAAAGTAAAGACAGGCATAGGAAATTATAAGAGTATTGATTGGGGAAGTGATCAATGTCCATGGAATCTTCACAATTTGTGTTCAGAGATTGCAGTAAAGACAGGCATAAGAAATTATAAAAGTATTAATTTGGGGGAACTAATGAATGTCCATGAAATCTTCACAATTTATGTTCTTCTGCCATGGCTTCAGCCGGTCCCTCTGTTGAGGGTCCCTGACTTCCCACAACATCGCTCTCTTTCCTTTTATATAAATGTGCTATGGCAATGAAGGCTTGTTCATTCTCTTGATTTTGATGCAGGATTCTTTGACTGGTCCCACACAGTAAAGATAAGCCGATTAAACAGAGAAGCATAATTCCAAAATTTACTACAGTGGAGCCCCCAGTAGACTTAATCCAAGTCATGAGGTTTAGTCTAGAAAGATTTTCTGCCCCTGATCTAATGCCTCAGCTCCAAGCACAATGGATAAATGAGCCTGAGAGTTTTCAAAAATTTGTTTCTTTAATTTAGTTATGTCCAATGATAAATTATCTTCCCTACCCAGAAGGTGTCCTTTGACCATTTCCCATGAATGATCAGTCTCATTATAGGAATACGGGGTGATGAAGAAATCTGAAGTATTCCAATCACACTGCATTTGCATGCAATATTCGAGACTCACTACCCGATCTCCAAGCCAAATAACAGACTGTCTTAAATCATTAATTTGATTAGCCAATTTTTGATCAATGCCTTGTTGAGAATTCCACATTTGGGTGGAATTGGCTTGCCAATCATTAACAAAATGAGCCATGTGAATAGATTGATGTAATGCCATTCGGGCAGTGGTGGCCATTGGAGTGACTGTATTTAGGCCCATTATAACAGCGATTAAAGTGAAAACAAATCTCTTAGATCTTTTTAGAATTTGCTGTAACACTTCATTAATTAAATGTATTGAGGGGGAGGATTCCCAAGGTGTGAGCAAAGTTACCGGAATCCAGATTCCTTCTCAAGCTCGAACCAGCATTACACTTTTCTTGAAGTCAAAATAGGGAGTTAATACAAGTGTATAAATGACAATTAATGCATTGGACAGTTTGATTGTTCATCCAAATTTTGATATTTCCCACTAACAGCATGTGAGGAGGCTTAACACAACTCTGTATGGGAACAGTCAGGTTGGAGGTAAGCAAAGCAGAATGTCTGGATCTACGTTGATACTGAGGGAGGGGGACGGTAGTGGGGACAATAGACAGAAAAGTTTCCCCTTCCCATACTCACAGTCCAGACATGGCAATAGCCAATGTCCAAAGTTCTGGGTGTTCTGGGCTCAGAATGGGGAGTATCATACGAGGCCTTGGGGAGGTAATGCCTTTATCTTCCCATTTTAAGGGAAAGACTGAGATGAACCTCCTATGCAAAGTAGAATGATGATTTTTGTTCTCCCAATAAGAAATAAAATAAGTAGCCTCCAGGCATTCCCTTGGCCAGAGGAGCAATTGTTTTTTAAATAGCCCTTTGGTGCCATGTCTATTACTAAACCATATGACTCATTTTTTAATATTACTGCATTTGAGTTAACACAGTCTTCCCAAATTAAAGTTTTAGATGGGGCCTCAAAATTTTTAGGGCATGGTTTTCCCCAGGTTTATATTGAAAGTGTGGGGTATCTCCCATTACTCCCCCTTTCATTTTTCTTAAAGGAGAAAGGGAGATGCTGGAGACCAAATGTCCCGGTTCCTCTGTAGCTGATCTCTCCGGAAGATAAGCAGCCCAGATTTGGGTTTCTAGATGGATACAACCAGGTGCATGTCTGAGGCACAGAGGGGGGTATCTGTAACCCATAGTAACATTAAATGCAGGGCCTTCTTCTCCTGGTTTAGCAGGGCAACAGTCATCTGTAGCTCCAGGAATCCACACACTGTCATTAGTGTAGATTTCTGCAGGAGCATCCAGCCAGGTGAGAGGTCGAATAAGTGGAGGAAAAGGCACATAAGCCCAATAAGAATAATTTTGTGGAGCAGGTAAATCAGTGTGAGAGGAAACTGGTGAGACAGAAAGTATAAGGATAAATAAAACCCATTGTAAGCGAGATCCAGTGCTGAAGGAGGAAGAGAAGAACAGAGGGATGTTATTTCCAGGGTAATAGAAATGGTGAAATTTTTAGGTTTGTAAGGAGAAAAAGAAAGGTAATTAGGAGAGGTGGGATTAGTTAGATGGGTCTTCATTGCCATCAGGGAGGATTGAACCAGACCCATTTTGATTTGGTGTGCCAGCTTCTGAGGAGTTGGCACAGATTTCACCATGTCTGAGGGTGGTCTCTGACACGGATGTCTTTTCCTTGTGGTTTTCGTTGTCAGTATTCACATGAAGCTTGAGTCTCTAGTGGGCACCCAGACAGGGGATTGATGATCTCCTGGTGAAACATAAACATATCCTCTTTCCCAAGTTAATCAGAATCAGAGACAATATTTAAAGGTTTGGGGAAATCCTGTAAGGCAGTAATTACAGAAATTAACTCTGCCTTTTGAGCAGAGGTATAAGGGGTGGATATAAGCTTGTCTGTAGGACCTACATAACCAGCATTTTCATTGGAGCCATCAGTGAACACTGTAACAGCCTCAGGAATGGGCTGATCTTTGGTCAATCAAGGGACCACCCAAGAAGTCATTTTTATAAAATCAAACAATTTGTTTTCTGGATAATTATTGCCAAAAATGCCAATAAAATCAGCCAAGTGAATTTGCCACAGTACGGAATGTTGAAAGGCGGCTTGAACTTCGAGCCGATTTCAAGGAACTACAATTAAATTCGGATCAAATCCAGAAATTTTAAGTATTCTACACTGAGCTCATCCAGTTAGAATGGCCATTTGGTCCAGATAAACAGACAGAGTTTTTGACACAGAATGAGGAAGAAAACACCACTCTACTAAATCATTATGTTGAACTATTATCCCAGTAGGGGAGTGCAATGAAGCGAAAACCAGAAGCTGAAAAGGCTGAGAAAGCTGTACACTAGATAACTGGGCGGTCTGGATTCTTTCGTCTATGAATTCCAGTTCTAGTGACGCCTCAGGGTTCAAAGCTCTGGGACTGCAGAGATTGGAATCTCCCTGCAGCATAGAAAACAAGTTAGACAGCGCATAGGTTGGAATACCTAAAGTAGGTCTTAAATAATTAATGTTACCCAAGAGTTTTTGGAAGTCCTTTAAAGTTTTCAAAGAATCTCTCCGAATGTGAACTTTTTGAGGTTGAATACGTTGTTTATCGACCACCCTTCCTAAATATTGAACAGGAGTGGTCTGTTGAATGTGGTCTCCTGAGCGATGTGTAATCCAGCCTCTGTAACATGGCAGCTCAAAATTTGATAACAGTCAGTCAATTCTTTATCAGTGGGGTCGGCAATTAAAATGTCATCAATATAATGAAGAATATAGGCCTGGGGAAATTGGGCTCGAACTGGTGAAAGCACTTGTCCAACATAAAGCTGGCAGATTGTGGGGCTATTCAGCATTCCCTAAGGAAGTACTTTCCATTGATAGCAAGCTGCAGGCTCCTGATTATTGATAGATGGTACAGTAAAAAACAGATTTTTCACAGTCCGATTTATGTAGAGCAAGATGAAAAAAACAATCTTTAAGATCAATAACTATGAGAGGCCAATTTTTAGGTATTAAAGCAGGGGCAGGCATGCTGGGTTGGATGGCTCCCATAGGTTTAATTACTGCATTAATGGCCCTTAAATCGGTTACCATCTGCCACTTGCCTGATTTCTTTTTTACTAGAAACACAGGAGAATTCCAGGGAGAAAGAGAAGGTTCCACATTCTCAAGTTGTAACTGTTCAGAAACTAATTGAGTGAAAACCTCCAGTTTTTCCTTAGAGAGTGGCCACTGCTGAATCCAAATGGGTGTGTCAGATTTTCATTGTAAAGGGATATGATCAGGAGGCATGGCAGCGGCCGCCATTAAAAAGGGTAACCTAAACCAGCCCTGTCTTCTTTTACAGTAATTTGGAGGGGTTTAGTAATCCCTTCATGTTTTGGACCGAGACCGAGTCCAGGAACAAACTCCATGTTTTCCATCACATGCTGACTGGGAGCACTATAAGAGTTATGTGGAATATTAATTTCAGCCCCCCATTGTGCCAGTAAATCTCTACCCTAAAGATTAATGGGGATTGGTGTGATATAAGGCTGAATTGTACCTTTTTGACCATCAGGGCCAGTGCAAGTCAAGATAAATGTGCTCTGGTAAACTTCATCAGCTTTTCCACCACCTACTAGTCCCATGTTAGCAGGATGTTTAAGTGAGGAGGAAGGTCATAAACTAGAGGAAATAATAGAAACATCAGCCCTCAAACTTCTTTCCTTGAATGTGTATGGTGCAGGTGGGCCATTGTTTAGAAATTATATTAATCCAATAAGTGGCCTTTTCACCACCAGAGCCCATCCCAGGGCCACGTGTCTTATCTCCTTTGTTTAAAATGATATTAGGTAGTAAAAGCAGTTGAGCAATTGACTCACTGGCCGGAACGGAAACAGGAACCTTGGCAGACACGATTAATTTAATCTCATCAGTGGAATCAGAATTAATGAGACCAGTATGAATGGTGATTCCTTTAGCAGAGGTGGATGCCCCACCTAACACCAGGCCCACCAAACCTTGAGGTAAAGGGCCAGTGACCCCCATGGGGAAAATTAAAGGCAAAGAATTAGGTAGTAAATTTAGAGGAATGGTGCTACAGAGATTGACCACCCTACCCCCTACTGTGGAGGTGGACAAGCATTGTACTGAGACAGAAGGAGAGGCTGGGACCCATCTGGGTTGGCTGTAGATAAATTTGTTTGTGCTGGAGGCTGCGTTGGGACCGCCTGAAGTGGAAACGCAATGTTGGTCTGAGTCTGAAGCATCCCGTTTGATATTGGGGCCTGGGACTGGCCCCACTTCCCATTTCCCTGGTTCTGTGGCAGGGGGATTCCATCTATATCATACTTAGAGTGTCAAGTACTTACCCAATGTTTCCCTTTGCAACAACGTGGGCAAACAGTAGCAGCAGCATTTGGCCGTGTTTGCTGAGCCAGCTTGGCCGCTTTTAAGTTTTTAAGTGCAATTTTTACGAGTATGACCAAGTTGACCTCAATTATAGCAGGCTCCAAGAAAAGAATTAGTGGGGCCAGTTTGATTGGTGTCCTTCATGGCCCATGCCCACAGAATAGCTCTGTGGGTGTCTGAACCAATGCCTTCACAAGCTTTAATATATGCAGGTAACACCTCGTGATCAGGTAAATTTTGTCATTGGATGGAATGCATGGCCATTTTACACTCATGGTTCACATTTTCAAAAGCTAACATACGAAGGAGAATACCTTGAGCACTCTCATCAGAGACAAATTTTTCAACAGCATCTTGTAATTTAGCTAAAAAATCAGGGTATAGTTCAGCATGACCTTGTTTAACTGTAGTAAAAGAAACAGGAGCTTGGCCTGGGGCACGTAATTTATCCCAAGCTCTCATACACACCTTTGTTACTTGTTCTGTGGTAAGAGCATCAAAGTTTAATTGGGCATAAGTATCAGAGAAACTATCAGAGCCTGTGAGCTGAGCCTGAGTAATTAGAATGCCATTAGTCCGATTTAGCTGAGCCTGCAAACGGGCCTCCTCTGACTACCAGGTATGGAATTGTAAATGCTGAGATGGGGTTAGAACAGCTTTTGCCAAAAGGTCCCAGTCTAAAGGAAGCAAAATGGCCTCAGTACAAAAAGTTTGTAATACCATTTTAACATAAAGAGAAGTAAGACCATACTGAGTACAAGCATCCTTAAATTCTTTTAAAAAGGTAAGATTTAGAGGTACATAATGACACATTTATATCCCTTGGAAGTTGGGAGGTTCTAGCATGACCGGATAAGCCCACACATCTAATCCACTTGTTTCTTTGTTTTGGCGTAATAAGCATTGCACTGAAGTTTCAAGAGTAGGTATCTGAGATGGAGTTGGCATAGAAGTGACAGGAAAAGCATGTGTAGATAAGGCAAACTGAGGGTGAGGGGGTCAGAGCAGAATGACAGTGTGAGAAAGGGGTATTGGGGGAGCAGAAGGAGCAGAAGCGTACTGGTGATTACTAGCGTCCATGTGTGAAGAAGGGTACAGAGAAGCAGGCTGAATGGATGGCAAAGTGACCGGTTGAGGAACCAAAATGACAGGAGGGTGAGGGGCTGAAGTGGATGGGGGAGGGCCTGTAGAATTACAGGTAAATTTTAGTTTGGTCCTGGAGCCATTAGCTGACTCCGGAGGTTTAAAGAGAGAAGAATTAGCATATATATGGTCCCAGGCTGTCTGAGTCAGGGCCATGGGAACTACAAGTACCAGCTCTTCATGAAAAGAAATAAGGTCATTGGGGGGTGACCATAATCCAAAGTCACTGGAGTTAGATATTGAAGTCTCAGAATCGTTAGGTGGGGGAGGAGTAGATGAAGGGAGAGGCTGATCAGCTAACAAAGGCCGTGTGGGAGAGGAAGGTTGAGGAAGAGGTGGAGGGTCGTCAGATTCAGAAAATTATGGTAACTCTAGGGGGTCATGGGATTGGTATGTCATTAGGATGGCACGTATCAAGGCCCAATCACCCCAGACAGTGACAGGAACATAATTTCCTTTGGAGACCAGTTCCCAGAATGTTGCACCAACACAATCCCATAGTTCTACATCTAAGGTTCCTTTTTCAGGAAACCAAGGACAGTGTTCTTCCACCTCCCTGAATAGAGTGACCATATTTTCCATGGTTACCTGGACACTTCCCTGTTTTAACGGGAGTTTAATATAGCAGAGATAAGCATGATGTTTAGACTCTTTGTGACCCATAGTTAACCCGGACCATACACAGACTACTCATCAGTTGTCAGGGAGTTGAACAAGTTTCTGTGGACCGAACCAATGATGTTTCTCCACACCTACCAAAGGGAATTGGGTTCCCACATGCACTTGGGAAAAAAGAAAGACCATGTGGGTGCCAGATGTCAGGGGAACCAGCCCCCATTATTTCAATGTAGGTTCTTTTCTATTTTCCCTAAGTGTTGGCCAGTCTGAGAAATAAAGAGAAAGAGCACAAAAGAGAGAAATTTTACAGCTGGGTCTCTGGGGGTGACATCACATGTCGGCAGGTTCTGTGATTCCCCCTGAGCTGCAAAACCAGCAAGTTTCTATTAGGAGTTTCAAAAGGGGAGGGGTGTACAAATAGGGAGTGGGTCACAGAGATCACATACTTCAAAGGCAATAAAATATCACACGGGCAGAGAGGCAGAGTGAGATCACATGGCCAGACTGAAACTAGAATTACTGATGAAGGTCCATGTCCTGCTGAGCACACATTGTCATTGATAAACATCTTAACAGGAAACAGGGTTCAAGAGCAGACAACCAGTCTGACTAAAATTTCACCAGGCTGGAATTTCCCAATCCTAGCAAGCCTGGGGGTGCTGCAGGAGACGAGGGCGTATTTCATCCCTTATTTTCAACTGCATAAGACAAACACTCCCAGAGCGGCCATTTTAGAGACCTCCCCTTGGGAATGCATTCCTTTCCCAGGGCTATTACTTGCTGAGAAAAAGAATTCAGTGATATTTCTTCTATTCGCTTTTGCAAGAAGAGAAATGTAACACTGTTCTGCCCGGCCCCACAAGCAGTCAGACCTTACGGTTATCTCCCGTGTTCCCTGAAAATCGCTGTTATCCTGTTCTTTTAGGATGCCCAGATTTCATATTGTTCAAACACATATGTTTTACAAACAATTTGTACAGATAATGCACTCATCACAGGGTCCTGAGGCAACATACATCCTCAGCTTAGGAAGATGATGGGATTAAGAGATTAAAGTAAAGACGGGAATAGGAAAGTATAAGAGTATTGATTGGGGAAGTGATCAGTGTCCATGAAATCTTCACAATTTATGTTCAGAGATTGCAGTAAAGACAGGCATAAGAAATTATGAAAGTATTAATTTGGGGAACTAATAAATGTCTGTGAAATCTTCACAACTTATGTTCTTCTGCCATGGCTTCAGCTGGTCCCTCCATTCAGGGTCCCTGACTTCCCGCAACATTTTATGAGGATTTTCACATAGATTTTCATCAGAGATATTGGCCTAAAATTCTCTTTTTTTGTTGTGTCTCTGCCAGGCTTTGGTGTCAGGATGATACTGGCCTCCTAAAATGAGTTATGGAGGATTCCCTCTTTTTCTATTGATTGGAATAGTTTCAGAAGGAATGGTACCAGCTCTTGTTTGTACCTGTGGTAGAATTCAGCTGTGAATCTGTCTGGTCCTGGACTTTTTTTGGTTGGTATGCTATTAATTATTGCCTAAAGTTCAAAGCCTGTTATTTGTCTATTCAGAGATTCTACTTCTTCCTGGTTTACTCTTGGGAGGATGTATGTGTCCAGGAATTTATCCATTTCTTCTAGATTTTCTAGTTTATTTGCATAGAGATGTTCATAGTATTCTCTGATGGCAGTTTTATTTCTGTGGGATCTGTGGTGATATCCCCTTTATCATTTTTTATTGTGTCTATTTGATTCTTCTCTCTTTTCTTCTTTATTAGTCTTGCTATTGGTCTATGTGTTTTTTGATCTTTTCAAAAAACCAGTTCCTGGATTCATTGATTTTTTGAAGGGTTTTTTGTGTCTCTATCTCCTTCAGTTCTGCTCTGATCTTAGTAATTTCTTGTGTTCTGCTAGCTTTTGAATTTGTTTGCTCTTGCTTCTCAGTTCTTTTAATTGTGATGTTAGGGTGTCAATTTTAGATCTTTCCTGCTTTCTGTTATGAGCATTTAGTGCTATAAATTTCCCTCTACACGCTGCTTTCAGTGTATCCCTGAGATTCTGGTATGTTGTGTCTTTGTTCTCACTGGCTTCAAAGAACATCTTTATTTCTGCCTTCATTTTGTTATTTACCCAGTAGTCATTGAGGAGCAGGTTGTTCTATTTCCATGTAGTTGTGCAGTTTTCAGTGAGTTTCTTAATCCTGAGTTCTAATTTGATTGCACTGTGGTCTGAGAGACAGTTTGTTGTGATTTCTGTTCTTTTACAATTGCTGAGGAGTGTTTTACTTCCAATTATATGGTCAATTTTAGAATAAGTGCCATACGGTGCTGAGAAGAATGTATATTCTGTTGACTTGGGGTTGACTTGGGGTGGAGAGTTCAGTAGATGTCTATTAGGTCCGCTTGGTCCAAAGCTGAGTTCAAGTCCTGGATATCCTTGTGAACCTTCTGTCTCATTGATCTGTCTAATATTGGTAGTGGGGTGTTAAAGTCTCCCACTATTATTGTGTGGGAGTCTAAGTCTCTTTGTAGGTCTCTAAGGACTTGTGTTATGAATCTGGGTGCTTCTGTATTGGATGCATATATATTTAGGATAGTTACTTCTTCTTGTTGAATTGATCCCTTTACCATTATGTAATGGCCTTCTTTGTCTCTTTTGATCTTTGTTGGTTTAAAGCCTGTTTTATCAGAGACTAGGATTGCAACCCCTGCTTTTATTTTTTGCTTCCCATTTGCTAGGTAGATCTTCCTCCATCCCTTTATTTTGAGCCTATGTGTGTTTCTGCACGTGAGATGGGTCTCCTGAATATAGCACACCAATGGGTCTTGACTGTTTATCCAATTTGCCAGTCTGTGTCTTTTAATTGGGACACTTAGCCCATTTACATTTAAGGTTAATATTGTTATGTGTGAATTTAATCCTGTCATTATGAGGTTGGCTGTTTATTTTGCCCATTAATTGATGCAGTTTATTCATAGCGTCAATGGTCTTGACAATTTGGCATGTTTTTCAGTGGCTGGTGCTGGTTTTTCCTTTTCATGTTTAGTGTTTCCTTCAGGAGCTCTTGTAGGGCAGGTCTGGTAGTGACAAAATCTCTCAGAATTTGCTTGTCTGTAAAGTATTTTATTTCTCCACTTATGAAGCTTAGTTTGGCTGGATATGAAATTCTGGGTTAAAAATTCATTTCTTTAAGAATGTTGAATATTGGCCACCACTCTCTTCTGGCTTGTAGAGTTTCTGCCAAGAGATCTGCTGTTAGTCTTATGGGATTCCCTTTGTGGGTAACCTGACCCTTCTCTCTGGCTGCCCTTAACATTTTTTCTTTCATGTCAACCTTGGTGAATCTGACAATTACGTGTCTTGGGGTTGCTCTTCTCGAGGAGTATCTTTGTGGTGCTCTTTGTATTTCCTGAATTTGAATGTTGGCCTGCCTTGCTAGGTTGGGGAAGTCCTCCTGGATAATATTCTGAGGAGCGTTTTCTAACTTGGTTTCATTCTCTCCATCACTTTCAGGCACACCAATCAAATGTAGATTTGGTCTTTTCACATAGTCCCTTATTTCTCTGAGGCTTTGTTAGTTTCTTTTCATTCATTTTTCTCTAATCTTGTCTTCTTACTTTATTTCATTAATTTGATCTTCAATCACTGATATCCTTTCATCCACTTGATCGAATGGGCTATTCAAGCTTGTGAATGCATCATGAAGTTCTCGTGCTGTGGTTTTGAGCTCCATCAGGTCACTTAATGTCTTCTCTACACTGCTTATTCTAGTTACCCATTCATCTAACCTTTTTCAAGATTTTTAGCTTCATTGCGGTGGGTTAGAACATGCTCCTTTAGCTCAGAGAAGTTTGTTATTACCGACCTTCTGAAGACTACTTCTGTCAACTCGTCAAACTGATTCTCTGTCCAGTTTTGATCCCTTGCTGGTGAGGATGTGTGATCTTTTGGAGGAGAAGAGGTGCTCTGGTTTTTGGAATTTTCAGCTTTTCTGCTCTGGTTTCTCCCATCTTTGTGGTTTTATCTACCTTTGGTCTTTGATGTTGGTGACCTACAGATGGGGTTTTGGTGTGGATGTCTGTTTTGTTGATGTTTATGGTATTCGTATCTGTTTGTTAGTTTTCCTTCTAACAGTCAGGCCCCTCAGCTGCAGGTCTGTTGTAGTTTGCTGGAGGTCCCCTCCAGACCCTGTTTGCCTGGGTTTCAACAGCGGAGGCTGCTATTTTCTTAGTGAAGTAAAAATCATCATCATCATAGTGTGACAATAGAGGGAAGAGATTGCGGAGCTATGAGGAGAGAGGAATGCACACTTTATTCATACGAAAGAGTGAATAAGCCATTTAAGTTAGTGGTCAAGGATTTGAAATAATGGCAGTCAGCACATGGTTATATATACTTCTCCAACCACACTCAGCTGCGTGGATGCCAGTTGTGTTAGTTTGGGGTTCCATGAGAAGCACATGCCAAGACAGAATTAGATGTACAAGAGAATCATTACGGCAAATGCCTGTTAGAGAAAAAGGGGAGGCTACCAGATGAAAAGCTGGTAAAGGAAGAAAATTCTTGAATTGATGTTATGGGGGTATTGCAATTATTGAGAATGAACAAAACTAGCCTTGGAACTGAGGTTTAAAAATCTAAAGCATAAGGAAAAATAACCAGAGATCAGTAGATGACTGCCACGGGATGGGGATGGCATGGTGAGCAGCACAGTTTAAAGACCTGATCATCAAAGCCAGAGGTTTAATTGGAATGAATTGGAAGCATGAAGAAAACTACTTAATGCTTAGGCTAAACAATACTGAAAGTGTGAAAAACAACTGTGTCTTGGGAAGGTTGCAAGGTAACCATATATGGTTAAGAAAAGACCCAGGTTTCAGTTACACCAAGAAGTGAAGATAATGTTTAGAAATAAGGCTGTTTCTATTTAGCTACAGGATAGACCAAAGACTCCAGAAGTTTCCACGGCAAGGCTTCTAGTGTTGTCAAAGTATATATGCCTATATGCCTTTCCTTTGGCAGTAGACATAAATACTCTCTTAGTTCTGCTCATGGGACAGAATATACCATTTGTCTCATTACCATGGTTACCCTGCCTCTGTTGCTTCATACTGCAGTCTCCTCATCTTTCTTCTAGGACGTCCTCATTTGTAGGGCTTAATGTCTACCATGTGCTCAAGGTTTCGGGAGGAATGGGAAAGTGATGCAACATATAAAATATGATGAGAGACATACTTTCTATAGTGACACATGACATACTATTAATTCTCTGTGGCTTATTCTATACTAAATGTGTATGGCTATGTAACAAATTACCCCAAAACGTAGTGATTTAAAACAATAAGCACTTATTATCTCACAGATTCTGTGGACCAAGAATTCAGGTACTGCTTTGATCTTTTTAAGATATTCACGAAAAGATGACAGTCCTGCCCTTAGCTTCATCTCCAGACTACCTTTTCCTTATAGTGCCCTGGATCTGATCAGCACTCCAAAGCCATTTCTGAATTTTAACATCGTTTGCCATCTGTAGAAGCTGAGCATTTTCAAAAGTCTTGGCACTTTTTTTTTAACAGTCCTTCCTTCAATATATCTCATTCCTCTCACATTTTATTATAAGCAGCAAGAAAAAACAAGCAGTACCTTTAACACTTTGCTTGGAAATCTCCTTAACTAGATTACCCAGTTCATTAGGCACATTTTCTACTTTCCACCTTACTGCAATAGTGTTGCTACATTCTCCCACTACATAATAAACATTTTCCCTTCCTAAAGTTTTCAATTACAGGCTCTCACCTCCTCCTGAGCCTTCACCAGCAGCAGCCTCAACGTCCAGATTTCTAAGTCTGTTCAAGGCAATTTATGTGTCTTCCATTATACTCACCATTCTTCCAGCCTCCACATGCTGCCTACTTCCAAAGTGAGTTGCATACCTTCAGTACTTGTCATGGGGGCCTCTCCTTCTAGATGCCGAACTCTGTATTAGTTATCTATTGCTGCATAACAAATAATCTCAATAATTCAATAATTAAAAGCTTATAACAAACATTATCTCAAAGAACCTATGTGATGGTTAATACTGAGTGTCAAGTTGATTGGATTGAGAAGTACAAAGTATTAATCCTGGGTGTGTCTGTGTGGGTGTTGCCAAAAGAGTTTAACATTTGAGTCAGTGGGCTGGGGAAATCAGATCCACCCATAATCTGGGTAGGCACCATCTAATCAGCTGCCAGCGAACATAATGCAGGCAGAAAAATGTGAAAAGGAGAGACAGACCTAGCCTCCCTGATTCTTCCTAATTCTTTATTTTCACATCTTTCTCTCGTGCTGGATGCTTCCTGCCCTTGAACATTGGACTCCAAGTTCTTCAGTTTTGAGACTCGTACTGGCTCTCCTTGCTCCTCAGCTTGCAGACAGCCTATTGTGGGACCTTGTGATCATGTTAGTTAATACTTAATAAACTATATATAGTTATTATATATATGTTACATTACCGTGTAATATATTTTCCTATCACTTCGAAATCTGGGTACAGCTTAGCTGGGTGCCTTTAACTCCGGGTCTCTCACAAAGCTGCATTCAAGATGTTGGCTGGGGCTGAAGTCATCTTAAGACTTGACTGAGGGATGACCCTTTTGCAAGCTCCCTCAGGTGGCTATTAGCTGGCCTCAGGGTCTCACTGACTGTTTGCCAGAGACATCAATACCTTGTTAAGACAGCCTCCCCATAGAGCAGCTCCCAACATGGCGGCTGGTTTCCCTCAGAGTAAACAAGTGAAGGAGCAAGAGAGAACACTCAAGGCAGAAACCACAATCTTTTTGAAACCTAATCTCAAAAGCAGTATCCCATTCCTTTTACTCTATTCTGTTATACACAAGTCTAAACTAAAAGAGAGGATTTACACAGGACATAAATACGAGGAGGTGAGAATCAGGGAAGGCCAACTTAGAGACTACCTACCACAATAACCTACATTCATAATGGAAGAAAT
Source organism: Homo sapiens (assembly GCF_000001405.40). Lineage (NCBI taxonomy): Eukaryota > Metazoa > Chordata > Mammalia > Primates > Hominidae > Homo > Homo sapiens. The sequence continues at coordinate 79,045,952 of NC_000003.12, read as the reverse complement.
GCTGACTTTAAGTTAGAGTTTAGTGAAAATAATGACTTTAGAGTTTCGTGAAAAAATAACTTTTTCCTCATCAAAATTCACGAATCTCTTGTGTAGTATTAAGGACCTCCAGACTAGAGAAAGCTTTTGTTCCTGCCATATTGACTAAGAATTATTTGGAGAAATTGGAGAAGCTTAATAAGTATTGATTTTACCACAAAGGCAAGTTGATTAGGATAGATAGAACTTATATAAAATTGTTGGTTTGTTGATATATTTGTAGGGCACCGTCTAGTTCCTTAAAAATGGATTTTTTTAATGCACAATAGCTGAAAAGTGACATTTTATGATGCAAGAAAGCAATTTTTAAAGTATAGAATTTTAAACAATTGTTAATTCTCCATGTTTAGTCATTTTTGTATGGTGTTATTTATATTGCATTTCATATCTCTATCATCTCTATATAGATCTATATCGTCTCTCCATATATCTCCATATGTTTCTCTATAATTATTAAGGTTTACTAAAACCAAGAAGTTTAAACTGGAAAATTTTGTATAAAGTGGAGTTAATTTGATAATTTTGAAGCTAACACAACAAATCATTAAGCTTCTTTATTTTCACTAGCTTTTTTAAGAAAAACTTTAATGTATAGTTCATTATTTGGTGTTCGTGCTAAAAATACATTCGCATTTTTATCATTATTATCATGAAAATTAGGAGAATCTAAAAATTAGTTTCATTGTTAGTCTCTTCATGGATTGCTTTATAGTAATTCTAATTTTCCTTTTAACTCAGTATTTTTATTATTTATTTTATTTTACTTTAAGGGGGTTTATTTTTTATTTTGGCATCATTCTTTCATTTCAAGGATCAGATCATTTCTTCCATAGCGCTTCATGGTCTTTCAAAGAACTATTCTTTGCTGACAGCCCAATTCCTATCACATGCTGAAACAGGCAAACATAGTGGGAAATAATATTTGTTTATGTTTCAGCCAGGGGTGCAATAATTTGTTTCATTTATTATTTAATACAATGCTTTGAGTATTTCTATTCTCAATTTTCAAACAAAAAAAGGGGAAACTGAGATATAATTATTTCCTGGGTCAAGTGGCAAATAACTTCTAGATTAAAGGCTGGGTCTGATTACAACTCTTATGTATCCATTAATTTTTTTTTAAAAAAAGAAAATGTCAAAAAGCTGTCTCTTTATCTATATGCCTATTTAGTCAAACTTTCTAGTTAAGTTATTTAACTTTTTTTTAAAAAAAGCTGACTGTGTTTCACTATAAAGTTTTAGTCTCCCTTCCTCCAATTTCCATACTAACTCCCATAGATAGATACTGAACAAAAGGCAATAATGTAAGGCCCCTACTTTCAACTAGCTCACTGTACTTTCATGACACTTATATTTATTATCACATTATTGGTTGGTAAATTATCTCTGAAAGCAAATTATAAGTATTTTTGTGGAGGAACCAGATATTATACTTTTATATCTTCTAGAATGTAGGTCATGTAATAAATGCTATAATAAATGCAGCTACTTTATCATTGGCTATTAAATTAAATGAGATAAATATTTCAAGGAATGGATATAAGATGATATTAGATAGGACCTTTATTTTAACTCATTTATTTAATAAAAATAGTAAGGTGCAAATTGCCTGCTCCACATGAAGCAGTGGAAAGTTAAGCATTTTTAAAACATCTACACTGAGCTTGTCCACCCCACAGCCCACAGGCCATATATGGCCCAGAATGGCTTTAACTGCAGGCTAACACAAATTTGTATACTTTCTTAAAAGATGATGAGATTTTTTTTTGCGATTTTTTTTTTTTTTTAGCTCATCAACTATCATTACTGTTAGTGTATTTTTTGTGTGACCCAAGACAATTCTGCTTCTTCCAATGTGGCCCAGGGAAGCCAAAAGATTGGACGCCCCTGATACACTATTACCCCAAGTACTATATCTCAAGGTAAATTTTAATGCAGCCATATAATAATTACATTTGTAGAGCAAGTTTTGTAGGTGAATTATCGTGCAGAATTCCACAGCAAGATGTATCCATTCTTCTCTGTTTTACAAATACAAGGCATTTTAAAGGAATCATTCCATTAGACATAGAGAGCAAATCTTGCCCTGAAAATATTACCTTGCATTTAACTTTGGAATTTGTAACCCTCTGACAAGAGTTCTTTGTTTGCCTAGTTTAGCTGTAGGTGGTTGCTGTATACATTTCTATACTTAACATGTGTTATCAACTTAGTTTGACAGCTTAAATCTAGCATAATGATGTGGAAATATAAACAAACGTTAAATGCACTTTTGCATTCCAATATTTTTCCCCTTAAATCTTACCCTTAAAACCAGTCGTTTGCAAGAAATACAGAATCTGAGAGGAGTTTTTTTAAAAAAAAATCTATATGATGTCATTCTATATATCTAGTAGTCCAATTTGACACACTATTTAGATTACCCTAAGCTTAAACCAACTTAGATATGGGTTTTGACCTTTAGTGACCTCGTTGGCTTTCCAAAGGATTGTTTCAATAAACAGATGGATCATTTTCCAAAGAGAATTTTTTTAATTAAAAATAGTCATTAAGATCTGTGTATGCCTTCTATGCCTGAGAAGAGCAAGTTCATAAAGGATAAAACTTCAGACCACTTGAGGACATGGAATTTGGTGATTTGGTGTTAAATTGACTTATTAGGGTCCTTTTATTTGATGTGGCTTGTTTTTTGTACTGTATTAAGCTAAATATCCACAAACCTCCAATTATGGGTTTCTTAGAAACATTTGATGAATTGCATCTACTGTTTCTTATTGACAATCTTCTTGAGCATTAGGCAATTTCTTTAAATCTGTTATAAAATGTTAAATTAGTGTAATTTTTTGGATTCCTTTTATGATAGTCTCAAAAAAGGGCAGACATTAAAAGATAGGAGTAAAAGAATTACATTTGGCAGTTTTTATATCATGAAGTTAAAATTAAGGGTATGGTGAAAATACAATTTTATTTTCTGAATTTGTTTATTAAGAGCTTGGGAAAAACCAGTGAGGGGAAAAATTGACATTTGGCAGTAAAATGGAGCTTTAAGAAGCAATTATTTAGAATTCAGATTTTATTATAGAATTTTATTTCAGTAGCAGCTTCCTGGTGCATGTAAAATATGAGTTGATTTGCTCATTTTAGGAATCATCTATCGTCTAAATTAGATCATAGATAAAAATAATTATCTTAATGCATATTTACCTAAAGAGTCTATGACACATTTCTCATTTTGTACTTATAGAAAGTTTCAATTTGGTAAACTGATAACAGAAAATGTATGCTTGAAACTCTCTGCAGGATTACATTTTAGAAATATGATATCATCTGTTAGATTCAGAACATCAGTGCCCTCAACTTATAATATTTAACTTTTTTTTGGAAATTACAAAGCAAAATTATTCTCTTCATTTATTAATCTCAGGAAATAGAAGGAACCAGGGTTTTTGCGCCGTGGAGAAGTTTAAAAGCAGGGTCTAATCTTTGTCAGCTGTGCGACCGCCATCGGAATATTTACCTTTCTGACTCTCAGCTTCTTCTCTTATCTCAATTTTTCATTTTTAAAAGGATAAAGACATGTTAGAATGTTATAAATATTAAACTCATGTGTGTGAGAGGTTGCATTATATATACATATGTGTGTGTGTATGTATGTATATGTGTAGACTAGTACCCAGAATATTTTATCTGCTCAAAATATTGTTGAATGAATGAACAAATGAATGAATAAATTGTGTGTGTTTACATATATATCTGGGACCTGTATGTATGTGTATATCTGATGCTTCAAAAATAGAAATGCTTAATAAATAGTAGCCTTCATCCTTTTTTATTATTCTGGGGAATGATATAAGGTGAATCCAAAGTGTTCCAAGATCTCAGTGCTCTGAATGTTGCCTCCCTTGGGTGTTACCAAACAGAGCCAAGGGAAAGAGGAATTGGTCATGCTATAGTCTCACCTGCCAGAGTTGTTTACTTCTGTCACTAATATGAATAAAGAACTAAGAGCAAAATTATGTCTTTCTTTATTTCCACCACCACAATAGCCATGAATATGTGGCCAAATATTTGGCCATGATAGGGCTTCACATTTCCAATCCCAGTCCAGAGGCTGGTGGCATGTATGCCATCTGCTCAGAGACCACAGAGAGGTTAACAGCATTGTTTCCTCCCATTTGTGGAAAATAAAGTATTAAGGGCTATCTGTGTGGGATAACCACATGAACCCACACAGAGCATCTCCTTTTGGAAAAAGCAGATCTGTCCTTGCAGAATTTAGCCAAACTATGCTAGCTTAATTACAGTTTTTACTTATATCTTCCACTCTCTGTCACAGCATCAGTGCTTTGAGAAGAGAAAATAATTCAAAAATATAACTGTTAATTTGATATGCATAGACCCGTAAAGAACATTCTATGGGATTGCAAAAAAAAAAAAAGTTTCTGCAACATAGGACTAATAATTGCTTTTAGATGCCACCATTTCAACTTTCAGGTAGAGGCAATACCTCTCAAATATTTACATCTTTAAGATTCGGTTGAGGAAGTGGAAGAGAAATCTCCAAGTCTTGGATATACAAAGATGAACAAGATGCTGTCTTAGTCATTCAAGATTTCACTTTACAAATGAAAGAAACAGACACACAAGTAACAGAAAAATAAAAAAAGAGGAGAAAGCAATAGGGAAGTATGACGAGTGCTATATAAATGAAAGTATAAGGGATTATACTAAAAAAATACTGACTTCCCCCAAGCATATCCCTTCTTCTTAGAGGAGTGAGAACAGTGATGGAAGCAATGGCATTTAATTTGGTGTCTTCTACTCCATGAAAAATTGCGAGAGAAGCCATAAGGAAAGACGTGTCCCCAGCAGGGAATGGCAGGGTAGGGAGTGATGTCTGAGAAGACTCTGGGACCTGATTGTTCTGCCAAGGCTCATGAGGATGTCAAAGGAGGGAAGTCAAAGGAGTGAGTCAGGCTGTGAAGAGTCAGACTGTGAAGAGTCATAGCCTTTTGGGCTATTCTAAAGTGTCTGGAATTTTTTTTTCGTAAGCAGTTATGACATATTGAAGTTTAAAAAGAAGTATTACACAATTGAATACTTTGTGTTGAAAAGAAAAAGATAACTGATTCAGGTGATCAAGAGCTAGGAATTGTAGTTAACCACTGGAATGACAAGATAAAAACTAAGTTCTAGTGTAGTTTTAGGGTGTTTTGTGTCTACAACAAGGGGTATAGAGTAACACTCTAATAACAACAGCAGATACATATGAAATATATTTAATGTCATGAGAGTGAAGAGTAGAAAATTATATATATGAGTAATAGTCAAAACGAATGGAGTGCTTATATTAAAAAAGCAAAAATACGAGTTGTGTTTTTGGCTTGAAGATAAAGATATGACTTGACCTTTGGTGTTACCCATTAAATGAGTAGGCAATTTCATCCTTTCTTGTAAATTATTCTTTTTAGTTTTTAAGATTATAAGCTCTTGTATATTACATTTGTTGAAACGGTAAGAGTAATTCAATGATGATTTAGAACTTTTGTGATAATAGACTTATGAAATTATATGAATAAGAAGTCAATGACGATTTAACATTTTTTGTGATGTTAGAGCTGACAAAGCACATTTTGAACTATTATCCCATTTGACCAGCACACCATTGATGCGACGTACATCCCCAGTGAAGATTATGGAGAAAGATTGAGGCGAATCTTTATCTCTTGTCGCAGTTTAGTTGCCAACATTAGCACTTCCTAGGGTACTTGTGAAGTCTCTTTCTAAATGGAAGTCCTTTGAGAGCCTAGATCAGAAAGAAATTCTTATATTTCTCTGATTGGTTGTAACTTGTTATTAATATCAATCTAACTTAAATTGTCTATAGGTCAGAAAGACAACCATGTCAAAGTAATGATGGTTATGTATTGAGCATTTACCATATATCAGATAATTTATATGTATTAAGTATCTCATTCCATCATTATAGCAATCTTGAAAGGAAGTTATTATTGTCCTCATTTTACAAACGAGAAAACTGAGACTGAAGCTAAGAAAATTGCCTAAGATCACATTGTCCTTAATAGACATAACTTTTTTTTTTTTTTTTTTTGAGACGGAGTCTTGCTTTGTAGCCCAGGCTGGAGCACAGTGGCGCGATCTCGGGTCACCTGCAACCTCTGCCTCCCGGGTCCTGGTTCAAGCAATTCTCCTGCCTCAGTCTCCCGAGTAGCTGGGATTACAGGCATGTGCCACCATGTCCAGCTAATTTTTGTATTTTTAGTAGAGACAGGGTTTCACCTGTTGGCCAGGATGGTCTTGAACTCCTGACCTCGTGATCTGCCCACCTCGGCCTCCCAAAGTGTTAGGATTACAGGCGTGAGCCACAGCGCTCAGCCACAAGACAGAATTTTAAATCCATGTCCATCTGACTCTAAAGCCATGGCTATTTCTACTGCCTAGCTTTTCTTCTCTGAAAGGCAGTACAATACTCCCTAATCTCCTGACCCACAGATGACTCAAGTTGACAATTCAATTCTAAAATTACGTAACACTTTAGCTTTAACGCTGAATTTCTCAGGGAAAATGTAAGGGCTTTCTGTAGGGAAAATACATTCCCCAGAAAACAGTTGAGAATTGGATTCCACAGTGAAATAAAAAGAAAGAAATAAAGTACCTCCAATCTAACTCTAAGTAGAGCAGTTACCTTTATTTTTTGAAATAGATATTAAAGCCAATTCTCTTTAGAAACTTTTGCACCTTAACTTTACCGAAAGATATAGAACATCAGAACAAAGTTATTTCTGTACATTATTTCTGGGCCATTGTCTAAAAATGAGTCTTCAATCATCGTTCTTCCTTGTGGTAGGGTCTTCACACACAACAAACTCTCAACTGTCAGGCTGGCTTTCTATCTGCTAACAGAGGAATGCTTCTCTTCTGCATAGAGAGAAAGGAGCAGCCTCTATGTGGAGGCTGCTGTGTGTGTTTATTCAGGTCTTAGAGAATACAGCCTTTTCTGCTCTTGATTTGGGCATGTGCTTGTGAGTCTTTCTTCCTGGCCATAGGAAATGCTACAGTCTGGAGCTGAGAGTTGGAAATGTAGAATTTGACTCATGGCCTCATGTCATATTGAGAAAGTCATTTGAATTTAATTTAGTACCAGATGCGATGTTAGGGAGAGTTTTTTTTTTTTTTTTAAATTGGACTTTGCTTGCAGTTTTAATGTTTCATAGATTATTTTTGACTGAATTTTAAAATCATTGTAGGAATTCAGTTTATAGTAGTGAGATGAGAAAATAAAGAATGGTGAGATGAGGAAAAAAATTACAAAATCAACAAGTATACAGGTAGAAGTTTACTTCACCTTTGAGTGAGAAGTATACTGACAGGTTATATAAGTTTATTTCTGTAAATCAAGGGTGTGTCTTGCTTTCAGCAGCTACTCTTCCTAATTTGTGCTGATGGTGAAACATAAAGATGGCAGTGTGAGAATCAGGGGATTAACTGTCTGCAAAATTTGAAATTTAGACCAAATCATAGATGGACAAAAGTTCATCATTCTGCAATAACTGTAGGGAGGTCACCACCACCACGAGGTTCTACTGTCTAAGAAGCCACTCATAAGTTCAAAGGCTCCTTCAATTGCTCAGTCAGTATGAGTCTTCCTGGAGCATGTGCCAAATGTGTTCTTGTTTCAGTTCTATACCACAAATCACTATAACAGAGATGAGACTCTACTAAACTTGGTTTTACATGTCCCATGCTTTGGTTTAGATTCCAGTGTGTAACTGATATCATCTTCAATTATTTTATTGGAAACATGACGTACAATAGTTAAGAGCTGTAAAGTTTAAGAAAGTGCTATTATATGGCACTTTCTTGCTTCAGATGAGTTTAAATCTAATTTTTAAAAAAATCTTTCTTGGATCATAATGAAAGGACAATGGAGAGATAATTAAACTTAAAACTACTTTTATTTCTGCAAAGTAAAGTGTTCAAAAGAACTATCCTCTTTGAGAATAAGACATCAAAGGGATAGCTAACTATCGTGAGGAACACATTTGTAGAAATGTTTAGTTCCCGTTCGTAATAAACTCCAACTGAAAGCTAAATTAGAACATAAAATGTAATGTAAAAATATATATGTCCAATTTACTTTGAATAACTTCACACATTTTTATGACTTTTTTAGAATAGAATCAAGATTTTACTTCTGATATTTATTTCTCTTGAAGTTAAACATACAAATACACTTCCTCACACACTTTTGCACATTAAGAGCCGACTATATCTAGCAGCATGGCTTCTGAACAATTTTCATGGTAAACATAAAATCCCTTAGTAATATATGGAAATTCTGCAACAAGTTTTATGAATATTTATTCCTTCTGACATCAAAAAAGAATATTTGAGTGAATAACAGAATCTCTTTCTAATATTGATCTTGGGGTAACATGGCTAAATCAACAATGTCTACATATCCTAAGTTACCACTAATTGATGGTGTTTCACTAGATGTCAGTTGCATTTATAAGGAGTAATGGTTCAGAGGAGAATAAAAATGAAATGGAAGAGGAATTATTTGAAATATAGGTAATAAGGCTGAAGAAATCATGGTATATTCATACAGAGAAGCCCTTGATGAGTGTCATTGTATTCTAACGAATACCTAGAATATTTAAGAAACACATTTGGTTAATTAAAATTAATTCTGAAAGCATCAATAAATTTTGTTTCAAAGGATAACAAATGAGAAAATATGTGAAATAGCCAACTGTGTCCACCCTATTTGCTAGTCTGCTTGAAATCTAGATGTGATCAGTTTCTCAACTTTGTTAGGTATTTGTTTTCATCCATAAGGTTTAATTTTCATTCCCATGAGAACTGAAAGAAATTTTATATATACTCTTTAGAGCCATCCTGTTAGGTTTCCTCAGAAACACGTCATCGATTTATAGACACAATTTGCTATGAGAACTCGAGAATCTGCAACATTTCTCTTTATGTGCTGCTCTGGAATCTAAAAATTCAATCCCACAGGACTTTTTAATCACTGAAAAGTTTTCACCCCTTGTGTGTTCAACTTTTCATATCCAGCATAGTGTAATGTGAGCCATACCCCAGATTCTGCCCTGGATAATTCAGTAATTCTTAACAGCTGACTTCAACTTAAAATATCGAATTTGAGGCACACAGAGACCTTCTTTACTTTGGGTCATTATAAAACTCCCAGTCAATATCTCTTTTTTTTTCCAGAAAGGAAGAATAAAGGAAACTGATAATTTTACTATGCTTGTATTCTTATGAACATATTGACATCATTATCTGATTTATATCTTAGTGATATAAAGTGTTTGTGGTTTTAATAAATTTGTGTAAGACCATCTACATAAAGATTCCTTCCAAAAGCAAGTATTTCTTTGGATATGAGACTTAAAAGATGTTTATATATGAAAGGCAGTATATATTCTACTCTGTCTGACACAATGTTAAAATTAAGGCAAGTTAATATTTAGCTCTTTCTGCCACAGAGAACCAGACCAGTGGTTATCAAGTGGAAAGGAAAAGATGAATAAATTCACATCACTTGCTTTTTATTTAAGGCAAAATTCATCCAAATAAAGATAAAATATACTGATTATATAAATGATCATTTATTTACAGACTTGTAAAGAAGAGAAAAGAAAGAGAAGATGAGGAAAATAAAAAGAGAAAAAGATTAACCTTTTTATGTTTATAAACATTTAGAAAGCGAGGTATAAGGACATAAACTTTGATATCTTGTTCTAGTTCTATAGAAAACTCCCATTAAGTTAGATTAATTTGTTAACCCATGTCAAAATTTGTTGCAATTTCTAAATATTGTGGTTATATTATAAAGAGATGAACATGTTGCCTCATCAATTTTAAAGAAGATATTTAATAAGTACATAAACAGATGGTTTTTTAAAATATTAATTATAAGTTAACATATCTCTAAATAACTTGAGATGCTTGAAAACTGTGGAGTCCTTTAGTTAAACACTTTTAATGGTCCCAGATAGTTTTGTTTGTGCAGTAAACAAGTTTTCGAGTTGTTTAACAAAAGCTAAATTTCAAGTTACTTCTTTTGGAAATTGGGGAATTTTCAATTAAAAGAATGATATGGTAATCTTTTTCTTATTAATGCTTTTTTTTTTTTTAGATAAAGTCTCGTACTGTTGCCCAGTTTGGAATGCAGTTGCACAGTCTTGGCTCACTGCAGCCTCAATCTTCCAGGTTCAAGTTCAAGTGATCCTCCCACCTTAGCCTCCAGAGTAGCTGGGACTAGAAACATTCACCACCACCATGCCCCACTAATTGTTTTTTTTGTTTTGTAGAGATGAGGTCTCACTATGTTGCTCAGGCTGGTCTTGAATTCCTGGCCTCGAGTGATCCTCCTGCCTGGGCCTCCCAAAGTGCCGGGATTGCAGGCATGAGCCACCTCACCCAGTTCTCATTATTCTTTCATGGATATCGTCAATAATTCAGTCAAGCCAGCTTTCTATTTTAACATTTCCATAGAAATTAACAAAGTAAGTTAGATCCGTAAAAGTGACAGACCTACCTGAGGGAGTTACTTATGAATAGCGCCTGCTGCCTACTGCAAAAATAGGAAAGTAAAACAATAGTTCTCATAAAAATTCTCCAAACGAAGAAATAGAAGAGACTTGACTTAAAAGTTGAAAAGAGCTTTAATTATTATTATAATACTCATTTTATATTTTTCAATAAAAATAAATATAAACATACTGAAAACATTTTAAATTTAGGAAAATAAAAATATATATTCCTCACACTAAGATACCAACGATTGCTATTTTGGTGTATTTCAACATAACTCTAGTAACTCTGTAAATATTGTATCTTTCTTATTTTTATTCTAAAAGTAACACATGCTGTAAAACTTAAATAGTATGGAAATATATACTTTAAAAATTACTGGTTTTATTGTCTGTTTCACCAACAAAGTTGATATATATTACACAAAATTGGGCTCACATATTCTAGGACATATATATTATTTTTTAATGTGGTATCCTGGATTTTATGTTATTGCTTCACAACTTCCTTCACCCAATAACACACAGGACACCTTTTTTGTCACTACCTATAAACTTATGTATTCCATTTTAATTACATAAAATGTAAGATTTAGATTGCTAATTTTATCCTAAGCAACTCATAAGTTTTCAAGTAGCTCCCAGTTATTATTTTTAATGACTGTAATATTCAATTTAATAACATACCATTGTTAAGTTCTTTGTTATTTTATTAGAAATTTAGACCTCTTCTAGTTTTATCCTCTTTATTCCCACGTTGTTTTAATACCACCATAGACATCTTTTACTATATATGAAATATTTCCTTAGCTTCCTAGAGTTGGAAATACTATATCAAAGGGCATGATCACTTTATAATTCTAATACAAATGGTTTCCCTCCTTCGTTCTTCACTCCCAGAGACTACAAAGGGTCATAAAAAGACCATGCACCAGAAGTCAGGCAGACCTGGCTTCTGACTAACAGGCCATCCTGTGTAAATGTGGAGACGTTTTTCATCTCTGTGAATCTCATTTTTCTATGTTCCTGAGTCTTAAGATACAAACTGTAAAAAATTCTGAGTATTAAATATGAATAACTGTAAAGGCAAAGGGCATCTTTTTAAACCTCACTTGTGAATTGGGAAGTAAAAAAATATGTTTACATCATTTTGTTATAATAATAGTATTTTCTAGGATGAAACTTTTTCCTCTGTTTATGGAGAACCAAAGGCCTCAAGAGATTTAAAGATTTGACTGAAAATACATTCTTGGAGAGTTTGAGATGTGAATACAATCTAGATCAGAGGTAGTTAGAGTAAATTATAAAGCACTATTTGCTCCAGAAATTTTTGAAAGGATTGACAGTTGTTTTGGCAGGGAAGCCATAGTGAAAAATTATGCTCCTGATTTGTAATAGACACTAGTTCTGAGGGTAGAATAAGAAGGTCGAGCCGGTGGGATAAAATCCTATTTCAAAGAACCATGGCTCGAGTTTTACAAATGCTCCAGAAAAAGCACTTTGAGAAATGAAGACCAGAGTATTTTAATATATATTGTAGCTGAGATGAACTATTGAAAATATAAAATAAATCACAAATTCAGAATACCAGTCAAGATTTTGAAAAAACAATGACAGCTTTGCTTTAAACTTTTAACCCAAGTGCATTTTAGAAAAACCAGCAAGGCCACCCTAATGATAAAGTCTGTATCTTCTGCCCTGGATGATAAGGATATTCTTTAGAAATCTTTTTGAAATAAATGTAATCAAGCATTAAAGCAGCATGTAGTGGTAAAATCAAACCAGGTGGATTAATTGCTGTATGCATTTTGTATTCCTTGGGGCATTATCACTTTTGTTTTCATTAAAGAATTTACACACCATTATATAACAATGTTGGTTTTCCTCAGTGATGTGTGAATCATATATAAAGAATGCTTCAACAGAGAATGAAAAATGTGAAATAAGTCACTCTAATTGGTAAATAACTCTTTAAATTTTATGTAAAAATGCTAAGAATATTCTTTCAACTAGGTAGAAGTATTACTTTAAAGAAATAAACACACTAGAGACATCATAATATTATAAAAATATTCCACAAATGTGCCAACAATTGGACCATACATATCTTGTTGGAAAATCCCCAGAATTCCTGGACAATTATGAGACTTGCAATTATCACTTTAAAATTATGTAATTGTATTATCTTGAATTAATGAGTGTTTAGGTTTATGTAAAATAATCAACTTTTCAGCTAATACAAAAACTAAAATCTTAGGAGTTTTGAAATTTGTGAGAATATTTTTTAAAATTCATGTTTTAATGTTCTACCACTCTAATATATTGTTTTATTATTTTGAGCTGTGTCATCTTCCATATTTAATTTTCTAAGGTCCCATCTAGTTAATGAACAGAAGTTTTTATTTCTCATTTTCCAGCCAGCAGAGGGCAATAGAGCATTGTGTACTAAACATCCTCAACCAATTGAAACATTTCATAGGGGAGGGATTTTCTGCTATGAACAGATAAGAACATAAATTAAAGAGACCTGCTATCAACTTCTATTTCAATAGGATGTGTATGTGTATGTGCACCCCTTGAGTTTTTGATTTATGTTTTTGATAATTTATTATGACTATAGTGAACTCATTATCTGAAATTAGTCCACGGGTACATGAATAAAAAACTAGGAAATAGCATAGTGGTAAATGTTATCCAATCTTTAGAGAACATTTCAAAAACTACAAATGTTTGTATTTTTCAAGAAGTTTCTATAGAGAGAGATTCTATTGCCATTTCATAAAGGGTAGTAAGTGAATTATCTGAGCTAAAAGAAAACTTCTCATCTTAAGTTTTTGCAAATAAATGGTTTACTGGTACTTACTTTAAGCATCCATTAGTATACCCATTCTAAACTTAATTTATTAAGTTAAATTTATTATATTATTTTTCATTTTTAAATCATTTTATGATGGACAAATGAAATCTATTTCTCAAAAACTATGTGGGATTTAGTATAATGTGCAATGGAAGAAAAATCTTGATAAAAATCTAATTTAAAGAACAATGTAATATTTTCTCTCAATGTTAAATTAGTTCTGAAGATATTATGTACCCTGTATTGTGTATTAAAAAATAATTTGCTCAATACATATCGTTGTTATAAGGTCAGGGAATGTCTGGACCTCCTAGCTTTAAACAACTATGATTCTTTCATTCTAGAAGCTATTGTTTCCCTCTCTTAAGCCTTATCTACACACAAATAGGTAAGCATTTAGAAAGCTCATTTCATGACACATAAGTATATACATTGAATATGTCCTTTTCATTTTTTTGGCTTCATACCCTATATAAGCCTGTGTGTCCATCTCACTATTGTTTAAGAGTATTGGGTTTTAAAAATACTATATTAATTGCAAACTCCCTAAATAAAATCAAATTGAATTATTTAGAAGAGTACTGTATGTAGAAGTGTTATAAATTGTGTTTATGGTTTTCTGAACAATCTTTTAAGCAACAATCTTTATATGACTTCCCTTATTAATTGAAAAAGTGTTCAGTTTTCTACTACTAACTATAAACTTAATCTTGAGCTTTCTTTTTCACGATGAAATCACAATAATAATAATCAATTAATGTTTGATGATTGCTAATTCCGTTACAAGCGCTTTATGTGTATTACTTGTTTCAATCCTTGCAAAACCCCTAGAAGGGGAGAACTATTATGCTCTTCACTTAATATAAAAAGAATAGGTGCTAGCGATATTAAGAAACTTACCCACCATCACCCAGCTAGTCAGTGACAGAGATGGACATTTGTATTCTTACCCACTTACACATTTTAGAAATGAACATTGTGCTTCGTTATTATTCTACATATGCACCTAAGCATTTTATTTTTCCTGCTCCAAAGAGCAAGTTTAAGTAAACTAACTTTTAAGTTGCCTGAGATATTCCTTTATCTTGTAGATCACTGGAAGAGGAATAATACATGTTATTCATGTGGTTTTTTTCCTGGAGAAATCTCAAAGTACACATATATATTCAATAATGACTAACAAGACACTGAAACATATCAATAGACTATATTTACTGTACTCATTCAAAGCCACATCCACACAAAAGCAAAATTTTGTTAGTTCTCATTTCATCATGTAAACTTGGGTAGCATTTAGAAATTATCACCATATAAATGTTTTGATTAACTCTCAATAGCTTACATCTAGCTAAGTGTCCATGCCGATTCAATGGTGCACTCTGCCTTACCATCACATATCACCTTTATTACCCTACTGAATTCAAGTATGCATGAAGGTAAATAACATATTGGGGCCGGGCATGGTGGCTCACGCCTGTAATCCCAGCACTTTGGGAGGCAGAGGCGGGTGGATCACCTGAGTTCAGGAGTTCAAGACTAGCCTGGCCAACATGGAGAAACCCCGTCTCTACTAAAAACACAAAAATTAGCTGGGTGTGGCAGTGCGTGCCTGTAATCCCAGCTACTTGGGAGGCTGAGGCAGGAGAATTGCTTGAACCCAGGAGGTGGAGGCTGCAGTGAGCTGAGGTTGCACCATTGCACTCCAGCCTGGTCGACAGAGTGAGACTCCATCTCAAAAAAATAAATAAATAACATATTGGAAAAAGATTGCCTCTTTATATAAAGCTCTAGATGACAACATATTAGAAGAATGTAATTGCATTTTCTTTATGAAGATGTATAAGCATTTAGTAATGCTTTGAAGATGTTTGTATAGAATTTTATAATAAATATTTACAGTACTCTCCCATATAGTAGGTACAGCATTGCTTGACTAATAACTTTAGAGCCTAACTGTACCCAAATCATAAGGTACATGCCCACCATCTTATATAATCCTTACATAAACCAAAACATTCCCCAGTGTATATTAAAGTTTAACTAGAGCAGAGTTACTCAGTCTAGATACTATTGACATTTTGGGCAAGCTTATTCTTTGTTGTGAGAGGGAGACTGTCCTATGCAATGGAAGATGTTTAGCAGTATCCCTTGCCTTAACACACCAGATGCCTATACCACCTTCTCACCACCTCCTCCACTCCTCTTCCCAGCTGTGACAACCACAAATGTCTCTGGACATTGCAGAATGTCAATGGGGAGGGATTACAGTAAGGGGGTAGAATCACCCCTAGTTGAAAATACTGAAATGGAGTAAACTTTTTAGCAATTGCCGGTTTCCATTAGGAAATGGATAGTTAGATGAAATGCCAAAAGCATGAATGCCCAGATATCTGCAATCTGCAAATAGACTTTCTTCTTGATCATACTTTTTGTCTAGCTAAGTGTTTTTCAAAACTTAGTATACTACACAAAATTGCCAACACAAAACAATGCTTAATGTACTTTGGGAAGAGAGAAAATACCATTGGTAAGCAAGTCATTACTTCCACTGTTGCGTTTACAAGATGTACAGAAGAGACAGGCTTAAGAGATATATTTTTACAGCAATTATTTGTGATCAGTGCTATGGAGAAATAGTCAATGTTGTTCTAGGATCATCACACAGAAATCTGATATGTAAAGAAAGGCTGAAAATGGCAGGTCTAGGTAGGCTTTCCTGAGGAAGAGACTTTGATCTGAAACTTAAAAGATAAATTGGAGTTACCCAGGGGAAGTATGGGCCAAATGGCAAATTCTTCAAACTGTGTTCTCGTGCTTTAATCACATAGCTTCTACCTTTAAAGCACATTTAATGATATTCTAGGAAATATACACGTCTAAAGAAACATCTCTGTATGCATTGCCAACTTTTAAGTTACTATTATTGGAAAATATTAAGGGGAGCAAGATCAGAGAATGTAGTGTAGTGGACAATGTGGTTTATTAATTAGACTTTGTCAAGTGTTCTCTACATTCCAGTATAAGTTAAAATAAACTGATAAATATTCACCATTATTTAAGACAGATGGGTTTTCCAGATAAATATCTGATTTTTTAAAGCGACAAAATTACTAATCTCAAAAAATAATGATATTACTTCTTCAATCAGTAAAGCATAAGAGATGATGACTTTTTAAAAATTATTTTAATTTTATGGTTCATTTTTCACTAGGAAAAAGGGGATAACTAAGTCTTTCAAACTCCTGTTGTGTGATAAGCAACCTAAGAAATTTAAAGGAAAATCAAGAAATAGATGATGTTAGGCCAAAGTAATGTGATTTGGATAAACTATGATGCACATTACACAGATAGGTTGATCCCTATTTAGACTAGTATATTTATGTATGGTGATGTCATAATCACTGAAAATAATTTTGGTAGCCAAATGTTAAACACTATACTCTCCCAGCTGAAAGGAACATTTAGTGAAATAATGAATTGTGCTTCAGTTTATACTTTTTTCCAAAGGTAACTATTTAGGAAAAGCGCTTATGTCTTAATTTATTGCCCTTACTAAAAGAAAAGAGTTTACTTTCTGGTGTGAAATACAAGACCTGTGAAATTCAGGCATATTTGTGAAAAACAAACATTTTCATTTATTAAACACTTGTAATAAAAACAAAAGGCATCCCTTAAACAAAAATATAATAATTCAATTAAATACAAAGGGGAAATTTAGGTGTTAATATTTGTCTCACGGTTTTTCATAGTTATCTGTGATCTTTCTTACTCTTACATATGTTGGTTCTAAGATCATTGGAATAAGCATTCTACAAAGCAACTTCAAACAATTGAGTAATTTAATAAATTGTGGAAAGTATGTATTGCTTTAATAGGATATCTATAATTAAAATGAAATTTACTAAGACTTTAGCCAGAAAACATTCTAATATAACTTTAAAGAATCAGATTATGCACACCTTCACAGGATTAGAAATAACTTCAATGTCTAACAATTGGAGACTAGTTACATGTATTTTAACACATTCATCTAATGGGATTCTATTTTGCTCTTTTAATGATAGTGTTAAAGAATATTTTATGTCTGGGAAAAAAATTCTTATGATGATCTTTGAGTGAAAATGTAGGTTTCATAACAGTTTTTAAACTGCTATTCCATGTTGTAAGAAAAAAAAAGTCTTTATATGCAAAGTGAAAAAAGAAAAAATATACAACAAAATGCTGATAGCATATGTGATTATATTTGAGAGAATTATTGGAATATTTTTTCTTTCTTTTGCTGGCAGTTTCCAAATGCTCTAGAAATATGTTACTTCTATATTGTGAAAAAAATTAAAATCTTATTAGAACCAATTAGCATCTGAATATAAGGCTATCAGCCATACTACTTTTAGTATGTATGCTTAACAATATTTTTGGCAAAGAATTAACATGCTAAACTGGTAAAACAATATTTTACTTTGTAATTAAAACATTGTAGGTAAAAAGTAATATTTAGAAATCTTCGTATAAATAGAATAATTTCGGTATCCTGTTTTTGGTGATAAGATTGTTTCACTGGCTTCAGCAAACACCTGTTTTGCTTCACAGATACACATATGATACATAACTGAAATAAGATATATACAACAAGATATGGTGTTACAAGTGAAATTCTACCTTCTAGGTGTAATAAAGCAGCTTTAAAGAAGTATATAGTGATAGGAAATTGAGAAGATGAGATTAGATCAAATCAACAAAGGCTTTTAGTTCCAGCAATGAAATTGGATGATTTCTTTTGGAATGTGGCCAGGATGTCAGAGAGGAGTGATTAAACTCTTGGGAAAATATATAATTATCTTTGTTGTTAAGACAGTAGGTTTATATTCTATGTCAGTTTTCAAGAGCTGTTTGTTCCTCAGTGACAATTACAGGATTTGGATTCAGTATTTACCCACAAGACTGAGCCCTTCCGTATTTAGAATCATAGTCCTCAGTCACACCAAGAAGCTATTAAATCCCAAAGGCCCAATTTGGCTGCTCAAATGTGAGGCTTTCCCATAAGCCATATAAGAGAGAAATAGATTAATAGGTTATAAAATAAATAACTTTCAAATAATATGTGATATGACAATTTAATGAATTCTTTAGTATTGTGATTATTACTAATAAGCTTGGATAGTCTTTTTCCAAAGGTAGTGTAACATTGAATATTTAGAACTACTTTTATTTACTGACTCCAAAAATAACATCTAAATAGGAAACTCGAGTACAATTTCAAGATGGTTTTTAAATGAACATAGTACTTCTTGCCCATTTTCCGCTAGGAAATGGATAGTTAGATGAAATGCCAAAAGCATGAATGCCCAGATAACGGCAATCTGCAAACAGACTTTCTTCTTGCTCATACTTTTTGTCTAGCTAATTTGTCTAACTGATTAAAATAACTTAAAACCTAGGTAAAATATTATTCCGAATAAACAAACAACAGGTGGGACTAAACATAATGAAGGCACTAAATAAGACATAAATCCCAACATATGTATGTCAATCCTACAAACATTTATTGGAAGGATTTTTTTTTAAAAAGCAATGAAAAACCAAAAGCATTAAACAGTTTTGTAAAACACATCTGCAGAACTAAACATAATGTAAATTACTTACAAAATAGTTTGTGTTCAAATTGTAAGGCTATGGAGGGTGTCATTCAGCTGTGCAGCTGTTAACTATGATCCCAATTTAGGAGAATTTTAAATCATGATTAGAATAGTATATGTTTGGTTTCAGATGTATCTGGAAGTAAGAAACCAAAAGATAGCAAATCCCATGGTGAGATGTAGATTTATACATATATATCTTTATGTTTCCCAATATCCTTCAAATGTCTTAACCAACATGTACAATATATTTTTTCATGTCATCTCATTAGAGTTAAAAGAAACATGAAACCACTTTGAACATTTTGGACATAAAATAAAAAAGCTTTGAACTTCTTACTTCATATAGAAATAGAACTAAAAATGCATATACTTCAGAGTCATTTTCTTGAATTGAGTCCCAAAATGAAACTAGATCTTTACACACAAAAACCAAAACATACACACTGATAGCTTTCTTCAGCTAGAACTGAATCTGTAAAAATTATATTACTTTCATCAACAACTTTTATTTGCACCTCACAGTTCAAATTTATGCTTACCCTTCATGTATAAAATGAGATAATAAAAATAATTGACCGAATAATATTTTTTCCTGAGGATTAAATCAGTTAGAATACATAAAATACTTAGAATAGTATGCACAGCACATAATGTCATATAAATACTGCTTGTTATAATTTTTATTCTATTAGAAACTGGAGCTACAACAAAAACAGCATTCCCGGTTCCTGATCAGTCAGCAATATGTAAAACATATTTGTAAAACTTATATGTAAAACATAACATGTAATACAATAATGACACAATATCTATTATACTATGCCATATCTAATGATGTAAGGATGTTAAAGGTAGAGAATCGTGATCAAGAATTGCTGATTATTCTGGTAGAAAGAAGTGTTTTCTAGCAATTTAGAGAACTGTGTTCCAGTCACGAGTCAACCACTAACTAAAGGAGTCTTCTGGGAAAAGTTGGTTTCTTTAAGCTTCAGTTTTCTCATTTATGAAAAGTTAATCTTGAGGTTTGCTTCTTGTGAATGTTATATACTTTAACCTCAGTCAGTGCTCCCAATCTCTTGGACCCAAATAACCTGATCTAAATAAGGGTGTGCTTATTTAATCAGAACTTTGATTTTGAAGTTATTAAAGTCCCCTGAAACATGAGCTCCATAAGTGATATTCAGTTAGTTCTCTATTGAAGTAGATAAGTGGTTGAACTATATATTAGAGAAAATAAACTTTAGAACTATAGAAATAGTTAACTAAAGAAGCATTTTTCAAAAATATATATTAACAGTGAGATAAAACTCATTCATTCATTCAGCAAACATCTGAGTGCCTACTCAGTGCCAGGCACTGTTTTGGATGCTGGGACTAAAAAAGTAAACAAAATAATCAAGAATCCCTGGCCTCATTCTAAAAGGAGGGTTGCAGCAACAAAATAAAAAATATATATAGTATCTTAGATGTGAATAAGTGCTTTAGAGGAAAAAATAAATAAACAAGTGGAAAGGATATGGGAAGTATTGCGTGCGAATGTAAGTTTAAAGGACCTGGACAGATAAAGCCTCTCTGAGGTTTGATGAAACAAAAACTTGAGAGAAGGGAGAGTGCGAGTTCACAGATTTATGAAGGTGAGTACTCCACGTAGAGCACATGTAAATTCCTTGAGGCAGGAGGCTGTCTAATTCATTCTAGGAACAGCATAGAAGCCATTGTGATAGAACAAAGTGAGAAAAAAGCAGGTAAATGTAGGGGGAGATGATGTCAGGAAAGTATGAGGGACTAGCTCATGTTAGGCCTTGAAGACTTCTGGAAAGACATGGGATCTCACTTAAAGTAAGACAGGAAAACCACTGGAGGGTTTTGAGCAGAGGAGAGGCATAATCTGTCTCAGATTTAACAAGATCCCTCTGACTGCTCTATGAAGAAAAGCTTAGAAGTGCAGTGACTTAAACATATGGTCTTTCTCAGTAAGGAATACTGCATTGCTCCTTTTAACACAAGTTTACTGCCAAGTAACCGTCATATGCAGTTTAATCAGGAAAGCTGAAGCTCTTAATTTTCAGGTGTAAGGTATTGGGTATTAGAGATATAACCACAGTAGTCAAATGCTATAAACTGAACAATGTTTATTAAAGAGACAAGATTTCTCATAACTATCCTCTCTGGGGGACTCACAATGCTCATCTGCATATTAAAAGCTTTGGGGAATCCTTAAACGTATTGAATCTGAAGTCTCCCAAGTCTATCCTACCATGGAACTCATCTTTGTTTCTTCAAGTGCTTTGGTTCAAAACAAACTGAGCTCAAATATAAGTTCCCTGGCTACTGAGCCTCTCAACTTTGAGTTAATTATGTAATCTCAACATCATCTCTAAAGTGGGATAATAACATCACCTCACTTCACTGTGGTGAGAATTAGATTAGATAATGTTTGTAAGGGACCCCAAAGAGTGACCTTAATTAGTGCCACTTTTCTATATCCTCTCCTTTATCTTCAAAAGCTCACCCCCTCTTCACATTAAAGGAGTAAATTCTAGCCCGACCCATTGTTGCTAATATGTAAGGCCCCAGGCTCTATCAAAAGCACTTAGCAGGATAGCACCTAGTGTTAGAACATCTACAATGTGTGTGAGATGCTGAGATGCTAAAACAGAAACACAGTCACAGTAATTCCACAGCAAAGTTGAGTATCTCATATTTATATTTCTTAATAAGCCTTACAGAGCAATAGCGAGGCTGGAGTACATCATCTGGTGGGACCATTGGGATGATGGTCCTTTACAGTATCTTCACAATGCTGTGTTAAAAATATTGGCCCTGGCCAGGCGCGGTGGCTCACGCCTGTAATCCCAGCACTTTGGGAGGCTGAGGTGGGCAGATAACGAGGTCAGGAGTTCGAGACCAGCCTGACCAACATAGTGAAACCCCGTCTCTACTAAAAATACAAAAAAAAAAAAAATAGCCGGGTGTGGTGGCCAGCACCTGTAATCCCAGCTACCTGGGAGAATGAGGCAAGGAGAATTACTTGGACATGGGAGGCGGAGGTTGCAGTGAGCCGAGATCGCACCACTGCACTCAAGCGTGGTGACAGAGTGAGACTCTGTCTCAAAAAAAAAAAAAAAAAAAAAAAAACTCTGTCTCAAAAAAAAAAAAAAAATTGGCCCTATTTACAGTGCCTGAAGTCTTTAAGTAAATGAAGACGAATAACCCTGGGAATTTCTCCTCCCTGTGATTTTTGTTTTGGAACACATAATTACCTGTTTTAAGTAGCAGAGAAGCAAACAAACAAAAGTAATACTGTTAAAAGGCACCTTATGTACATTTGAAGCTACCATGTGCAGCTTAGTCAGGAAAGCTCAAACTAAATAGGCCTCGTTTCTTGAAACACAGTAGATGTTCCAAGAAATCTCAATTTACTCTCCTTTTATTCGGATTATTCGGATCACTTTAGCTTGCTTTCTGAGATCGGACTTTTCTTACATATCCAAACTTAGGAAAATATTCAAACATTCAATTATTCAAACTTTCTTCTCAGTTCATCAATTTAAATACCAAGGATCACGCAGATTACTCAGCAATTTCATGTAAGAATTACTGAACTAACTGTTGCACTCTGAGGGATGGGATCTTGGAGTGTTCAGCACAGCCTTGGTGTGCATTGCATGTGTCACTGCTTCTCATCAGTTTTGCTGGAACTTATGGCTTGCATCCCAGGGTCGGTCTGATTCTAAGACTTTTAGCTAAGAAGGCAGAGAGATGTTCTGGTTTGTATTATAGTTACCTTAGGAACTCTATTTCACTCCTACTCATCGGAGTAAGTGGTATCTGCAATCCCTGGAGAGACCTGGAGTGTTCTGTTATTTCCAGAGTTCCTGTGGCTACCTCCATGAAAGATATAATCATTGGAGCAACGCAAGAGATCATTACTGCTCTAGAATTTTGACCGTCAAAAAGCCCTTCTTCACGGGACTACTGAAATCTATTATTTTCAGGTTTCTTCAGAATTCTCAGGGGAGATCCTGAATTTTGGGGATCCTGAATTTCATAGACTCTAAATGAGATGAGAATTCTCTAAGTGGAAATTTAGAACCCACGATTCATTCAGATCACAGTGATCAGAAAAGGGTTCCTGAGTACAAGTTACCACACTTTCTCCTTCCTGGTGCTGTGTCTCCCACCCAAACTGATGAGTCAAGATTCTCTTGTACATGTCAGAGTTCCCTGAAGATCTGATGTGAGTACATTCCCTGTCCACATGTGTACACTCACACTTGCACAGGCACTCACACAGACACCATGAGCATTTCAGGCATTCTTCTGGGTAATTTAAAGTTCAGGAGCAAAAGTGAAAAGGTGACAACTTGCTATGATCCAGCCATCTCTAGGAATGTACTGGGATGTCATTTAACCTGAATGGCACTTTGTTTTTATTTTTTTCAGACAGATTCCACCCTGAAGCCTGTTCTGTTTTGTGCACCTTCCCATAGTAGGAGTTCTAAAAGCCTAAAAGAAAGGAATTATATTTGCATCTTGTCCCTATAGCACACTTTACTGTTTCTTGCACATAGATGATGTTCACTAAGTGTTTATTTGCACGAGTGAGGAAAAGGAAGTAGATACAAAAGTTCTCAGATGCATTGAGTTTCACTTCTTATAGATCCGTAATGCCTTCTGAATACACGTTCTTGTCTTTGCATGCCATCTTTACCAATATAATAGACAGAAAATAGATACACTTTGGATGAGACAGGAAAAAGAAAGGACTAACACATATGAGTTGGTGATGATAGTCTTCATCAGGGGGCTGGCCAAAAGTTAGTTCCTTGAAGATACTTACTGCTGACTGTCCTCGGAAATATCATCTCTAGGCCGGGCGCGGCAGGGCTCACGCCTGTAATCCCAGCACTTTGGGAGGCCAAGGCGGGTGCATCACTAGGTCAGGAGATCGAGACCAACCTGGCTAACACGGTGAAACCCCGTCTCTACTAAAAATACAAAAAATTAGCCGGGAGTGGTGGCGGGCGCCTGTAGTCCCAGCTACTTGGGAGGCTGAGGCAGGAGAATGGCGTGAACCCGGGAGGCGGAGCTTGCAGTGAGCCGAGATCGCGCCACTGCACTCCAGCCTGGGCGACAAAGACAGACTCCGTCTCTAAAAAAAAAAAAAAAAAAAAAAAAAATCATCTCTAGGAGTGGAAGAGAGGGGATGGGTGTTGCTTACTGAAGTTGAGACATCAAGGGTGATATTAATATGGTTTGCATTCAATGAGATAAATGGCAAAAGAAATCTTGAGAGATACGAGCAAACTTCCAGAGACCAGGAGATCCATTTGGGGGAACAATGCAATAGGGATCCTTACACATATTCTTCATTATATTTAAAAGTATACCCCCATTACTAAGTGAAAGTTTGACATCTTTATTTAACGTACATTCAAATGATATGAGGATTTGAATTTTCTCTCTATCTTGCTCTCTTTCTCTCAAGTACTACACTTTAGTGTTTGTTTTCTATTACTAGGTAAGCTTCTCTTAAAAGTATTTTGTATTCCAAGAAAAAAGAGATATATTCTATGTTTTTCACTAAATATCCTTTAGCAAGACCAAATCGATGTATGCTTTTCAGCTTTGACTGCCCATTCATATTTTTACTGCTGAAAAGATTTTGGTTGGAGTCTTTGAATTCTTATCTCCAGGCTGTTTACTGAATTTATAGTCAGTTTTCTCAGGATTAGACTATCTTTCACTTTCAAAGATAGGTGCTGTTAACCAGAGTTTCCACAAAATGTCGCTCTAAGGTCGTTGGTTGCACCAGCAGCAACCAAAATCAATGTACAATTTGCTTTTAAATTTTTATCTTCCATTAGGTAATGAATGTGCTCACCTGAAAAGACATGGAAAAGCACAACACTATGTAGAAAAGAGCAAATCCTCCTTCTCTGCCCTATCCATTGCGCAGTTCTGTCCTCCAGAGGCAACCACCGAAAGCAGCTTCTTACATGTACTGCTAGACACCAAATAATTTTTTTTGAAGTTATGGTACACAACTCTGTAGATATTAATTCTGCCATTTATTCAGCATTCGGCATGTTAGGTATTTCACATAGTGTGTCTTTTTATTTATTTATTTATTTATTTAAGACGGAGTCTCGCTCTGTCGCCCAGGCTGGAGTGCAGTGGCAAGTTATCTCGGCTCACTGCAACCTCCGCCTCCTGGGCTCAAGCAATTCTTCTGTCTTAGCCTCCCGAGCAGCTGGGGCTACAGGCGAACGCCACCACGCCCGGCTAATTTTTGAATTTTTAGTAGAGACGGGGTTTCACCATATTGGTCAGGCTGGTCTCGAACTCCAGACCTTAAATGATCCGCCCGCTTGGGCCTCCCAAAGTGCTGAGATTACAGGTGTGAGCCACAGCGCCTGGCCACTGTGTCCTATTTAAAAGAAAGAAAGAAAAATGACTGACTCAATGAATGAATGCCTTTCAGACGTGTCAGGTTTGTTTTGCTTTGTGTATTTTTTGTTAATGCAATAAAATATCTCGAGAACAGAAACAGAGAAGAGAAAACAGACCTGGTCACAGAGCTATAACTGGCAGGTTGGGATTTCAGGGCGGGTATACTGAGTGTCAAACCTATGCCTGACTAGCTTCTCCTAACTGCAAACTCTGGGCTTGTCAAGATTGTTTTTTGCATTTGTTTCTCTCTCTCTTAAAATTACATCCCCATTGTTAGCTTTCTAATGTGTGGAGTATGAAGTTGAAAGAGAGAGTTTCAACTGAAACATGAGGAAATGATCCCAAGGCCCAACCCTGTGCCTTATGATTTGGATATCTTTTCTACAAGACCTTCAACAACTGCAACTTAAAAGAAAAGGATGGTTGTAAGAGACTGCCCATCTACTGATATGTTCTGGATAGTTCTCTGTTTACCTCCTGTCCTAAAGCCATGTTGCTCAAAATTGATTTTTTTTTTTTAAATGGGAATGGGGAGAAGTGAGAGTGGAGTTGAGAGTTTATTCCAATTCCTGGAAGCGGCAAGGAAGAGGTTAAGTTGGACCAGGAGGATTTTTGAAGTCTTTGGCTGGGAGGTTCCATTTGGAGAAAGGTGCAGGGGAGCTAGGGGTGGCGAGAGAAACAAGACAGTTTCTCATTCGCCTGGATTTCCGATTCCGAGCAATTGGATTCTCACCTGAGGGCGCAGTTGGGCACCCCTGGCTTGTGGATGGAAATATTGAGGAGCAGAACTTGCCTGACCAGCGCCTGGAGAATAGAGTGAAGCATGGAAAGGACCACGCGGCCCCTTTAAGTATTATCGGGCCGGGGAGGAGAGGGAGGGAACTGGGAGCCGCGGGGACTGTGGGGGAAACCCACAAGCAATTGAGCTGGAGAGGAGGCAGCGTGAGAGCAGAAACTTCAGACGCCGCTGATCCGGGAGGAGCTGGGGTGAGCCGCGGCGGCCGTCTCTCCCACCCGCAGCAGCATCCTCTCTGCCCTTCTCTGCCACCCCGGGGAGAGCCGGGAGCTGCCTCTTTACAGCTTCCACGAGCCAGGGGTGCAGGCAGCTGCCCCCAGGAAGTTTGGGCTTCTGCGTAGTTTAGGGGTGCCTGCGAGCGCCCCAGAGGGCGAGGGGCCGAGGGCGATGTTGGGCGCCGCGCGGGGCTGGGGGCGCCCAGAAGACGTGCGAGTGTCCGCGGTCCTGCTGCTGTCTCCAGTACCCTCCGCATCCCCCAAGTGATGGGAACAAGGGCCCGCCCAGGCAGCCGCTGTCGCCGCACCGCCCCCTCGCTCGCTCTCTGCGCGCGGAGTCACCCAGTCACACTCCCGGCACCCCGAGCCCTTCCTCCGGAGCTGCTGCTTCTACTTTGGCTGCTATCGCCGCCGCCGCGGGTGGCCCGCTGCTGACTGGGCTCGCCGGGAGACGGAGAAGCACTTTTTGGCCCTCCCTCAGCAGCTCTCACACCCCAACTTTGCCGCCGCCGCCGCGCCTGCCCTCGCAGCGGCGCTCGGCCGCACATTGTGGGGGCGCACGCCGGGAGGCTCCGCAAGACCGTGGAGGCAGGAAACGGCACTACTGCGCTTCTGCCTCGGCTCTTTGTTGTTCGCTTTGGATGGTTCTTGAAAGTGTCTGAGCCTCCTCGGAAATCCTGGGGCCGGAGAAGACAAACCTTGGAATTCTTCCTCTGCAAAAGTCTCTGAGATACTGACAAGCGTCCGGAAAGGTCGACGAGTAATTGCCCTGAAAACTCTTGGCTAATTGACCCACGTTGCTTATATTAAGCCTTTGTGTGTGGTGTGTGGCTTCATACATTTGGGGACCCTATTTCCACTCCCTCCTCTTGGCATGAGACTGTATACAGGATCCACCCGAGGACAATGATTGCGGAGCCCGCTCACTTTTACCTGTTTGGATTAATATGTCTCTGTTCAGGTAACCCCGCGTCTTCTTTCTTCACCCTTGATCCTCCCTGTTCGCCCCCTCTCCACTTTGCACGATCAAACCCAGAAGTGTATTTTGGTTACCCCTCCCTCCTAAGGCCGGAGGGGCTCGATTCCTGCTAGACTTTTAGGCGAAAATGTTCCTAGTTCGCATTTGGGGTTGTCTCTTTTTCCCCACTCCCCAAAACCTCCCCTCCACCCCTGAACCTCCTCAAGACTCTTTGCAGATCTCGGCCTTTTGCCAAGTTCAGGGCACGCCCAGATTACTCTGGGCAAACGCACGTCTAAGCACTAGGGTGGGAGGAGGCAGCGGCTGGCAGTGAGCTAGGGCCCCCAGGATGAGCCGAAGTGAGTATCAGCCGCCGGCTGCTTCCCTGGGGAGGGAAATGTGCGCCCTGGGAGCTTGTGGCCCGCAGGCTTGCCAGGATTCCTGAGCCTAGTCCTCTCTAGCCCCTCCTCTTCCGAGCACAAGGGGTTATTAGTAGTTGTTTTATGTAACCAAAGTCTGTAATTAAATTTGATTCTGAAGAAGCTTCACGAAATAACTCCTTCTTAAGGTAGGATATAAAATAGCCACTGCCTCGCTGGGTTTAGAAGGAAAACAGGCGGTTGCAAGCATCGGAAAGGGGAGTTGCCTGGGGATTCTCATTGGCGAAAGAAAACTGAATTTGGGATGTTTAGGATTAATTAAATAATACTGAAATTCCATATGAAGTGTTGGAAGGATGCTGAAACGGGGCCCTTCTGACATAAGAGTACACACTGTATCTACACTTGTAAATAGTTTTCATACACTCCCTAGGAAACTTTTTTACTGTGGGTGAACTGAGCCACGACTCAACTTCTGTTTCTTTCCTTTTGGTAGATTCTGGTTTCAATCACGGATCCGATTTCAGGCTTTAAAACACACACACACACACACACACACACACACACACACACACACACTGCACCTCGGAATTTTTATAGTCACATTCGCATACTGAGCTTCAAATTGCATCAGGGCTTATCGGTAAGAGTCACTCAGTTTGCACAATTATGAAACGATTTTAAAGGTTAGTTTGAGCTTTTGTGGTCTATGGTTATCATTTATGTTTTGACCAGGGATTTTACTTAAGACAGTTAACAGAGTAAGAAAAGGGGGGAAAAAAACCACATACGTCAGCTAAATGATAGCGAATAAACCCCTAAAAGAATTTTAGCCTGTGAATTGTGCCTGCTGGCTGAAAGTTACAAGGAAGATTTGCAACTAAAGTAAATTTTAAAAATTATTAAATTGTTACTTCTTTAAAGAAAACAGAAAGTGAAGTTTCAACCTGGTATATCTCATGTACGTCACAGTGGAGGGATGAGTAGACTAACTCCTCGAGGTTGTCATTCCCCACTTCCAGCTTCTCCTTCTGTAATGCCTTATTTTTCCTTAGTTTGCATATCGGAGTAATTGAATAGTCCCTCCAGTCCCCCACCCCTAGCTATGGATGCAAATCAAAAACATTAAAATCTGATCTCTCTATTTGCCTCCCTTGGCTGTGTCTCTGCCTAGTTTAATTTACAGCTTCAGATACCTTTGAGATTTCTGTTGATTCACCTTTCTGGTTAAAGTTTATTTACGTGTGTAAAGTGAAGTGTCATTGTGATAAATGACTGGAGGGGCAGATTACTGAAGATAGGGGGATTAATGGTCATTAGTCACTGTTTGAGTTGAGTTTGTATATGTTGGAACATTTTATCATGGCTGTAGATTAAAGATAGGGTCACATTAATAAGGTATCACTGAAAGTTGGTCGTGTCAACTTGGAAGTTCTGTCTTCACTTGGAGAATTATTTGGGAAGTACTGTCCTATTAGATTTAATAATTTGAGTAGTAGATATCTGAGGATTGCAATTTGAATAGATATGAGACAATTATAATGTTAGAGCTACACTGATTTCTAGCTTTTAGAAATCTAAAATTTCTAGTTTTTCTGTTTCTAATTTAATTTTCCATTTAAGCCATTGATGATTTTTGTAAACCTAAGTTTTTCCTATAGGTGTGCCTATCTGCTTTGCCACTTTTCAGGACAAAAGCTTCTTTCTAAAGTGCTCCCTCATACATAACCTGAAGCTTTTTATTCCTCTGATCACTTTCGCTCATGCTGTGAATCTGAACTTGGGAGGCCAAACTATTGAGCTAGTAGGGTGATTTCATGACAGTGTTCAGTTATAAAGCAACACTATCGATTTGAATAATACTTCACAGAACTCAAGTGACTAGAAACCTGGGTGTGTTGAAGACACCTGGTCAGAGAATGAATGAAGTTCTTGAAAGATTGTGTTTCATGTCTTGCCCCAAGCCTAAGATCACAGTCTATCACTTGTTAATGGAGTGTATTTAAGAGAAATGTGGTGAGCTTAAATAAATCAAAGTGTACTGAGGGGATAACTTACCTTCAACAAGATTTAACCTGTAAAAGCATCTATTGGTTGTCAGTTCTTTTTTTCTTTTTTCTTTTCTTCCTTTTTTAACTGCCTGCCAACTTAACAAAGTCCAACAGTTTTCTTCAAACAGATTATAAACTCCATTTTGGTATGTTGATGGCATGCTTAGTACTAAGTCTTGTGCTTAAGAGTGTTCACTTCTCATAGCCTTTTATCTATTAACTTGATGCTACAAAAAATAACCTTTCATTCAATGAAACTGAGATTTATAAAAAGTGGTTATTCCTTCAGAAATTCATTTTTCAGGTAGATTCCTTTAATTACTTGGTCTATCTGCCTTTTCTATGGACAGACAGACTTCTGGTGAGTTTGCGGGGTGGGAGGGTGCAGGAGAGGTAGCCTTGAAACGAATCCATGTGATCTCTCAGGATCTGATTCTAAACATCTTTTCCTTCATAGACTTGCTCAAATCCACTTGCTTAAAACCTGCTTTTAAGTGAAAAACTAATTGAATTTCAGTTCAAACTTAGGATGAGATTTGAATTTCAAATAAATGATAGTTTACTGGTACTTTCTTTTTCTTGTTTTTTTGGGGGGGGGCGTGGGGGAGGGTTTCTCTTGGGAAGAGGAACTTTTTTAAATAAGTTTCACTATTTGAGCCAATTGTCTGGTCTCTGGTCTCTCTTCCTCTTTCCCTCCTTCCATCTTGCTTTCTGGTAAGATTGTTGTGTAGTTCCGATACGATCTGGCTAGTTTCTTTATAACCTTTCTGGCTTTTAAATGTACATACTTGAATACTGTGATATCTTTTAAAATATCTTTATTTCTTGATAATGGGCATTATAATGCATAAGACATTTGTGATTTAAAGGTCTTAGAACAGAAAGTTTACCTGAAGTTTTTTCTTAGTCTTTGCTACAACAAATGAAATATTCTTATGTAATTTAAAGTGGTACAGAATGCTAAATTTCAGACTAACAATGACCATTTATTTTTCGTTTTTACATTGACTAGATATTTCTAATTTAAAATAATGGGCAACTGGAATCCTGTGGGAAGGAAACAGGATAACAGCTTCTCAGTGAAGACTATAAGTGGTTGAATCTTTATTTATTATCATCTGTGTTAATAAAAGATGTTAAGGTGATACTTAGGTTAATTTCTGACCTTTAAAAAAATGTTTAATTTTAAAAACAAAAATATAAACTGCCCTGCAAGCTCGATTTCATATAGGAAAATATAAGGAAAGCAAAGTTATCATTCAATTTAAAATTAGGCCTAAGGTAATCTATAGACTACAGGAAAGAAAGGCACCAAAAAGAAACATAAAGAAATAAAAAGCAGAAGTCTGGAGAAGTGTAGTAGAAACTGAGCTGCAGAATTAAGCTAGTTTAAGATATAGGCAGGGATACAGTGGAAGTAGACAGAGCAGCCAAGTGGGAGTGTGCCCTCTGACCACACACAGCACATGAAGCAAATCCAAACAGTGGATTTCTTTTTCTTTTTTTGAAATGGAGTCTCACCCTGTCGCCCAGGCTGGAGTGTGGTGGTGTGATCTTGGCTCACTGCAACCTCTGCCTCCTGGGTTCACGTGATTCTCCTGCCTCAGCCTCCTGAGTAGCTGAAATTGCAGATGCCCACCACCATGCCAGGCTAGTTTTTGTATTTTTAGTAGTAGAGATGGGTTTTCACTGTGTTGGCCAGGCTGGTCTCAAACTCCTGACCTCAGGTGATCTGCCTGCTTCGGCCTCCCAAAGTGCTGGGATTACAGGGATGAACCAGTGTGCCCGGTCCAAAAAGTGGATTTCTGAAAATATGATGTCAGTGTATATTCTCTTAAATTCAACAACTATATAAAGAACTAGATAGTTTGCAGTTTTAAAACAACAAAAAAAGCAATTTGAAGCATGTTTAACTCTTTCATGAATCAATTGAACAGTTTTTTTTTAAGCTACATATGATAAGACTTTAGAATATTGACTGCCTCAATGTATATAGAAGACTGATACACCAAGTAGTTACCTTCTGTATGGTAACGCTTTTGCTTAAAGGAGACCAGTAAAGTGAAAGAAGGAAATAATTAAAAGATGAGATGGAGTTCCAACTCTAGGTGCAATAAGAAACTTCATGAAAATGGCTACTTT
This sequence comes from Homo sapiens, assembly GCF_000001405.40. Taxonomy (NCBI): domain Eukaryota; kingdom Metazoa; phylum Chordata; class Mammalia; order Primates; family Hominidae; genus Homo; species Homo sapiens. The sequence goes on along the minus strand of NC_000003.12, from coordinate 79,013,836 downwards.
TACTGTGAAGCTAGGACTATCACTTTACTAAACACTCACCATTATCTTATTTAATGCTCATAAAAATCCTATGACATATATGCTGTTATTTCTAAGATATTACTGTGCCCTGATTTTACTGTTGTAGAAACTATATCATAGAGAAGTTAGGGAATGTGGTTCAGCAGGGATTTGAACCAAGCTGGCTCTAAAACTCTCAACTACTGTGCATTTTCCTAGTCGAAAGAGAGAAATGAAGAATTTAAATAAAAAAGATTATGGTTCAATCACTTTTTATTTTAAAACTTGTCTCAGAAAAAATCCACTTAAATGAAACTGTGGTTTGAACACTTGAGAATTTGGAAGGAAGGCATTATTCTTCCTGTCATTAAGAAAATGGTCTCTAATTTTTAGATCACCAGGCAAGACAGTCAGTTCTTTACATCATCTAACCAGTTCACATTGAGCCTTGATTATATCTGCATTTTCTGGCATGCTTAAAAGAGGAGACTGAATGTGATTCAAAACATTGTCTGCTGGTGATGCAGATGCACGTGGCTTTCGAGTTGTATTTTGGAAAATGAATGGCATTGTTCTTCTTGCACACTGGAGGAAAGATTTTGCTCTGCTCTGAATCCCAAGGCAAGTAATTGGTACTCCTCACTGAAGAGCCTGTGGAGAGACAATCATTTCCCCTGTGGTTGCTCTTAGGCTCTGGGTTGAGTATGGGCTGGTGATCATTTAGTAGATGAGCCTTCTGCTTGACTGCTGTTCACAGATAACTCACTTCATGGTTACTGATCATGGAAGGGTTGAGCCTTAATACCTGGTTGATCAGCTGGTTGGAAACTGCTTATGCATAGCCAATAAAGTTGCCATCCTGTGGAGATCAAAAGGCTACCTCCATTCTTTACAATTCTTGATTAGCATGATTTCCTTTCCCCTTCTCCCTCCACTTTCAGCCCCTTCCTTCAATCTTGCTGTTGAAGAAGAGGAAGAAAAAAAGATGATCTGTAGTGTACAGGGAGATAGCTTTGATCTCCACTGCTTTGCTTTTTCCTCTCTCTTTTTTAACCATCCAAAAGGCTATTTCTAACACCGAAAGGTGTCATGTTGCTTGCTTCATGGGAGAGCTCAGCCTCATTTCCCTTCAGCCAAAACAGGCTGCTACAAATCCTCTTACTTCTGTGATTTTACTTGGCTTCCAAATGTCTTATGACAGTGTTATTCCACACATAAAATAATATTTTGAACAGCATGACTGTGCATATCTTTCTGACTTTATTCAAAGAGAGAAGTACCTCTGTGGCGTTCACAGCTGTCCATGGCTTAGAGCCGGAAAATAATATTCTGTTTATTTTGTTTAATTAATTCATATTATTTTGAGGGGAAAGTGGATAGAAGGTAAGCAATTGTAGAAAATGTTCTAGGGTCACAAGATGAGACTAAATAGTCTATCTGGGCTTAATGCTTGTCACCTAGTTTGACACTTAAATGAAGCGTTAAAAGCACCATCAAAGGATACAAGCAAATGTCAACAGAGCAGTGTGGTTCTGTGTTAAGTGGGAATATAGTCTTTTTGTGTCAAGTGATTGCTTTGTATGCAGCATATAGGAAATAGTCGGTTTTGGTTCCTAATAATACAGTATTTTGGGGATCTATTTTTCAAATCATGTTAGTCTTTCAGTTAAGTAGAGCAAGGTTTACTAGAAAACATTTTTAAGCTACTTCTGGCAATAACAGCTCACAGTTAAAACACTTTCTCAAGATGCTCTTGGTTAGATTTCAGAAAGTATCAAGTTCAAAGTATGTCTAAATTCAACTCATGTGTACAGGACCTGAGAGCTGGGGACAGCTTGTCCACAGTCAGCCATGAAAGGAGCGTGGAGTCCTCAAAGCTCTCCTCTAAGATTATTTGCAGTGTTCTGCTTGAAACACAGTTCGTATGCCCAGTTTGTATAGAAAGTAAAAGAGCAAAAAAAATTGTTATGTATGACTAGTAAGTTCTTGAAAAGCCATTTCAGGTATATGTTATCTCTTGATTTAACTTACAATTTCAATGAGCATAACAAGATAGTATTCATATGACATAAAAGTCTTTGGATCATGTTAGGTATGGTCATAATTTATGCAACATTATGAAAACATATATATAATATATTATGAAAAACATATATATTTATATATAAATATATATAAAACATTATGAAAAAAATATATATAAAACACCAACTTGCTAAGTTCATTCCTGGGTTTTGGTAGAAGGCTAGATTTTAGCTTCTCTGCACTAACGTGATTGAAGCCCTTTTATGTTATTAGCAATTTCAGGTAGAGTAGGAAAAGAACATGAAGCCAAAGAATGAATGAATCAGGTCACAAATGTCTGTTTCAATATCATTTGGCAACACAGTGCTAATGAGATACACTAAGTCTCATAATTTGATCTCCAACTTAACTTGCCTGCTGTTACATTTTCTTGTTTAGCACGTGATTTTCTTTTTTCACTAATGGTGGACTTTTAATTTGGCTAAAGAAATATATCTATCTGCAATTCCTTTCCTATACAAGAACATGTCCGCTTTTTAGTTGCATAGCTCTAAAGCTGATTTTGTATACTTAGGCTTTATTGAAAAGGAAGCCTGTCACTCTGAAACTTCACTAAAATTGTCCTTGCTCATACAACAAAGTGAGTTAAAGTACCTTTGTATGTGTTAACTACACATACCTCTGGGTAGCTTTCAACTTCTTTAGTTGCTTGGTTTGGGAAGTAATTTCAGTATATCCAGACCGTTCCATTAGCAAGTTGTCTGAGTAAAGTAAACCATCTTGTACAGGCTGTGGAAAATAAAACTCATCTGTTCATTTCCCTTGTATCTGAAGAGAAGTGAAAATTTCCTAGCAATCTGGTAGAACGACCACTTTCTAAAATGAATGAATTTAGTAATATATTTCCAAAATCTAAATCTGTAGAAGAAAAACTGGGGAGACGTAAAGCTTTCATTCAGATATCTATGCAAATAGGAGGGGCATTCACTGACAAGATCATTGCTATTAATCTCCATGAATTCAGATTGAACACAAGCATCCTAAGAACAGCTTTGATTTAAATTCAGTAGGGTGATGAAGAAAAAGAAACTCATTGTGGTATTTGATCTTTTCTCCTGTCATAGGTCATTGAATCTTAAGAGCTCATTGCTTTTTAGGAGTCTATATGTAGATATAGATAAATAAATATATGTGTTTACATGATGAAAAAACCCAAGTGACTTATTAAATGATGATCGATGTAGTAGTATAGGCCCAGTTGTATACACGGAACCTGAAACACTAGGAATCAATAATATCTCTAATAATAATGGTAATACTGATAATGCCTAAAAGTTACAGAGTGTTGTTATCTGCTTGACAAAGTGCTAACATGCCTTATCTTATTTAATACTTAAAACAATCATATTAGAAATGAATGTGTTGTTATTAGCCCTGTCTGTCAGTATGAAAAATGAGGTTCAACAAGTTAAGCTCTTTAACTATGGCCAGTCAAAGTAGTAGAGTGAGGACATAAAAGTAGCCTGTCTCATCTCAGAATTCTTGCTTTTCACAATTCTACAAACACACTATACTATTCCCTTAAAGATAATGAATGTAGATGAAACAGTGTAAAATATGTTTAGAACATATTTAGATGCTTTTTTGGGAGGGAACTACATCATGCTGCCAACCTGTTTTAGTTCCTTTTTAGATGTTTGATTTTTATGTTACATCTTACTGTCTGTTGCTTTCTTCTCTTTGTCACATGATAACCCACAAAAAAGAGTGTACCCTGGTTTTACACACTCTACAACACAGAAACATAAGTCCAGCCCCATAACATGGTTTTTTCAGTGCTGTTCAGTTTGTGGAATAAATTTGAAATTGTAAGTACCAACTAGTTTTTATGATAGCTCAACTGTGTGAGTAGAATTGTCCTTAGAGAGAAAATAGAATCACTGTTATCCAACTTCTGTAAGGAACTGATTGTTTCATTTTCATTTTTTGATTTTGATAATAAATGGTGATAAGATGTTATTGATAATAAAACATGTTAAGCAGAAGCTTAGTTAGAATCTGTGATTAGCATTCCTTTAAAGGTGTGTTCTTCTCCAATGACAAGTTTTATGGAAAACAAAGAAAGACTTTAGCATTGGTTCACATAATTCCTGCCAATGAAACCTGTGTAAGTCTGTGATAGCTATCAAAAACAGCACTGTAATCAATACTCTTTCAGAAGTAATGCAGTTGGTTTTGGGAATACCATTCTTTTGCTTTTCTTACTGTTTTAAGTATGTGTTTCTGACTATGGCTGTTGTATAATTTCTTAGGTAGGGTTTTCTCAGCTGAATTCAGTGGTCTTCCAAAGTTATTTCCAAATATGTAGATGGGATTGTATATTTATATTCATCTATTTCCATAGGTTTGGGAGTTTGCATAAGGCTTAAATGAAGATTGAAGCTTTCCCCAGTTTCTTACACTATACCACTAATCAAAACAGTATCATGTCTAAAACCTTCCCTTATTTGAGACTTGGTTCTTATTAAGGTTTTTACACTGTCTTAAAATATACTTCAGGCTGGGCGTGGTGGCTCACACCTGTTATCCCAGCACTTTGGGAGGCTGAGGCGGGTGGATCACCTGATGTCAGCAGTTTGAAACCAGCCTGGCCAACATGGTGAAACCCCGTCTCTACTAAAAAAAAAAAAAAAAAAAAAAAAAATTAGCTGGGCGTTGTGGTGGGCACCTGTAATCTCAGCTACTCCGGAGGCCGAGGCAGGAGAGTTGCTGGAACCCGGGAGGCAGAAGTTGCAGTGAGCCGAGATCGTGCCATTGCACTCCAGCTCAGGTGACAACAGCGAGACTCATCTCAAAACAAAACAAAACAAAACAAAACCATACACACACACACACACACACACACACACACACACACACACACGGCTGGGTGCAGTGGCTCATGCCTGTAATCTTAGTACTTCGGGAGATTGAGGTGGGAGGATTGCTTAAGCCCAGAAGTTTGAGACTAGCCTGGGCAACATAATGAGATGCTACAGAAAAAAAAAAAAAAAAAATTAGCATGGTGTAGTGGTGCATGCTTTTAGTCTCAGCTACTTGGGAAGCTGAGGCGGGTGGATGAGCCCAGGAGGTTGAGGATGCAGTGAGCTGTGTTCATGCCTTTGCACTCCAGTCAGGGTGACAAAGTGGCATACTGTCTGTCAAAAAAAAAATGCACGTATACATAAATATATATATGTATATATGTAATATACATGTATATGTTACTTTGTATGTATACTATATATATGTATACACACACACGTACGTGCTGCATAATAAATATATTTTAGTACATCCATTGCTTAGCAGTTTGCCATTCATTTAATGCTACTTGTTTATTATTAATGGAGCTTAATAAAATTATTTATTCCCCAGTAAACTACTATCAATTGTGATAATAATAAAAAATTATTATTAAGCAGCTGCCAACTTTTGCTGCTGTTAGACACTTTAAGGAATGTTTCAGGCATACCTGATAATGTGCAAGAGCTTTTAATACAAGATTCAAGTTGTGTACATATAGACCACAAAATGAAATGTCGATTTACATTAGTGAATTGTTGGCACTGTATGAATGAAAGATGTTTCTGATATGATGAAAGAAGGGAGAATTGCATTTTGGGAACTGGTGGGTCAGGGGATTTAACTTAGTCAGGAAACTCTTCCTGGAATAAGTAGGTTCCCAAACAGTGCTGAGAGAAATAATGGAGATAACTTGTTTGACTAGGGAAGGTATTTGAGAGGTGCGTTTAGGAGTGGTGATCTGAAAAATCTGCTTTCAGAGGTAGACTTTACAGCTATTGGTTATTACAGAATTTCACTTATGACGTTGTATTGTAAAGAGCATTATTTAATAATCTCATTCATTCTTTCAGTCACCTAACCAGGCAACAAAGTAGAAAAAAATGCTCATTCCCTGTGCTTAAGGAATTTATGGTAAATGGTTGATTGCTGTGTAGGTGATTTAATAGAGGTATGCATGATGATCTCTGAGTGAGCTTATATTTAGACCATAAAAAATAATGCAGTTGTTAATTAGCTTGATTTAACCATTCTACAATGTTTGCATATTTAAAAACATGTTGTACACCATAAATACATACAATTTTTATTTGTCAGTTTAAAAAACAAATAATTTTAAAACATGCTTCAACCAAATGGAGAGAAGGTGAAAGTAAAATAAATATAAATTTGATAACCTAATTCTTAGAGATTAAAACATCTGTTTTCTGGCATTTTCTTTGAGGTTATGGATAGCAGTATACAGATAAATAGACTTTGATATAATGCTATGTGTATTTTTATTCTCAATCTATCAGAGAATCCCTTGGGCGGTACCTGGAATATCACTGTCTCTCTGTCCTTCTGCCCTCTCCGTGGTACCCTGAGCACGGTCTTTATTCTTTCCTCATTACTTTCTGTGTCGGGAATTATTTCTTCATAGCATAGACATTTACAATTTTTATAAAACTTGTCTGCATATTAAGCTAAAACCTAACTCTAATTCCTGACCTACTGGCCTTGGTTTTATCCTCCAAAGCTACCCAAGGTAAATCTAATTTAGTTTCAGTATTTGAAGAGAGTTATTTTGTTCTTTTTAAACTTGTTATTCTTCAGGCACAAGATGCCCTTTTTTTTAAATTTTTCTTATTTGATACAGATTCATTTCCCTTGGTTATGTTGTTTTTGTTGTTATTGTTTTCAATATATCTAATTAGCCAGTGTTTTTCTAAAGTGTAATGTCAAGTTTGAGGAGTCTACCTTCCTGTTTATTTAAAAATGTAAATAACTTTTAATTTTCTTCTAACCTTCCAACAAATCTTGCATTTTATAAATATTCCCTTGGTATCCTGGGATGTCCTACTTTTCTGGATCAGGAGATTTAAAATGTATTAAGAAGCTAGATAACTGGTCTTTTCATCTTTATTTCCCACTGAACCATCTGAAGTCTGGTCTAAAGTCACAGTCTCACAATAAAACTTATGAGAGTCTGTTTTTTTTTTTTTTTTTTTCCGATATTTTGTAAGGGTTGAAAACTGAAATGCCTATACAAGGTCTGTATAAGAAAGGAAGTGCTTGTATTAGGGCCAAGGAGTGGCTGGCTGAATCTTGCTCCAGGGAAATACAGCCTCAATGTAGACATACTTTCAGATGGACTTTCAGATGGACTTTTCAAGAGGAAGCATAATTCTGCGTTTTTAAATACAATTTCCTAACCAATAAATATGGGTAGTTGAGTGTGAATTAATAATAATAATAAGCGCTTGCACCAAATATGATATATAGTCATCATTTTGTGGCTGCAGTATTACACCACTCATCCTATGGCCAACTGGCCTATCTGTTGCTGCCTATTTCTACTTTAAATACATCAGTATCTCCTTACTTTTTGTTATCTTCTGTGTTTTACCTTTTCATTTTTCTGGTGTTTGCCCCTCTTCTTTGTATGGTTACTAGTTAAATGTTTACATAATGGCTTACTTAACCAAAAGCTTCTCCTTTATTGGTAGCTATTTACATTTTACAAATTGTATTTGTTGAGCCAGGCAAAGTGATCAGTTTTACTGTTTATGTTTATTCTTTTGTCCTAAAGCTAACAAACAAAGACAACAAAACCACGAGCCCTTTGATGAGCTAAGAGTCCCTGATGAGCTGAATAAATAAATATATTCTTGAATAAGAAGAGAAATTATCAAAATGGCTTAAAGCTTACTGATTGCTATTAAGAGGTGCACTACTGTGTTGCATATGAATTACATGTTAAGAAAATACATTAAGGAAATTTTAAGAAATAAAAATAAAGAAAATCGAGGTTGTGGCTGAATTGCAAAGAAGTCCCTACCTTCTGCAAGTATTTCTTGCAGAAATCTAGTTTCCCTTATTTGTTTTATTATTTGCTAATAGAGTATTAGTTGTTTGACAGAAATATTTTCAGGAGAGAAGCTTACTCTGAAGGGTCAGTAATCATTAACAATTGAATATTAACCAGAAATGAAAAGAAAGCATCTCTGAAATAATTTGTCAGTGAAAAATGTTATTTGACTTATAAAATATTGATTTGTGCACAGTTTTCAAGAGCATATCTAGCATTTCTGTGAGGAATCTTGTGCATAATTCATAAATATTTCTAAAATAACATTTGGAGGATTTCTTTAGGCAACAGAAATGGTATAATATGCTCAGGTGGTTGAGATATACTACAAAACTATATGAAGAAACTTTTGTTAACTCTTTTTTCACTGGGAAAACTTGGTTATTTTTTGCAAAATTTAAGAAAAATATTTCTAAACGTAGAAATTTTTAGTTTTCATTCTGTTTCACGGTAAAATACATAGAATTTGTTTTTGTGTCTGAATGATTCATCCTGCTGGAATAATATGGTAGTCCCATTGGGGATCATTAAGAGCATTACTCATGTAAGACATCTATCAGGGGCAGCCCTCCTCATGCTAAATTCTAGAGCTACAGCTCAGGAATCATATGAGACGCTCACAGGCATGAAGAAGGGAATAACGTCTGAGTGGGAGAAGGTCAAGGCACGGGCAGGGAAGAGGTCAGGTGCAGTAATGTGCCCTGGGCAAGGAGAGCTGATTCATTTGAAGCTGGAAACCGTCACCAACATTTTATTGTCCATAGGAGGCATGTTTAAAGATGAGCATTATCTGATGCCTTGACAAAATAGCTTGCCAATAATAACGGATTCTTCGTTATTTGAAAAGGCAGCCAAGACTCCCACATTTCTTTGGAAATTGTTTCTATAGATGATAACTGCAGCCTTTAGAAGAATGTAGTGAGAATATATTGGCTAATTTGTCTGAGCTTTGATGATTTTTATGGTCCCTGGGACCGTAACTCTATTTCTTCTCCTTATTTCCTTACAAAGACCTTTTCTTCTTTGTGAACCATAGAAATAGAATGTTTAATTCATTTTCTTATGAGACAGCACCTTGTATTTGGATATGTTGGAATTATTGATTTGCTTACATTGCACACATGCCTAATTAGGGCACCAATTTTAACCACACGAATACACTCTTACTCCTCTGGCTTTTCTAACATCTGCTTCCTCTATTTGGGGATACACTGTCTATATCCTTTCCTGTCTGTCCTTTTCCCTCCCCTGTTTTCCATCCCAATTCCTGTTTGTCCTAATGAATCAATACAGGTGTCTCATCTTCCGGTAAACCTTAGCTGTCCCATTCACCTACCCAGGATAGATTTGATGTATTTCTTATGTTTCTCTAGCATCCTCTACATACTGTCTTTGCCCACAGTCATGCCATATTGCATACACTCATCTGTATCTCCTTTCAAACTACGAGAGTCTGTGTCTAGTTAAATACTTACAACCTGCACATATGTCATTCTGTGAATTAATAAGTGATTTAGGGAATAAAATTGGAGTATGAATTTCTTGACTTTGCTTTGACAGGAGTTATAGAAGGGATGAATATGTCTTCTGATTTTTGAGCAAATTGTTATTTTAAAAACAGAAAAATGAACACATGAAAGAAGAAATACCAAAATTGCCAAATATCGCAAATTTACATCCCCATGTTTAAAAAAAAATCAAAAGTCTTGGAACAACTTGTGGTAGAAATGTTGTATAGCACCAAATTCAGAAGTAATTTATAAATGGGGGCACTCAACAGTTATATTTGTACTGGATCTCACAAAATAGGTTGCTAAGGACTTTGGATGTCTACCTTGGCTTGGAGTTTGTGGATTTTTCTATGGGTTTTCTATAGACTGATTATGGTATAGTGCAGGAGAAAAACATGTCTTGGATTTAGAGTAGGTTGTTGCTGGCTTCGAATCTGCCATTAAATAGTTTTTCACCATGCCATGGGTATGTGGTTTTTCATCTGTAATATGCAGGAATTGAACCAGTGGATATTTTAGTCTCTTCCAGAATTGAAGTGCTGTAGTTTTTAACCTAGGAATAACACAGTGAGCTGGATTATTTGTCAATGAGTTTTTCCTCCTCAGTGTGCTTTTCAGTAGAGCATAGGTTATAAGGCTTCCGGGTTAAAATACCTAGGTTTGAAATCCTGCTTCATTACCAACTAGCCATGTCAACTTGAATGGATTATGTCAATAGAAATTTTTATTTTTCATTATGTTTCACAGTAAAATGCGTACAATTTCTTTGTGTGCTTTCTTTTTTTTGCTGCTTTCCTTATCATTAAAATTGAGATAATATGAGTATCTACTTGATGGGGTTACTGTGAAAACTAAATAAGTTGACATATGTAAAGTACTTGAAAGAGTGTTCGGCATGTTTTGACTTCTATTTAGTATGAATTGTTGCATTGTTTCTATTATTATTTTCCTAATTAAGTAGTCTTTATCAAGTTTTGTTTGTTTTGTTTTGCTTTATTTTTCTTTAAAGAAACTAGTTTATGTTAGTTCTGGGTGTAGACCCTGATTTCCAAACCCCAAATTTAAAAATAATTTAATCTCCCCTCCCGGTGATTTCAAAACAGCAAACAAAAGCAGAGAAGGCATGAGCATTGTCAAGGAAAATTCAGCGTTAATTTGACAGTTTGGAGACAGATTTCTGGGCAGATTGCCATGTCAATGTGATGGCCATTTCTATCCCAGCAAAGGAAAATATAATAATGTTTATGCTGTACAAAAATGCCAACAATTAGAGGCTATATCAGCTTGCTTCCCCACTCCCACATTTAAAAAAATGTTAATGCTTCTAAGAGGATTAAGAGATTTACAATTACTGTGATTATTTTAATCAGATTATAGATCTTCCTTTACTTGGAGCTCAGCTCTTTAGCATTGGGGAATCGAGGTTTTCATGTGGAGTGTGGGATGGGCACAGGGACTGAGAAATGTGGAAGATGGAGAAAAATGAGGCCCTTTTGAGTCCTGGAGCAATACAGTGGGCCACATTGAGAGAGGGGAGTTCTAAAGACAGGTGAAGTATTAGCTGCAAACTTCACTTGTTGAAAATGTTTTTGAATCCCGAGACACTGTTTCCAACTTCCTTCTCTACTAATTAAGTTACACCCTCAAGAAAGCAAAGATGAAATTGAAAGTATTAATACTGTGGCTTAAGAACATGATTTTCAGGTTAGCAATTGACATAAGCCTGGGAAATTCATAGTATTTATGGAGTAATGTGGTGGTTAGCAGCTTGGCCTCTAGAGTCATTCATTCATTTAATAAATAATTATCACATTTTGTGTGTCTGGCTGGCTGTACTCTAATTTTGACACTATCACTGGTGAACTGTGAAATTGATTATATTTAGCTTTTCTAAATCTTCCTTATCTGTAAATGAGGGATAGATTAAATGCAAAACACACAAATTTCTTATAGGTATTATTTAATTTTATCTCTTCATATGAACATATATTTCCAAGAAAGCAGCAAAATATTGGACTATTGATACTTAATGCTAATTAAGTACCAATTAGAAATAGTAATACTGGAAGAAATTTGAAGAAGGTAGGGAGAGGTGTAGGTTCCATGACCAAAAGAGCAGCCTAATTTCCAATGCTGCCAACTTGAGTGTGACATATCCCCCTTCATATTGTCTATTTCATTCCAGGCCAGCATTTCATGTATGCCTGTCATTGCCACTTGCTTCACATGTGCTCATGGTCAGTTTATCAGGGAGGCCTTCCTTGAATTCCTTACTTACAGATTCTCCTGTAAATATCTATAGTCTCTTGTCACTGTGTGGGATGACCCATGGCTATTTTACAGAACTAAAGTATCCAAATAGTTACCACACCACCTAGCACATAGTGGGAGCTCCATAACTGTTTGTTGATTGAATGAAATTCTAAACTGATCATTTTAACTTTCTAAAAAAAAGCATTTCTAAGAAAAAATAATACATTCTCCTCCAAACTGAAAATTAAATAAGTTTATGTTATCTAATATTTTGCTTATCCTTAATATTGATTATTTTTTCCATAAATGTAATAGTAAAGAGCTCACAGTGAGGTTGCCTTCAGTATTATTAAAGAGACACATTTAAATGTTGAATTGCTTCTTTTAGGAAATTATAGTGATAAGCTCTATATTTGAGATTGCTGAGAAACATCTAGACAATTTGAGAACCTCAAATTATTGTTAAAATAATTTTTTAAAAATTGCCTAGTATCTTACAGAAACTAACTCATATATAGATGGGCAGAAAAAGTACAGTGAAACTCTCTTCTATTCTTTAGGATAATTTATATAACCTTTACTGGGTACCTGCCATAAGTCAAAGATTTCTGGGCAGTGATGATATGAAAACAAAATTAGTTATGGTCACTACACACAAAGTTCACGATACGGTTTGGCTGTGTCCCTACCCAAATCTCATCTTGAATTGTAGTTCCCATAATCCCCATGTGTCGTGGGAGGGATCTGGTGGGAGGTGGTTGAAACATGGGGGCAGTTATTTCCATGCTGTTCTCATGATAGTGAGTGAGTTCTCATGAGATCTGATGGTTTTATTTATTTATTTAATTTTACTTTTCATTCTGGGGTACATGTGCTGAACATGCAGGTTTGTTACATAGGTATACATGTGCCATGGTGGTTTGCTGCACCTGTCAACCTGTCATCTAGATTTTAAGCCCTGCATGCATTAGGTATTTGTCCTAATGCTCTCCCTCCCCTTTCCCCCGACCCCCTGACAGGCCCCGGTGTGTGATGTTCCCCTTCCTGTGTCCATGTGTTCTCATTGTTCAGCTCCCACTTATGAGTGAGAACATGCGGTGTTTGGTTTTCTGTTCCTGTGTTAGTTTGCTGAGAACGATGGTTTCCAGCTCCATCCATGTCCCTGCAAAGGACATGTACTTGTTCTTTCATATGGCTGCATAGTATTCCATGGTGTATACGTGCCACATTTTCTTTATCCAGTCTATCATTGATGGGCATTTGGGTTAGTTCCAAGTATTTGCTATTGTAAATAGTGCTGCAGTAAACATACGTGTGCATGTGTCTTTATAGTAGAATGATTTATAATCCTTTGGGTATATACCCAGTAATGGGATGGCTGGGTCAAATGGTATTTCTGGTTCTAGATCCTTGAGGAATCACCACACTGTCTTCCACAATCGTTGAAGTAATTTACACTCCCAACAGTGTAAAAGTGTTCCTATTTCTCCACATTCTCTCCAGCATCTGTTCTTTCCTGACTTTTTAATGATCGCCATTCTAACTGGTGTGAGATGGTATCTCATTGTGGTTTTGATTTGCATTTCTCTAATGACCAGTGATGATGAGCTTTTTTTCATATGTTTATTGGCCACATAAATATCTTCTTTTGAAAAGTGTCTGTTCATATCCTTTGCCCACTTTTTGATGGGGTTGTTTGATAAATGGGATCTAATTAAAGAGCTTCTGCTCAGCAAAAGAAACTATCATCAGAGTAAACATGCTAGCTCCAGAATGGGAGAAAATTTTTGCAATCTATCCATCTGACAAAGGTCTACTACCCAGAATCTACAAGGAACTTAAACAAATTTACAAGAAAAAAACAACCCCATCAAAGAGATCTGATGGTTTTCTAAGGGGCTTTTCCTCTTTTGCTGTGCACTTCTCCTTGCTGCTGCCATGTGAAGGATGTATTTGCCTTCCCTTCCACCATGGTTGTAAGTTTCCTGAGGCCACCTCAGCCATGCTGAGCTGTGAATCCATTAAACCTCTTTCCTTTATAAGTTACCCAGTCTCAGGTAGGTCTTCATAGCAGCATGGGAACGAATTAATACAGTTCACATTGTCTAATAATTGAGGAAGGCATATGAATAATTAGAATATGATGAACACACACCCACATGGTAATAGAAGTGCAAGAAGGGAAAATGTACTTCCTACTAGGGTCAAGGAGTATTTAAAGAAAATTTGAACTAAATATTAATGAATATTCTATGTGTTTTGCGTGATTGCCCATCAGACTAAGCAGAAGTAAAACATATAGGCAGAGAGAAGAAAAATCATGTTGTATGTATACTGAAGAAACCATCAATAATTTAGAATTATTTTCTCATCAGGTGCCTGTAAAGATAAACCTATGGTCAGAATATGAAGATTTTCTCTTTTTTGTTCAACTTTTATTTTAGATTCAGGGGGTACATCTGCAGGTTTGTTACAAAGGTATATTGCACGATGCAGAGGTTTGGAGTAAGAATGATCTAGTCAGCCAGGTACTTAGCATAGTACCCAAAAGTTAGTTCTTCTACCCTTGCTCCTTTCCCTTCCTTTCCCCTCTGGCAGTCACTGATATCTATTGTTCCCATCTTTATGTCCATGAGTACCCAAATTTTAGCTCCCACTTATCATTGAGAACATGTGAAAGTTGGTTTTCTGTTCCTGTGTAAATTTGCTTAGGATAATGGCTTTCAGCTGTATCCATGTTGCTGCAAAGAACATGATTTCATGCTTCTTTATGGCTGCATAGTATTCCATGTCACATTTTATTTATCTATTCTACTGTTGATGGGCACCTAGGTTGGTTCCATGTCTTTGGTATTGTAAGTAGTGTGATGAACATGCAAGTGTATTTATCTTTTTGTAGGTCGATTTGTTTTATTTTGGTTAATGGGATTTGGGGCTTGAATAGTAGTTCTGTTCTAAGTTCTTTGAAAAATCTCCAAACTTTTTTTTTACGGTATCTCCACTAATTTACATTCCCACCAACAGTGTATAATAAGTGTTCCCTTTTCTCCACAGCCTTGCCAACAGCTGTTATTTTTGACTTTAATAATAGCCATTCTGAGTGGTGTGAGATGGTATGGATTGTAGTTTTGATTTGCATTTCTCTGAATATTAGTGAAGTGGAGCATTTTTTCATATTTTTCCTGGCCACTTGTATATCACAGAATATGAAGATATTCTGTGTTAAGTAGACTGCCTTTAACTATGTGGCAAAGGAAACCATTAAATGCTTTTTATGTAGGTAACTGCCTATCCAAAATAGGGTGGGACAGAAAGATCTCTCAACCAGTAGCATGGAAGTTGGATTAGGCTATTAAACTAATAAAGGGGAGAGATGATGAGTAAAGACATTGTTACTGGAAATGAAGCAAAGAGGAAGGATAAACAGTTTTTGGATAGTAGAATGAACAGATAGAACTGATAGAATATAGTCAGCAGGAAGGGATTTCAGGTGACTATCAATCAGGAGACTAGACTAACATGGACAACAAGGACTTAAGCGGTAAGGGAAGAACAATTATGTTTACAAGAAACACTGGGAATTGCACTTAGGTTGACTTTGTGATGCCAGTGGGTTGTCCACCTAAGCGTTTTACAAAACATGAAATGCAATGCCTGAAATGTTACAAAATATTAAGATAATAATCTGATGTAAAGATTCAGCTTTAGGAGAAATCTGAGTATAAGTGTAGGGCAAGTTTCTCTATAGAGGCTTGAGAGCAAGCAGGTAGACACAGAACATGGCCTGAAATAAAACTAGTTCTTCCGGCCTACTTTTGCCGTCGTTATTACTATTACTATTTAGACTAAAATACTGTGAGCTGGTACTTAAGATTAGACGTATGTGTTATTAAAGAAGACAGAATTAAAGGAAATGGTTATTTCTGAGTCGTATTAGCTGCATTATCTTCAATTTTGAACAAGTTTACTCTTTGATAAGTACGTCGCAATTGCAATATACACTATTGATTTAGAAAAACCATGGGGTATGGAGTAGGTGCAAGTTACAATTTAATTCCACAAATATTTACTGAGCAATCACTATGTAACATTGTCTAGAATAAAATTAGAGGTTCACTGAATCTCAGAGTGGGAAGAAAATAATGAAGTCTGGTCCAACATATACTAAAACAGAAATTCATTCATGTTTACACATTAAGGTCTTTATGTGTTACTCTTCTCATTTCCAAAGATAGACCTTCTCTTTCCCCACAAATGCTGAACTGCTTGCACTATGCAACTTTCAGATCTCATCTTTTGAAATGCTGTTTCTTCCTCTTACCCTACTGCCCAATTAATACTCAGCACACATAAGACGGGTCAAGCATCACTTCAGGAGGATGTTTATCCTCCCCTCCCCAACTCCAATTCTTCAAGTCTAGGTGAGTTGGCCCCTTCTGTGTGCTACTGTGGTGTTCTGTACATGTCTTTACTGTAAGAATGTGTCAATTACACTGTGTTGTATTTTACATTTGTTTGCTTCCACTCCACATTTTGAATAATTTGAGGGTATAGTGGATTTCTTCTTGATCTCTGTGTGCCTAGAACCCAATACAGTGTCTCCTGCTTCAATCTGAGTGCATTGATTGAACAAACATTTAATGACAAGGAGAATGTGAAGCACAGAAGAGTGAATTACTGCTAGTGGAATGGTTTGTTCATTTCTCGAATGCTTAGAATGGATCACCACTCTACTCGGTGAATACCAAAATCATACCAAACCAAACAACCCACGTTTTTCCTAGTCTCTCATGGAACCTATATGCTAGTGGTCAGAGAAACAATCAATCCTGTTTTATAAAAAAAGATGTATTTCACAGTGGTGTTGAGGAACATTTGAAATTATTCCACACCCCCCAAAAACCAAAAATGTGCGATGCTTATTCCTTCTTTTGGCAAAGTTGGAGTGGAGGAAGGAGAAAACTCTATCTGGGTTTGTCAAGTCCAGCACTAATCACATTTTGGATCAGATAGTTCTTTGTGGTAGAGGCTGTCCTATGCATTGTAGGATGTTTAGCAGCCTTCCTGGGCCTGTCTCACTACCAGTAGATAGCATCCCCCATTTATGACCAGCAAAAATATCCAGACATTGCCAGGTGTTCTGGGGAACAAAAGTTGAGAAACACTGTCTTATATCTACATGAAGATACTCCTTAAAAAGAGTCCATCTGGCAGAACAACATTGAGGTAGGTTAATATCTACTTATGTATTAATCCACCTCTACATAAATCATACACATATAAACATGTATTCTTATGTGTATACACACATGCTTATGTATCTGTGTACACACAAACAATATTTGTAGCAATTTATTTTAGATGTTTAACAAATGGCGTTGTTAGCCTGAAGTTCAAAAGGGGTGTGTGTGTGTGTGTTTGTGTGTGTGTATGTGTGCATGTGTGTGTTTGTGTGGATCTATCTTGTTCACTCATTTAAATATGTTCTGCATTGATTTTTATTGAAAATGGGTTTTATCAATACATCAGTAAAGCCGTTCCTTGTCGACTAAATTTACCAGTGTGAACTGGTCAAATCTTCCATGAGGATGAGACACTATAAGAGAATCAAATAGGAAATAGGGTGATGTTGCAGTGACTTGCAGAGAGAGGCCACTGTTAGATAGAATAAATGCAGAAATTCATGGGTAAAATAAGTACAAAGGTTTGGAGGTAGGAAAAGCTTGATAAATTAGAGAAACAGAAGTGGTAGATTGTCCAAGGATAGAGATAAAGTGGGAGTTTTTTTTTTTTGTTTTTTTTTTTTGTTTTTTTAATAGAGATGGGTTTCAGTGTGTTGGCCAGGGTTGTCTTGAACTCCTGGCCTCAAGCAGTTCTGTCTCAGCCTCTTAAAGTGCTGGGATTACAGGTGTGAGCCACCGTGCCTGGCTTGGGAGATTGTTTTGAGAAGTCATCACCCAAGAGCCTTATATACCAGTTGGTGGAGGTATTTGATTTATTTCACATTGTTTTAAAAATATTGGGGTAACATATAAAAATTGAAATTTTTTCATAAAAATCAAGACTTCTAGCTTCTCTGAAAAAACTAGATGGTCTGATAACTTCAGATTCTCCCTCCCATATGGAATCTTTCATTTGGAGCTGGATTGGAGCTGCCCCTTTAGGCAGCCCCCATGTTCTCTGGTTTGCCAGTACCCTTCACTTATATCATGTATGCCCACATCTGAATGTCTGGCCTGTGTTGCTCTTACTTAACTACCTGATCCTGTAGGTACACACTTTTTATTCTCTAATTTAGGGGCTTGAAGGGCCTAGTAAGGACTTTTTTTTATTACTTTTTAATTTCTTTTTTTCTTTTTTTTTTTTTGGAGACAGAGTCTCGCTCTGTTGCCCTGGCTAGAGTATAGTGGCACCATCATAGTTCACTGTAGCCTCGACCTCGTGGGCTCATGTGATCCTCCGGTCTCTGCCTCCCAAAGCATTGGGATTACAAGCCTGAGCCGTTGTCTTCAGACCTAGAATTTTTTAAAGAACATAAACGTGAATTAAGATGGTGTTAAGCAGAAGAGTCACATGATTTACTTTAAAAACGGAAAAGATTACCCAACATGCTCCCGATCGACGGGCTATAGAGGCAAGAGTGGAGATGGGGCAGAGATTTAAGAGATCACTTTAGAAGGCTTTGATAATGGCTCTGTCTGAGATGGTGCCAGGGAGGTGGATAGAAGCAGTGCAGGGCTCTGTGTTGCTCGGTTCCAGGTTCATCATGCTTGCTGGCGTCATTAACCACCCTGTGGAGCAAGCCTAGGCACCATGAGTGATAAGATATCACCCTTTGGATTTGTGCAATGTAGCATTCCTGAAGGCAGGATTTGGGACATACTTTGCAGGTAGAAATCAAGGCTCCTGGCGATGAATGTGCCTTGTGTTGGAAGCAACGGTAGTTACGGAAAGAAAAGAATATCATCAGTTACCCAACTTTGATTTGGATTATTCTTTGTTCAGTTACAGATGGAATTGGTTAGAATTAATTTTTGTCAGTATTAAAAGTATAAGGTGCACTACAGAAGACAGCAGAATAGACACTTCTGGCTTCGAGTGTATAGCAGTCATTAGTTTCCATCTGGTTCTCTAAGCAAGTGCCATATGAAAACTGTCCTGGTAGGCTGAATGTATGGATTCATGTCTGTGAGGTATGTATAAACACACGATGTGAATTCTTGCCCCTTCTAGCGTTTTAATGGCCTCCCATTAAATGGTAGGTCATTATACTTTTCACTGAGACAGTGAAGGGTGATTAACTCCGTCTGGGTTCAACCAGTGTAATTTTAGAGGCTACAAATATTGTTACAAGTCAGGTTAAGGTTTAAAGGTGAAAGTATAGTGAAGCTTGGCTGCATGACTTTTACAGCATTGAGTTAATGTACACAAACAAAGAAACTCTTGTTTTCTTTCCATTATGAGTACAGAGAACAAATGACTCACTTGTTTTAGAGAGGAAAATGTGAAAATTAGGTTGGTCTACAATAAAATTCATGCTGTGTGAACCCATTTACTCGGTATTTCCAATTGAAAGTTCTTTTAAAAGCCGTGTTTCACATTGCTGAGATTTAAATACTTTAAACCCTGAATGTCATGCCCTTTGTTAAGATAACGCTATCCTAACAAATGGCATCAACAGATTTACTATCTTTTACATAAAGAAGGTGGTTTACCTCCATAAAATATGGTAGCGCACATTTAGAGGAGAAAATTGCCCTTTTTTCTCCACTGTTTTTAATAGCTCCAGCTTCCCCCAAAATGCTTCCATCCTCACCATTTATCTCAGTAAATACTTGGGGTAATCTGATACAGCCCTTTCCTTTTCGCTGGTTGAATTCAAATCTTGGAGCCTGGATATCAGTCGAGGAATGGAGTTTGAGGGCATAAGGTTACTTGTGACCATCCAGGAATGGAATTAAAAGGCGAAAGCTTCCTTTTAAAACTCTGTTCTGTATCTATATTGATCTTAAAGGCAGATGAGAAATAAAGTCTGATATCTATATAGATCAATTTGGCTGAAATGACTAGATTTGTTGAGGCCTCTCATGAGAAACTTCATGTAAGTGCTGGGAACTATAACATCCTAGTCATTTTTTTTTTTAAAGCTGGTATCTAGTAAAATAACCATTCTCTTTCTTTTCCTTTAATATTTAACACCCTTTTTACACATAACTTTTGCTTTGATTTGAATTTCTGTCAAAATGTGACAGGATTTTGTGGGAAAAAAAACCATTTTGGCTTAACAGATTTTGATGCAAACTTTAAAGAATTTAGAGAACATCTTGTTTTTACAGAAGTAGAATAGATTTCACTTTGGAAGCCCTGGAAAACTAAATAACACAGCAAAAGCCTCATAGGAATTAACAATTATGGGCAAAGTAAATAGTTTTCATTTGGGCCAATGGATCCTTCAAAAAACACAGCCACCCGATCTGGTGTGATTCACGTTGTAAAGGTTGGGGTGAGATGACGAGGTCTAGTCCCTGAGGTCATGGCGGAAATGCAAAGGTCAAGGCTTTTCACTTAGCCTTGTGTCAACAGTGTCATGCTCTAATAAGTCTAAGAACTGATTTGACTGGGTTCAACTACATATATAAGTGTATTACACCCTTGCCTCCACTTAAATAAAGAAGTGAGTAAATGCAGGCTTTTAGGCCTTTGTATTCCTGCCTAAATTTGACTCAAATTCAAGGAATTTACAACTATGAGGGGGAAAATAAGGTCTCCTTACAATGCAGTTTACTTAGGATTTGAGTATGCTTGTTAAGTAGGATTTTTAAAGAAACGTTTTGAAAGTATGCATGTATGTATGCGTGTGCTTGTGCTTGTGCATGCACCCTTGAGCATCTTATTGTTAAAATTAATCTTTTTATCATATCCATCCACCCACACATGTCTGATTCCAGAACATGTCAGATTCACAAGTGTGAACTAATTTTACATTATTTGGCTTGAATGCAGTCCTCTTGTGTTCAGAGTTGATTTCCTTTGATGATTTAAAATTGAGTTAGATTCTATAAATGGTGGGATTATGAGAGGAGAATTGAGAAAGTCTGGCTCAGTGTTGTGAAATACTTAGAGAAAATATTGTTCAGCTTTTCTGCCACTCCATGGCCAACTAGATATATGTATTCGCATCTCCTACGAAAATCTTGGCGTGTTCTTTTGTCCTTACTGCTGCTTCAGCTTCTGGTAAATAGAAGAATCTGATCCACCTCAGAGCTTTCCTTGAACAAGGGTTTTGTTGCTCTGGAAAACACTAGGTGTACACAGACATGCTTGAATTTCATGAATGTCTTCTAGTGTGAAACAATGTGTGATAATATTGTGTTTCTAGACTCTTTTTTTACTTGTCTTGGTCTTGATTTTAAATGCCTTTAAGACAAAGTTGACACAGGCCACAACTCCAAGGGTATTTGTATTCTGTTTAAACAGTGGCTTTGGGATTGTGTAGCTTTTACTAGCAAGCCACAGCACACCTTGACTCACACTGTTTTAAACAGTAAGTAAATGTATTATGTCATACAAGTAATAATTCAAGTGACACAAACTGCTCACAAATGTCATCAAGCACTGCATATTTCCTGCCATTGCCAGGGTCTGCTTCTACTCAGGACTACTTTTCCTTGTTTAGGCAAAATTGTTGCTAGTGGTGACTAGGGATCCTTCTTTCACTTTCAGCAATAGTGAGAGGAAACCCTCCTCCAGCTTAACAATGTAAGCCCTTCCCATCAGTCTTATTGAGCCACCTTCAGATAAATACTACCTTTGCACCAATAAACGTACCAAGGAAATGACATGTGGAGGTTGGCTTAGCGAGATGATATCTACACCAGGATCCAGGATTGGTATCACTTTCACCTGAAACATGTTGGGTAGCCATGGATGCCTAAACAATATGAAATCCATTAGGAAGGCATATGGCACCACGTTCTTTGTCAAATAATTGTATTCAGTCTTACACTTATTAGTAGAAATTATTATCCTGGAGCATTCTATCATTACATTATAATCTGGACTGTTTTCTTTGTAGGCCTGTGACACAGTTTTCATTTTAAATTTTAGCCATAATTTAAAATGTAGTCATACTTTTAATTTCTACAAGTATGTGCTAGTTCTCTATTCATTTTTCATAGCATTTTGGTTTTTTTTTGTAGATAGAATATCTTCCTAAATATTTCAGAGTTTATTGTCTAGTATTTTTTTCCATAATTTCTTCTATGATGCCTGAGTTAGCTCCATTTCCTCTGGTGTCAATGTTTAGCTTCTTAAATTTGGCCCTTCCATCTCATCCTGCTGCTTTTTCTCGTATGTCTGATAATCCTTCCTATGGAATAAGCAACTGTATCGTTAATCAAAGTCCTCTGTTTTTGTGTTACAACTGATTCCCATGTGGAATTATCACTTAGAATTCTGTTTAAGAAAATGTGAGACTTTTGCTTTACTGGGATCAGCAAGGAAGCCAGGAAGCCAGCTGTCAGGATACAGGATCACTCAAATCAAATAGTGAGCATTATACCAGGTTTCACCTGGTAGTTTGTTCAGTTTCACTGGGAAAGGGTCAGCTATTTTTGCTGGAGGTAAATGCCAGCTGCCTGATTTTTGCCTGCATTTGGGGAGGGGATGACAAGTGAAAGATTTGTCCTTATACAGACCTTCAATTAATCTGTGTCTTCAGTTCCTTTTTCACATCCATCTTCCAAAGTTCCTGCTGACTTTGGATCTTGGTTTCCAAAGCTACTTCAACACACTTCTACATTTTCCAGAGCTTTTTTGCAGCAGATTCTAAGCTGCAGCTCTATTTAATTCCTGAACATGTTCAAATTGTACTAATATCTCTTGTTCATTGGTGGTACCCATCTTCCTACCCCAATTGTTTTTCCATCTCAGGACTTTCCTTTAGTACCTTTGCACATTTATTTCAGTGGGTTTTCAGAAATAGAGGAGGCATTGTGTGTGCCTGATCTGCCTCCTTAATCAATTGCTAATCCTATCCATAATATAATTTATATTTAGATTTTTTAATGTAGGTTATTACCTGTAATAATTAACATGGTTGGTTGGAATACAGTGCTAATGTTTTCACAATGATTTATTAGACCCTTAAATGGAACAACCACAGACTGAGTCCTATTACAAAGGCAATTTAAATTATACTTATTTTAACTGTATGTGTAAGAGCTTATATTTGCCATTTTATTTTATTAAGCTTGCTTGCTAAGTTTCATTTATAAATATGTAAATCCAGAATTAATTCATTTTGCTGTTCTTTTCACTCATTCAGCAACTATTGATGGGACTTCTATGAGTGCTAGTTACTGAAAATAGCCTGGTATGTAGTTTTTTTTAGTTTATGTATAAAATGTGTTCTTTAAATTTTAATAAAGCCTAACTAAAGATGAAGAACTGATTTGGAGATTTGAGAAAGAATATACATACCTTACTCTCTTTAGAGTGAACTAAACGTAGATTTGAAAGAGGATGGAAGATGCTTAAATTTTTTGTCTATGATTTCTCCTGTGCCAAGTACAATACTTATAAATAATAACCATTCAATAAGTATATATTGAAAATATGAATCCAATCTCATTGCTTTGTTATTAGTTATAAATTATGGTAATATTACCAACTTGTCTTCACTGTTGCTTATTTATAATTAGCTAACAAGGAAAACTGACTTGTTTGCCAGAACCTGTCTCAGATTCATTGAAATATATGCTCGTAGCGGGTGGCAAACTTTTGGCAGGGACACTCCACAGCTCTCCTGTTTAAATGCTGGAGGAAATTTGTAATTTAACATCGTGGAATATTAGCCAAAAAACAGTTTATTCATTTATTCTTACACATTCAGTATGACCAAAATGGCATATCGCCAATCAACAATGATTGAAAGAACACCAAGGGGGAAACAAAATCTAGTGCATTAGGAAAAATATTCTAGTGTATTAAATATTTTCTTAGGAAAAATTTTAAAATTCTAGTTAGTTTAAAAGAGAAATCTAATGTTGACTGATAATTTCTCCTTTCTTTCTTTTTTCCTGCAGTGGCTCTTGCTATTATTAAACACCACTAAGGTGTACAATTCTTTAATCAAAAGGCAAATATTTTGTTTTTATACGCATTATGGACTTTTATTTTGGTTTTCTATGGACTTTTTTAGGCTTCCACTCAATAATTTATTATATACATTTATATTTAAACAATCCAGAAGAGCATTAACTTAATTTATATATTAAATTCAAAAATGTTCCTGTCCAATGGAAGTATCTTTTTTCAATGGTATATAGGGTTTTTTTGAAGTAAATTAGTGAATAGTCAACAATGACAATTAATTTATACAACAGAAGGAAAATGCAAGGCAGCTGTTTTCTGCTTTCTTTCCCACTGAGAAAACTCAATGTTATATCCTAGACAAAGAAAGCTGTATTCCTCTGTTAAAAATAGTTAATTTCTTACTTTTATTTATTATTATTTTTTTCAGACAGCGTCTCACTCTGCCACCCAGGCTGGAGTGTAGTCTTGCAATCTCTGCTCACTGCAACCTCTACCTCCTGGGCTCAGGTGATCCTCCCACGTCAGCCTCCTGAGTAGCTGGGACTACAGGCTTGCGCCACCATGCCCAGCTAATTTTTGTATTTTTAGTAGAGACAAGGTTTTGCCATGTTGGCCAGGCTAGTCTCAAACTCCTAACCTCAAGTGTTCCACCCGCTTTGGCCTCCCGAAGTGCTAGGATTATAGGCATGAGCCCCCGTGCCTGACCTTAAATTTTTTTATTTTTAAATTTTATTTTCTTAAATAGACAAAGAATAACTTTATATTCATGGGCTACATAATAATGTTTTAATACATATAATGTATGGTAAGCATATCCATCCTCTCAAACATTTATTATTTCTTTGTGTTAGGAACCTTCAATATCCTCCTTCTAGCTATTTGAAACTATATTATCATTAGCTATAGTCATTTCACAGTGGTATAGAACACTAGAACTTACTTTACAGTGGTATAGAATGCCAGAACTTATTCCTCCTATCTACCTGTAATTTTATATCCTTTAACAAATCTCTCCCTTCCCTCTATTCTCCCTACACCTTCCAGCCTGTCTCTTCTACTTTTTACTTTTGTGATACCAACTGATATCTTACTTTCGAAGCTCTTATCCCAGCACCTTTTTTTGGTATATGACAGACAATGTATATCACATTCCTCATAACTCAAGGTATGTGATATGTGATCTTTCCATACCAGTGTCTTTCCTAAGGATCATAATTTGGCTAGTATACAACTGTTATATGTTTCCTTTATTTGGTTTGCAAAATAATTGCTTGACAATTTTGATGGAATGTAACAGCCCATTTTAAATCTGTAAAAGTAATAGAAGAGAATAAACCTTGTAACAATTACAAAACAAAGAGTTTTAGAGTTGTGAATTACTTCAGTGACAGAAATAATGCACCAAAGGATATAGCTTAAAACAGTTGATTTTAAAATCTAACTTGTGTAAATATTTTCTCTTCCTGAAATGTGTCAATGATTATCTTGGACCCAGTTATGTTTCATGCTTCCAGCAGGTGGGGATAAAAGGTCTCTGGAGATAAAAGTAATGTAGTGTGCCTTCTAAGGGAAATGTTAGACCACAAAAATAATAGAGATTTGAGAATTATGTTGTGTAAGTTAGGGAAGGTGTTATTCTTTTTCCATCTTCATAGCTCTTTCAATTTGAATTTTTGCTAATTGAAATCCTCCCTAAAATTGCACCAGACAGAGAAGTCTGGTAATTTTGTGAGATAAACACATTTCTCAGTAAAAAATTGCCTTTTAGTTCGTAGCTCTGTTTAATTGTGATGAAAACGCTGACAAAAAGGGAACTTCGAATTAAGTTGTAAAAGAATGAGAGAAAAAGAGAGAGAGCAAGATTTTAAAGTCCACTCAAGTGAAAATGACATTTGGATAGTTAGGTTGTGTACATGATCACAGCTCTTTCCCAAGATTATTTCACTATCCATGATGCTAAAGAAGACATTGCCATGTCTATTTACTCACCAAAAGTTATTAAGGGAATATACATTGCGTGTAGAAAACAAGTGTGTTTTCACTTTTTATCTTGTTCATCAATTATTTATTATTTATATTTGGGTACAGTTCTAATTATTTAGCAACTTTATATAATATAATTATGTTTTATTTTGGTGGGTACATAGTAGGTGTATGTATTTATGAGGTTTGTGAGATATTTGGATACAGGCATGCAATGTGTAATAATCGCATCAGGGTAAATGGGGGTATCCATCACCTCACACATTTCTCCTTTGTATTACAGATAATCAAATTATACTCTTTTAGTTATTTTAAAATGCATAATTAAGTTCTTATTGACTATAGTCACCCTGTTTTGCTATGAAATACTAGGTCTTATTCATTCTTTCTAACTATTTTTTTGGTACCCATTCACCATCTCCACCTCCCCTACACCTCATGGCTTTTACCTCAAGGACCTTTATGAAGGCAAAGACCAGAGATAATTAAAATGTTTTAAAACTATAAATGTTTTAACAGTATCCCTCCTCACTTCTTAGAAAATAAATATCTGCCTAAAGGAAGGATGGCTAGTCTCCCTCAGAAAGCACAGGATTTATTACTTGCCTTCACTCTTCTTCATTCTTATGCCCTGTATTTTATTGCTGATATAATTTCTTGAGGCTTAAGAGTCTCCCTGCCCCAAACCCCATCTGTTGCGTGTGTGTTGTGATACGTTGTTTACTTACTTTATTGTGGTTTTGTAAAGGCAATGTATAGTTTCTTAATTTTGTAGTATAGGTAGCTCCAAAGAAACATATACTTATTTTAAAAAAAACTATTTCTAAATATCTTACTCTTTCTTTTTTCTTCTTCTTTTTTAAAACGTGTTACTCTTTCCTTTCCATCACCTCACCCTGTGTTTATGGCACAAAAAAAAAAAAAAGCAGTTTTTTTTTTTCCTTCCAGAAACTTAGAGTACTTCGTCATGTTTTGGGGGGAGAGGTTAACATTCAGAAACACTGCTGTGTTTTATTGCCAGTAAATGTTTTTACTCACTAGTGAAAAGTTTGTAAATAGGCACTGTTTAAGAAAACAAAGAGATAATAAGTACTCAGACTTTTCCCTTCAAATTCTCTATACCTAGTAAAATGCATTGGTGATCTCAGCCCTACTGAACAATAGTTGGGATCACAAAACCACTACTCATCATTCAGCCTGCCTGGCATAATTAGCGGCTTTGAGTCAAAGGAGACTAAGGGGTGTTTAGAATAGCAGTAAAAGCTTTTTTCCCCCGTCAACCCCAGTATTCAGAACCAAGACTTCACATATCCCAAAAGGCCAGGGTTGCTGCTGAACAAGTAGCTGCCTTCTATACATGTTCTTCAGATCAAAATGTTTTCTCTGATGTGCCATTTAGAGGACACTCCATTAAAAGTCTAAAAGAAGCAGCAGAGTTTGTGCACCAGATGGAGAAGGAAACATTTTCTGTTCGTTCAATAAGGGCAAGTAGTGCTGAACCATCACTATGGTCTGCATTTGATCAGCTTGGGACACATGAATAGCTGTCATTGAAGACTCCAGGCTGGGTGAATAGTATATATTACAAAGCGATTTGAGAGTTGGGATTTGGCCAGTATGGTTGACTGGTTTGCATCCACAACTCAGGAAAAAAAAAGAAAAAAAAAAAGGTTTTATTCTTTTTTTCCTCACTGAATGCTGCCATGGAATTATAACCTATGCTGATAGTAATTGCTAGTGACCCAAGCATGTTAGAATATACATTAACTCTTTCATTCCATGATTGTAATTAAGGACTGATCCAGGGCACCAAATGGTGAGGTGGTGGCTTGAAATGCTTTTCTAGAGCCCTTTCGTTTTAAGATAGCCTATCATTCCCTTTTGGCTCAAAGCAAATGTATCATCTGGGTTCTCATTTTCTTGGACCTTCCCGTGAACTCTGCCTCTGATTACACCCTTCTTCAAGCTCCTGATGGCTCTGGAGAAGATGAGATGCCATAAGCTTGTTCTTTCCTTTTCAAAACTTTTTTCTCATGTCTTTTCTTGTGCATGATCATTAACTTCATGTTATCTCCTTAAGGCTTTGTCTTGGGCTCTGCTGCCCCTCCTTCTTTTCATTGTTGGGGTTTTCATCATCCACATAACTTGAATCTTAACTCTGTATAGCTGATATTTGACTAGGCAGAATTTCCATGATACTTTAGCAACATGTATTTCCCAGGCTTTGTTTGAATTTCGAGCCTTGTTACTGTCTGCAAATCTTATCTTGACTGCTCTGTATAAATAAAAATTAATAATAAACAAAACTAAATTAAAATACATTAAATCTGTCTAAAACAGTTGTCCTGGGATATTTGGTAACTTTGGCTGTTACAACTCTGCCACCAGGATCTCGTGAGTAGAGGCCAAGGATGCCGCTAAATAGCCTGTAATGTACATTACATCCCTTCGTAATGAAGAATGATGTGGCCCGAAATGTCAGTAGTGCCAAGTCTGAGAAACCCTGCTACCAAATAAAATTACAGTTGACCCTAGAACAACACTGGGGCCAGGGGTGCTGACCCCTCGTGCAGTCTAAAATCCTGGTATAACTTTTGACTCCTTGAAAATGTAATTACTAATAGCCTACTGTTGACTGGAAGCCTTACCAATAACATAAACAGTGAATTAACATGTATTTTGTATGTTATATGTATTATAAGCTGTATTCTTACATAAAATAGCTTTGAGAAAGAAAATATTATTATTATTTTTTGAGACAGAGTCTCACTCTGTCTCCCAGGCTAGAGTGCGATGGTGCAATCACTGCTCATTGCAGCCTCAACTTTTTGGGCTCAAGCGATCCTCCCACCTCAGCCTCCAGAGTTATTAGGACTTCAGGCATGCACCACCATGCTATTTTTTGTAGAGATGGGGTTTTGCCATGTTGCCCAGGCTGGTCTCCAACTCCTGGGCTCAAGCAGTCCACCTGCCTTGGCCTCCCAAAGTGCTGGGATTACAGGTGCGAGCCACTGCAAATCATGAGGAAGATAAAATATATTTATTATTCATTAAGTGGAAGTTGATCATCATAAAGTCTTCATCCTCATCTTCACAATGAGTAGGCTAGGAGGAGGAGAAAGAGGAGGGGTTGGCCTTGCTGTCTCACAAGTGGTAGAGGCTGAAGGAAATTCACGTATAAGTGGACCCACACAGTTCAAACTCATGTTGTTTAAGGGTCAACTGTATTTCTCTTCCCCATTTAACATTCACACCTTTTAAATACTGCCCTTTTATGCTAATGCCATCACTTTGTTTTACTTTCTTGGAACAAGTTTGTTGTAGTTGCCTACATAGTCTCATCTCTTAGCCAGCTGTCCGAATGGCCCATTTTTCCACATCCTTAACTAAGAACAAGGAAAACCTTTCTGGGGTAGAGGAGGAATAGGGAAGACTACATCATGCTCACTCATCATACCGCTCTGAGAGCTAAAAGAGCAGAGAAATACACTGAAAGCATGGACCGGAAAGGCATTAAAATACCTTTATAACATTTTTCGCTTCATTTTTATTTTCCCAGTGTAAGTATTATTGATTATTTGCTTGTATACTTCTCACATCCTTCTGTTGTGAACCTGATGTTTATTGAAACAAACTCTTAGCTGGCTTCTCTCCCTTCATCTACCTTCTGAATCATCTCAGCTGTGGTTTGGGAAAGGCAAGCTTAGCAATAACTGCTAATTTTCTTCATCTCATGAAATAACACAAGCTCAGGAGTCGGACTGCCTCAACTTACTCCCCTGATATCTATAAGCCTCCATTTCCCTTTCTTTAAAGTGGATATATAAAATTATCATGGTCATTGTCATCATCATCATCATCCTCATCATCACCACCACCACCACAGTCCTCTCATTAGATTATTGAGGGAATAAAGTAAAATATTAATATAGCATAGAGCAGTGTCTGGCACAAAGCCTTGATAATGTAAGTTTTTTTATATTATTCTTCGTTATTAATGATGTTATTTTTAATGCATGGATAGCATGGATTCATGGATAATATGCATGAATAGCATGAATTCTCCTAACCATGTTTATGTTTCACCTTATTGGACTTTGCCACTTCCACATTACAAGTTACTTGTACTAACTGAACTGAGCCATTTGGCCTTAAATTTTTCTTCTTAAGAAGCTTGCCTTCCTCACTTTCAATAAACCTATCAGTGTCACCCTTTACCCCTGCCACTCCAGTCGCCCTCCAGCTGAAACCAAGATGGCGCTAGTTTCTCAAGTACTTAAGTACTCAAATATTTGTATTTATAGGTGACAGTGGTCACATCCTTGCCTTTTTATTTATTTTAAAATCAGACCTGTCTATCCCTTTATGTTAAAGATTTTTGTGTTTTGTTGCTTAACTTTTTTGTAATTTTCTGTATTATTCTCTATATTGTCAAGTGTGATTCAGCCTCTGAAATAGAGATTACGTTATTAGTTTTGTTAGATTGTTCTACCTTTTTATTATGCAAAGTTTGAATACTTGAATCTTATGGCCATTTAAATACAAAATGCTTCTTTGATCAGCATTATAGCAAATGTCCTGAACTCTGAGAATTGAGAAGCAGATTCTTTAAACGTCTTCGAGGGTTCTTTGCATTTGCATTTCAGCAATGAAGAAAAATATGGTGCATGTGGTAATTTAATTTAAAAATTGTTTTTGTGTTCCCTTTAGGAAATTAGCCTGTAGATGTGTGTATAGGGGGAGAAGGTGAAAAGAAGGGAGTGTGTAAACTTGTTCTTTAGTTGTTGTTACGTAGTTTCAAATTTCCCTTTCTCAGACATTTAGCTCTAATAGATAGCTGCGATTAGCACATTAAAACCTTTCCCAGTGACCTCAGCTGTTTTTCTTGTTTGAAAATGTAAAAACTCACTTTATTTCAGGAGTTTCAAGACTAGCCTGGGTAACATGGTGATACCCCATCTCTTTTAACAACTACAAAAATTAGCTTGGTGTGGTGGTTCACACCTGTAGTCCCAGCTACTTGGGAGGCTGAGGTGGGAGGATCCCTGGAGCCCAGGTGGCAGAGGTTGCAGTGAGCCATGATCATGCCACTCCACTCCAGCCACAGAGTGATACTTTGTCTCAAAAAAATAAAAAAAAAAGATGTGGTGTCTCACACCTGTAATCCCAACACTTTGGGAGGCCATGGCCGGTGGATCACTTGAGGTCAGGAGTTCGAGACCAGCCTGACCAACATGGTGAAACCCCATCTCTATAAAATTAGCTGGGCGTGTTGGTGCATGCCTGTAATCCCAGCTGTTCAGGAGGCTGAGGCAGGAGAATCTCCTGAACCTGGGGGGTGGATGTTTCAGTGAGCCGAGATCACGCCACTACACTCCAGCCTGGGCAACAGAGTGAGACTCCATCTTGAAGAAAAAAAAGAAAAAAGTAAAATTTACAAAAAGGCAGCTATGGGGCTTACTTTTACAATGTAAATGACTTTAAGTCAGCATCTCTGATATTTCTATAATTTTAAGATATTATTTTCCTAAAGCAAAATGCAATTTTAAACCCAGTACTAGCATTTGGTGGGATGTATGTGTGTTTGTTTATAGACGTGTGTATGATGCAAAAATGCTCATTATTTGAATACTGTAGGAGTGAAGGGAACACTTCCCCTGTCCTCTCTGAAGCTTCACTGTAATTAACTGACAATGGATGGATTAACAGGAGAAAAGGCTTACAAAGGTATTAATATGCAGGCGGGAAAATCATAGGAGAGTGATTACTCAATAATCCAATGAGATTTAGGTACTTATATACCCCTCTTCATAAAGGAGAAGGAATTGGGGTGTAGGTAATTCCGAGGGGTAGTAAATGATTATTAGGAGAAATCAGTGAGCCGAAAGAACACAGGATTGCCTGGGACAAATGTCCTCAGAGCTCTTGCGGGAGGTGATGACAACTTTTGGAAAGGCAAGAGGTAGAACTTTCCTGTGAACAAAGGTTGTCTAATTATGCAGATAATGTCTCCCAGGTAACCTCTGGGAGCTGCCCTCAGTAGAATACAGAACAAGGCTGTCTGGATGTGGCAACAACTTTTAGTCTTTTTCTTCTTGGGTGGTTAATCTTTTCTGTTTTTTATGAGATTCCTGCAGTGGGGGTTTTAAGACAGTTGGATTTCATTGGGAAGAAGTTTTTCTCAGATTCAGGAATTTCTAGGGAAAGTCCCTCACTGTGGGTGTGTTTTTGTGTGTGTGTGTGTGTGTGTGTGTGTGTGTGTGTGTTGGCAGGGGCCAGGGGATGGGAGCGGAGAAATGAGAGAAGGCTGGGAAGTCCTTGGTTCTGAGGCGGCCTTCAAGCCCTTCCAATTTATTTTAATCCAAAAGTGCTCAGTGTGACAAAGTGCTATACTTCGGGTA
Source organism: Homo sapiens (assembly GCF_000001405.40). Classification (NCBI taxonomy): domain Eukaryota; kingdom Metazoa; phylum Chordata; class Mammalia; order Primates; family Hominidae; genus Homo; species Homo sapiens. The sequence goes on along the minus strand of NC_000003.12, from coordinate 78,981,653 downwards.
TTGTTCTCTGAGCCCTGGTACTACTTTAAGGGTAGAGGAAAAGGGAGAGTTGTTTAATGAGTATATAGAGTTTCAGTTTTCCAAGATTAAGAGAAGTTTTGGAGATCTGTTTCTCAGTAATGTGAATATACTTAACACTACTGGATTGTCTATTTAAAAATGATGAAGATGGTAAATTTCATATTATGTTTTTTACCACAATTAAAACAAGAAGTTCAGTATTTAATGTAGACATAAGTGCTACTGCTTCCTGAGTTTTGTGTAGTGAATGTGGGGCATTTCTTTGTTATTTGAGATGCTGGTTGATAGTCATGTAAGAGGGTGATGGTAATGGGCTTTTGAAAGATTTAAATGAGAATTTGTGTAAGATCTTAACATTCATAGTCTATGACCCTTTATAAATGTGAACCATTACTATTATTTAGGGTACTATAAAATAAACTGTAATATACTATAATTTATTTAATTATGTAGAATGGCATATGATTAAGTATGCATACTCAATGCCCAATTACCAGCCATGTGAGCTTGGGAAAGTCGAATTTTTTTAAACATTTTATGCTCCAGTTTTCTCATTTCTATAATGGATGAAACAGTAATATCTATTTCATATCTTGCTGAAACTATTAAGTTAACACATATAACACATATCCCATGTTTTATACGAATGACTGTCATCATCCTCTGACTTTGATGACTTAGAATGTAACAACAGTTTGGATGTTGGTAGTAGTTTATAGTTTAAATTAAAATATTTTTAAAACTCACAAGTTATTTCCAATAATTATTTCCTCATAGTTAATATTATCTCTCTTTATGAGTTATCTTAGCTGTATTTACCAGGGGTGTAAGTTTTATTTATTTCCATGGACTGAAGTGTTTTGAGGAGGTTTATAGAATTACATATACCAAAGCAAGGGGGAAAAAAGACCTAGGAAACTAAGTTCCACATAAGATGGAAAGTTTGGTGGTGGTGGTGTTTTTAACTGAAGATCTTTCAACCAGTTTCCTATGCTACAAACACTAGTAGTTATTGTTACGGTGTTTGTGTTAAATGAATATCAGACTTCAGAGAAACAGCAATTTTACATGTGGAAACCTGTGATGAAGATAGTCAAGAAGATATTTAAGTTTTTGGTATAAAGAATATTCTCCTGTTGGAAAAGAATGCTTTATTAAAATGGTAACCTTGTGTATTTATATTTTTAAAATATTTAGAGTTTTTGTGTAGGTTCATGAAAGTAGTTGATTCCTCTTGAAGTTTTCATAATGCTGTGGCATGGTGACATTATGCCAAACACAGATGAAAGTTTGTATGTTGTTCGTATGGATGTTTTTGAGGTACATGTGGGACAGGAGGCAAGGAGTGGTGATTGTAATCCTTACCATCTGTCCAGACATCTAACATCCTGCTCAGTCTTAGAAAGGTAGGTCAGTTTCTTATAATTACAGTTTTGGGCTAATGTGCCTCTTTGAACATGCTGAATTCTTACTTAATGTATTGATTTTTAAATATAATTATAACATTAATTTAATTGAATATATGTGTTTGGAACATATGGTGTCCCTCGGCAAATGTTTTCTTAAATTATATGCTTGTACATGTATTAAAGTGTAGGAAATTATTGTTTTACTTGTAACATGCTCAAGGTGCGTTTTAATAAATATAAGGAATACCCTGAGGCAGGGAACAGGAAGATCAAAAGCTTTTTCTATTTTAGAAAGCAGTTTTATTACTGTTGATTATTAATTTAAGGATTTATTTTTGGCGGGTAAAATGACTAGGAAGGGTGTGAGCCCAAGTAGATCTCGTGTGTGTGTGTGTGTGTTTGTGTGTGTATTCATTTTCTTTCCTTCTGCCCGCATCCTGTCTTCTCTCACTTCCCCCTCCCACCTTTTTGTTTCTTATGCCAGGGGGCTTTCATAGACCCCCTTAAAACAGCAGAGCTCCCTCTGCACTCTGGGGACAGATTTCAATGAACATAGTGTTGTTTTAACTCTTTGGTTAGTAAAGGGGGTTGAAAGCTAAAGAAGTAAAACAGTGTCAGGAAAAACAGTCATCAATTTATAGTATCCTAAGTTTCCCCAAATCTCTGAGATTCTTAATATAAATGTGAGAGATCTTACTTAGTGATACTTTGTCAGAATTTTATCTACATTGCTGAGGAGACAGAAATCTTTTAACAGTTTCCTTAAAGGGACTGTAAATTTCAACAATTATTCAGTCCATTGCTTTCAGCACCTTTTGTTGCCTTATTAGTGTATGGAACAGCAGGGTTGTAACGGCAGGAAGAGCCTGTGCATTTTAATTAGCTCCAAAGACAGTGTGAGATAAAAGCCCGGATTTTTTCCTCATTTTTATTTCACGTTGGCTGATTAAGGATGCTATTGTAGGCTGAGCTGGCTTGACCTAATCTCAGTGACCACTCATTTATGGAAGGGGAATGGCACAAACTTGCTCTAGTTTTCTGAATGGGATTAGGAAAGCACTAATTAGCAAACCCTGAAAGCCATGAGGCATGGACAGGAACACAGCACCCGTCCATAAGAAACAAATGCAGTCTGGGGAAACATTCACCAATTGAACCAATTCATACTTGCATATATTAGGCACTTGGTGATGTGTTTTCCGTTTTTAATTACTTAACCATGAATAAGAGCCTGATGTTCCTCAAGCTGTACTTGATAATTAAATAAATACTTCTGCCCTGAAGGGAGATGTCAGAACTTGAAGAGTACTAATGTTGATAAGGAGGTTTGTAAATAGTTGGAGAATAGATTTCTAGCTGTATCTGACCTCAGCTGGGAGGGAGATGGTGGGAATACAGTCTACAGAACTTTAAAATTAACTCATTCAGTTTAAGTAAAGTCAGATTTTCATTATTGAGAGCGAAGATCTATTTTAGGATCATCTGGCCCTTTACTTCTTTTTTATATACTGTACTTCCTTTTAATCGTGCAGAATATTATGGAAAAAGTACAAGGCTCTGCACCAGCAGAACTAGACCTGGATGTGAATTGAATCCCTGTGCTGCTAACTAGTATGGGACATTAGGGAAAGTCCTTCACCTCTTTGAGTCTCGGTTTCTCTACCTTCAAGATGAGGATAATATTACCTACTTTATAATGTCACTGTGAAGCTTAGGGATAATATGGGCAATACTGTGTGTGGTGCCTGGCGTTCAATAAGGACTCCCAAAGTGCCTGTCGCCATTAGTATTATTAATACCAGTGTTGTCATTTCTCAGCATTTCAAACAAATGTAAAGCAGCAGTCTATGGAAGAAGTAAAAACTGAAGACACCTAGTCTAGAAACTTGGTCCAAGGAGGACAGGGTTATTTGGTTGAAAGGAGATTGCAAGTTACACATGGATTTCCCTCTTCATTTCTCCATCCCCCCACTACCTTGGTTAATTGAATTGGCCACTAGATGGAAGCATATATGTTTACTGGTTTTTTTAATCTGTGAACCAATAGGTCATTTATAATGTGTAAATCTGAAATCAAAATATCATCTACAGTCAATTCAATCTGATAATTTTTGAAATCTTTAACTAACTAGACTGAGACTCTTCTGTATTTGAAAAAAGAGCAAAAATAACTAAGATTCTGGAGCTGCATATTGCAGATTTGAATACATGCAGTTTATGGTTAATGTGTTGGTAATGTTTAAAAATAATTAGCAGGACATTTTGTCTTGCCAGTTTAGATGGCACTATTATAATTATTTTTAAATTCATTTATATACATTAAAACAGCTTACTATATAGATATTAAAAACATTAATAGACTGTTAAGTAGTTTTTCTCAGCCTACAGAGACTGGTGAGAGTTTCAGTAAGGTCCTAAGTGATCCTAATTACCAGTGTGAGCAGTAGTGCATACCTCAGTGAGTAGGAGTAAGGAACCTCCAAATGTGTGACACTAACATTGTGGTATATATTTCTAGGTGGATCAGGAGATTTTATTTTCTCATGGTTAGTTTCCTTTATACTTTCCATTATTTCTTTTCAGTGTAGCTTACGGAATAATCTTTTTTTTTAAAATATATATTATATATATATTGACTGCTTGAATCAAGATCCTTTGCTAATTGCTACAGTTAGAATATGAAAATGTAAAAATTTCTGTTCCTGTTCTTAAGGAGGTTACATTGCTGTTTGAGAGAAGAAAATAAATATTCTATTCAATTTAAGTAATTATTCCAGAGAACAAAGGAAAATGATTTAAAACATTTCAGGAAGAAATCATTTCAAGCCAGAAAAAGTTATTTTAATTAATCATATATCTTGAAGAAGAGAGTAAAAAGGAGAGTAATGGGAAAGAAAAGGAAATTCTAGGATGAGGGAAGTGTGTGAGTAAAAAGCAAAGCATGTGGGAATCTCAGTGAGTAATCTGATTTTTCTAAATTAGAGGAAAACTGTGGGAATTGAGGTTTAAAAAGATAGACTGAGATGAGGTTGTGGATGATTTTAACTGACAAGGTAAGTGGTTTGGGATTTAATCTGTAGAAAATTGGAAATATTCTGCTTAAATGGCCATAGTTATTTTACAAGAGAAAGAAGTGTTTTTTGTTTGTTTGTTCTTGTTTTTGTTTTTGTTTTACCAATTTTGAGTTTTGTTTTAAAGTTCTAGTTGAATCCCCTTTTCAAATAGCATGAAGAAATTTAAAGAAAATGGCACTTGGTGTTACACAAAGTTCTGATTTTATCATTGAAATGTAAGGAGGTAATACGTAGGTTTGCTATAATTTGTGCAGTTTACATGGCAACCATATATAGTGGTCTTTAAAGACGTTTTGGAGAAAATTAATATATTGTTTTTGCTCTCTTATGCATAGGGTTATCTCATGTGCTTTAATTGCTGGACTCATTATTAGTGTTCTCACAATGAAGGAATACACCCTTGGTTATATTAAGTGAAGAAAGACTTCAAAAAGGAATAGCTGTATATATAGTATATAGGTTCAGTTAGTTACTGATGAAAATACAGAATCAGCATAGGATTGAGATAGAACTAAAATTGGGCAAATGCTGCTGTAGAGAGACAGAAAAGGGCCAAGAGTTTGTTGACAATTAGTGAGGGGTTTGTGGGGTACCATAAAGGTAAGAATTGGCTTGTTATGTGCCTTAAGCCAGAAGCTCTGTCCGAAAATATAGGCTGCATGTAAATCTGGGCAGACAGAAGGCTGGAATCCTGAGGGATCTCCAGTCTCATAGGTTCCTGATAAGCGCAAAGACTCACCGGCACAGTGGAGACAGCCTCAGGTCAGGCTCAAGAAGTGGGTGGGCACTAACAGTACTAATGAAACTACATGATTTAGGGCTACTTTATCCTTTTCCTCTATTCTTCAGGTAACTGCTCCTGTCTGAACTTTGGGATGCAGGATGACCCTGAGTCTCAGTTGCATAGTATAGGATGAAGATCCATTTTTTTCTTGCCACTGTTATTTCTCAGTACTGTGCCTTAATTCTTTGCTCTTGATTTTGAGACTGCGCTTTCTGGAGCAGTTCTAACATGTGTATTGCACTGAGTCTGTTTTGCTTAGCACTTATTCGATGCCATAGCCTATTAATAGAATGAAGAACCAATTCTGATTAAACTTAGGATTTAGAAAACACAAAAACAAGAACACAATTAACAAAAGAACAAAATTAGGCTGACTTTTACGTTATGCTGTATATTTTAAGTATTTGTTGAGTAAAGGTCTTTATGCTGCCTTAAACCAAGTAAAGCATTTTCAGGATCAAAGTTGAATGTTAGGAAATAATGGTCTGCAATATCACATGAATATAGAAACATAATTATGTTCACCACTTAAGAGTTGGTACTTTTTTCTTCCTTTTTGTATTTGTTGCAGAATACCTTGGGCTATGGAAGAGGTGGACGAATTAATTTCAGTGCTTATGTAATCACATATTCAACAACTGTTTTTTCTTGACCTCAACATTGCTCATTTGCTGTCTAGAAATTTGTGATCTAAAAACTTTAGCTTTGAAAAGAAACTTATTAAAAGCTTGTTTTTATGTCTGGCTCTACTAAGTCTTTTCTACCTTATCTTTCATTTCCTCTCAGTGGTTATCCCCTCTCCCTTTTTTTAAAACCAGGAAACTAAGGTTAAGAAACTGGTCACCCAGGTTTACACAACTAGCTAAATGGCAGAATTGAGAGTCTCTCCAAGAACCAATTCTCATTCTTTTTATCCACTGTGCCCTCAATATTCTCTCTCAATATTCTCAGGAAGGCATACTGGCTTTATTTTTATGAAACCACTGATAAAATTGTTACCAAAGTTATTTTATCTGATCAAACTCCCCTTATATGTAAGCAAAGACATGAACATAGGAGATAATCTTTCACATGCTATGATATATTCAGAGCTAATTAGCATGTACACTTAACTGGCTTTTACTGTCAGAGCTGGTGTGGAAGATATTTTAGTTTAAGTATAAATTGAAGATATAAGAGTGAGATTAGTCTAAGAGACTTTTTAGAGGCAGGACCCGTTTCCTTAACCAACTGTTTTCTCTGTAGGGCTCAGTATCCTGCTTTCATTCCCATTTTAATAAAAATTCTAATTTACATTAGAAGGGCCCCAAACTCACCAGGAAAATTACTAATCAAATTAAACTTTCTGGCTCTGATTTAATTTGGCAGCATTAGTAGACATGGTCTTAGGCTCTTGGGGAAAAAATTATTGAACACTAGTTTTAGCTTGACTAAATGTAATCTAATATAGAATTTTACCTTGAGCAACCAAAAATTAAATTATTGTATTTGTATTTATAAATAGGGACTTTTAAATTTGGGGTACAATATTTGCTTGTCTTCATTTATCCATTCTCAAATGATATATCTTTGAAAAATAGGAATAGATACTGTTAGTTTATATTAGGTATGAAAACAAGAAAGAAAATCAGCAGAGGGACTTGGATAGAAAAACCATTAGATGTGATCTCTTCACCTGTTAAACCCAGCTGTCCCTTCTGGGATTTGGCTTTGTGTTCTGAGAACCATTTCTATGAAAATCTAACGAGGAAACTCTAAACTGCTGGTGACAAGAGTAGCCTATTTTACAAACCATGCAGTAACCAGGATCAAGTATCAGAGTACAAATTCATGCCTCTTTCTTTTTTTCGTATATTGAGTTTGGTGGCATTTCGTAAAACTATCTATCCTTCTATTGCCAAGCTGACTAATCGACTGGTCTGTTGACACCATCTGTCTAAAGAATCCACAGCCGCTACCATGAGTTTTGATTCGGTTTTCAATTGAAACACATTCCATCAAGAAAAGTGTCCTTTTTTTTCTTCTTCTTTTTTTTAATTTCCTAAGTCTAAAGTTCTGAATCACTGGAATTTCCCTTTCGTTCTCTCTCCCTCTTTGACATTGTTGAAACATATTCATTTAATGTTGTATTTCAAGAGAAATGAGTACCATGGACTTTATTTGTACACTAATAGAAATTGTTATATTGGCCCATGATGCAAATATAATACAGGATGCCTGTAATATTTGAAGATAAGTAATTTAGGTATAAGTTGGTTTAAAAATTATTCGCTAATGATGTTTTTTTTTGAAATTAAAACAGGAAGAATATTTTGCTTTAAGAAAAATGCTTTTGATTTGGTGAATACTTAACAGTTTCATTTTGGTAGCTCATCTACTCAGTCTTATAACTTTCTGCTAGACCAAAGTTGTACAATGCTGATTACGTATTTGTAAGGAAAATATGATACACACTCAAGAGTTTTGAAAATAATTCTCTAAGAAACTTAATGTGACTGTACTACATGTCCACCTCAGACATTATTGTTTAGAATAAAAACTTTAGAACAATTCAGAGAACCGATATATGATAAATATGCGATATTTATGTAACCTTTTTCATCTGAATAAATTAAATTTTTAGCTAACATTACTTCCTCAGTTCTCACTGAAAAATATGAAAAGTATGCCAGAATTTATTTAATTGCCTTGTATGCTTGGAAGTATATAGTAATCTGTGGTGATTGCAAAAAAGTTTACCTTCAAGCTGTTATTAACCTAAGAAGCTATATATATATATATATATATATAGCTTCATATATGTATAGCTTCTTATATATATTCTTATATATATTATATATAGCTTCTTATATATATAATATATATATAGCTTCTTATATATATAATATATATATAGCTTCTTATATATATAGCTTCTTGTATAGCTTCTATATATATATAGCTTCATATATATATATATATGAAAGGTATATAATTGAGTATTAGTCATAGATAAGAAGATAGGTCTTTTTTTCAGTACAAAGGGGACATGGATGATATTGGTCTAACAAGGCTTAATGGAAGACAAGGAGATAAAGAGAGCCTTGAAGGCAATGGAGAAGTGGAGGAGTGATAACATAAAATTTCTAGCAAGTTTTCCATGGTGACACAGTCCAAGGGAGGAAAAGCTGGAATTAATAGGGAAATTAGTATATTATGACTATTTCATTGCAAGCAAAAGAAACTCACGGAGTAACAACAAGACAGCAAAAACTCATTGACTCATTTGCTCAAGCCATAGAAAATGCATTGGCAGGATCAGACTTAAAAGCCAAGTGAAACTAATGACTGAGTGCCATCAGTGTGCTCTGGTTCTCTTTTCTCTGCTTCTTTTTGTGTGGTTGTTTTATTTTTCTACTTTACAGACAAATCTTTTTTCTGTGCAAGAGCAAACATGATGCTTGGCATCTCACAATCTAATAGCTTTCCCCTGCCAGCTCCAGGTAGGAAAATCCCAGGAAGGATTCCAGTTTCCCCAACATTAGTCATCTGTGTATTCTGGTACCAGTAATTGGTATCACCAGCCTGAGGCCTTTGCTTACCACTGTGATCGAGGAATGGAACCTGATATCTGAAAAACAGAGGAAGGGTGTACAGGCCAAGGACTTTCCCACTATCACCAAAAAATTGCCACCATGGGAAGTTTATATGTAGCTGAAGAAAATTTCTATTTGTCCCTTAACAATGAGGGGGAATGAATGATTTTAATAATCTTTTAAACCAATCCATGAAAGAAAACGAATCATGAATGGAATTAGGAATGCCACCCACTGTCTAATTTCTTTATATGTTAGTGAGCTTATAATACAACTCTAGTTAGTACAGCCCTGACCAGAGTTGTGTACATTGTTTGTTTTCAAATTGTAATATCATTGTCATAATATTATATCATCAAATTCTCAAAATGAAAAATTCTAGAGCTATTTTAAGGTAAATCCGTGGATCCATTTTTCATGTTTGTGAAAGGTATGATGTTATGATTATACTATGTAGCGTTGACCTGGTTTTCAAAGCACAGATGTTGAAAGAACTGTCCTGTTTGTTTAATAGACCTTCAAAGGTTTGCCTTTGACACTTCTTGGAAAATACTCAAACTAAGCCCTTTGTTCATGCAAGAAGTAAAAGGAATTTATAAAATTACACTGTGGACTGTAGTCATCTGTGTGAGAATTAACTCATATGACCAATGGCTATGTTCCTTGTTATGACTATTTATAAGGAATGTGTTTAATTAACTTTTGAGATATTTTAAAAGATTTAAGGCCGGGCGCGGCGGCTCACGCCTGTAATCCCAGCACTTTGGGAGGCCGAGGTGGGCAGATCACAAGGTCAGGAGTTCGAGACCAGCCTGGCCAACATAGTGAAACCACCTCTCTACTAAAAATACAAAAATATTAAGTGGGCATGGTGGCGGGCGCCTGTAATCCCAGCTGCTCTGGAGATTGAGGCAGGAAAATTGCTTGAGCCCAGGAGGCGAAGGTTGTAGTGAGCCAAGATGGCACCAGTGCACTCCAACTTGGGTGACAGTGCAAGACTCTGTCAAAACAAACAAACAAACAAACAACAACAACAACAACAAAAAAAATATTTAAAAGATGTCAGTACAAAGTATTTGATTTTTTATCTAACTCATACTATTGCATAGAAGCTCTTTTATTTGTCCATTAGATCTCTAAACGTTTTGGTTTTGTGTTAGGCAGGTTAGAGGTATATCAGGGTTCCTGGGTTGAGCAGTATGGTTGGCCTGGCCACTTTACCCATTTTATTCTTTTGAGGGTAACCCATTTTCCTGTAGCAAGACCTCCTTTTCTGTGTATCAGCAGTTCTCAGTCATTTTTTTAGGTTATAGTCTGGTGAATGAACATAGTTGGAGCCACACTTTAGACCTACCAAATCAGAATCCCTGGGTTGAGTCCTGGACACTTCTTTTTTTGAGACAGGGTCTTGCTAGGACACCCAGGCTGGAGTGCAGTGCAGTGGCACAGTCTTGGCTGTCTGCAACCTCCGCCTCCCGGGCTTAGGTGATCCTCCTGCCTCAGCCTCCCGAGTAACTGGGACTACAGATGCCCACCACCATGCCTGGCTCATTTTTGTATTTTTTTAGAGAAGGTTTCACAATGTTGGCCAGGTTGGTCTCAAACTCCTGACCTCAAGCAATCCACCTACCTCAGCCTCCCAAAGTGCTGGGATTATGGGCATGAGCCACCCACAGCTGGCCCCTGGACATTTTTAATAGGAATTTCCCCAGTGATTCTACTCTGAACCAAATCTAAGAAACTGCTTTTGTGTATTCTAGTACACTGTCATATGTGTATTCTAGTATTGTATGTGTATATTCTTTGTACTCTTAATTCTGTTGTTGCCACATATGAGGATACAGTGACTTTTTTTTTTTTTGCAATCTATACTAACAATAAACACTCAGAGATATCAACTATGGTGAGAAGAGCTTTGCTATCAAATGACCTAGATTGAAATCGTAGCCCTATTACTAACTGACTGAATAAACTTGGGTGAGTCACTTGACTGTATTATTACCCATATCCCTATGGTAAATGGGATGATAAAAGCATCCATTTCTTGTGAATTAAATGGGATAAATTATAATTGTTCTGGAAGATGATTTCCTTATTACCTCTGCAAAGATTTTTTTGTCATTTTAATAGTTAATTATTCTACTATTATGGTTAGTTTAGGTTATAGATTATTTTAATATTAAAATCCCTGGACAAGTCATTTGAATTCAGAACTTCTTAACCTATTTATTTTTCAGATTTGGGGAAGTGATAGTTAAACAACAATTATGATTTTAGTTTCTAAAACATGTAAATAAAATCTCACTTTAAAGTACCTTAAAATATGGTAGGGGTAGATATAGTTCACTGTTTGAAGGTTGGACGCCTGTGATAAAAGAGCTGTTTATATCACCCTGCAGTGTAGTATTATTCTAAATCAGAAATTATTTTGGTCTGTTTAGCCAGCATCAAAGAAGGAAAACAGAAAGGAGACATCGTTATGTGAACATATATTACCTAGTTGAGTAATTTTTTCTAAATTATTTAATCTGTGAAGTAAATATTATTATCAGTCCTACAGAATCATCAGTGCTGGGAAATCATTCATTTGAAAAGTATTTAATATATTCAAAATCAATATAATGAAAAATATATTCTCTTGAAGTAATTATTGTAAGTTTACTTTTTCTCTTTTTCTTCACCTTTAATGAGTCTTTGGCTCCTCTGTCCTCTCATTTTAAGAAATAAAATGTGCTCTAAAATATAAACTGGCACAATAACCATTTGTAGGTCATTCTCTTTCCCCTATGTATCCAAAAAGATTATATTTTAAAACTGCCAAAGTTTCAAATGAGAATAATTTTTATCTATCTTTTTGTTTTTGTGTGAAATATGTTTCAGTCGTAACTCACTGAGTATTTAGCAACATTTAATAATAAAGTAATTTAACTGTCTGCAAAAACCAGGTTCTTCAATTATTGTTTATTTTTAGTTTGATGTGCAATGGAAAATTAAGTTTGTGTCCATATGATTTTTGTATAAAATAATCCTTTTCATATGTTTGGCTTCTGGGTTTTTTGAAAGTCAAACTTCAGAAAATGTGAGGGATTAAAATCTCCACATGTGGCTCTGCCAGACACGTCACAATAGGCTGCTGTTTCAGTGCAACACATGCAGCATTGAGTAGGCGTACTCAGATGATACTGAACTTCCCAAGCAGATTGACTAAGAATGCCCAGGAAGTGGAGTTCACCATAGATTTATTTGATTCTACTAAGATTATAGTCATTTTCAAATACCCTGATCTAGAGTCAGGATAAAATATGTTATTGTCAACCTTACTCTGCTATCATGTTTCCAACATTCTGTGTCAAGTGATTAGCAATGTAACTAATATGTGATTCAAAATAGTTACTAGGAAAAGGAAATGGAAGTTAAGTATTCTTTTTGTTTGTAGACTTGTAGTGCTGTCTTCTACCACATTCACCTTCATCCTTTATGAATGTAGGGACCTGATTTTAATATTTGAGCTTCCATGTTGATAGTAGTTATAGGTTTAGCAGCCATTTGACTTGGAGAAACAGAGCTTCTAGGAATTTAGTAATTTTAAAAATAAACCATATATTTTATCAATTATAACTATCTTCTTATATTTAAGGGAAAAAGCGTTGTTTTCCAAAGAGTAGTTTATTAGTTTATGGAGCAATGCTTATGCAATAAGGTTTTGGGATCCACTCATATATACTTCAGCTTCACAAAAATCAGATGATTTCAGCTTACTGGAGTAGGATGAGACAGACAAGTTATTTACTAAAAATTAGACCTCAGACAAAGTACTTAACTATTTTGAGCCTTCCTTTCTAACCATCTGTAAATATTTAAAAATAGGAATATCATGGAGATTCATTAAGATAAAATACAGAAAACACTGGTGCCTATTTGTGCCTGTTATAAAATTCATCTTTTAACCTTACCAGTAATGAAATGTAATACAAAATTTACTGGTATATTATTTGAATGAAACCTATTTGTCAGCCAAGAAGGATGCATTGCACCTTGTAGAATACAAAAACTTATACTTTCTTATTTGTATTGTTATTGAATTGACCTAGAAACAACTCCTAAAAAAGAAAGAAAGAAGACTGAGTGAAATTTGGCCAAATTTGATTCTTTAATTTCTTCTTACTGCCTTTTTTTTTTCTTTTTGGAGACCAAAGAGTTGATCATTTTAAAATATCTATTTTATTTAAGAATATCTGTAATCTTAGCACTTTGAGAAGCCCAGGTAGGCAGCTCACTTGAGGTCAGGAGTTCGAGACCAGCCTGGCCAACATGGTGAAACCCCATCCCCATCATGGTGAAAGTAGCTGGGCTTGCTAATTTCACCATGTGAGTGGCGCACACCTATAATCCCAGCTATTCGGGAGGAGAATTGGTTGAACCTGGGAAGCAGAGGTTGCAGTGAGCCAAGATCGCACCACTGCATTCCAGCCTGGGAGACAGAGTGAGACTCTGCCTTAAAAAAAAAAAAAAAAAAAAAGAATCTATACAGTTCCTATAAAGTGACATGTTTTCCATTTCATGACTCCTGTGGCTCCCACCTGAGTGTTTTGTTAGCATTCAAGGTCCTTATAAAATTGACATAGAAAAGTGGTTTATCTTTAAAATTAAATTCCATGCCCTCTCCAATGAGATAACAAATAAAACTTGCAGATCTTTTGATACTTCTGTAACAGAACTTTAAAAATAAACTGTGTTTAAGATGAAAGATTGATTTCCCTCCACTCATAGTTTCTTAAACTGAAATGAAAACATTTATTTGTTTGCCGTTCTAATCTCAAAATGACTTGCAAGTTTATGATGTGTTCACCTTTGGAAGATGAGAGCAAGTAAACCTCAGGAGAATTATGACCTTAACTATATAGCCAGTTTGAAAATATTTCTCTTTGCCTTTCTTTTTTTAAAGATACCATTTAATTTCACCCTAATTTAAGACTAGTTATCCATCTTTTCTTATAAGTTAAATAAATCATTTTGCTGTATATAATGTTGAAATATTTTTATTAGATTTATGGATCTTTTTAGATTGTTGGTATTTATACAAGGGATTAACATTTTAAAATTAAAAAATACTAAAAATAAGGGACCGGCCCTACAGCTATAGAACTCCACAAATAATGAAGGAGGGTCATGATTGCTTGTTAGAAACAAAAAGGTTTTTAACAAGATACATCTAATGCTGTATGTCTCCTACTCCCAAGTTCAGTCTAAATTCGGGAAGACTTCAGTGCCCAGTTTCTTTCTCTCTTGGAGAAAGTGAAATGGGGAGTGTTAGATGGATGTGAGGCAAAACCTCAAAATAAGGTTTTGGAAGGAGGGAAGTTAGATTTTAGTTACAGGAACTAGGCTTGGCTTGGAATTGTAGGAATAGGGGTTGGCTTGGAGTGATAAAACAATAGCTTAGCTTCAAGGATGGGGTGGGGGTGGGGAGGTGGGAAAGCATGGCCAGGTCATAACAGAACTGCCTTACAGGACTGACTTGATGAGAAGCCAGTGAGTCACATGTCCTTATATTTCCCTTGCCGAGGGAAGCAGTGCTCTAGGGCTCCTCTGGCCCTGAACCTGCAAGTAAGAGTTAAGTGATTTCAGGCAGCCATCAACAGTATTGACAGATGGAGTATATTAAAAGGGAAATAAATAGAAAAACAGTCACTAGGAAAAGGAAGGAAACTGGATACCTAGCATTTATTACATATGTGCCAGACACTCTGCTAGGTACGTTACATTTGGCTGTTGTAACAATCCTGTGAGGTAGGAGTTTTCATTCCAGTTTTATTTCATTTACAGATGAGGAAATTGAGAATCAGAATAATGTCACATAGATATATGTAACCAAATATTAGGATATGGGTTTAAAGCTGTAGGACTGAAGAAAGAGTTGTGTGCTATAATTAAAGCAGATAATTCATTTACTGTGGGATCTACAGAGAGACCAGATCTGATGAAGTGTAGCATTTGTCCAGGGAAATTAATTGATACTTAGTGGTATTTAAAATGTGAAATAATTTATTTTCCAGTCATTTCTAAGGAGATGGAGCTCTATAAGAAATGTTGATTAAGAGGTGCCAATTGTATTTAAATTAAAGCAATATGTTTTAATATTAGAATTCAATAGTTAAGCAGTACAAATACCTATTTCCTGTTAGAGAAAACCAGTGACTTAACTTTGGATTGTAAGCGAAAGAAATCAGGTGTTCTCAAACTTTAATGTGCCTTGGAATTACCTCTGGTACTTGTTAAATTACATCACTAAGAGATTTAGTTTAGTAGATCAGAAGTGGGCTTCTCTGACATCTGAATTATTAGCAGTCCCGACCTCTCTCGTCGACTGTGATGTACCAAGCAGTTAAATATCAGTAGATACAAATTAAGATTTTCATTGTAATGTATACCAGTGTTGAAAAGCTGTTGCTACAGATTGGGATTTCCCCCATTGCGTTTATTTTCACTTAACCATAGGTTAGAAAATGTTGTCTAACACAGAGGTCCCCAGCCTTTTTGGCACCAGGGACTTGTTTCTTAGAAGACAATTTTTCCACAGACAGAGAGGGGCAGGGAATGGTTTTGGAGTGCAGCTATTCCACCTCCAATCTCAGATCATCAGGCATTAGACTCTCATAAGAAGAGCACAACCTAGATCCCTTGCTTGCTCAGTTCACAGTAGGGTTTGTGCCGTGAGCATCTAATGCCACCACTGATCTGACAGGAGATGGAGCTCAGGGGCTAATGCCGGCTGCTGCAGCTGGGGATTGGGGACCCCTGGTCTAACACAATAGCTAGTTGCTTGTTGCATTTAAAGATAATTGATTAAAATAAAATGAAATAATAAAGTTCAGTTTCAAGTATTCAAAAGCCTCCTGTGACTAGTGGCTACTGTTTCAGAAAGAGCACATAATAGGACATTTTCATCATCATTGCAGAAAGTTATATTTGACAATGCTGGATTAGAGGGTAAGAACCCAGAATTTTTGCTCCAGTATAATTGTTATGGAGTGAGAAATTATGTTTTGAAGTTATTCTTATTAAATACTACTGTTTTATGTAGAAGCAGACATTTTCTTTATAAAAGTGAGTTTTATATTAAAAATGCTTCTGATTAAATAACATATTACATGCTTTATTTTTTTTTTTGAAATGAATAAACATACTTAAAGAAGATAAATTACTTAGGTGGCTTGAACTTGTCCTGGGAATGATAATCATCTGAAGAGTTTTTTGATGTATAAGGGATTTTCCCACTAAAGAACTTTCCCCCAAAGAACATTTCTCACTCTGCTCAAAGAAGTAGGAAAGGCCTAAATATTTTATCGCTTTATAAAACAGGCTTAAAGATGATATGAAAAAAGGAAACTAAGTGGTCTAAGCAACCTCCAGAATTTGTCCTAAAACTGCTGCATTCCATTGGATGCTGTGTATCATCAAAAAAAGCTTCTGGTTAAAATGTGCATGGAATTCAGCATTAAATCTTGAATGTAAGTGTGCTAGTTTGGTAGAATTTTCCTAAATGTATTGAATGTAATTTATAAATTATCAAGGGAAATTGTTTTAGAAGAGTTTCAGAAAGTATATAGTATATATTATAATTATTGATTATAATGTGAAACATATAGTCCTTGAAATAGTAAACTCTATGTTTATGAGAAAGAAATTCACCTCAACATTATTTATATCATCTATTGAACCTCAAGTTGGTTTATAAAAATTTTTAGAGTTTGAAGTCATATATAATGTATAAAAAAGACCTTAAATTGACAATATTTTTTGCGTTCTCAGAGTGAAACATAGGCTGGGCGCAGTGGCTCATGCCTGTAATCCCAGCACGGGGGGATCACTTTAGCCCAGGGGTTTGAGACCAGCCTGGGTAACAGAGAGAGAATCTGTCTCTACAAAAATAAAAAAAAAAAGGTTTCAAATGAAACACAGGTTTAAAAAAAAAAAACAAAAAAAAAACCCTAAGCTTGCTTTCCTCTTTTAGACCCCTAAAACTCTGAGCCATTGGACTAAGTTGTATGAGTTCTTTCTTCGTAATTTTCATTTCTTATTCATTTTTATGACCTCTGTTCTTTCATTCCTGTATTATGGGGATGGTTATCTTCTCAGGTTTTGAGTCTCTTCCCACTGCTCTTCATTCTCCCTAGCCCTGTGAATTGAGTGCTCCTAAACAGCATTTTCATCATGTCACTGTACTTCTGAAACTCTTTTAAGAACTTCTGTGTTGCTATTAGGCTAAGAACAAAAAGCCTTTTTTTTGGACATATTTAGGTCTCTACAGTTTGGCAAAAGTTTGCCTTTTAACTCCTATTTTCACTAGTCTTTAACTGAACCCTTCATATAAACCAGGCTAGGCTTGTTCCCTTTCTGCCCCTGTACACCCCATTTGAGACACGTTTTCCATACATCTCTGCTTATCCTATGGTTACGGGTTGAATTTTGTCCCCCAAAATGTTGTTGAAGGCCTAACCGCTGGTATCTGTGAATGTGACATTATCTGAAGATAAGGTCTTTGCAAATGCTAGAGATAAGGTGAGGTCATTAGGGTGGGCCCTAATCCAATATGGCTGTGTCCTTATAGAAAGGGGAAATTTGGACACAAAGATAGAGATGTAAGGAGAACACCATGTAAAGATAAAGACAGGGATCAGGATAGGTGATGCAGCAGCCGCCGGGGAACTGCCAGGAAACCACTAGAAGCTGGGAGAGAGAGAGGTGGAGCAAATTCTCCCTCACTGCCCTGAGAAATAACCAACCCTACTGACACCTTGATCTCGAACTTCTAACCTCCAGAGCTGTGAGGAATTCAATACATTTCTGTTGTATGAGTCACTCATTTTGTGGTACTTTGTTATTGCAGCCCAAAGAAACTAATACATTCACTATTTTGTTTTTTATTTTAAAATTTGTTGTATATTCATGACCTTCTTAAAGAATCTGAAGGGGAGGGGCGCTGTGGCTCACGCCTGTAATCCCAGCATTTTGGGAAGCCGAGGCGGGTGGATCACGAGGTCAGGAGATCGAGACCATCCTGGCTAACACGGTGAAACCCCGTCTCTACTAAAAATACAAAAAATTAGCCAGGCGTGGTGGCGGCGCCTGAAGTCCCAGCTACTCCGGAGGCTGAGGCAGGAGAATGGCGTGAACCCGGGAGGCGGAGCTTGCAGTGAGCCGAGATCGCGCCACTGCACTCCAGCCTGGGCGACAGAGCGAGACTCCGTCTCAAAAAAAAAAAAAAAGAAAAAAAAAAAAAAAAAAAAAAAAAACTGAAGGTTTTCCTCTGGATCTTCTCTCTAAAAAAAATGCATATATGTTTATAAACACAAAACTCCAACAAATTTCAGAGGTAAAGAGTCTCTGATCCACTCAAATTATTTCTAACCCACCATGTTCATCCAAGGCATCATCTTCTTTGTGAAGAGAGTCTGCCCACTTCACTTAACTTTTGATTGTCTTTTCTCTTTGGAAATGTACTGTATATATTTTGCTTTTGGTACTTCATCCCATATTTCTTGGACTCCGAGCTCTCTCAACTTGAAAACTCTAATCTTTCTAAATACCAAACTCCTAGATTATAAGATTTGTATCAGGTTTTGAAGGATAGGGTTAGTTCTTCATACCCACCCTCCTATCATCAGCATTGCAAGGTAATATATATATATATATATATCAAGTATGAGATCACATGTATCCAATGCCCAGTACTTACCTGGAAGATACTAAGATACTCCATGCTCAACACCGAGTGCCTGCATTGCTGTTATCTTTCTTAAGAATATTAATGTCTGCTAAACTACTTCCCAGCAGAAAATAACTTGAACTTCCTGCTTGGGCAAGGGGTAATAATAACAGGTGTTACTTCACTCGTCTTGTACTGAGTCCAGCATCAGGAGAACAGTAAATGTGAAAAGTTTTTTTTTTTTTTTTTTTTTTTTTTGAGATGGAGTCTCACTCTGTCGCCCAGGCTGAAGTGCAGTGGCGCGATCTCGGCTCACTGCAAGCGCTGCCCTCCAGGTTCACACCATTGTCCTGCCTCAACCTCCCGAGTAGCTGGGACTACAGGCGCCGCCACCACGCCTGGCTAATTTTTTGTATTTTTAGTAGAGACGGGGTTTCACCGTGTTAGCCAGGATGGTCTCGATCTCCTGACCTCGTGATCCGCCCTCCTCGGCCTCCCAAAGTGCTGGGATTACAGGCGTGAGCCACCGCGCCCGGCCGAAAAGAAGTTTTAAAATGACAAGGCGGAGGAGTGTTCTCTGACAGTACCAGGGAAGGATGGCAGACCCCGGAGTTTACAGTTTTAAGTTTGACTCTCAGCTCACTGCAAATTATTAGGGAAATATTGTGCAAGTGATTTACCATGCTGAGCTTTTTAAAAATTCCACCAAAAAAGTAAAGAAAATTATACTTATATTTTTAAAGATTAGACCCTCTTCTAAGACTGTTGCGTTTATATCTTCATTCACACCCAGAGAGATTTGCATTCCACTTTCAAGATTCACAGGCACTTTGAAGCACAGGCACTTTGCCTGAACAGGCAAAGAACATCTCTTCTTTAGTGTCTTTTATGGAAAGTTTTACTCCTAACTTGGTGTTCATGGGAGTTAGAACAGGATCCTGGTTCTAGTGAGAGGGGATTATTTGTTGTCAACTTTGATCAAGTATTTTCACTCTAGTGATTAGTTTTCCTTTGTTTGGAAAATGTGAGGGTTGACGAATTTATCTGTTCTTTTTCCAGCTTTAACATGCTATATTAACCTCATTTTATGGATGAAGAAACCGACCCAGTAACTGAGGGTAGAGAGGTAAAAAAAAAAAACAAAAAACAAAAAACATGGGCCTAGAAGAAAAGCCCAAGTACTGTGACTATGAATCTACTGCCTTCTCTCCTCCCAACTACCACATACAACAAAAGTGTGTTTTGTAGTTTTCTTCAATTTAAATTAACTTTGAGGACTTAAAAAAAAATTATGGGTCTATGCAGTACATTCTTGTACAAGGTGAATTCTTACACCATTGCACTATTTTACATTATAGTTTAGTGGTTCACTGCCCACATTCTGGAACAGACTGTAGGAGTCTGAATATTAGTTCCACTTGTTAGTGTCTGTGAAATTTGGGATGAGTTATTTCATTTCTGTGCCTCAGTTTTCTCATCTGTAAGTTATGGATAATAATAGTGCCCACTTCAGAATGTTGTGGGTACTATGAGAATTAAAACACCTAATCAAATTGGAACGTAAGTACATTTTAGCTATTGTTCTAACCTGACATTCAAGATAAATGAGATAATTTAAAAAAAATCTTACCTGTGTGCTTTTGAGATGTTTTGAGAAAGCTCCATTTGTTCTTACTATTCTTAAACACATCAGTGCAGCTAACTGTGCAGAACTAAGTCAGAACAAGCATTCTGTGGGTTATACAAGGTAGTAGTGTCATCTTGACCATCTCCTTGCATCTTATGTTCCATAAAAATTTTGATTCATCTCTCCCTGTCTTTTCAAATTTTTTTTGTATGAAAAATTTACAATTGTTGTATTTGGTAGGGCTTTTGCATACTTTTGGGTGTCAGATTTGCAAAGAGGGATAAATATCTTTAAGTTCAAAGGTTGCAGAAGTATTGCCAGTATATGTATAGTGGTAATAATTCAGAGAGAGGGAATTTTCTGTAAATTGCAGTTAAAATAGTATTTTGTACATTATGGTTCAAAACTATTATGAAGGAAAATGAGAACTCTGAAAAGTGGCATAAATAAGATTCCAATTGGCTATACATACAGCGTATTGCAACGATTAGGGTGATGCGAAACAGAAAACACTAGAACAGATCTGCTTACAGTTTGCCAAGTAAAAAGTTTGTGAATGGAAAACCAGTAAAAATACTTAATTCCTTAAGTATTTTCTGTACCCTGTACCATTTTCATTTTGTGTGTGTGTGTGTGTGTGTGTGTGTGTGTGTGTGTGTGTGTGTGTGTGTGTGTTTTAATACGGAGTCTCGCTTCGTTGCCCAGGCTGGAGAGCAGTGGCGCAATCTCGGCTCACTGCAAGCTCTGCCTCCTGGGTTCAAGCAATTCTGCCTCAGCCTCCCGAGGAACTGAGACTACAGGCACGTGCCACCACAACCAGCTAACTTTTTGTATTTTTAGTAGCGATGGGATTTCACCATGTTAGCCAGGATGGTCTCGATCTCTTGACCTCGTGATTCACCTGCCTTGGCCTCCCAAAGTGCTGCGATTACAGGTGTGAGCCACCACACCCGGACCCATTATGTATTCTTTTAACTTTTCTTCTTCCATAGTGTTATTTAGTCAGGTAAATATAAAATAATTGTTTTAAGTTTATGTATAATACATAGAAATATAGATATTACAAATACATATTGCTATATAATATATTAATATATTATAAAATATATATTGCTATATGTTAACATGATATTATAAAAGTATATTGCTATATTACATATTAATATTACCTCTATTTGCATTGGTAGATATTTGCAGATATTCATTTTTAAGGGCACTGTATTTCTGATTAGATAAGTTTAAAAAAATTAAGTTTAAATTTAATTTTCTATGTTTTTAGAGATGGGATTTTGCCGTGTCACCCATGCTGGAGTGCAGGGGCTAATCACGGGTGTGATCATAGGTGCATTACAGCCTTGAATTCCTGGCCTCAAGTAATCCTCCCACCTCAGCCTCCTGAGTAGCTGGGACCACAGGCACCGCTGTTACCTGGCTTGATTAGACAATTTTTGCTGCAGAAATAGCTGGCTGTTTTTTCAATCTTACAATTTAATCATGCCACCCTCCCCCACTCCCCAAAAGCATATACTTTTGACTAATAATCCTTGGTTGTACCTTTTCAACCTCCAAGCTAACCCCAGTTGTGAATCAGGTGAAAATAATCAAGGAATTTATCATTGCTGAAATGTTGTGCTATCTGTGTATTAAACACCAGATGCTATATTGTCACAGATCTTGCTATATTGCTTTTCATGGTATCATTGTGAAGTTTTTAGATGGCATATATCTCTTGTTGATCACATAGTGGGTGAATTTACAAAACTTTTAGCAAATCTATGGTATAGCTCTGTATTGAACTTTTGTGGATCTGTTCTTTCTTCCCTTGTCTACTATACTTATATCACAGGCCCATAAATGCTATAAATTTTGGGCTTCTATCTACAATCTATAGGGGTCTGTACAGAATAGTTACTCAGTAAATATTTGTTGATTTGAAATAATTTTACTTCCATTCATTGTTTTAGATTATTTTTTCTCGGGTCTCTGCCATGTAACAATTATTATTCCTCTGGTTTTAAAATTAATATAAAAAACAAGTAGAGAATTTACTGTAGTTTTCCTCTTTGCATTGGATTTATTTCTGTATTTTCACAGTAGGTAGACTATTCTACTCTTATAATAAAACTAGTTTATCAAATATGATAGTAATGTGACAATCTCTTTCTTTCACACATATTGCCTTTCAGTAAACTTTGTTTTTAAATTTGGTTGTAATGCATTCTTTGTTTTAAAACAGTTTATATCATAGGACAATTTGAATATGCTTTTTGGTACTAGTTACTATGATTAATTTTTTTTGATGGGATATTTGCTCTTTCAGTCTGTTCCACTTGACTTATTAAGAAGAAAGGGTGGGCCGGTACAGTGCTCATGCCTGTATTCCCACCACTTTGGGAAGCTGAGGCAGGAGGATAGCTTGATCTCAGGAGTTGGAGACCCACCTGGCAACATAGTAAAACCTCTACTAAAAATAAACAAAATTAGCCGGGTGTGGCAGTGTACACCTGTGGTCCCAGGTGGGAGGATCACTTGAGCCTGGGAGGTTGAGGCTGCAGAGAGCCAAGATCACGCCACTGCACTCCAACCTGGATGACTGAGCAAGACCTGATCTCAAGGAAAAAAAAAAAAAAAAAAAGAAGAAGAAAGGGTGACCAAGCATCCTGGTTTACCTGGGACTGATTGAGGTAACTTTAATTATTAAAACTGGGATGATCCTGGTTAAACTGGGACGGTCCTGGTTAAACTGGGATGAATTGGTCAACGTAGGATAAGATTCCTGTATTTAAAAGAATTGGTTAATCTTACTAAGTCATCGATAAACTTGAAATCGTGGATTTTTTTAATATATAGTTTTATTTGAAAGTTGTGTTCAGAAAAAGAGATACTCCTGTTTTCAAACTGAGGGTACTTATCGGAAGGCATTTCTCAGAACTTGGTCCTAAAATGATGGGATATATCTAATTCTCAAACACATCAAAATTTGGAATTATTTGTGTTTCTAAATGATGTTTAAACCATTGAAATGTTAGCCTAATGGATAAATAAGAATTATAACTTGAATATTTCTCCAACTACAATTTAAAGTTATTTTGAGAATTAACAAATGTTTAAATGTTTTAGTTCAAAGCCCTTTAAGGAATAAGATTCCCAAACTTTAGTGTACATTAGAAATCACCTTGCATACCTGAAAAGACCAGTTACTAGTCTTCGTACCCAGAGATTATGACTGAATAGGTAAGAAAACAGTTATCCATATTTTGAACCTTGCTCTAGGTTTTTCCAAAGCAGACGTTTATGCATATATGTAGTAAACAAAATACTTATTTCAAAAGAAAAATCCTCTTATTTTTTCAAAAGACTGTATTATATATTGTCCTAACATTAATGACAAAGTAAATTTATATAAAAAACCAAGAACCTTATGCTGCATCTCGGTCTATGTCACTTGTAGTTTCTGTGCTAGCAGAAAGCTAGAGCAAAACCCATTATATTGAGATATATCAGTTATTACAGGCTGAGTGGGAAGAAAGTATATTTTAATAACGTAATTGGGTTTATTATTATTGAAGGATCTCACACATGCTTAAAAATAATCAAATGTGAAGTGAAAAATAATGTAAAGTTTAAATAAATGGTTTTCCCTGGGCAGCATAGACTAGGAATTAGCATGTAATGGCATGGAAGATAAGTAAGACAATTAGGTCTATTTGCCTCCTAAAGAGAAGAGGCAATTGATACCTGTTAATCGGTTTAAATCCATATCCAGTCTTTTAACTCCTAAGGATCACACAGGGCATGACTGAGCAGCTATGCGCCTCAGGGTTTGTGGTCTCTATTCATGTAATCTCACTCAGGCTTTTCACATTTCCAGGAAAGCTTATTTTTGTCGAAGGCATTTGCTCCCACTCATTGTAACCGTGTTGCATGCAGTTCTGCATACACAACTTGCAGATTTGCTTACTGGTTGTTTACGGGCCCCCATGTTAAAAAGCTGGCTAAGAGGTATATAAGTGCATATGCATTGATTAAGTGCACACAGTGTCACTTGCCATTTGTATTAACTTTGAAACTTTAATAACTAGAAGAAAAGAGAGAGAGAGAGACAGGTACCACTTACTGTTTTTGTTTTTTTGAAGGTTTTTTTTTTTTTTTGGCATTCTTGTATCACCAGCATCTAGTGCAGACCTGGTGCAGCATGGACATTTAGTACATATATTTCGAGTGAATAAATGAATGCAAAAGAGTTAACAAAGGTTCAATTTTATTTTCTCCATATTTTCCCAAAAAATATTTGTTGGTTTTCAGAACTTCTAAAATAAAAGATTTTATTATGAAAATAACACCAGAAGATCGTGGATTATTTAGAAACGACACACACTTATAGAGAAGGAAACAAAAACTACACATTTTTCAACAGCCTCTAAGAAATAATGTTAAGATTCTTTTCAGACCTTTCTTCTGTGTCTCTTCTTTTTCTGTCTCTCTTTTTCTCAGTCTGTCTTTTAAGCTAGAATTGTACAACTTTCACCTCTGTTAATTCTTGTATTTATACCACATGTGATACTGTGTTCACGTTTCAGGTTTCAGTGTCCTCAGAATTAAATTTAAGGAGAGCTTCCAGCCATGAATGGGCCAAGAGCCTTGTATAGCCAATTGCTTACAGGAAGGCTGTGTCTTCAAGACTCCCTTCCCTTGTGGATTTCTGCTTCCCATAAGCAGAATTAAGGCTATTCCTTATTTTATCTTCAGCTCAGAGGTACACTGACTGCCTCCAAGAATGATGCTTGTCTATACCACTAGGTATAAATGCCTATGGCATCACTTAACATTTTCTTCTTCCATTATTATTGATTATTCATTCAACAAATGTTTATTGAGTACCTGCCACATGCTAGGTGCTGTTTCAGGCAATGGGGATGTGGAAATATTTCAGTTATGGTTAATTATTTATTAATTAAACACAGATATTTCAACAAAACTGGTTTTTATGGCTTTTTTCCTTCAAAATTAAGAATTACACCACTCTCAAGATAGTTTAAGTAATAGATTTCCCTTTCAAAGTTGCGTTAAAATACAAAATGATAAATGCATGTAGGCATTATATTATCAATAATAAAATGTTCTTGGAATTAGGAAAATTTGGGGTATTCTAATCTTTTTGCATTAAATGTTGTATATGTTAATATTTATGGCTTATTTTGTCTATTAGATCAACTAGACATTTGTTTTGGAATGATGAATTATTTACTTACCCCTTTAGAAAATAAAGATTACTAATTACTCATTTAAATATTTACTAAAGTATGTACTATAGGATACTATTTAAGTATTTATGATTACTTAAAATTTAGATTTTGCATTAACATTTGGAATACCTTTCAAATTTCTATATCTTGTGTGCTAAATGATTAGAAGCTGCCTCTCAGTATCTTACTGGGGTGCCCTTAGGATCTGCAAGAGCTAAAGCCAAGATATAATGAGAAAGATATGAGGAAGATATCAGGAGAGAAAGAATACAATTAGTTTGCTAATGTGTAAAAGGTTTTCTTCAGGAATTCTTACTCATGTCAGAAGTACTGGTTGAGTTTTTAAAATGAGTGAAGTTGACAGCATTCCTATAGGGATTTCTCAGTAATCCTTTAAAAGGTTATTTTAAGTATTTTGTTTTCTAAAAGTGTAATTGTTTTTAGACAGTTATCCTTAAAATTGCAATCCCATATGCTATCTTGCAGACATTAGTAACTCACCTAGAATCAAGAGTTATTGAAGTATAACACAAGTATGATTGCCTAATGCAAAAAGTTGAAAGCTTTATTTTTAGTACTTTAATTGATTTTAGTTTATTGACTTTTGGCGAATTATATTTGTAATATACAGATTCCATGAAAATCTGATGTAACTCTTTAGACAAAGAACTCATAAATATTACTTTAATTATAATTTTAAAAACCCTCCTATGGTTAAGGAATTTTATTATATTCATACTTGTTTTTACATACTTTGATAGCTTAAAAACATGGTTTTACAATGAGAACACATGGACACAAAGAGGGGAACCACAGACACTGGGGTTTACCGGAGGGTGAAGGTTGGGAGGAGAGAGAGGTTCAGAAAAAATACATGTCAGGTACCATGCTTATTGCCTTGGTAATGAAATAATCTGTACACCAAACCCCCATGACACACAGTTTACCTGTATAACCCCCATGACACACAGTTTACCTGTATAACCCCCATGACACACAGTTTACCTATATAACCCCATGATACACAGTTTACCTATATAACCCCATGACACACAATTTACCTATATAACTCCATGACACACAGTTTACCTATATAACCCCATGACACACAGTTTACCTGTATAACCCCCATGACACACAGTTTACCTATATAACCCCATGGAACACAGTTTACCTGTATAACCCCATGACACACAGTTTACCTATATAACCAACCTGCACATGACCCCTGAACATAAAAGTAAAAAAAAAAAAAAAAGTTTTTAAACACGAAAGTAAGATTAACTTCAGAAAAAAGAAATTCTCTCCTTAGAAATTTAAATTGAGAACAAAGTAGTTTTGTTAAGCAAGGTTTATTTTATAAGTTATAAGAGTACTTTTAAGTTGCCACTTCAATAGAGGAATCTGCTCATGTTCTGTATATTGAGGTTATAGTTGGCTCAAATATATAACCATCTGCTATTTCTATATTATAAAGAAATGAAGTGCAGATTCACATTGATTGCAGTACCATATAATTTGTTCTAATATAAAGAAAACTGAAGATTATAATTAACTATGTTTCCATAGCAATAAAAAAAATCCTGGGACCACCCAAATGCTGTTTTTCATGATTGAAAAATATTGTCCAAACTCCTTTGTCAGTGAACATTTCAAACGTCTGATTGGTTCTAACAGCTGAAATAAGCTACTATATTATATTATGTTATATTTGTTGTATTATATTCTATTTTCAGACCTAAATGTTTTGGTCCATTAGAATGAGTGTTACGGATGCACAATTACAAACAATCTATACTCTGGCTACCCATAGTATTTTTGTATTTTTAATGAAAAGGAGATGAAAAACAATATGACTATTCACTCAGTAATATTTTAAAAGCACTAGTGTGTCTTTAAAATTTTGAAAGCAATACATTTACTCAGTGGATATATTTGCAATGTTTTCCACAAGGAACAGAGATGCTTTATTATAGATGGCTTTAGTTAGTCAGTCTCTGATGCTTCTCAGTAAAACAGTAAGTTGGCTCTGCTAAATGCTCTAGTTTTTTTTTTCTTTTCTGTCTTTTGAAAGATGCTCTGCTGGAATTGTGCCAAAACTTGCCAAGACCTGTATAAGTGGAAAATTATTTTAAGTTGAATGCTCAACTTAAACTAAAGATTTAGCTTTATTTTCAGTGTTTCTTAAAAATCTAGGGAAAATAATTAATTCATCTACAAATTACTAAGAATCCTAATGTAATTCCAGAAAAGAGTTAGGAGGAGAATCTAAAATCAAATAATGGTGCTTATGACAGCTTCCAAAATACTTGATTAATGGTTCCAACTCATGGATCAATGTAATATTATTTTGTGCATTAGAACTTATGCTAACCTGTAAAGTGTAGGTATTTTAGCCTCATTTTACAGATGGAGAAACTAATATTCAGAGAGTTTAAGCAGTTTATTCAAGTTCAAACAACTAAGAAGTACCAGAGGCTAGATTTGAACCCAGACCATCTGAATCCAGTCTCTAGTTTTAATTACTTTCCCCTCAGGTGTTACAGTAGTTTATGTCCCTCTACCCTCACGCTGTTTCTTCCTTTGATTCCAGTTTCTTCTACTGGTGTCTTCTCTTGTATGGCTCTTATTTTTCAATATTATTCTTGTTAATATTTCTGCCTCCCTTGGTAGACTTCAGGCTGTTAAGATCAGGGATTCTATTTCATATTTCTTTGTGCTGCCAATGCTTAACACAATTCATACTACAGTATAGGAATAATATACAGGTAAACAACTAATGGATAAATTGGTGGATGGGAGATTGAGAGAATTTGGACTTTAACACATGCAAATATACTTGTTCAGTATTTTACAGAAAGTAAAATTCTTCAGTTTGCATGTTACTTGAGCATTTTACTAAGGGGCAAATAGGAAGAATGAACTCAGCTAGCCAGCTTCAACCTTCCAGTTCCCTTAGTTACAGCTCAGGATGAAATCCTGCCTGAATTGGTTCAATAGTGACAATTCTCCAGTTATTGCCCTTCTAGCTTCTATGATATTTGGGTCTCATGACAGAAAACCCTCTCCTACTTAGTTGTCTATGTATTATTAACAATGGGAGAGGGGAGGCAAAATTCTTTCTAAAATGTAACTTATGCTACTGCCAATCTTTTTCATATCTCTGGGGACATAGCCATACGATATTAGATTCTTTAGGAATATTACAAAAACACCAGGCATTCACTCCTGGAATTTCCTTTTGGTCTATTTTGGTAACCATTTTAGATGATAAATTCTACCAATGGCACTCAGTTAATTATTAGGGTTATTCTAAATTTTGACTGGAGAAGTTTTCCTCTAAATAGTGTTTGCTTAGGTAGAAGTTTATAATCAAGAGACATTAGAATAAAATAAAGTAGCTGAGCGAAATGGCATTATGTAGTAATCATGTAGTTATTATAATCCATTCCATTTTCCTTGTATTCATGTACTATGTATAATTTTGGGTGAAAGTACTTAGCTTTTTTTGTAGAGTGTGGACTGTTTTTATGCTTCTTATTTCAACAGTAAGCATGAGTATTTGGAAATGTGTGTAACTTAATAGAGGATATTTAAATCTACTCTGCACAGTGAGTAATTAATGGGTGCTGCCTTCTTATTTTTTAACAAATGTCTTCTTGTAGGATGAAATTCTGACAGGAAAATTACAGGATTAGTGCCCATGATAGGATTTATGTTAATAATTGGAGGCAGTTCTGCTCCTTTAAAGGTAAATGGAGCTTAAATAAAAGTGTTAAGCAGCAAGGCTCTTTTAAGAATATAGGTTTGAACCTATATATAAATATATAGATTTTTATATATTATATATATAATTACATCCCTGTCCCCACCTTGGACAGATGTCGCCAAATTCTCTATTAATTGTCTATTAATATTTATGGTGTATCTGTCAGCTACTCACTGAATTTGTTCCTCTTCTGCTTTTAACAGTTTTATAAGAATTTTTGTGCTGCAAGATACATTAATATGATATTTGATGGAGACAGATACTTTAATCATTTTAGGTTTTCTAATTTTATACAGCAGAGTATGAAAACGGTTGGATCAAAACAAAACTACTAATAAAATAAATACTGTTTTTTCTGTCTGTTAAGAAACAGACCTGAAACACAAATAAACAAAACCATAAGGTAAATATTAATGTCATGATAGAAAAAAATCATATATATGAATAAAGAATAAAATTATATATATAATTCTTTTAATACATATGTTTATGCTTACCTCAACAGAATAGTAACACGAGCAGTCTCTTAAATGGTTACTTTCTGTGTTTGTGTAAAAGTGACCTCTCAGAGGGGGAAGCAGTTTACATCCAACTAGGAGTTTGGTTTCCTCATCATAAATCTTGTGTGACTTTGATATATTTCCTTGAAATACTTAGCACTTACGTGTATATCTTTTTCCAGCTGTGGTTGTGTAAATATTTAGATATTTCAGTCACTCATGTTTATATTTTATCTTCCAACTGGGCAGTTGTTGAAGGAATCCTGCCCTGCGCTTTCCCTGATGCTGGTCTTGCCTGAAGTGAGTTCTCAAGATTCTACCAGGATTCTTGCAGAGGGCAGTTGACAGTGTCAGAGAGAGTATCATCCTAGTTCCTTTGTAAAAGCCTCACGTCATCAGTCTGTGTGGTGTTGTTGTTTTTTTTAACCCCCTCTTCTTTGTAACTATTAGGTTTACTATGCAGAATGTGGTTGAAACCTGGAAGTTGGTTCTGCCAATTGGGATAGAAATTTTGTATCTTATTACATAAAATATGTACAAATTCACATAACTAGAATGATGGTTATCAGATGTTTTATAGGAATGTGGAATTTATGAATGAAGAGAGAAAGCTTTTTATGAATAATGAGTCGAATATTATATATATGTACTGTATGTAAATATATAATATTATAAATAATTGTGACAGAGTGAAGGTAGACACCACTTTTAGGGTGGAAGACTGCAATCACTGATATCTGGGACTTGGAGGCTTTCATCCGTACTCTTATGAGATTTATATATGCTCTTCCATATTTGGCCTTGGTGTAACTCCCTTAAAGTTTTCCTTTAAGAAAGTGAGTCAGAGTTATATATATCTATGATATAGGTTATATATGATATATAACATACACATATATAGGTTTTATATATATTATTTATGATATAGGTTTTCCCTCAAGTATATTGGCAGAAAAAAAGTTAGAAACCAATGATATTGAATTTTAATTGTGCAAACAATTGTGTAGGAATTGAGGTTCTCAGAATATGAAAAACTGATCATGTAAGGATATTTACTCAGCAATGTAAGCTCATATTTGGAGAAGATGGCACAGTACATGGAAAGCTTTATATCTCCATTTATTCATCAGCAGGGTCTCTACTGAGTGAAGTAACTATGAAATCATTTGCAGATGGATATTCTGTGCATGGGGAAAGCACAACAGAGTCAACAGGTTTGACTGTTTCTTGATGTTTTGTTTTTTTTTTTAATTTAATATTACATTTATTTTATTATTATTATACTTTAAGTTTTAGGGTACATGTGCACAATGTGCAGGTTTGTTACATATGTATACATGTGCCATGTTGGTGTGCTGCACCCATTAACTCGTCATTTAGCAATAGGTATATCTCCTAAAGCTTATCCCTCCCCCCTCCCCCCACCCCACAACAGGCCTCGATGTGTGATGTTCCCCTTCCTGTGTCCGTGTGTTCTCGTTGTTCAATTCCCACCTATGAGTGAGAACATGCGGTGTTTGGTTTTTTCTCCTTGCTA
Organism: Homo sapiens; assembly: GCF_000001405.40. NCBI lineage: Eukaryota > Metazoa > Chordata > Mammalia > Primates > Hominidae > Homo > Homo sapiens. The sequence goes on along the minus strand of NC_000003.12, from coordinate 78,950,402 downwards.
TAGTTTGCGGAGAATGGTGGTTTCCAGTTTCATCCATGTCCCTACAAAGGACATGAACTCATGATCTTTTATGGTTGCATAGTATTCCATGGTGTATACGTGCCGCATTTTCTTAATCCAGTCTATCGTTGTTGGACATTTAGGTTGGTTCCAAGTCTTTGCTATTGTGAATAGTGCTGCTGTAAACATACGTGTGCATGTGTCTTTATAGCAGCATGATTTATAATCCTTTGGGTATATACCCAGTAATGGGATGGCTGGTTCAAATGGTATTTCTAGTTCTAGATCCCTGAGGAATCGCCACACGGACTTCCACAATGGTTGAACTAGTTTACAGTCCCACCAACAGTGGAAAAGTGTTCCTATTTCTCCACATCCTCTCCAGCACCTGTTGTTTCCTGACTTTTTAATGATTGCCATTCTAACTGGTGTGAGATGGTATCTCATTATAGTTTTGATTTGCATTTCTCTGATGGCCAGTGATGATGAGCATTTTTTCATGTGATTTTGGCTGCATAAATGTCTTCTTTTGAGAAGTGTCTGTTCATATCCTTCGCCCACTTTTTGATGGGGTTGTTTGTTTTTTTCTTGTAAATTTGTTGGAGTTCATTGTAGATTCTGGATATTAGCCCTTTGTCAGATGAGTAGGTTGCGAAAATTTTCTCCCATTCTGTAGGTTGCCTGTTCACTCTGATGGTAGTTTCCTTTGCTGTGCAGAAGCTCTTTAGTTTAATTAGATCCCATTTGTCAATTTTGGCTTTTGTTGCCATTGCTTTTGGTGTTTTAGACATGAAGTCCTTGCCCATGCCTATGTCCTGAATGGTATTGCCTAGGTTTTCTTGTAGGGTTTTTATGGTTTTAGGTCTAACATTTAAGTCTTTAATCCATCTGGAATTAATTTTTGTATAAGATGTAAGGAAGGGATCCAGTTTCAGCTTTCTACATATGGCTAGCCAGTTTTCCCAGCACCATTTATTAAATAGGGAATCCTTTCCCCATTGCTTGTTTTTGTCAGGTTTGTCAAAGATCAGATAGTTGTAGATATGCGGCATTATTTCTGAGGGCTTTGTTCTGTTCCATTGATCTATATCTCTGTTTTGGTACCAGTACCATGCTGTTTTGGTTACTGTAGCCTTGTAGTATAGTTTGAAGTCAGGTAGTGTGATGCCTCCAGCTTTGTTCTTTTGGCTTAGGATTGACTTGGCGATGCGGTCTCTTTTTTGGTTCCATATGAACTTTAAAGTAGTTTTTTCCAATTCTGTGAAGAAAGTCATTGGTAGCTTGATGGGGATGGCATTGAATCTATAAATTACCTTGGGCAGTATGGCCATTTTCACGATATTGATTCTTCCTACCCATGAGCATGGAATGTTCTTCCATTTGTTTGTATCCTCTTTTATTTCCTTGAGCAGTGGTTTGTAGTTCTCCTTGAAGAGGTCCTTCACATCCCTTGTAAGTTGGATTCCTAGGTATTTTATTCCTTTGAAGCAATTGTGAATGGGAGTTCACTCATGATTTGGCTCTCTGTTTGTCTGTTATTGGCGTATAAGAATGCTTGTGATTTTTGTACATTGATTTTGTATCCTGAGACTTTGCTGAAGTTGCTTATCAGCTTGAGATTTTGGGCTGAGACGATGGGGTTTTCTAGATATACAATCATGTCATCTGCAAAGAGGGACAGTTTGACTTACTCTTTTCCTAATTGAATACCCTTTTTTCCTTCTCCTGCCTGATTGCCCTGGCCAGAACTTCCAACACTATGTTGAATAGGAGTAGTGAGAGAGGGCATCCCTGTCTTGTGCCCGTTTTCAAAGAGAATGCTTCCAGTTTTTGCCCATTCAGTATGATATTGGCTGTGGGTTTGTCATAGATAACTCTTATTATTTTGAGATTTGTCCCATCAATACCTACTTTATTGAGAGCTTTTAGCATGAAGAGTTGTTGAATTTTGTCAAAGGCCTTTTCTGCATCTATTGAGATAGTCATGTGGTTTTTGTCTTTGGTTCTGTTTATAAGCTGGATTACGTTTATTGATTTGTGTATGTTGAACCAGCCTTGCATCCCAGGGATGAAGCCCACTTGATCATGGTGGATAAGCTTTTTGATTTGCTGCTGGATTTGGTTTGCCAGTATTTTATTGAGGATTTTTGCATCAATGTTCATCAAAGATATTGGTCTAAAATTGGTTGTGTCTCTGCCATGCTTTGGTATCAGGATGATGCTGGCCTCATAAAATGAGTTAGGGAGGATTCCCTCTTTTTCTATTGATTGGAATAGTTTAAGAAGGAATGGTACCAGCTCCTTTTTCTACCTCTGGTAGAATTCGACTGTGAATCCATCTGGTCCTGGACTCTTTTTGGTTGGTAAGCTATTGATTATTGCCTCAATTTCAGAGCCTGTTATTGGTCTATTCAGAGATTCAACTTCTTCCTGGTTTAGTCTTGGGAGGATGTATGTGTTGAGGAATTTATCCATTTCTTCTAGATTTTCTAGTTTATTTGTGTAGAGGTGTTTATAGTATTCTCTGATGGTAGTTTGTGTTTCTGTGGGATTGGTGGTGTTATCCCCTTTATCATTTTTTATTGTGTCTATTTGATTCTTCTCTCTTTTCTTCTTTATTAGTCTTGCTAGCGGTCTATCAGTTTTGTTGATCTTTTCAAAAAACCAGCTCCTGGATTCATTAATTTTTTGAAGGGTTTTATTGTCTCTATTTCCGTCAGTTCTGCTCTGTTCTTGGTTATTTCTTGTGTTCTGCTAGCTTTTGAATGTGTTTACTTTTGCTTTTCTGGTTCTTTTAATTGTGACGTTAGGGTGTCAATTTTAGATCTTTCCTACTTTTCCTTGTGGGCATTTAGTGCTATAAATTTCCCTCTACACACTGCTTTGAATGTGTCCCAGAGATTCTGGTATGTTGTGACTTTGTTCTCATTGGTTTCAAAGAACATCTTTATTTCTGCCTTCGTTTCATTATTTACCCAGTAGTCATTCAGGAGCAGGTATTTCAGTTTCCATGTAGTTGAGCGGTTTTGAGTGAGTTTCTTAATCCTGAGTTCTAGTTTGATTGCACTGTGGTCTGAGAGACAGTTTGTTATAATTTCTGTTCTTTTACATTTGCTGAGGAGTGCTTTACTTCCTACTATGTGGTCAGTTTTGGAGTAGGTGTGGTGTGGTGCTGAAAAGAATGTATATTCTGTTGATTTGGGGTGGAGAGTTCTGTAGATGTCTATTAGGTCCGCTTGGTGCAGAGCTGAGTTCAGTTCCTTGGTATCCTTGTTAACTTTCTGTCTTGTTGATCTGTCTAATGTTGATAGTGGGGTGTTAAAATCTCCCATTATTATTGTGTGGGAGTCTAAGTCTCTTTGTAGGTCACTAAGGTCTTGCTTTGTGAATCTGGGTGCTCCTGTATTGGGTGCATATATATTTAAGATAGTTAGCTCTTCTTGTTGAATTGATCCCTCTACCATTATGTAATAGCCTTCTTTGTCTCTTTTCATCTTTGTTGGTTTAAAGTCTGTTTTATCAGAGACTAGGATTGCAACCCCTGCCTTTTTTTGTTTTCCATTTGCTTGGTAGATCTTTCTCCATCCCTTTATTTTGAGCCTATGTGTGTCTCTGCACGTGAGATGGGTCTCCTGAATACAGCACACTGATGGGTCTTGACTCTTTATCCAATTTGTCAGTCTGTGTCTTTTAATTGGAGCATTTAGCCCATTTACATTTAAAGTTAATATTGTTATGTGTGAATCTGATCCTGTCATTATGATGTTAGCTGGTTATTTTGCTCATTAGTTGATGCAGTTTCTTCCTAGCCTTGATGGTCTTTACAATTTGGCATGTTTTTGCAGTGGCTGTTACCAGTTGTTCCTTTCCACATTTAGTGCTTCCTTCAGGAGCTCTTTTAGGGCAGGCCTGGTGGTGACAAAATCTCTCAGCATTTGCTTGTCTGTAAAGTATTTTATTACTCCTTCACTTATGAAGCTTAGTTTGGCTGGATATGAAATTGTGGGTTGAAAATTCTTTTCTTTAAGAATGTTGAATATTGGTCCCCACTCTCCTCTAGCTTGTAGAGTTTCTGCCAAGAGATTAGCTGTTAGTCTGGTGGGCTTCCCTTTGTGGGTAACCCGACCTTTCTCCCTGGCTGCCCTTAACATTTTTTCCTTCATTTCAACTTTGGTGAATCTGACAATTATGTGTCTTGGAATTGCCCTTCTCGAGGAGTATCTTTGTGGTGTTCTCTGTATTTCCTGAATTTGAATGTTGGCCTGCCTTGCTAGATTGGGGAAGTCCTTCTGGATAATACCCTGCAGAGTGTTTTCCAACTTGGTTCCATTCTCCCCATCACTTTCAGGTACACCAATCAGACGTAGATTTGGTCTTTTCACATGGTCCTATATTTCTTGGAGGCTTTGTTGATTTCTTTTTATTTTTTTTTTTTCTCTAAACTTCTCTTCTCGCTTCATTTCATTCATTTCGTCTTCCATCACTGATACCCTTTCTTCCAGTTGATTGCATTGTCTACGGAGGCTTCTACAGTTGTCACGTAGCTCTCGTGCCTTGGTTTTCAGCTCCATCAGGTCCTTTAAGGACTTCTCTGTATTGGTTCTTCTAGTTATCCATTCATCTAATATTTTTTCAAAGCTTTTAACTTCTTTGCCATTGGTTTGAATTTCCTCCTGTAGCTCAGAGTAGTTTGATCGTCTGAAGCCTTCTTCTCTCAATTTGTCAAAGTCATTCTCCATCCAGTTTTGTTCCGTTGCTGGTGAGGAGCTGCATTCCTTTGGAGGAGGAGAGGCGCTCTGATTTTTAGAGTTTCCAGTTTTTCTGCCCTGTTTTTTTCCCGTCTTTGTGGTTTTATCTACCTTTGGTCTTTGATGATGGTGAGGTACAGATGGGTTTTTGGTGTGGATGTCCTTTCTGTATGTTAGTTTTCTTTCTAACAGACAGGACCCTCAGCTGCAGGTCTGTTAGAGTTTGCTAGAGGTCCACTCCAGACCCTGTTTGCCTGGGTATCAGCAGCGGTGTCTGCAGAACAGCATATATTGGTGAACTGCAAATGCTGCTGTCTGATTGTTCCTCTGGAAGTTTTGTCTCAGAGTAGTACCCGGCCGTGTGAGGTGTCAGTCCGCCCCTACTGGGGGGTGCCTCCCAGTTAGGCTACTCGGGGGTCAGGGACCCACTTGAGGAGGCAGTCTGCCCATTCTCAGATCTCAAGCTGCGTGCTGGGAGAACCACTACTCTCTTCAAAGCTGTCAGAGAGGGACATTTAAATCTGCAGAGGTTACTGCTATCTTTTTGTTTGTCCATGCCCTGACCCCAGAGGTGGAGCCTACAGGGGCAGGCAGGCCTCCTTGAGCTGTGGTGGGCTTCACCCAGTTTGAGCTTCCCGGTAGCTTTGTCTACCTAATCAAACAACTAACTCGGCAATGGCGGGCACCCCTCCCCAAGCCTCACTGCCGCCTTGCAGTTTGATCTGGGACTGCTGTGCTAGCAATGAGCAAGACTCCCTGGGTGTAGGACCCTGTGAGCCACGTGCGGGATATAATCTCCTGGTGTGCCGTTTTTTAAGTCCATTGGAAAAGCGCAGTATTAGGGTGGGAGTGACCCGATTTTCCAGGTGCCATCTGTCACCCCTTTCTTTGACTAGGAAAGGGAATTCCCTGACCCCTTGCGCTTCCTGGGTTAGGCAATGCCTCTCTCTGGTTTGACTCGCACACGGTGCGCTGCACCCACTGTCCTGCACCTACTGTCTGGCACTCCCCAGTGAGATGAACCCGGTACCTCAGTTGGAAATGCAGAAATCACTGGTCTTCTGCGTTGCTCCCCCTGGGAGCTGTAGACCGGAGCTGTTCCTATTCGGCCATCTTGGCTCCTCCCTCCACATTTATTTTCTTCTATCCCCAAAGAACTCTTTAATCTGTTCTGGAGGCTGAAATCTGACATCAGGGTGCAGGCATGGCTGGTTTCTGATGAGGGCTCACTTTCTGGCTTATAGATGGCTGCCTTCTGTGTCCTCACATGGCAGAGAGAGAAAAAGAGAGCAGGAGAGCTCTTGGTGTTTTTATCATCTATATTTTAAAAGTAAGCAATCAAAGTGCAAAGTGAACACCTCCAGTGTTGGAAGCAAGTGTGAACAAAGCATGTTTCTCTATGGATTTTAACTAATTAACCATAGCAGTATTTATGGAATAGTTGGAAAGAGCAAGGACTTTGAATCTGACTGTGATTGAATTCCAGCACTGCCACTTCACAGCTGAATGACAGCTGAGAGTCTCAGTTCCCCCATATGGACACAGATATAACAACACACACTTCATAAAGATGTTGTTGTAATACAGAAGATGGTGGATAATTAGTAGTGGTTTTCTTTTCTATTCCTTTTCTTCCTGCTTAGACTTTATAACAAATAATAATTCATTATACTTTTTTAATAAAGATGATGATTACCATTTATGGTTTTTATTATTAAAGTTAACCAATCACTCATAAATCATCACTCTGAAATTGGAAGATCTTTTTCCTGAAGGTTATACATTATGAGAAATGTGAGATTTCTGTATTTTGTCATAACCTCCAAGGGTATTGGCTTAATAGTCAAGTAATAGGTTTTTTGCTGATCCTATTCATTCTCCTCAAATTATTAAATGCTTGATAGTGTATATTTTCTCTTGAAATGTGTTTCTTAGAAGCAAAGTTCAGTGGGATATTCTGCAAAAAATAAAAATAAAAAAGAGTTCAGTGGCCAAATAAGTTGGGAAATGCTACATATTATACCCCTCTTCTTGTACATCATAGTATGCCTTAGCAGACTAATCACCCTGAGAACTGCAACTCTTCCTTGAAGCAATGCCTAGTAACAATCTGAAGAAAGAATATTCCATAGAGCCTTTTGAGAAATTTAGCGTTTAATAATATGGAAAACATTTTTATTGCTGAGACATTTACTGAATTGTTGTGTACAAACATCATGGTAAAAACTTGGTCCTGAGTTCCATTCCCAAAGCCATACTGGTTGTGGTTTCGCTATAGGGGACTGCAAATCAGGGACAGAGTGAACTCTCAGCAACACTGCACTTTAGTGGCGCCTGGGTGACATCCAGATTCTGTAATTGGTCATTACTTCCTGTACATCATCTCTCTAGACTTAAAAACAAAACAAAACAAAACAAAAACCTTTCTTTGTTTTTTTTGAGACTGAGTCTCTCTCTGTCGCCCAGGCTGGAGTGCAGTGGCACGATCTTGGCTCACTGTAAGCTCCGCCTCCCAGGTTCACGCCATTCTCCTGCCTCAGCCTCTCGAGTAGCTGGGACTACAGGCGCCTGCCACCACGCCTGGCTAATTTTTTTTGTATTTTTAGTAGAGACAGGGTTTCACCATGTTAACCAGGATGGTCTCCATCTCCTGACCTGGTGATCTGCCCGCCTTGGCCTCCCGAAGTCCTGGGATTACAGGCGTGACCCACCGCACCCGGCAAAAAAAAAAATAAACTTTTTAGAGATGGGGTCTCACTATGTTGCCCAGGCTGAAGTGCAGTGGCTATTCACAGGTGTGATCATAGCACACTGCAGCCTCATGGGCTCAAGTGATCCTTCCACCTCAGCCTCCTGAGTAGCTGGGACACACTACAGGCGTGTGCCACTGGGCCTGGCTTCCCCAGGAAGTTTTGATCTTTACTATGGATTTAATCATTGGCTGTATTCTAATTGACTTTCCAGCTGAGGTTTCTTTTTTGAGGTCAAACTTAAGGATATACAATTGACAGCTTGTCAGTACCGTTTGGCTATTCTAGAAGTATCCCAAATTCTTCATGTCTCATACTGAATAGAATTATCTCCTTGCCCTTCTTCCTTTTACCAAATTTCACTCTCTTATTCCCTGCCTTCAGTGAGACTGCTCTTCACCCATTACAGAGACAAGAAACATGGAATCTCCCTACCCTCTGCTTGTCCTCCATCCTGTGTATTTGCATTTCCTTTTACTCCATATTGTAAGTGGCTAGACTCTGTTGATTTTATGAATTAATATCTTGAGATTCTTCCTTCTGTTTTCCCTTCTGTCTGTTAATGTCTAAGTTCTGGCTCTCAGGTTTCTTCCTTTCTTTATCTTTGAGACAGTGTCTCCCTCTGTCCCTGTGCTGGAGTGTGGTGGTGTGATCTCAGCTCACTGCAGCCTCGACTTCCCAGGCCCAGGTGATCATTGCACCTGAGCTCCTGAGTTGCTGGGATTACAGGCGTGCATCATACACCTGGCTAATTGTTTGAATTTTTTATAGAGACATGGTTTCCTTGTGTTGCCTAGGCTGGTCTTGAACTCCTAGGCTCAAGTGATCCTCCTGCCTTGACCTCCCAAAGTGCTGGAATTACAGGCATGAGCCACCATGCTTGACCCTGGTTTTCAGATTTATTGCTTGAAACGGGTCCTCACTAATTCCTTCTTAGCTCATCCTGTTAGGTCCAGTTTCATGCTGCCAATAGTGAGCTCTTTAAAACCAGCCTTGATGATACTCATCCATTGCTTAACATTTCTTAATGGTTTCTGGCTGTCTTCCACTGGGTTCCAAAACTGTGGCTCATTGTACAAAGCCCAAGAAGTTATTTATTTTAGCTATTCCTTCAGACTTACACTTCACAGTCTCTGAAATGCACCTTATACTCAGGCCATACTAAGCAGCTTGCAGGTCCCACAAGTGTACCACATACTCCTGTAGCTGTGCCTCTGGGTGAAATCATCACCTGTCTTCCGTTTCTGACTCATTCTTCAAGGCTTATCTCAAACGTAATGTGTTTGAGTTTCTTCTCTGACTTGCTCAGGCAATCTTCGGTGGCCCTTCTTTGTATCCTCATAACAGCCTATATATCCCTATTTTCTAGCTGAAATGGACTTTCAGATTTTAAAATAAAAGTTGCTTTAATTAAATAAATATCTCCTCAGCAGTCAATCCTCCTTAGTATCCACCTTTCAGAATTCCAGCCAAGGTAAAGGCCAAGAACATATTACAATACTTAATCTTCTGAAGTTGTATAGCACTGACTGTGATGAGTAATATAAAATCCAATCTGAATTTCACTTGGCTTCAACATAGCCTTAGAGAGTATAAGTTTCCAAGTAATTTTTTTCTTTTATATTGCTAGTTTATTTCCTCCTTTTCTAGAGCTTAGTTTCATTGAAAAAATCTATACCATGCTGTATACGTGCACTAAGCTAAAGTTATTAGTGTTTCAGATTATACAACTATTGGCATTTCAAATTATAATTTTTGTTTCATGGTGGACATGAGCAAATAATAGATCTTTCATTATTCATTAATATATTTCACTAAGAAAAACATTAATTGGAGTAGTTACAAATTAGATACAAATAAGCCTCATGTAGGGCTTACAGTCTATTAAAGGTTGAATGTATACGTATTAGTTATAACTTTGAAAAATAACATATTTTCCTGTCTTGTCATAGAATACATGATTGTTAAACTTCCTCTCCTTCTGCTTAGTTAGGTCTTTCTTGTCAGCACTTCATTCTTTTTTGTCATTTATTCAACACATGGTTTACTGAGTACTGTAATGTGCACAGCACTCTGCCAAGCATAAGGGAAATACCATGAGCAAAACCAGACCCACAGATCTTACAGAAGGGTGGGAAAAACGGACAAATAGCATCCGACAAATAGATTTATATATTGTAATTCTGATCATTCTTACCAAGGGTAGCTGTATAGTGCTATTTCGGTTTATAAAACCAACATTTAACTTGTAAAGATTAGAGAGAGCAGAGATTTGAAATAGAGTAGGTGTATTCTACTGTAAGATTACTTCAAGCCCAGGCCCTGTGGCAGGCATAAATCATGTTGCAGGAGGATGCGCAAGGTACTTGTGGAGCTAAGAGAAGTCAGGCTGAAGACAGCAGAGAAAAGCATGGAACAGGAAGTGTCTAGACAGGTGGATCAGGGAATGAACAGGCTAACTCTTGTAGGTCTAGTTAAAGACTTACGTTAAGAGCAGTAAGTTTATTTTAAGAGCCACTGAAGTAGAGGACAACCCACATTATATTTGCATTTCAGAGCCTTCATCTGGCTACACTGAAGTGAAACTATTTCACAGGCTTTCCTACATCCTGGTGGAAAGAGACGGTAGTTGGACTTGTGATGGTAGCTGGTTATATAGATGAGGCTAAGCAGAGTAATTTGAGAACTTTTCAGGAGGAATTTGGAAAGAACTAGGGGACAGAAAGAGAGGAAGACTGGTTTCTAATTTGCCTTATTCATTGACCTTGAAACACTAGATGAGGGCATGATTTGGGACTCTTTCAGTAAGGCCTTTGGCTGTTGAATTTGAGAAATCTTTGATAAATTTACATATTTACTGTATATAAGCAGAAATAAGATAGGAATGTTATAAAATATGAAACATCATTCCTGTTTTTGAGTTATAATCTCATTGGAAAAAATAAGGTACAGACACAGAAAATATTTAAGTGACATAGACACTCAGGGCTTCATTTATTAAGTAATATGTAAGGTCCAGAATGAAGCCCCTCACTCAATATCCTTTTCCATTTAATAGTATATTTAATTATTTAAACTCAGGTACTTAGCATTTCATCTCTGAAGTCTATTAAAATATAAATTATTATTAATAAAATTAATTTATTAATAAAAACTCTGGGGAAGTGTATATACTTTTTTTTATTTAGGAAGATATAAAAGTCTACATAAAGGACAGTTCTAGTATATATTTGAATGCAAATGTTCATTAGTATATAGCATTTTTTTTTCTTTTTTCTTTTTTTTTTGAGGCAGAGTCTTGCTGTGTCACCCAGGCTGGAGTGCAGTGGCGCGATCTCGGCTCACTGCAAGCTCCGCCTCCCGGGTTCACGCCATTCTCCTGCCTCAGCCTCCCGAGTAGCTGGGACTTCAGGTGTCCGCCACCACGCCAGGCTAATTTTTTTTTTTTTTTTTTAGTAGAGACGGGGTTTCACCTTGTTAGCCAGGATGGTCTTGATCTCCTGACCTCGTGATCCGCCCGCCTCGGCCCCCCAAAGTGCTGGGATTACAGGCGTGAGCCCCCGCGCCGGGCCACATATGTTTTGTTGAAGTGTTGACTGATGTTCGTTAAAAAGGAGGTTCCAGGGAACCGTGCCATTATTTGTAATAAACACATTCCTCTGCAGAAATGGACACATGCATGGTATAAACACACAATGTAATGGGTTCTGAAAGGACCTGGGGATGAGGGATTTGAGGACAGGATTTGCACAGGCAATGTGTAAGCGAGAGAAGTTTCTGAGTGGAGACTCAAAAGGATTCAAGAATTGGAAGGTGTAGTCAAGGCGGACACCAGAAAGATTGTTAGTAAATAGGGTAGGAAGGCTAGGCCAATGTTATGCAGTGTTTAAATAGTAATGGTTAAGCCAATGCTTTAAAAATAAGCGATTAACTGTTTTCAAGTGATATACGAAGATATTTTGTGAATTCTTCTGCAGGCTCCCGTCTTCGTCAGGAAGATTTTCCACCTCGCATTGTTGAACACCCTTCAGACCTGATTGTCTCAAAAGGAGAACCTGCAACTTTGAACTGCAAAGCTGAAGGCCGCCCCACACCCACTATTGAATGGTACAAAGGGGGAGAGAGAGTGGAGACAGACAAAGATGACCCTCGCTCACACCGAATGTTGCTGCCGAGTGGATCTTTATTTTTCTTACGTATAGTACATGGACGGAAAAGTAGACCTGATGAAGGAGTCTATGTCTGTGTAGCAAGGAATTACCTTGGAGAGGCTGTGAGCCACAATGCATCGCTGGAAGTAGCCAGTAAGTAAACTGGGCGCTCTGTGTTTGGCAGAGGGAGTGGCAGAGTGGCGTCATTTGTTTGATCATGGCAATGAAAAGTCGAATTTGTATCTCAGGCCTTACCTGAGGATAAACTCTAGCTTTGTATGTGAATACAATCTACTATTTCGGTTTTCTGTATTTCTCATCCTAACTTGTTATTCAAGCTAAATTGGTATTTACACACAGTTGGTTAACAATTTGACTTTTGATTGGGAGTGATTTTCTGTTGGAAAGTTTTATTAAAATTGTTCCATCCCCTCCTTTGTTACCTTTAAAGATATTGAATAGGGAACCATGTGCTGCCTATAGTTCAGCTACTTGAGACACTGAGGCAAGAGAATTGCTTGAGCCCAGGGGTTCTGGGCTGTACTGCACCATGTCCATTGGGTGTCCAAACTAAGTTTGGTGTCAGTACGGTGACCTCCTGAGAATGGGGAACCACCAGGTTGGCCTAAGGAGGAGTGAACAGGATCAGGTCAGAAATGGAGCAGATCAAAACTCCCATGCTGATCAGTAGTGGGATCATGCCGGTGAATAGCCAAAAAATACACACACACACACACACACACACACACACACACACACACACTCACTCTCTCTCTTATCCATAGCTACATATGAGAATTTGTCTATAAATAAGATAGTGTGGGATTTAAAAATTTGTCTTCATTAAGAAAAATACCTTCAACTGGCAGTTTAAGTTAGGGTTTTAAACCATTTCTAATTCTTAGAAATATATTTCTATTAAAGCTATATCAAAAAAGTATATGTATATGCCTTATATTTTATTTTCTTGGCTACTGTGGGGTGCCTTTGGAAGAAAACAGGTGTATGTTATCCTCAAGTAGTTTTATGGTTCAGTTTATTTACACTAGCACCAAATACAGCTCATTTGAAATTACCCTCAAGAAGGATTTATTGACTAACCATTAAACTGTTGTATCTATAGGCTAGATTTATATTGCAGTTGAATAAGAATTGGGCTTCTTTTATTTTCTATCTACATTCAAGGAGTAGCCAAAATGATTCATCCCCTTGAAAGGATCCTGCTGTATATAATATGACAAAAATTGAGAATTGCATAGGGATTGGAGAGACAAATGAAATTTAGATAAAATTCACTTTATATATAATTCTCTATAAAACTATATAAATAACCATGTATATATTTATATATGATGTTTTTCCAAGATAATTGATATGTTAATATATGTTCAAAATTTTAATTATATAATTAGTTTTCATAGTCTCCAAAATTGTCTTCAAAATTCAACTATAACTTAAATAAGCATAAAATTATACATTGATATAATTATAAAATTATAAATGTAGAAAGGGATTTAGAGACAGATTATTCCAACTCAATCATATTATTAACGTGAAATCAGCCCTAGAGAATGTAAATGACTTGATCACTCTCCCAGAGCCTCATATTACTTAAGACAGAATGCCAAAAATTTCTGATATGAGTGTAAAATATAATTAGATACAATAAAAATTAAAGTAACCATTTTAAACTGTGTTAAAACTAGCTATTCATTTTTAAAATATTTCTTTGAAGTTCTACAATCCAGTTTATATTTGCCTATTCACAGTTAACTAACAATGAACTTATGACCTTTCTCTTATTGTCTTGATTCTCAGTAAAGGTCTCAGAACTAAATTAGTGAGGTGAATGACAGCTGTCATCATAACAGAAGGCTAGTTTGCTTTTTTTATTTTTTAAGGCCAATTTGAATGTAGCCCATGCAAAATAAGTTTAAATGTTCGACCTATTTATAAAAGAATGTATAGTCCTCCCTCAGGATTCATGGGCGATTGGTTACAGGACTGCTGTATATACAAATACCCATGAATGCTCAAGTTCCTTATATATGACGTAGTATTTACACATAACCTATGCACACCCTCCCCCATATACTTACAAATATGTCTAAATTATGTACAATAGCTCATATAGTAATTGTTGCTATACCGTATTGTCTAGGGGATAATCGCAAGGGAAAAAAAGACCATACATATTCAGTATAGATACTATCATTTCTTTTCCCCTATTATTTTCCATCTGTGATTGGTTGATTCCACAGTTGCAAAGCCCATGAATATAGAGGACCAACTGCATGTTTTGATAAAGTCATATTTCAAAAGTTACGATATTACTATCAAGTTATGATATTAAACTATCACCCCCAAGTAAAAACATTAACGAAAAGTGTCTTGAGGCAACACAGGTTTCATAGCGCAGTTGTTGGTAATGCTTTCAAAACATTTTCATGTGTTTTATTTGCCTTTAAACCAAGTTTTACAGCTGTAACAACAACTGTATTTCTTGGTTCCTAACAATTGTCAACCTCTCAAACATTGAAAAAAAATTAATATAGAATGCCATTTAAAACCTTTATTTCTGTATAGAAATAATATTTTTGTCTATTGTGCCTTAAATATTTATTTAAGTTGAAGTAATGCACCAAAGTTATTCTATTTATCAGTTATTTGGGGGATTATTTATTTTTATTTTCATTTATATCCCAGTTATAACAAGGGTAGACCTCAGTGCAGATATTGGTTAATGTTTTGCTGCTGTTCTTTGCTGTGTAGTTAAAAACTGTAAACCTTTTTCTCAAAAACAGTATTGATGCAGTTAAAGTTATCTCACACAATTATAAAGTCAAAAAATTGGAATGCTAGGAAATGTATAGTAGTTTTTATCTCTAACATTTTTACTTGTAAGTATTTGAAGTTTGATTTTATAAAAGAAAACAATTTTTATGCACAAATGTGATTTTAAAATTTATTTTTTATTGATTATTTTTCTTTGCAAACCAATAATCATGTCTTGATGAGAATATGAAATTATTTAATTTAGAATACTTTGCTGTTTTTAAGACATAAAAACTCACTATTTGTCTAATTCAATTTCAAACCCAACTTTCTAAGAAGGTCTTACGAGTTGTATTTTCTTGCTTGTTTTGGATCAGCTCTATTTAAAACTTTATTAGGAAAATAGTTTGTGGGTCTATTCTCCTGTAACCAATATCACCAATGATTAAACTTAGAACTCCATGTTATGCCTGTCACAAATTGATAACACAGATCTTTGACACAACTTATATTTAATATGTAATTTGATCTTGGATAATTACATTGAAGTTTAAAGAAAGTTGATTTGAACCTTGACCCTCATGTTTTCCATTGTAGAACATGGCTCTCTACATCATCTGCTAAGCAGTATACAGTCAGCATATGGCTATTTGTTTCCATTTAAGCTGTTTTCTCCTGAGGAAGAAAAATTCCCTCCAGACTAGGCAGACATCTGCTGGCTATCTTAGCAGCAAAACCATAGAAGAACTATTTTTCCTAAAAGTGTATATGTATTTTGCTAATTAATTAAAGATTATGTCTTTTGTAGATTTTACTAACTGGAGTGCTTTTTAATAGTAATTGCTTTGAACTAAAATGTATGCATTTTGAAGGAATATTTTCTCGCTGCTTTCAATATATTATGTTCTTTCATTGTTATTATTAGTAACTTATGCTTCTTAAAGTGACTTAGAATTCAAATTATACAGTTTTCCTCATGTGGGTAAAATGAGAACATGAACTGACCATGTATGCTGAGTAGCCACGTGTTTACCTAGGTACAATAGAATGTATTTCCAAAATCTAGTCCGTGGAAGATGGAAGGATTACTCCTAGGGGTAAAATGGTTCAGATGAGATGAAGTGGAGTGGAAATAGAATATGTTATTATAAAATATTGTTTGATTGATTGGTGTGTGTGTGTGTCTATGTGTGTATCATCAGAAATATTCAGAGAAGGAAAGATTTGTTCAATATAAAAGAGCAGATCAGTGATAGAATGAAGACTGGAAATTGGGTCCCCCCATTTTGAGCTTGGAATAGATGAGAATCCCTGAGTTCTGAGATATCAGCACCGTAGCTTAGAACTAACTCCTTCACAGAAGTAGATGGTCTTTGGTGAGGGCAGAAAAGCCATATATAAATATATGTATGTGAAAATACATGCATATATGTATATATCTTTACTGGACAGACTTTTTATGTTTGAAATTGAACTAACTTTATATTGGATCTTTTAAAATATTCCTTGTTTCCTTTACTTTTGTCTTTTAAAAAAAGTACCATTTAAAAATGCTTTGATCAGATTCTAAAACATTTTTATATATCTTATTTTTATTTTCAGTATTCAAAGAATACTGTTAAAGGGTGGTTTAGTTTCAATTTTTAAACACCATTTTACTCTTTTGTACACGTATACTGTAAAATGTACTGGCTCTTCATTCCAAAAATGATTCATGATTAAATGAAATAATGCATGTAAAATACATAACACAGTTACTAGCACATGGTTATAATTCATAAGTCTCAATTGTTTTTGCTATTGCTTTCACTACCTTTTTCTCTTTACTTCCATTATGGTTAGACACTGGAGAACTGAAAGATTATTTAAACAAATCCTCTTATCTAAAGGGGACTTGGACAGTTCTGATTTCAAAAATGAGATCAGTTCTTACTTTATTTTGAATTTGAAGATACATTTGCTAAGATACTTAAATTTAAATAAAATGCTTCATTAATTAAATTTATTTAAATTAATTTCTGATTAAGTAAACAATATACTTAAGTATATATAGTATTTCCTACTAAATTCCATCTTGAAATTGATCATGTGGGAAATTGACACTTTAGATCCTCATTGGTGATGCAGGACATGCAAATAATCTTGAGTCCACTCAGTTTTGTTTCAGGAACAAATTTATTTTTTTAACTTTTATATTCAAATTTTCTTTTTCAATTTATATTTGTCCACTTAAGTAAAGAAGCCATATTGCTAAGTTTCATGACATGATTATGTTTATTGAAGACTTTTTTGCTATCACTCAGAATATGTTCTTCTGTCATTGCCTTGCATAACAATATATTTGGATTTTTATTAGTAGTTATTTTATCATCTTTAATGACCAAAAAATAAAAATCAGAAAATAATGACATCTCAATGATGTCAGTAAGTAGTGAGTCCATCAGTCCACTTGTTGCATCCAAATATCAGGTTTAAATTGTTTCATAAGTGAGGTATAGGCACATTATCTCTTGAAGTAAATATAGCATGCATTCTGTATTTGATGGGAAAAAAGCAGAAGTATTTGGATATACATTAAGAGAAAAGACACTTGTCATTTTCTTTTGAAAGCACATAAAATTCTCTTTATGTTTTTAGATTTTGCTTTCCAAAGAGTAGTTAATATGAAATATCAAAATAGAAACTTACGTTTCATAAGCCATATGAGAGATTTCAGTGCTAATGGGCAGAAAGAGAAGATTTGAGTTTCAATGGGCATTTCAGCAGAAAAGGACAGTTTGCTGACCATTTCAGTATGAGTGTTAGAGAACATGGCTGTGTCAGAGAATGTAATATTCCTTCTAGCAATAAATAACCTCAGGTTATAGTCTATCTTAAAACTATGCTTAGTTAAACAGATTATAGGCTCACATATCTGTTTAGTTAGCTTCTTCTTTTTCTGTTTAATCTCACAGAAGTGTGTATTAATCCTTAGCAACTTTCTAGAAAGATCTTAGAGTGGGAGTACTTTACACAATTTCCTTTTTTATTATCCATCACAGGTCAACTAAGATGATTTATAAGCTTACAAAAATCATTTTTATAAAAAAATTCTAAAATTATATTTTACATTCTGATTGCAGAAGTAATATGTGCTAATTATAGAACACTTTTAAAATACATACATGCATTTGCAATCCTGCTATCCAGAGATAACTACTATTGAACTTTGGGTGTGTATCCGTCTAGTCTTTTTTTCCTGCACATTATGTACAGAACGATCCTATAAGCAGGTATTTCATATGTATTTTCTTATTTTCTATGGAAAGCTATTTACTGTTCAATAATATTTACTCTTTTCTTAGGTGGCCAAAAAAGGCATTAGGTATGTTGGAATACATAGTCAGCTATGTCATAAAGACTAAATGGAAAAGTTTGACTCTCTAGATTGGATGCTACAAAACAGCTGCTGTCAATATAACTGTGTTCAGTATTACTGGATACACTATCCTGGAACAGATTCAATCTGGTAATCTTGGGGTTAAGGGTGACGTATTTTATTACCAGTCTCATGAACTACTCCTTTTATTTTCTTGAAAAGTAGCTGATATTCATACATGCTGAAAAGTGCTAAGATGAGTATTTCAACACTAGTTGATACTTAGATATAAAGCCTCTTGAGACGTCCAGAATATCAATTCAGTATTTGGTTATTTATGGGAAATTCTTGGCAGTGTCTCCTTGTATCAACAGTACTGTCTTTAAAAACTAATAAAATGAGAAGGTGCATCTGGTTATCTCTGAAGCCTTATCATCAGATCACTCTTTTTAATCCTCCTAATTTGCTTATTATTTAAATGCTAGAAATCTTTCTCATATTCATAGACTAACTTGAGAATCATTTGTATTTAAAGGTTTTGGTTCACAAGTTTAATTTAAACCTTAGTATAATTAATTTTAATTAATACCGTAGAGTTTAACTGAAGCTCTCAGTACTTACCAGTTTAAACTTTTTTTTTATTTTTGAGACAGGATCTTACTGTGTCACCAAGGATGGTGTGCAGTGGCACAGTCACCCTCACTGTAGACTCAACTTCCTGGGCTCAAGCGATCCTCCTAACTCAGACTTCTGAGTAGCTGGGACTAAAGTGTGTGCCTCTACACCAGGCTATTTGTTTTGTTTTGTTTTTACTTTTTGTGGAGACAGGATCTCTCTGTATTGCCCAGGCTGGTCTCAAACTCCTGGTCTCAAATGATCTCCCTTCCTTGGCCTCCCGAAGTGCTGTGATTATAGGCATAAGCCACTGTACCTGGACAATTTAAACCTTTTAAAATCTATACTTGCTGTACCATAGATTTGTCAGGTTAGAATAAAACATGGTTAAATACCCTTGGTGGATAAAAGTTCTTCTGTTGTTTTGTTACACAATATGGACATTGAAAATGTTGTTTTTGGCTGGGCACGGTGGCTCATGCCTGTAATCCCAGCACTTTGGGAGGCCGAGGTGGGCAGATCGCTTGAGGTTAAGACTTCGACACCAGCCTGACCATCATGGAGAAACTCCGTCTCCACTGAAAATACAAAATTAGACGGGCATGGTGGTGCATGCCTGTAATCCCAGCTACTCGGGAGGCTGAGGCTGAGGCAGGAGAATCACTTGAACCTGGGAGGCGGAGGTTGCAGTGAGCTGAGATCGTGCCATTGTACTCCTGCCTGGGCAACAAGAGTGAAACTGTCTCAAAAAAAAAAAAAAAAAAAAAAAGAAAGAAAGAAAAGAAAATGTTGTTTTTAAAAGTCAGAAATTGAATAAAAATGTGAAGAATACCAAAATATAGTTTGTCCAAAAAAAAGTGATTTTTTTTTAAAGTAACTTCTTACAGGCATTTTGTTTAGCTCTAGCTAGTCAATGGTGACCAAAAATGAAATGATTCTTGTCTTCATGGAAATTCCAGGACAATGGGAGGTGAGAGGAGCAGGGGGGAAAGAAAATAAGCAACT
This sequence comes from Homo sapiens, assembly GCF_000001405.40. NCBI lineage: Eukaryota > Metazoa > Chordata > Mammalia > Primates > Hominidae > Homo > Homo sapiens. The sequence goes on along the minus strand of NC_000003.12, from coordinate 78,931,000 downwards.
AGCCAAATAAATAACTTTATGCTTAATTTTGACAAGTGCCAGGAAGGAATTTAGTCAGAGCTGAGAGTTGAATTACATGTGGATATTACTGGGCAATATGCAATGGTGGGGTGTCAGGATCTGATTTACATTTTAAAACATCACCTATGTTGTACCTGAGTGTTACATGTGTAGAGAATGAGTTGCATAATAGTCAGAGGACATCAATTAGGAGGCTATTCTAGTATTCCAGGCAAGAAATGTTGATAGTTTGAAGCTGGTGGTAGTAATAGAGATGAAAAGAAAAGAGAGGATTAGATTTGGGGACCAAAGATTTGGCTTAATTTTAGAGAGTTAAATAGTAGAAGTTGAGATTTTGCAGGAGATGCAATTGATGACAAGGTCAAGGTCAAGCCTATGACTGCAAATGGAATTGGAAGTTTGGATTAGGATTTGTTAGCTCAAAATGGCTTATAGCGGTTTGGTATGCTTCATCCCATCACCATCCCGAGAAAGTATACTTTCTGTTTTTCTCTTACCTGGAATGTGCTCTTCTTCCAAGTCCACCTGTCACTCTCTTATTGTAGGCTTAGGGCCCCCCTTTCCCAAAACCATGATGTGGCCAGTGTACTGGGTTTAGCCTCTTGCAGTCTGTGCTCACATGGCTCCCAGCACACTGCCTTAAAATGCAGCATTTGTCTTTTCATCCCAAGTGCCTAGCACCATGCCTGGCCTATTGGAAGTGAAGTGATCTAACATGGAACTCAGAAATATTTTACTTCCTGTGTGATGAACATCATAAGCATCATAGTGCCACATCAAGGAGCAGTCTAATCTACCTTTTTCACTCACTTCCCAACAACTTCTTTGTATAGTTAGGGAGTTTGCCTGCTCTCAAACACTACTTTGAGAGCACAGGATTTAGAATACAGTCATCAGGTACTATTTCCTTAGGAGGTTTTATTTGTTTTGTTTTCTTTCGTTCTGGAATATTTAAGTATCTCTTTTGGGGATAACATTACTTGGGGAATTTAGCTGACTTCCAGTAATACGAGAAGCCAAATGAATTGCTTTTAGGCTCTGATAAATGTAAAGCTGTCTTTCTAAGTGTAGTGACCCTTCCGTGCAATCTCAACCTGTGTTTCTTACCCTAATGATCAGTTAATAGACCATGAAGAGGATTCAGCTCTTCCTAACTGATAAGGAAGTTGTTTCTCGGTCAAGCACAGTGGCTCATACCTGTAATCCCAGCAGTTTGGGAGGCTGAGGTAGGCAGATGGCTTGTGGCTCAGGAGTTTGAGACCAGCCTGGGCAACATGGTGAAACCCTGTCTCTACAAAAAAATACAAAAATTAGCCGGGCGTGGTGGTGCATGCCTGTAATCCCAGCTACACAGGAGGCTGAGGTGGAAGGATTGGTTGAGCCCGGGATGTGGAGGTTGCAGTGAGCTGAGGTGGCATCACTGTGCTCCAGCCTGGGCAATAGAGCGAGACTCCATCTCTAAATAAATAAATAAATAAATAAATAAATAAATAAATAAATGATACTGGAAAAGAAATAATTTCTGTGTTGACAGTGCCTGAATTTCCTGAGGTTGCTTGAGACACTTTACATATGCAAAACAGGACCTAGCAACCTTTACTTTCTCTTTTTCTGTCTGGTAGGGGATAAAATACACACAATGACAGGACTGTCTTTATAAATGAATAAAATGGAAAGGTGCATCTGGTTATCTGGGGCCTAATTTTTAATTCAGTATATCTGATGTTTAAGTCTAATCTCAGTCTCTTAGTCTCTAAAGTGAAAATTGTAACTTCAGTCGCATTTTAAATTGTGTTGTATTTAACCCAGGGTTTAAATTGAAGTTTTAATAGTGCAAATGACATTTTACATTTGTCAGGAGAAATAAAAGTTTATGATCAAGTTATTTAGTATGCCTGAATGAGAACATTTTAAATCTTATCCAGTAAATTATGGAGCAAATTCAGAATAAAAGCTAAAAAGTTAAAGAGAAAATGGGCAAAGACACCACCTCCACGAAAGTATTTATATATCTCAATCTCTCCCCCTCCCCGACTCTGTACATATTTACCAGGTAATACTGTCCTGTATGTAGATTTAGTCACATTAAGTTACTCTTTTATCAGATTTTCATCTCAGTCAGGCACCAGAAAAATGGATTAAGAGCCAGCATTTAATGTAGAAGGACCTTTAGAACATTTTAATTATGTAATTCAGCACTTGTCATAGCTTATGAGAGTGTTCTCAAATGGAAGTGTAGTACAGGTTGCAATCTCGTTGACTCTTGCTTAAAGGCATTCTTGGAAAATATGATTTAGAATATTTTCCTTTGGGACCACCCCTGGGAAGAAACCAGTAAAGAGTCAATAACTGATGAAAGAGGAACAATATTTATATGACCAGTGGATCGAGAATCTGTGGATATTTGCTTTTCTCTCTGCTTGTCACTTTTGCTTAAATCACGCAAAGTAGCCCTAAAATTCTGTGTTTGGACTCTAACATTGGTAGACAATAAGGTCAATTTCTTAACATTTTTCTTTTTCTTTTCTTCTTTTCTTTTTAAAAAGTAATTAACACTTAGGTCACTGCATTGTCTCCCATTAAATGAGTTCTTTCTGGACCATGTTGGTAATAATTCTTAAAGCCTCCCTCAGAGTTCTAATCAATACATTTCTTATGAACTGTTCTAGAAGGCGTTTTGTTCTGTTTTAGTTTAATGGGTTTTCTTAACCCTATCCAATGACTCCTTTCTGTAGTGGACATTGTGGATACTCTTTTTAGTTACAGACAATTAATTCTGTCATTAAGTCAAAACAAATTTTGTTTTCAACAAATTTAATAAATGATTTATTTAGTACAGCTCTGTGATCTTGCTGAAATTATTTAGTCTCTGTGTGTTTCAGTTCTCTTACCTGTAAAATGGGGATATGAATTATGCTTACCTAATAGAGGTTTGGGAAGGATTAATAGTTGGTGTATCTATAGTGCTCAGAACTGTGCCTGGCTGACAGCAGGCAGTATGTGTGAGTTGTAGCTGTTGTAACATCTGCTGTTTACTATGTTAGGCTCATTCTTCGGTTGATTCCTTCCATGTATATGGTTCCAAAGAATGTGTCTCTTCATTTCAGAAAGGCAAATGCTGAAAAACTAATTCCATGTATAGTTACATTTAGAATAATCTTTCTTTCTCCTGGGTTAGTCATCTTCTCATACATAAGTCCACATAATTATTGTGAAAAGATATGTATTCTTTATATATCAGTACATGGTCTGTGTTTTATGACAAATATATCTTTGAAGGTTTATAAAGCTGCTGTTAGTGGCATGGTTAACATTTAGATATTTCATTGTGGCTTTTCTCAAAATATATACCAATGAATTATTATTTTGGCAGTTAAAAAATAATTTGGAAAATACTTCTTTAAAAAGACTTTTAAACATACCTCTTTTCTGTAAGACTTCAGTCTCTAAAATATTCAAAAATGATATGATACACGAGTAAGGGATCTCAATTAGTGTGACTTCCACAATTATATGAACTGCAAAAACATTTTGTATGAATAATCTGTCTTGTTTTTCCCAGAAAATGTTTTGGGTAGACATTTTGTGTAATATTTCATACTTTGTGGAAGAAAATACAATTTTAAAAGTGCCTTGGTATCTCAGGTTTGGATGTGTGGTTGTCTTCGTGATTCCTTTATTTGCAGAATGTAAGAGTAAGAATAGAATGTACTGTTCTGTTTCCATTTTGTCTTCCAGGAATGTTTTGTTCTGTCCTATATTGAAGAATATAATAGGAGCCCATTCAAGATTTTAAACATAGGCAATTCAAATATGGAGCTTTACCGACATTTTCCAAAGAGATGCTTAGTACCATGTGTGGCCTTATCCCACTCTCTCACTGATATCCTGTTACTCTTAATGGCCTTGATCTCAGCTTTCTAAACTTTGCTTTTTATAATGGATATAATTTACCTCTTGTCAGCAATTGACATAGTTGACCTTTTTTTTTTGAAATATTCTCTTTCCTAGAATTTCATGGCACCCAGCTATATCAGGATTGCATCCAACTTTCATGTAACCGAAGTTAGGACATTTAACCAGATTGGTTTAAATTTAATGCCTGAGATAGGCCATATAGAGAATGTATAGTGGCTTTATATGATTTTCCTCTTATTCATCTGGCTGAGTCTTTCTTGGCCTATAGCTAAAATATTCCATTTCTCGAGGATTTGTCATAGGCTTTGTTTTTTGCTTTATGACTTACCCTGAAGACCACACCCACCTCCTTGCATTCACATACCAATTTTGTCCTGATTCACTCTCTGTTCTCTCATCCCCAGCCTGAACCTCTATACTCAGCTCCATTTGGAGGTCCTGGTGGTACCTGCAGCTCAAATGTCCAAAATGCGACTTTTCATCTTGCTTCTCATTCCTGACTTTCCTCTATTATTTCCTAACGATGATAATGATGCCATTATCCATCCAACCCTCCAGACCAGAAACCTGCGATTGATTCTTCCCGACTTTCTTTCCACAGCAGTTGAGCCTCAGGTCTTGCTGATGTTTTCTCCTGAACAGCTTCAGTATTTTCCCACTTATCTCCATTTCCTTTGCAATTTGAATCAGAATCACCATTATTTCTCATCTTAGTAACTATAATACTCTTTTGCAAGTACAAATCTCATCAGTCCCTCTAGATGCTCACTCAGAGATTCTCAATTGCTTCTAAAGTCTTAATTTTTAAAAATGACTTCCAAGGATCTATATGACCCCAGCATTGTGGCCTAGAATTCAACCCCATCCCTTTGATCTAGTAAAATGTATATATTGGCTGGGTGTGGTGGCTCACGCCTATAATCCCAGCACTTTGGGAGGCTGAGGCGGGTGGATCATGAGGTCAGGAGTTTGAGACCAGCCTGGCCAACATGATGAAACCCCATCTCTCCTAAAAATGCTAGAATTAGCCATGTGTGGGGGTGGGCATCTGGAGTGGCAGCTACTGGGGAGGCTGAGGCAGGAGAGTTGCTTGAACCTGGGAGGCGGAGGTTGCAGTGAGCTGAGATGGCGCCATTGTACTCCAGCCTGGGCAACAGAGCGATACTCTGTCTCAAAAAAAAAAAAGTACATTTTGCTTCAGAGTTCAGCAGAGCCATCACTTCCACCTGGGCTCTTTTTCTTTATCCCCACTCCTCCCACACCCACCACAAGTTAAAGGTAACCATAAATGGACCACCCTCTATCCCTTTATCATAGTATGTCACTCCTGCATTGTGAGGAAATCTTCATTCTTCTGTATTTGGCACTTACTTCTCACCGCTGTGTATACCTTGTAGTACCTGGCACAGGTCACAAAAGTATTATTATTAATTTTTTGTCAATAAAAGATTGTATACAAAGATTCTTTTCAACCAACATCAATGAAAAAAGGTGTTTTTCGTTATATTTGAAGGGTAAGGTACAATTTACATTTTGTTCCCACAGTGGAAATGAGTGATTGCGCACAAATTATCCATATTTTTATACCTGCTCGGCCTTATGCCTCATTTTTTTCCTGTTTGGAAACAAATAATTTTTTTCTAGAATAAACTAATTAGAAGTCATATTTGTGAGTGTCCAATGCAGCTCAGCTTTTTCAAAAGAGCTTCAAGTACAACATTATTTAATACATATTCTGATCATTAGCTCAGATGATAAAATTTGACTATAAAATTTAGTGAACCTTAAGTAGAATGAAATTATGTTTCAGAATCTATACTAAACAGCAGATATTATACATAGGTATTTAAAGGGGAATATGCATTGATGGACATCACTAGAAATAAGCAAAAGTTTCCTTAAATTGTTACATAAGCAGAAAAAAGTATTCATTAACATTATAGCTAAATGTATAGTGTAAAAGTTTACCTCAATGTTTACTTTAATAACCTAACATGTACCGCTTGAAACTCAATTAAAAGGCATGACAACATAGAACCTTGAAAATAATTTGGAATTTAGATTTTTAAAATATTAAATTAAAAAAATAATAGATTTAAAAACAATTGCTACTTTATTTTTAAATTATCAAAATTATTAATTTAAGTATTTTAAAATATAAATATTTCCATGTAAATGTAAAACAATTTACAGATATTAAATATTTAAGACTCTAAATATTTAATTATTTTTGGAACACTCTGCTTTTGTTTAAAGTGAGACACAAAATTCAGAAACTAGAATGTCACAGCCTTTGCCATTGCAGCTTGCTTCCTTTGACTGAGATGTGCTGATAGTAACCATTTTCTAAGCTATAATGATTAATGCTACTTAGGGGAGGTAGGAAAAAAGTTAATTTAACTGGAGTCGTTCAGTTTTAAAGGGATTTTATTGAACACAGAAAGTATACACAAACACACACACACACTGAAGAAATATTTTAATATGCCTGTTACAGATGCAGTTACAGCTCTTTTTTGTTTTTCAGTGTTTTTAGAATGTCAGATCCAAATATTTTTTATTTTTTAAAAATAAAGTTGAAACATATGATTTATTCATGAAATTTCAGAGGGGGAAAATATGAACAAAGGAATCCCTCTCCCTCTAACCTTGCCCTGAAATGCTACAATGACTGTGATAATTAGCTCCATGTTATTATAGATTATTTTTCTTATAAATAATTTATATTTCAGTTTGCTTTAGTTCTTTAAAAAGGCAAAGCATGAAATTGATTAGATATAATTGTACGTTTGATTAATATTTAATTTGAAATTATTTTGCAGCTTCAAGTTTAGATGTAACTGTCACATTTTAGAATACTAAGTGTATATTAGATAGCTTGGTATAAATGTCTTCCTAATTATTCACTTTTTTATTATTCAAAAGCACCATTTCTCATAGCTATACATCATGTTTTATAATGTGTGTATGTGTATGTATACATACTTATACATGTATGTGTGTATATGTATTTATATATGTGTATTTTTTTTTTCTTTTGTTGGATAACAGAGTTGACTCAATTTAGACATCACCTTTTTTTTCTTCCCTAAGGAGTTCAGGTCATAATTCAATAATACTACATATATAACAAGTACTGTTATAAATGCAAGTATTAACCAATTTGAAAACATAGCTCATTCATTCCACATAAAACACAAGTTCCTACTTTGAGGGACTGTTTGCATCGCCTCCTTCGCCTTCTCAGAGGAACTCAGGAAATCAGTTCACCTTCTTAGAGGAACTCAAGTAATCAGAGCTGTTGCTCCACTGAAGCTCCTGGAAGGGTAGAGGCCAGAGGACCTCCTATGGGGACAGATTTCTCGGGCAGCTTGAGTTGATGAGCTGGAGAGGTGGCTTGAGGAAGGAGTAACTTCTTCTGGAATGAGAAGTTTCTCACTTCTTCCTCTTCTTTCCAGTCACATCATTTCTTTCTTCCCTTAGCGGCATTTCAATTTTCTAGAAAAGCGGAGACTACTATAGAGTAGCATTACACACACCATTTAAAGCTTTTTCTCTGATTCAGCTGAAGTCTCTGGAATCTGTCTGGTGGCAATCTACAATTCTATGGACAGTCACTCTGGTCCTGGGGAAAGGGAAGATATTAATCAGTCCCTTTCCACTTTAGAAAATGACTTGCAAAAAATAAATGAAACAAACCAGGGATGGGATCATGTGAATAAGATATTTTTGCTTACCATTGAGTTTCCTTCATGAAATGTCAGTTCCATGAGGATAAGGACCTTGTAACTCCTAATAACTGCTGATCTAGAACAGTACCTGGCACAGAAAAAGTCTCAAAAATGTTTAGTGAATGAATGTACTCTGAGCTTAACTCTTGAAGCTGATTTTCTGGGGCTGAAAGGTAAGGACCTGATAGTATCTCTGGAACTCTGTGACTTCATTTTCTTGTCTATAAGAGGGCAATGCTATATGTTATCTTGCTTAATAATTGCATAATTGGATAACTATTGGAAAATAATTTGCACTAGTCAGAGATAGGCATTATCCAGATAAGAGATAATTATCTTTATTAAATAGTCAATGATGTCCTTAGAACTTCTGATATTTCTAATGGTTTTGCAAAACTGCAGTCTTAGTGCCTGAAAGAAAATCAGACAATGAGTCCAGATGCGATAGCTCACACCTGTAATGCCAGCACTTTGGGAGGCAGAGGCGGGTGGATCCCTTGAGGTCAGGAGTTCGAGACTATGGTGAAACCCCATCTCTACTAAAAATACAAAAGTTAGCCAGGCGTTGTGGTGCATGCCTGTAATTCCAGCTACTCGGGAAGCTGAGGCAGGAGAATCGCTTGAACCCGGGAGGCAGAGGTTGCAGTGAGCTGAGATCGTGCCACTGCACTCCAGCCTGGGTGACAGAACAAGAATGAGACTCTGTCAAAAAAAAAAAAAAAAAAGAAGAAGAAGAAGGAGAAGAAGAAAATCAGACAGTGGTTTTATAAAAAAGTAATCGAGAGAGGATAGGGAGAGGAAGAGGGAGAAGGAGAAAGACAGGGAGAGGACTTTAAATTAGTTAGCTCTGACTACCTTGCCTATGAACTTTTCTTTGAAATTATGCTTTTCTATGAGAATTTGTATATTTTTTGTTGATGTTTCTAGCCTTTTAGCCTGATGATAGGACCTTTGAGTGTCTGTCTAGGATACATTGGTAGGTAAGGGTAGACCATGATCATTTTTGGCAGAAATGAAGCCTGTTTCCAGAAGGCACGTTCCTCCATGATTTTCCTGAACATTTTTGGTTGATGACTTGGGGGTCAGGGAATCCATTCAGGTGAGAGGTTAGTTTTTTGGTCTTCAAATTGGAAGAGCAACTTTAGCCTTTGATTTGTATTATCTTCTCACAGCAACTATTATGTTGACTGCCTGTACATGCCTTCAATACCATGTAAACCTAGTTTATCTTTTGTATATTTGATTTCTTAGATGGTTAGAGCTGCCTGTAATCCCAGCACTTTGGGAGGCCGAGGTGGGCAGACCTCATGATCTACTAAATAAGAGAAATTTTCTCTTATTAATAAGAAAAACCCATCTCTACTAAAATAAGAAAAAATAGCTGGGCATGGTGGTGCACGCCAGTAGTTCCAGCTACTCGGGAGGCCAAGGAAGGGGAATCGCTTGAACCCGAGAGGCGGAGGTTGCAGTGAACTGAGATCGTGCCACTGCAGTCCAGCCTGGACAGAGCAAGATTCTGTTTCAAAAAAAAAAAAAAGGATTGTTAGAGCTGTTTCCTGTTCTTTTATATGTGTTGTGTTTTCCTTGTACATAATATTTTGAAAACTTTAACTATTCATGCCAGATTTTGTTCCCTGTTTAAAAGTGTGTTTCTGTGTCAGTGAACTTTTACATATTTTATATACAAACATACCCATTTGTATTGTTACTCAAAAACTTTTGAAAAATGCTTGTTACTTTCCTAAAATAAGGTGAGCTTATATTGCGAACAAAATCGTATTATTTCAGAGGCATTCCATTTGGGACATTTACTGTACTACAGGGAATCTCTCATTTCAAAATGACCTGTGTTGCAGTTATTGTTTATAAAACTGTTCATTTATCTGACATAAGGGGCTAATCAAACTGCTTAAGTACATTCCTGGATGTTTGGAAGATTTTTAAGCGCCATAGAGAGGGTACTTATGCTATGGAAATTGTGTTTATATATATATGCATAATTGCCACTGAAATTCTGAACAGACCCAAAGGAAGAAAAATACTGTGATTTAAATAAAGCTAACATAATTAATTTATATCTATTTTATATTTGACTTAGTGGGATAAATTGTTTTGTGGAAAACCATATTATAAAATAGTCTAAGTTTTTTATAGTTGAGGAAGAATTTGAGGTGAAAGATCATGTTAATTGTAACAATTGCCAGTACTTTGTGTTCACTATGTGTCTGGCACTGATTTATGTTTATTAATTTACTACATCCTCAGAACAATTCAGTGAAGTAGGTATTACTAATATTCTTACTTTGAGATTATGAAACCGAGGCTCAGGTAGTTTAAATAAATTTGCCATGTCACACGCAGTGGCTCATGCCTGTTATAACCAACACTTTGGGATGCTGAGGCAGGAGGATTGCTTGAGGCCAGGAGTTGGAGCCCACTCTGGGGAAAACATGTTGAGATCTTGCCTCTGCAAAAATAAAGTAAAATAAAATTTAAAAAAAGTAAAAAAATAAAATCAGCTGAGCATGGTGACATGCACCTGTGGTACCAGCTACTTTGGAGGCTAAGTTGAGAGGCAGTGATGGGAGGATCATTTGACGGCCCAGAGGTTGAGGCTGCAGTGAGCTGTGTTTGTGTCATTGCACTCCAGCCTGGGTAACAGAGTAAAACCTTCTGTCAAAAAAAAAAAAAAAAAAAAAAAAAAAACTGAAAGAAAGAAAAAGAAAGGCTGGGTACGGTGGCTCATGCCTGTAATCCCAGCACTTTGGGAGGCCGAGGTGGGCGGATCATCAGATCAGGAGTTTGAGACCAGCCTGACCAACATTGTGAAATCCCGTCTCTACTAAAAATAAAAAAAAGTTAGCCGTGCGTGGTGGCACCTGCCTGTAATCCTAGCTACTCAGGAGGCTGAGGCAGGAGAATTGCTTGAACCTGGGAGGCAGAGGTTGCAGTGAGCTGAGATTGTGCCACTGTACTCCAGCCTGGGCAACAGAGCAAGACTCCATCTCAAAAAAAAGAAAAAAAAAATTGTCCATGCCTATAATCCTTATGTTATTTTGTCTCTAACAGTTAAAGCCTTTCATTAATCATGAAGGATTCTTAATCATGAAAGTGAAATGTAGGACAAATTCATCTTGTATGTAAGACAATTACCTTCTCACTAAATAATGCTAAGGCATGATATATTTTATTTCCTTTGGGAATATAATTGTTACTATAGTAGTCAGTATGTTGCAAAATACGCAGTTTTTAATTTACATTTTCCTATTTGTTTTCCGAATTCACACTGAATCATAGATAACAATCAGTACAATGTTAGGATTGTTTTACATTTAATTCCTTCTTACACATGAAACTATTACATTTTCACCCTGCCACAGGTAATTGGTTCCAGACCTTTATGTTTTGCATTTAGGATTAAGCTGTGGCTTTGATATCTATGCATTATTAGCAAATCAAGTTATCACAAGATTAGTATACTAAAAAATGGATTCCTCCAATAAAATTTGAGATGGGCTAAAAGGAGGTAAACTGCTAGTTGGTTGTTTCTTCTTTTTGCCTTTATTGTCCTTTATTAAGGCCTATAATTTTAACCTCCATCGATTTACCTTCCTCAACTTTTTCTGTGATGTAAAGACAAAGTAGCTTTGGGTAAAGAAACCATTATTTAATCTGGCCCTGTAAAATAACATGACCAGGGAGATCATGTCCAGGCAGGATCAATACTGAGATCTTCTGACATGGAATAGGTAATCTTTTAAAGCCTAGATATTGACAGGACAATCCACTAAGTAAATAGCTGGGAAGCAGTAAAGCTTCAATTGGCTTACCGTGTTAGCACATACTATTTCCATTTTCTTGCAGTGACAAGGCTGTTCTTGGGCCATGTTCAGCTTTCTTTTAGGCCCATCTACTTTGATTCTACTTAATTGATTCTCAACCTTGCTTGTTTTATATTGTCAGAATCACCTTTTATTTTTCAGTGTTAAAAAAAGACAAGAAGTTACTCATCTCTGGCCAGTAACTTTCAGTGATGTGAAAGTACTAGTATTTCAGTCTGGCCTTGCACTGTCTAAGCTAGTCTGTGTGTGAATTCCCCTGTTCAGAGGATCCAGTGAGTCACTTTGTGAGGATACACTTGAGCCTGTTTGAAGCTCACGTAACCATAATCTCCCTATGGTCTGATGTAATAACCGGTAAGAAAGTCAAGCACAAATTGATATATGTCTGAGGGTTGTAGGCATAATTATCTTAATATGACACTTTAGAAATAACATATTGTCGATATGTCATTGACCTTTTTTCCAAAATGGGTAAAATATTTGTAAGTGTAGATAAAATTATGACAGTGTGGTACTTTCCTTTGCTCCAGAACCACAAGAAAGAATCACTAACTTGGTTGCAGAAACATGTGTTGAAGAATTAGGTTACCTAGATTAGGACAATTGCCAGAATGCTTCCTTTTTCATATCCTTTTTTCATAAAGTACTCACTTTATGGTTGTGGGCTATGAGTATCTGTGAGTATTGTGTTCTACATGAGGTTTCCTAGAAGTATGTGGGACATATGGATATTTGTACTTAACTTCCTGGGTACCTTAGAAGGCAGCTGAGAAGACCAAAGAAAAGCTGAAGTTGACAGTCTAAACTTGGAAATTTTAAGAAAGAAAGCCAGAATCTAATTGAGCCAGTCTTTTATTATTTTTGGCTGTCCTCTAACAGACTACCTAGAGATTGTTTTATACCCTAAAGAGTATAAAACACAGAGCAAACACTAAGTTAGGAAAGATTGCTGTAAACTAACTGAAACAAAATCCCCAAATTGCCAAATAAGGGATAATGATTCATATAACTAATTTTAGTTCTCTGAATTGAACAAAAGTTACCATACCATGTTAGAATCTTTCCTGGGTTAATAACTTTTCCAAGCCGCTCTCTGTCATGGTTGGTTTTCATACATTTTTTTCATCCTGTGAGCACTCTGGGTGTTTTATAGACCATAGACATTCCAAATTTTTATATATTTCTCTTTGCAAAATGGGCTTTTCACTCTGATTTCTTTTACATCTATAGATGTAAATGTCATCAACACAATTTAACCTATTTCATGGGAGAAGGAATAAATTAGAATTATTTTACAATTTTCCATAAATGGTTTACCATATATATGTGTTCTTTAAATAGTTGATTAAAAATCTACTATTCACAGACTTGAATGCTCACAATCTAATGTTTTCATGTTTAACTTATTGTCAATTGTTATTCAGCGTCAGTTAATATGTACTGAAAGCCTTTGCATGGCATTTCCATGTGCATTTCTGGGCTACATACTTAAAGAAATACAACAATCACAAACAATGTAGGTTCTGTGTCGTAGTAGCTTCTGTCCTTAAATATTAATATGAATTCACATAGGAAAGTGTAAAATGAAGGAAGATATTTTCTGAATGGAAGCTGAGAGTTGTGGTTGGAAAAAAAACCACTCATTTCCTTCTTCCTTGCTTTCTTTTTCAGGTTCTTTGGATTAGAATTGTTAATAGGCCAGACAAATCTGTCTAAAATAAATCCTTCAAAGCTGAGTGAGCAATATGTCCCCAGAGAAATTATCTTACTGGGACATGATCTGAGTTTATGCCAAGTTCCGCTTAAAGGTTCCGGATGTTTAAGGACTTCTTGACACTGCAGTTTTAGTTCTTTCTTAAGTATGCCTTCTTTTTCTTTATTATAGCTGATTATTCATGATGGAATTTCAGATTTTACAAAATTAATTATTTCTAGATGCAAAACTAGTGAGTTTACCATGTTCAACAAATTACATTTATATTTAAGATGGCCTCACAGTCAAAATAGCCTAAATTTGTATAATTTAGCTTAATTTTTCATAATTATTTCAAAAACGTTTGTTATTTTTCTAAAAGATGATGTCCCTGTTAATAAAATACTTTATATTTTTAAAATAAGTAAATAGTCATTTAAAAACAAACTCTGACTAGTGGATCACAAGGTCAGGAGGTCGAGACCATCCTGGACAACATGGTGAAACCCCATCTCTACTACAAGTGCCAAAATTAACTGGGTGTGGTGGCGGGCACCTATAATCTTGGCTACTTAGGAGGCTGAGGCAGGAGAATCGCTTGAACCCGGGAGGCAGAGGTTGCAATGAGCCGAGATTGTGCCTCTGCACTCCAGCCTGGTGACAGAACAAGACTCCATCTCAAAAAAAAAAAAAAAACGAAAAACAAAAAAACAACTCTGACTATACTGACATTAACCATTATTAAGTGGGAATAAGAATTTAATAATTTAGCTTGAGAGCTCATAATGAAATATTTTAATTTCAGACTTATCTGATTTGCTAATGCTTAAGTCATTTCTTTACTCAACCTACACTTACATAGTAAAGTTGTGGGTGAAAGTTTTCCTGGTCTCACTCGTTCAAAGAAGATGGTTATGACAGTTTTTAGCCACCATATGGGCTTCTTTTGTTTTCTTCAAAAATAGAATACCTGAATTCACACAGTAATGTCTATCCAGACCCTTACCCACGTGAACTAAGCTAGATAGTAATTTCCAGAAACTACATTATTTAACCAGACTAAAGAATGTAAATCGAATGATTATAATACCATACTTAAAGTCAAAATCACAACTATAATTTTGCAGAAAGCTTCCAGTTTTGATTAGATATAAGGTAAGAAATATTGATAAAAGATTACATAAATAAAAAAACAGTATTGCTTACTAATTCCATTTTTTTCTTTTTTTTTTTTTTTTCTTTTTGAGACAGATACTTGCTCTGTTGTCCAGGCTGGAGTGCAGTGGTATGATCTTGGCTCACTGCAACCTCCGCCTCCCAGGTTCAAGCAATTCTCCTGTCTCAGCCTCCTGAATAGCTGGGAGTACAGGCACCCGCCCCCACACCTGGCTAATTCTTGTATTTTTAGTAGAGATGGGGTTTCACCACGTTGGCCAGGCTGGTCTCGAGTTTTGACCTCAGGTGGTTCGCCCACCTCGGCTTCCCAAAGTGCTGGGATTACAGGCGTGACACTTTAGAAAAAGAATAAAGTTGTTTTTTTTTTTTTTTTTGACGGAGTCTCGCTGTCGCCCAGGCTGGAGTGCAGTGGCGCGATCTCGGCTCACTGCAAGCTCCGCCTCCCGGGTTCACGCCATTCTCCTGCCTCAGCCTCCCGAGTGGCTGCGACTACAGGCGCCGCCACCACACCCGGCTAATTTTTTGTATTTTTAGTAGAGACGGGGTTTCACTGTGTTAGCCAGGATGGTCTCGATTTCCTGACCTCGTGATCCGCCCACCTCGGCCTCCCAAAGTGCTGGGATTACAGGCGTGAGCCACCGCGACTGGCCCAGAATAAAGAATTTTTTAGGCTGGGCACAGCGGCTCTCGCACTTGCACTTTGGGAGGCCAAGGCAGGAGGATGACTTGAACTCAGGAGTTCCAGACTAACCTGGGCAGCATAGTGAGACCTCATCTCTATAAACATTTTTTAAAAATTAGCCAGGCATGATGACGCACACCTAGTCCTAGCTACTCGGGTGGCTGACGTGGGAAGATTTAAGCTGCAGGGAGCTGTGATCATCCCACTGCAGTCCAGCCTGGGTGACAGAGCAAAACCCTGCCTCAAAAAAAACAGAAAGAAATGAAGGAAGGAAGGAATTTTAAATGCATATCTTCAGTAAATTTTACTAAATTTTATGTTAATAATTAAACTTTATGTCTCAGTAAGTATTATACAAGATATTTATAAAAATTGGTATAAATAATATACATAAAGTGGTAAGAGGAAAAGCTAATCATTCTTAAAATGTGTGGAAATGCTGGAAATATGTTATATCAGATAAAAATCTATGTTAATCTGCTCTATTTATTATGATTTCATTTGGAAGTAAAAATGGAGGATTATGAAGTTAATTTGAAAGTAGAAATTGAATATAAATATCTTTAAACTTTTGTCAGAAGCGGTTAAAATTAAATCGGAAACACCTGGTGGTAATTTTTCTTTTTATCTCTTCAAATTTTGAAATATTTTCAGAATTAGGAAACTCTTTTTGAACATTCTTGATGTTTCTTACTATTAGGTGCCTTCATAATCTTAGGTAAGTCTGAATCTAAACCACTGTCAGTTTCATATATTTGAGCATTGTGTTTCCAGGATCCCAGAGTACAAAGGCTAAATTTGACTTTGTCATAATAGATGATAGTGTTTCATTACTTTATCATGCCACATGCGGAATAAGAGTGCCCTGGTAGGACCTGTATTTTCTATATCGTTTCTGTCTTCTCAGTTTGCCACTGTTTTTGTTTTTTAATTTGTATCTTAATTTTAATCAAACACCTAATAATGCAAAAAGGGAGCAGGCACATTTCCAAGTTTTCTATGCTGATCCTTGAGAAAGTACATTCATATATTATATAATAGATAATTGATATGGCATTTATTATCTTACCTTAAGAATGTATTTTCTTCATGTATGCATTTATTTTCATTTTTACCTAAGGTTTTAGTTAAGTTTAAATGGGTAAAATTAAAAGCATATTTATATAAATATATATATATAATTTATAAAATGTATACATGGTATAATATATAAAATTATAAATAAAATATATACCTATAAATATAAATTATAAATAAAATATATAAATTTTATATAAAATTAAAAGCAACTATTTTCAAAGCTCTTGTTCAGAAACTAAGCAAGTTACGTGTAATAAAAACATTGATTTATATTTTTGTTTCTTGTGGCCATTCATTGAAATTTGGAGTAGTGTCAGGGAAATACTTGGAGCCATTGGAGCCCAAATAGGATGTTGATTGGACATTGGGCATGTATACTAAATATACACAGATTTTTCATCTAGTTCTTAGGGGCATTATAACCTTAAACCTTTTCAACAAAATTCCTTATGTCCACTGAATAAACTAGGGTTTGAAAAATAATGTAATTGTTAACCTTTGAATTTGCGTATGTTTCTCTTTATTATGGTTTGTTGATATCAAATATTTGGTAAACTCGTATACTGTCTATTTCTTTCCATTTTTGATGCAATATGGTTTATATAGCCTTTATGATTTTTGAAGAGATTTGAATAATGTAATATGAAATTATTGTTGCAAATTGTGAAGCACAACATATGTCTCTGGCATATTATATAGTCAGTGATTTATACAAAATGAAACTTAAAAGTGAAGAAATAACGGCCCATACATTAAAATGTTTTAGCCATATGGGAGATTCCATTTTCTTACTGCCATTTGTTTCTTTTGAATTGGTTTTCCCTTGCCCTCAGATAAGATGAAAATCACACCCTTGTCCTCATACTTTGATTACTGAATCTTAGTGCTCAATGAATGAATTGTTCTCACTACAAAACTCAAGGCCTGGGGCCGTGAAGTTTTCTTGGTCTCTAGCCTAGGGAAATACGACCCTCTCTAGAAGTACTTCCCATGTGCACACATAAAAGGGCTCTGTCTTTAACCATTATAATAGCTTTCTGCTTTCCTTTAAGAAAAGTTTTGTAAATCAAGAAAGCTTTTGTAATGTGTTTCTTTAATCTCTACTTGCTTCTCTTTATTCTTTTTATTTCAAAGTTTAATCAGAAACTCTAACATTTCACAAGTTGAAAAAAAATAAAATGTTTCAGTAATACACGTAACACCGTAAGACAATATATTAATACATCTGCAAACATCAGTCTATTATTTTCCTTTGTGAGGACTGGAATTTATTACTATTTACAAAGGAGAGATTATATTTGAAATTATTTTTCTCTTTCTAGTTAATCCAAAATGAATCAATGGAATTTTAAATATTTTTTTTACTCTTTTTTAAATAAATGATTTCTCATTGCTCTAGATTATTAATCTTTTGGATTAATTTATATTGGCTTGACATTTTAAAAATTGAAAACTAAGCAAAAGAGGCACTGGTAAATCTCTTGTTACGTCCCTTGCTCAGTTGACTGCGATACATAATGTAAATATAAAAGGGCCACAATTTTGGGTTTGATTTCTATTTAGCTGGGTTAGCCCTACTGTCACCAAAACAGAATTCACTATCTCATCATCCATATTCTACATACTATTGGTGACATATTAGGCTGGCCAAGTATATAAATTCATTTGAATATGATGCACATTTCTACTCCATTTATTCCATCGTAGAAATGCACATTTATTTAACCATCTCCATTTGTTGGCTGGAAAGTTAGTCAAAGAACTGATATAATGGTAAATATACATTTTATTTTTCAAATAAAGGTAACATTTTTCAGCTGTCGTAACAAAAAATCATATCAAAAAATCTGTGCTTCTTTACATATACTATTTCTGTTGAGTGCATTCAACAATATAATTGTTTTGTTTAAGTGAGGAGGAGAAAATTGGACGTTCAAGAGGGCAGTAACCAGCAGAAACACTTCTTGTGACTCATACACAATTCTACATTTTTATTCTTCAAACTAAAGATAACATTCTTTTTGTTAAACATCTGATGTTTACTCACAGATTATGTATGTGATCATTTGAAAATTAATGTTTTTTAAAAAGGGTAACCTAGGTTTTAATTTATTGTGACATACAGCCTGAACTTTCTACGGCTTTGAAAATAAACTCACAGTTTTCTATTTGCACATGGATGCTTCACTATTTAGCTAAAATTGATGATATTATCACAAATACTATAGCTTGTGCAAGGTTTCAAGAACAAGGAAGGAAGTTTAATAAAACAGAGGCTGAGACTCAGCTTTAACACCCTGTCTCCCATGCTAATCTCCTGTTTACAATAATCCATTACGAATATTTAATGGTAGGCAGCATGCAGACCAGAATTAAAGGACATATGGGTACAGTTATCCTGGTTAAAATGGCCAACGTGCCTTGTATTGTGTATGGAAGATAACAGGACAGGTGGTAATCTGTCTTCACGGAGTGGAGACAGCTGGTATTTTCTGTAAGCCGAAGCCATCTTTTTCAATGTAGTCTCACCTCGCAGCTGATATGTTGCTTATTAGTATAATTTAAAACATATATTGATGTTAAAAACCATGCTCTCTTTCTGTCCAGTATAAAAATGCAGCTCGTGGCACAGCATAAACAGATGAAAAATATGTATGTATATTCCAGTATTTGTAATTAAAATCATTCTGCTTAATTTAACTGTTTTTTAACTGTAAAATCAATATTATCTTTAGGCTCATCTATAAAGTATTTTTTCTTTAAGCTGTGTAAGGGAACTTTCTTCCCTGTGTTGCATATTCTCCAGACTTACGAAGTTATTGGGGGAATTATTAGTTCATTACCATCAAAATATTTTTGTTAAATTTCATTTTAAAAAATATTTCTTCTCTCTTGTTTAAACTACAGTATGTTTCATTTCTTATACTAAAGAAAGACTCACTGGACATGTATTGGAATCAAAATAGCGGACTATCTCAGCCTTTCCTTGGGAAGTGGTGTTTAATAGTTTTGCCTGCTTTGCGTTATAGAATATAAAGAAGAAATGAAATGTTGTTAGATTCTGTGTATATTGAAAACTGTAGTTCTGTGTAGTTTACAGGCCATTTTAGATTCCAATTACCCCCTTTGAAAACTGGAAAAAATTTGACAAGTCCTTCAATTGCAATGACCATATCAATTGATTTAGTGCTTCTCAAAATTCCCCAAAGGCAAGTTCAGGTTAAAGGTCGGGTTACTAGTGCATGACACCTTACTCAGTAGGATCAGGATCAGCAGTTTCCAACAGCACAACGGACATTATTTCCATTTCTCCTGTCCAAGTATTGCACAGACAATTTCACGAATACAGTTCATATCTATAAAAGAGGTAGGACTAGTCACAAAGTAACTCTGAATGAAAGAGTTTGGGGGTTCAGCACGTACATGAAATCCATGTTTGCAAGAATTAGATGCTCTGCTTTTTAAAACTTAACCACTCAAATTCATTTTAATAAATTTCATGGCCTGAATTCTCCATACATTACTTCCATAAAAGCATTTAGGTAACTATGCTCTACAAAAGTGAATTTAAAAACTACAGATGTGAATATCACAATTATTTGCCATAGATTGGATTTTGGAGCTTCTCAAAGTATGGATGCAATTATCTATTATTTCCTTTAGGTTCTTTCATGTCTGTGGTTCCATGTTTTCTCATTGTAAACTTCTGTTACTTACACATTATTGGAACAGTTGGCATTATTTAGTGCTGTGACAAACTCAATGATCTCTTTGACTTAATTTTCTCCTCAGGTTATAATTACCCCAAACCCTGTTTTCTTGAAGTCTAGAACAGCAGCCCTTAAACTTTAGTGCGTTTCAGAATCATCTAGATGTTTTCTTAAAACCTAGATTGCTAGGCCTCACTCCCAGATCTTCTGATTTAGCAGATGTGGGATGGGACCTGTTAATTTGTATTTCTAACAAGTTCCCAAGTATTGCCCATGTAGCTGGTTCAGAGAACACACACTGAGAACCTCTACTCTAGAAAATATACTTTAACATTGCTTTTTGCATATGTCATTACGCCTTTCAAAACTGTGATCTTTAATGCAATGGAGAGAATGTTGTACCCAAAGTAATATGTAAAATATTTGCCGAGCATTTGAGCAAATCATTGTAAAAACATTTGCTTAGTTGACTTGAGAGGGTCATTTATGTAGACCACGGTCATATCCCGTCATTTGCCGTTTCTCTCTTTTTCTCATTTCTCTCCATCCTAATCCTCTTTATCCACTTTGGAGTTTTCTACAAGATTGCCCTAATATTTGATTCTGGTTAACTGTTACGAATTACCTGATGACATTTCATATTATCATTGATCCCTTCTAGGAGTTGAATCAGATTTGGTATTAGTAGGATTAGAAACAGTAAAACATTCCCACGTTTTCTCCTGTTTCCACAAATTTGCCAGTCCTCGGGTGAGCCTAAGTATGATTTGAAGTAATTTTGTATGGAACAGTAAAAAAGTTACAGAAACTAAACAAAAACAAACACAAAACTTTCTGGACGTTTGCCTCTGTTATGTATATAAAAGATGAATTTATAAAGTGGCTTGAAATGTGAATTTAACAGCAGCTTTATTTTATAGGAACACGCAGGATCCTTAAGAAACATATAATGCTAAGTATTTTATATATTGAAGATTATTCATTTTCAGCTGCAAAATTATTATCCATCATTTGTTCTTGCATTCAAAATAAAGAAATCCTTTATCCTTAAGTAATATAATGTTAAGATTCAGGAATATTTTAATACCCATATTCATCTTCTTAATGTCTTTATGAAATGTGTCTACGGAGGTCTGACTTTACATTAATTAAATTTTGAAGAATTTCAGGGTTGAATAATTTCATTCTTTTATTACAGCATCATTGATTTTTATAGCTGGAGATATTAGAATCAATTTAGTATACCAAACAGTTAATCAGCAAAAATATTCATGGTTATTAAAATTATCTTTTATATCATTTCAGTTGCATAATTCATGATCATAAAATTAAATAACTGTTTTACTAAAATACACTGGTGGTGTAAAAAAAAGACTTTTTTCCCTAGATTTTTCTCTTGGAATTGCTCTTTTATCTTTGACATCATGTACATAAATATCAAGTGATTACATTTTTCAAAAGAAAAATGAAATAAAAATAGTAATTGATTAGTTTTCAGGTTGATGATTTATTTATTAGGAAACCAAAATATTCACCACCACAAATAAATTATTTTGTTGCCAGGAAATCAAATTATAATCAGAAGGTTTCTTGCAAAAATGTAGTTAGATAAAAGATGCTTGTTATGCTTGAAACACGTCATCGAGTTTAATGTATATTCCTTTTACCCCCAGAAAAATAACCTTTGTGTTTGCAACTCTTGGGCAAGACTCTCATGCTATTAACAGTAGAAGACTCACATTGGCTACATATTCCTTTCTGACCAACTAAATACATACTTCTAAACAATAGGAAAATTATGACATAATACTTGATGTGGACATAAAAATTATTATTGTATATATATGCAATTTTTGTTTTTATTTTGTAACAATTTTAAATTTAATGTGAATTTTTTTTTCTGTTTAAAGAAGAATATCTTTGATATTTCTAATATATGTAGGCCAACTGGAGTTTGACTCTCGCAGGGCGTAGGCAACTTTAGATAAATAGAAATACTCATGCTAAACATTATTTCCGCAATGGAGAGCTCCATAAGTCACCATTATTAAAAGAGACATGAAACATAATCATATTTTCATTCTGCCTCACCATCTGTATGCCTGTAATTTAAATCCTTTTTGTAATTAAAGGTAATCTTTAAGTTGCTTCAAACTTAATGTTCATATTTTTTATTCATTCTAGTTGTTTTTAGTGCTTTTATCAGTATAACTTTAAAACAGAATTTTTACAGTAGAGTATGGAATGCATTTTAGTTTTCATTGTATCTATATTGAAAGGTGGACAAAGTCTGTTAGACTAAGGCCTGTTAAAAAGACTAAAGACTAAACTATTAGAAAGGTTTCTAGGAATCTCCAGAGTACAGATTAATGTGCTACACAGCCCATGTGTGCTTTTCATCTGTGGAGTAAAAACTGTGCTTACCACTGCTGCTGTATTACTATACTTTTTAATGGCTGTAGCAGTTTGGTTTAGAAGAAAGCCGAGGTAAACTAATGCTATAAGGAATGCAATAGTGTCTATTTCTCCAAAAGGGAGGAATTCGCATAGCATATGATTCTAATGAGCACAGAAAGTGGTAAAGGAAAAAGAACCACAATTAGTGCCAAATACAGTAATTTTTCTATAACCAGCTTTTAATATATTCATTTTAAATGGCTACTCAGACTGATTGGTAATCTCCAGTACATATGAGTCATCATTTATGAACCCTATGTTTTACAAAATTGCATATTTACCGCAACGCACAAGTCTCTAAAAGACCTTGATGATTAGCAGTTCCTTAGTTTTGGAATTGTGCCCTCTGGTCACCAGATATAGTGGGAAATAGCTGGTTTTCTTGATGGTAGGTTATGTTGGTAAAAAATTAGATTTGTATTGTAACTAAGTACAAATAAATTGAATAAGGGAGTGTTGTGAGTCTGGGAATCGTTGCAGGATGCTGGATAATTAAAAGAGCAATGAAATATAAATAGATTTTTTTGTTGAATGTTAATTCAGTTATATATTTCTTCTTTGATATGTTCTTTAGTTGATGCAGGCCAGTTAAAATGAGTGACTTCAAGTTTTAGAGAAATACATAACAATGTCAGTTTATAATTATTTTGTTTTTTATACAATTTACTATTTTAGAATCTCATTCATATTCCATTGTATTTCCATGAATGATACTTTGGGCGGCATACAGCTTCTTTCCATTAGGAAATAAAGTCAAAATGCTTAGAAATTTTATTGTTATCCTTCTTAACTGAAGGGAGTTATTCACTTTAAAAATTTTTCTTCATATTAAGATTTAAAAATAGATTTTCTTCTCTTTTCATGTTTTTCTTAATGTACCTTCTGTTTTCCCATATAATTCACATGTTGTGAAATGAAGACACTCAGCCAAGACCTGATATTACTTTCTATTGACCATGATTTTTACTGTCAAACTTGTCATGGATACACTTCTGAAGTGAAGGAATGAAAATTAGAAAATGACGTAAATTATATCAGACTGTTATGACTCATGAGTGTAATATTTCTTTTTCATGTGAATTGCCATCCCTTGTTTATCAAATGTAACTAGGACTACCACATATAGTTGGTAGTTTGTTCACTGCAAAAGGTCATCTGGTCAAGGGAATAAATGAAGGTTATAGTCCAACTCACTGTACATCCCTGAGTCAGATTTGAAAGGCGGAATCTCAAAATCTCAAGGAGGGGCTCTTTTCTAATTTGCACAATGCTAGTATGAACTAGCCAAGACCTTGAACCTTTCTGCAAATTACTTGTATAATTCCACATCTTCCCTTGTCACTGTGCTAGATTCATTCATAGTATTTTCAGAGGTGGTTGTTTTTTTTGTTGTTGTTGTTTTGTTTTTTTGTGATTCTCATTGTTTTTAAGAGATCTTTTCAGGGGCCAACAAGGTCAAAATCATGCATGGGTAAAGGACCTATTCAAAGTTCAACACAGAACAGTAGATTTTAACATAACATTGCAAAATGTTGAGTGATGTGGTTTTAGATTTCATTTTGACACTAACCTTTAAAAATCTACCACATGTTGAGTGTTAGTGTAGTATGAAAGGAGAAAATCCAAATTATATGAAAAGGCTATGCAAATACTTCTCCCTTTCCCAACTCGATGTCTTTATGAAGCTGAATAGTCTTCATACATTTAAACAAAACAAGTTGTAACAGACAGAATAAGGAAGTAGATAGAAGAATCTGTCTACTCATTAAACAAGACATTTAAATAAATTTGCAAAAATGTAAAACAATGTCTTTTTTTTCAAAAAATTTATGTCTTGGAAAATACAGTTATTTTTCATGGAAGTGTTACTTACGTTAACATGTAATGGAGTTATTTTTATTTTACAGTATATCAATAAGTATTTACATTTTTCTACATTTTAATTTCAAACAGGCTAAATATCAATATAATTAACTAAGTAAAAGAACTTTGGGGTCCTCATAATTGTCAAGAGTGCAAAACTGTCTTGACATCAAACCATTTGAGAACAACTGCTTTTAAAGTATCAGAATGTTTAATGTTCCTTTGTTAGAATAATGATGTACTACATGTACTCATACATATTTGGTCCAGGAGAGTTGCTTATCTTAAGAAAAATGAGTCTAAACCTCCTGATTTTTAAGGATCCCTTCAGTTTTCACATTTGATTCATCATAAGACAGCTTACAGGTGCAGACATGTTTACTTAACTGGGCAAACATGGAGAGAAGCTGCATCATAAAGGCCAAGTCAGTGGCTGTCAGGATGGTTTTAATTAACAGTAAGGCACCATTGGTCCCATTTTGTGTGCACTTCAAAATGTTAGTTGTCCATTGAGGTGGCTCACAGATGAGGCACTACTTGAGCCTAGTTGAAATGCAGCTGTGACATATGCTTTTTAAAGAAGACAGGAGAGAGGAGTTTGGGGCACACGATTCCGTGTGAATTAGAAGCTGTTTTATGAGAGATGGAGGACAGCTGGTCTGTTCATAATAAATGTTAGAGAAAGTCTAATATGGCAGGAAAAATCGTAGGATTCTGAAATAAGAATGTTGTTAGCAATAGCAATATATATAAAACAAAAATGAAAAACAACAAAAAAGTATTCACATTTATAACATTCTTAGACTTTTATTAGAGTTATGTTGTTTTGTATGCTCTACCATCATACCTCACCTTGACAGTCATGCTGTTAGCTGCAGAAGACAATCTGTCATAGTGGTTTAAACACTGGCTTTAAAGTCAGACGTACTTAGATCCAAATCCTGCCCCCGCCACTTAATGATTGTTTTAATGTTAGCAAGTTACTTCACTGAGGCTTCATCTCTTCATCAAAAAATGAGTAATCGTACTTCCTTTAAAGATTTATTGTGAATATTAAAGCACATTTAAGTATGAAATATAGCACCTTGTTTATAGTGAGTGCTTAATTATATTATTATATGTGAATGTGTATATATACACATTTTTTCCAGGTATAGTCATCTATCAGTTTGTTTAGTATTTGATATCAACAGTAGAGTTTTTGTGTGTGTGTGTTTGTCTTGCTCTGTCATCCAAACTGTAGTACAATGGCACTATCACAGCTCACTGCAGCCTCCATCTCCCTAGCTAAAGCCACCCTCCCACCTTAGCCTCCTGAGTAGCTGGGACTATAGGTGCATACTACCACGTCTGGCTAATTTAGGGTCCCTCTATGTTGCAAAGGCTAATCTTGAACTCCTGAGCTCAAGTGATCCTCCCATCTTGGCCTCCCAAAGTACTGAGATTATAGGCATGAGCCACTGCACCCAATCCCATCAGCAGAGTTGTAATGTTGGAGATAATCTTTCTCTTTCTCTCTCCCTTAGTCCTGGACCCCCACTCACAAGCCTCTCAGTATCCCAGCGTAGTCTTAGATTTTAGAAGTACACTGTGAAAGCAGAAATAATAATAACCTTTTAGAAGAGCTCCTTAGGAAGAAGTATGCCAGGCAGTTCAATTAATAATTAATGATAAAGGTGTAATCTCTCAAAATTTAATATTTCTGGTGTTTCTATATTATTCCTGCAGCATCTTTATGTTTTAATTACTTTTAAATATGGTAGAAGCAACTTAGGAAATTATTTAGAAATAAGACCCCATAATAAATATGACTTTATTATTGGTGTTATAGTAAGTTACCCACCAACAGAAAAGAATAGAATTGGGTTTATTTGTAAACAAATTTGATTCCATGATATTGGTATAGTAAGGAATCATTTCATTAGTTTAACAATTGAGAAAATGAACTGTTGAATAAATAAAGATAACCACACTTGAAGTAGAATTTCTTCTCTTAATTTCTATGTTTCATTATTTTGCTGAATTCCAATATCAGCAAATGTATACATATATACCTATACATATATATACACACATATATACATATACATATATGCATATATATACATATACATATATATATACATATATACATATGTATACGTATACATATACATACACACAGACAAACCCAGAGGACTTGAGTTCTCTTGGATGATTCTTGCCATTTTTTCGTTCACTCCAACCTTTACTGAGAGCATGGAATTCTGAGCTACTTTTGCGGCTTATTTATCCAGCCCCAATTCCTAATGGACATAAATGCAACTGGAGTAGAGAATGACATATTGACGTTTGGGAATTTTTCTCCCCTAGTTACATCTTTGCCAGGGATAGTCTTAATAGCCAGAAGAAAGAAATGGAATTTGATCCCAGTGTAAGAAACTGTCTGATGTAGTACCTGTCATGAATAATTACAATGGATTAATGCTATGGTGTATAAAACTTTGTAAAATGGATTATATGTTCCTTTTAGTATTGCTATTAGTTATATGAGCACCTATGAATTTCTTCTAAGTGAACTTCAACCTACTGAATGGATTCACACCCTTTGGGTATGATACAGACAGACACACATACAAATAAGTGTGGTATATGATTGAGAATGAATTGTTGAAAAACTGAATATATGTGTATATATATTGTATATATATGTATATATATGTTGTATATATACATACACTAATAATAGTCATAGTTATCTAACTAATATACTCATATCTAATGTTTATTGAGTATTCAGTGTCAGGTGCTGTTATAAATGCTTCATAAAGAGCCACTCTGTTATTTCCTACAACAGTGTTCTGAGATAAGAAAATTTTTTTTCTTCTATTTTGTAGATCAGGAGAATACCCTCAAATGATTAGTTAACTTACCCCAATCACTTAATTATTAAATGGCAGAGCCTGTATTTGTACCAAGACAGTGTGGTCTATTCTATTTTACTCAGTTCTTTTATTATGCAGCCTAAGAGATTTAAGCATTTAAATATCTCTTTGCAAACATATAGAAAAGAATGGAATTGGGTTTATTTGAAAATAAATTTGATTCCATGATATTGGTATAGTAAGGAATCATTTCATTAGTTTAATATTGAGAAAATGAACTGTCGAATAAATAAAGATAACCACACTTACATAAAGTCGAATTTCTTCTATTAATTTCTATGTTTCATTATTTTGCTGAATTCTAATATCAGGAGAGCAGCAAGGTGTGTGTGTGTGTGTGTGTGTGTGTGTGTACTTCTTTTATTGTCCCAGTTTTCTATTAAAGTAAATCTAAATTTGTTCTTTTTATACTTTTTTTTTTATTAAAAGTGGAGATTAAAACAAGTATGGGTGTCAAGATTTTTTTCCCTCTTTTCACATGCTTTTATGTGAAATATCTCTTTGAAGTTAAGTTGGAAGGCAGGTGTTGGGTATGGGTGTGTCACAGGGCAAAACTTCAAAAGTAAGAGACAAATTATGGAAAAAGTATTTAATTGTTTAATAGTTAAACTTTCTGTTTCCCAAATTGAAAGACCATAATATTTATAGTATAGGATGTGTGTGGCATTTGAAGTTGCAAAAAAGGATTAAAAATGCACCTCTTTGAGGATTATATTAATAAAAACTGCCAAACATTAATTATATCATTTATCATTTTTACTGATATATTTGTAAATATTTGAAGAGAATCAAATATTTGAAGAGAATTGTGTTTCTGTTTGCCCTATTAAATTGTGGTTGCCTCTTCCTATGAGAGTAGTTTTCAAAACTCTGTATTTATAAACAAGCAATTTTTCAAAATCTTTTTCTACTTGACCATAATGACATCTTTCTGTGGCTTAGGTGTGAAAATAAATTAACTAAAGGAAAAATGAAACGCTGTAGCTTGGAATTTTTGGACAGTACCAGTAAATGTTTCAGTGCCAATGAATATGTTTATTTTATTTTATTTTTATTTTTGAGGTGGAGTTTCGCCTTTGTCACCCAGGCTAAAGTGCAATGGCACGATCTGGGCTCACTGCAGTCTCCGCCTGCTGGGTTCAAGCGATTCTCCTGCCTCAAGCCTTCCGAGTAGCTGGGATTACAGGTGCCTGCCACCACACCCATCTAATTTTTGTCTTTTTAGTAGAGATGGGGTTTCATCATGTTGGCCAGGCTGGTCTCAAACTCCTGACCTCAGGTGATCCACCGGCCTCTCAAAGTGCTGGGATTACAGGCATGAGCCACTGCACCCAGCCTATTTTTTATATAAAATTTTTTTTATTAATATGCCTTCTTAAGAAAACACAAAATGAACATTTTATGACACATGTAAGTAAAAATTTGCAGTTTGAAGCATACTTAAAAGCTATTCTTTGTGTATCAAAGCCCATAGAGCATAAAGTGAAAGAAATCAGTTTTGAATTAAAAAAAGCTGTCACCTAACATTTGCAAGTCAAGAAAGAAATTTAATCTCAATGGATATAGCAATATGATAAGAGAATCCTTTGACCTAAAATGGAGCTTACATTTATTCTTTAATTTCAAGCATGATTTGCATACTAAAAACACCTCTGCTTTACCACATACTAAAAATATAAGCATATATTTTCTTACATTTATTTATTTAGAGCTTTCTATAAAATTCTAGATATTTATTTCATAAATCCTAGAAGATATTTTACCCCTACAATAGCTTTAAAAGTAATCAAAGATGCCAAAATGTCAAGTGGTCATGGATTTGTGACACTAAGTGATGCCTGAGTTCCATTGCTTTCTAGGCTGGTATTTATCAAGGACTCCAGAGGTTGAGATGGATGTGGTCTGTAAGAAAATAAAATGTAATATGCTGGAAAGAAAATAAAATTTTGAAATAAACGTAATTTCCTGGAAAGAACTTTATAGGATACTTATATTTCATCAGACCAATCTTCCCCTCCCTACCCCAGGAGTAAATGACAGAAAGAAAACAATGGAAAAAGTAGCCACTCTAATGGAAAGATGGGCAATCACAAAAGTTATTAGTATAGACATTTGATGGGGTCTAATCTACCTATGGAATACTGTGTTCTGTCAAGAAAAGAGAGCTAATGTGTCTTCTAAATATCAAAAGACAGGAGCCAATTTATGCCTGTCAGGCCTCACTTTTCACAGATTTAAATCGCTCCTGTTAGGGAGAGACACATTACTCCCACTGCAGTCAAATTTCCCTCTTGATTTTAGTCAAAAATAATTTTAAAAGCTTTCTGACAATTTAAAAGAGCATTTTAAAATAAATGGCATTATTTTAGAAATCCCTACTGGATACCAGGAATTACCTATAATTAGTGATAAGTTTTAATATTGTACATTGCTCCTCTTTTATATTTACTATATTTTAAAGTAAAATGTCTTTAAGGCATACTCCCATCCGTTATTAAATCATTTTCTTTGTACATGTTTAAGAGTTATATAAAACTTTTGCTGTCTCTAATCTAAGTGAACTTTATTATTTTTGTTGCCTGAATGAAAATTCCTGATGATATTTCGTGGGTCAATTAGCTTCCTAATATTTGCAGGTGTGGCATCTGCTGTGTTCTTGATTGTCATGGCATAATAAAATTGTGGGCTGGAAGACATGAATGTGATATTTCCCTACGCATTATATTTCTTACACAAGCAATATATCCTAGTTACTTCAAGTCAGCATGACATCGTGTGCAAAATTGCATACTGCATTAGGCCAGATGAGACATTGCCATACATTGCTCATGTGGATGCAAATTGCCACTTATCTGGAAAAGATTCTCACAATAAATGAACAAGCAATTTCTCTCTCTGTACTGAGGCTGTTCGTGTCTTGGTGGATGGGTAATGAGAAAGAGACAGATGAGATGAATAAAGGTGTTGCATTTCATTTTCTATTTTATCTTCTTTTTTGTAACTTCTGTCAAATTAATACTGTAAAATTATCTGTTTCCAATTTCCATTCTTTCCATCCAAGAACATGACATTTATTTTGCAGAAAAAAGTAACATTTAAATTTATATTGGAAATTGGTTAACATATTCTGGGACTCAATATATATATATTTTTTTGTTTTAAAGATAATATTAAAAATAAATTTGGAAATATTTTCAGTATTCAAAAATCATAGCTGAACATCTGCACAGTTGAGCATTAGCGCATATACACTCATTAAGCAAGTATGTAGGCAGAGATTAAAGGAATGGAATGTTTTTCATCATTGAAACTGCTGTGTTTATGTAGCTAAATCTAAGACCAATTAATTTTAAAACATCAATGTATTTGTTAACATAAATATTTTTTGTAAATTTGGCAGCCAGCATTTTTATTAAGAACATCATGCAAGTTCTTCCATTAGAGCTGCAGTATAAGAACTGAAAAAGATTATATTCTTAGGTCTGTCAAAATATTCTGAAATGTTCAATGTAATATTTTTAAGACCCATGAATCTATTCTCCTATTCTTTGGGGAATTAAATATTTAGCCACAATTTTCTATTTTACATGATATGCATATAAAGACATTGAGGAATATAGAAATTATGAAATAATTCAGAATTTATTAAGAATTCCCCTGGCAAACCAAATTAAATATTATTTTAACATCTAGTTGTTAATATGTTACTATTGATTCTATCTTAGAAAAGTGCAGTTATGTGTAACTGAACTTTTTGTTTTCTTGTGGTTGAACCCTGAATTACCATGTCTTCTGGTTTCAGTGTTTTTCCTGGGAAACAGATCGTATTTCTTACTGCCAAAGCCCAGAAATAATAGCCTCACAGGTCCATCCACAGCCCCAAAGGCTTTTCTGACTAGTACCCAGAGAGCAACTGCAGTGCTTCAGACTATTTGTGGACAAGAAATCCTAAAACATCAGACGCTGTGGAAAGCAATTTCATTTCATTAATACGGTTCCTAATTATCTGCATTTATTTTATTGTCTAAGTTCCAAATGCTAACCTATCACATCAATGAAATCTTCGAAGTTGCCTTTATTTGACAGGATGTGTTGTTTTTTTTAGGTAATATTATTTTTAAGGAAAACCATCGCCGTTTTGTAGTAAATAGGCAGAAAATGAGAGAAATAGTGATTAAAAATCTGTCAATATATGCTATCACTTGTGTTTCTTCTTCCTACCATCTAAATGAAAGAACGATGTTTAATATTAACTTTTGAATATAAGATCTTAATTTATTTTTGAAGCATATTTTTCCTGTTACTTTATAGCAATGCCATATTTATGGTTGTTTAAAAATTTTGATTGAACAGCAAACATTCCCAGTTTTCCCAGTTTCTAGACATTGCCTAACACAAATATAGGATTATATAAGTTAGAACTAAAGTGAACTACCTCAAGTGTGGCATAACCATGCATCCTCTTATTGAATATTGAATTGCAAAGAAATAACTATTTACCATGATTTAAAAACATATAACCATTTAATAGCAGTCACTTCTATTAATTGCCTAATCAGATTATAATAGTTTGTTTTCTTTGCAATGAAATTTCCCCACAATTTTAATGGCTGTGAGGTACATGAAGTCACACAGCATGACATTTTTATAGGAGCCGAGGTTTCCACTTCACAAAATGCACTTACTTATTTAAGTTGTCCCTCAGCCTCTAATTGCTTTATCTTTCAAAAAAAGTGGTATGTTTTTATTCTGTGACAATATAGATCCAAAAATACCATTTTAACATTGAGCCAGTTAATGACTCCAAAATTTGATAAACACTAGGGTACCAGTCCTAGCACAGGACATTGGAAATAAATCAAGTTGTAGGTGAGAGGAAAGAACAAATACACTGACTCAGGGGGATGCCTGGAGTTTGGGGATGCGCTATATACACGGTTGGTACCTCTGGGCTTTCTAGTCTCTCTTTGCCAACACCTGGATCCTACCCACTTCACCCTTTGGTTTCTTCATTCTGTTTACAAACTAACTGAAAACAGACATGACATGTTATAAGAAGAAAGAAAAATCACTTTACATATATATACACAAAATTTATGTATGGACTTCCATGTATACCAAATTTAAATATATGTGGACTTCCATATTTATTTTCATATATGCCAAATTTAAATATATACAGACTTCCATAGATATATAAAAATATATGTTTTAGGGCCAGGTGCGGTGGCTCACTCCTGTAATCCCAGCACTTTGGGAGGCCGAGGTGGGCAGATCACGAGGTCAGGAGATCGAGACCATCCTGGCTAACACGGTGAAACCCCGTCTCTACTGAAAAATACAAAAAAATTAGCCGGGCATGGTGGTGGGCGCCTGTAGTCCCAGCTACTTGGGAGGCCGAGGCAGGAGAATTGCGTGAACCCAGGAGACGGAGGTTGCAGTGAGCCGAGATCACGCCACTGCACTCCAGCCTGGGCGACAGAGCAAGACTCCGTCTCAAAAAAAAAAAAAAAAAAAAAAAAACCCTATCTATCTATCTATCTGTCTATATATATATCTGTCTCTCTCTCTATATATATAGTCCATAGAGGACTTGTGTATTGCACTTTTGTTATTTTGAGAGCATAAAAAATTAACAAAAACACATCTCTAAAGGGCTATCAGTATATTTTTTATATTTATTATAGTGCACTATAAATTTATTTAAAGCTAATTATTTTTAAAAGAAAATTGTAAAGGGAATCAACATATATATATATATATGTTTTAGAACTTAAAATATATGTTTTAAATTAAATATATATATTTAAATTTGGAAGTCCTAAAACATCAGAGATACTGTTGAAAGCAATTTCATTTTGTAATACAGTTCATAATTATCTGCATTTATATATTATATTTAAATTTGGAAATGAATAAAATAAGCACTCTGGGTTTTTTTTGTATTTTGGTTTACTAACTATATCACATGAGTTCTACCTTTCACTATGCAAGTTGTAGATTAACAAGCATTTCGTAAATCCAAATGCAAAATCTGAACATCTCTTTGTTGTATCATCTTTTTGGTACAACTCAAGAAAGAAAAATCTATCAGCAGTAGACTACTTTTTAGTTTTCAACAATGGGTATGAAGTTTTCTTCTTGTTTAGATATGTGGGAATTATGAGTAAGCAAATGCATTGAAAAGTAATGTTATAAATGTTGATTCCCTTTATAATTTTCTTTTAAAAATAATTAGCTTTAAATAAATTTATAGTGCACTATAATAAATAAAAAGGGCTGATAGCCATTTAGAAATGTGTTTTTGGCAATCTTTTATGCTCTCAAAATAACAAAAGTGCAACACACAAGTCCTTTCAAAAGGTATCTCATTAATTTAAGATTGTAATTAACTGTTTTTTAAAGTTCTGTAAACTCAACTGATGAACATATCTACCGAATGACAAAGATGCTAACTACTTGGGATATGTAGGGATATATAAGAGCGATTCCAAGTCCTGACTTCTAAACATGCTACCTGCCTGGAAATTGCTTTTGATGTGTTTATGGTTCCCAGACTATCTGCACACTGGAATCATCTGTGGGGTGTGGGTGGAGGATGGTGCTTCGAAAAATACTGATGCTTGTGTTCCTTCCCCAGAGCCTGTGAACTAATTGAGTGGAGGTGTGGCCTGAGCTTTGAAATTCTGAAAAGGTCCCAGGTGATTGTATTGCTCAGCCAAGTTTTTGAATCACTGGTCTAGACTGTGAAGGTACAGAATAAGGAGGGTGAGATACTGTTCACTGTCAGGACACCAAATTGTTTCCTTACAGAAACATAGCTATAGAGAGATGGCAAAGCCTAATGTGTGTGGAATTGTGTGTGCATGCATGCACATTCATACACAGCTGATATGAGTAAATCATACAGTTTTGTTGCATTTTCTCACCTCTTGCTATCCTGCCTCCGTTGATTGTGAACTAAGAATTATTTCTGTGTAGGCAGATGTGTTCATTGTTAGGATTAGTGGTGTATGCAGCAGATACTTTAGAGCCCAAGGAATTCCTCTTTCTTGTCCCACCCTACCCCCACCTTTTTTACCTATATGAACACAAGATGAACAAATACAAGAAACTGGCTAGAAAAGCATTTTCAAAGCGCTGATGAAATTATCACATTTATCAATATTTTAAAATTTAGACACATGGCAATATTTATTAGGCACTTCTTAAAATAACTCTTCTTTTTTTTTTTTTTTTTTTTTTGTGAGCAACAAGGCTGTTTATTTTACTTGGGTGCAGGCGGGCTGAGTCCGAAAAGAGAGTCAGCAAAGGGTAGTGGGATTATCGTTAGTTCTTATAGGTTTGGGGATAGTCGGTGGAGTTAGGAGCAATGTTTTGTGGGCAGGGGGTGGATCTCACAAAGTACATTCTCAAGGGTGGGGAGAGTTACAAATAATCTTCTTAAGGGTGGGGGAGATTACAAAGTACATTGATCAGTTAGGGTGGGGCAGAAGCAAATTACAATGGTGGAATGTCATCAGTTAAGGCTATTTTCACGTCTTTTGTGGATCTTCAGTTGCTTCAGGCCATCTGGATGTATAGGTGCAGGTCACTGGGGATATGATGGCTTAGCTTGTTGAGTGTTGTTACTATCTCCATTTTACAGCTGAGCAAACTAAGGCAAAGAAAGGAGAATGTAATTCTCTCTGAGTGTATTCTCTTATTTTAAATCCAGTTACAATTCCTGGTACAATCACCATACCTATATGAATAACTTTTTCTGTTTTAATGGGGAGAGAGAATTGTTTGAGTATTATGAATCTTGACAGTCCAGAACATAATTGACCAAAAGCAGCTGTTTCTTGTAGTCTTAAGTCTCTGAAGGTTTAGGTGTCTTGTGTAGTTGATGATATGTCAATGGTGATGAATAATTACTTTTATCTAAAAGGATTAATTAAACACCCGTTCTTCCAACCTCAGACATTTTGAGGATTGCTTCTAAGTGTACAACAAAAGTATAATTCTTATTTTCTAGGAGAGTCCCAATTCAGTAAAATTTACTTCTCTTGCCAAGTAGGTCATCTGAAATACATCAAATGTTGTGTCCAGATTTTTGTTTTAAAATGTGTGATTGTTACTTCTAAAAATGGCTTTTGGTCCAAAAGAAATTATGTTGAGAATTAAAATGACAACCACAACACAACCACTGTTTCCTGTTCAGTGACTTCACTTGATCAACTTTTGTGATAGCAATGCCAAATCTTGCCAAAGAACAAATCATTTTTCTTCCAAGGAAAATGTTGCTTTTCAAAGAAACTACTATGTTTATGTTTGGTCATCCAGTTAAATAAGAGGATATTTAATTAGTGCAATGGAGTGATTTTAACATTTATGCTTAATTTTACATTGGATTTATAATTTCTGGCACTTGACAAGGCAATGGCCAGGTACAGTTTTCTTTCCAATGATAGCATTTCAAAATATATTCTATAAGCAAGGATTTAGTTCAAAAACTTAAATAATTTTGAAAAACAACAAGGCCTTTTAAAATTGATTACAACCTGCTCCCCCTTGAATTTTACTTTTTTTCTCTTTCTTTCTCTCTTTTCTTCCCTTTTCTTTTCTATTTATGTTTAAAGCTTCTGCATTTATTCTTTGACCAAAATAATACATTTGGTCTTCAACGAAAGCCTGGATATTTGTAACCCTAATTGTCAGCAGCAGTATCTTTCTGACCGCTGAAGGGAACTGATTTGTGTCTGCATTAGCACCCTTCACACTCCAAATTATACTTCCCCTTCCCCCTCCAGTGGCAGTTTCCAAACTCTCAACTTGTTTCATGTCAAATGCATGTTGGGCTCTGTAATAAATCACTGATGAACAGCCAACTCTCTGTTTTGGAGGTGCAGCCTCTGAACATTGATTAATGTGATTCTTCAAGAATGGAACAATGGCCAGTGTGCATATGCACAAGAAAAGCTCATCCACTGCAATAGATAGCTTTGTTCCGTGTGCTCCAGCCTCTTTGCTTACAGTGTTCTCTTTCTAGCCTTAGCAGGGACCTCAGCTAATTGATTAACAGAATCTTAGGCTGCCTGAGGTGGGCCTAAACCAGGGATATGATCAGAAGTTTTGAAAGACTCTATTCTTGTCTTCGGAGATTCCTGCAGCCACATATGGCAGCCACAATGGGCAGAACAGCACGGATTCTTATTTTGGGAAGTTTTGGTGGATTTCAATGATAATTTGTTTCTGCTGTATTATTTCTTCTTTTTCTTTAACCTAATTGGTTTTTCAGTAGTTGACAGGTATTTTTAAGACAAAACATGTATATGAGATTTTTCCTTCTTCTTTATTTCATCTTTGTTATTGGTCTTCGTTTCATTAGCTGTGCTAGAAAACACATTTTCTGTTTTAAAAGTTGTTCATGAATACATTAAACATATAAATATGATTTCAAAAAGCAGATTAGTGTATCTTTTATCTAATATCTGAGGACATTTTATAATTTGCTAAAAAGGTGAACAAATATTAGGTATTTGAAAAGTATTCAGTACTGTTTATTTTAAAATGTAAATTACCTATGGTTTTTTCATTTCTTTAGATTTAAAATTTAGTAGAAATATATATAACATAGTGATAAATATGACACATTAATTGCTGTTTTACTTGCTTTTCATGGCTTTGAATTTTTGTAGTTGTCACATGATCTCTGAAAATGAATGATGTGTTGGCTTAGGGAGATATTAATTTATGTTCCTTTTTAATCTATTTTCCCACCGTTAGAACCATATATTCTTTTAATGTGGTTTTTGGCTTTTTAAGAAAAACTAAATTCTTTTCATTTTCAGCCAAGGAAATTGAGATTCGGCTAAGCGTTGAAAAGATGAAACATTTCTGGCAAAACCTTATCTCTGGGTGTTTCAGAAATCTTACAAGAAGTTTTATAGATTAATTCTTCCCATTTTATGAATAGGGAAGCTAAGGAAAGCAAATATGTCAAAATTCAGAATGAAGAAAGGAGCAGCAGCCTTTTGTGGTCTTTCCTATACTAATTCATGATGGCTTTTCAAAAGAGAGAAGTTTCTAGTACCAGATCCTAGAGGAAAATCTATCATAAAAATGTCTTTATAGAAATCAATTTTTTTTTACTGTGGAAAAGCATCTACTTTTATGAAATTCGAAAAAAAGCCATCATTTTTTATTTATAAAGTAGAAGTTTATTCACAAAGTGTAATACAAGTGCATTGTTTTAACTTAGACGTTATTTCCTCATTAAAATCTATAGTGATTAATTTTTATATCTGCTTAGGAAAATTATTTAGCTAATATTTATACATAAGATATGGAATTAATATTAATAAACAGCCAATATGTCTTAGTCTGTGCTGCTACAATAAAATATCTAAGACTGAGTAATTTATAAGGAACAGAAATTTATTTCTCACAGTTGAAGAGGCTGAGAAGTTTAGGGTCAAGGCATCAGCCAGTTTGGTTACTTGTTGAGGGCTGCTCTGGGTTTCCAAGACGGCACCTTATTGTTGCATCTTCCAGAGGAGAGGAATGCTGTTCCTCCACATAGCAGAAGGCAGAAGGGCGAGCCAATGGAATATTGTGTGAAGTCTCATTTACAAGGGCCTTAACTCTTTCATAGAGAGGAGCGCTCATGG
The DNA here is from genome assembly GCF_000001405.40 of Homo sapiens. NCBI lineage: Eukaryota > Metazoa > Chordata > Mammalia > Primates > Hominidae > Homo > Homo sapiens. The sequence continues at coordinate 78,893,251 of NC_000003.12, read as the reverse complement.
CCTAATCACCCCATAACAGCTTCGCTTCTTAATACTATCACATTGGATGTTAAATTTCAGCACCTGTATTTTGGAGAAGACACATTCAAACCACAGCACAATACATGAAGCCTAGCAACGAATCTATGACAAAAGCATTCAGAATTTTATCTTGAGATGTCAAGAACAAATCTCCTAGTACGCTGTGCTTACCACAGTGTGATGGCAATGGGATGGGAGAAGGGAGAGGTCTTTCCTCCTGCCAGTATGAGGTTGCACTTTCCTGAAATCCAGGGGACTAAAGTGGGAGAAAGAACAAAGGTCAGCAGTGGTTACCTGATGGAGGAGAGGACCAGGAGTCCTGAATTTTAAGGAAATGGGCGATATTTATCTTTTGAGAGTGGAATGGGAAAAGGAATTCCTGTGACTATGTAGTTGATTTTATATAAATGATATCAGGCAAATCAATGATATGAAGCCAACTAGAAATGGCTTGATATATCTAGATTGACCCTTTAGGCATAAAAATTAAGAGAACTAAACTGTTCAGAAACATGAACTAAGTATTTCTTCACTGATCCACCTACCAAAAATATTGCAGCCTTTTATCCCAACTGATTTAAAGTGAGACTCTTTAGCCTTTCATTTGGAACTCTGAATGGTGATGATGATGATGATGATGATAAACACTTCTTGAGCTATTATTACTCTTAACACTCACTGTGCTAAACACTTTGTAAAGATCCCTACAATTACTCTACACATCACAATGCAGCATATATTATTTCCATTTCAGATGCTGCTTACAGTGATTACATCACTTGCCCAAGGTGATAATCTGGCCAATCAGGGCTGGGCTTTTCACACCAGGTATTTCTTCCAGAGTCCGTGCTCTAACCCGGAGGTCCCCAACCTTTTTGGCATCAGGGACCAGTTTCATGAAAGACAACTTTTCCACAGATGGGGTGGGAAAATTAGATTCTCACAAGGAGGATGCAACCTAAGTCCCTCACATGTGCACTTCACAATAGGGTTTGCACTTCTATGAGAATCTAATGCTAATTTTTGTATTTTTTGTAGAGACAGGGTTTTGCCATGTTGCCCAGGGTGGTCTCAAACTCCTGAGCTCAAGCGATCTGCCTGCCTCAGCCTCTCAAAGTGCTGGGATTACAGGCGTGCACGGCCCGCATTTTTTATTGAGGTAAAATTTACATACAATGGAGTATCTAATCCAATGACTATTGGTGAATATACTCACAAACCCGTGTAACCACAAGTCAAGAAATAGAACATGTCCATCATTCCAAAATTTCCTCATTAGTTTTTCCAGTCAATCCCTATCTTGAGAGGCAACCACTGTTTAGACATCTATCACAGCAGATTAGTTTTGCCTTTTCTTTAGCTTCATATGAATGTGATCACTAGTTTATGCTATTTTGATGTGGCTTCTTTGACTTAACACGTTTTGAAATTCATCTATGAGTTTACACACATCAATAGTTCATTCATTTTTTATTGCTGAGTGGAATTCTATGTGTATGAATATATCACAATTTGTTTATTCATTCTTGTACGAACGGACACTTGGATTATTTTCAGTTTCAGCTATTATGAATATGTTGCTAACACATTATCATACAAGCATTTTTATGGACATATGTTTTTATTTCTTTTGGGTAGTTTTGAGTGGAATTGCTAACTCGTGTCTTAAGTATATGTTTAGCTTTATAAAAGACCAGCCAGACAGTTTTCCAAAGTGATTGTACCATTTCTACCAGCAGTGGAAGAGGGTTGTTTCTATTTTTGCCATCCATGGTGTCATCATTCTTTTTTACTTTAGGCAGTTGAGTGGATATGAGATATCTCTCACCGTGGTTTAATTTGTGTTTCCATGATGCTTCATGATGTTGAATTTTTTTTAAATGTGCGTATTGGCCATTCTTATATCTTTTGCGAAATGTCTGTCCAAGATTTTCCTTCTCCGAAGGTTGTAGCCTCTCCATTTCTTTTGCCTATTGTTTTTAGTCACTCTCCAGTGCCTTCTAAGAGTTTTTGTATTTTTTCCATTGTATATAATCATTACTTGCAGGTGGGGTGGTCTAATTTAAGCTACTCAGACCTTACTGAAACTGTAATGTAATCACATCTCTTTGACTCATTCTTTATAGTTGTGTCAACCTGTCCCTGCCTTGTTTTCTCCTAACATTCTTGTGTAATAAAACTTTATTTCTCAGGGTGGAAATTACTGTTTTAATATAAAAAAGGAAAGATCGGAAGGCTGAGATGGAGGACTTGCTTGAGGCCAGCCTGAGCAACATAACAAGACTCCATGTCTAAAAAAACATTAGTTGGGCGTGGTGGTACACACCTGTAATCTTAGCTACTCTGGAGGCTGAGGCACGGGGATCACTTGAGCCTAGGAGGTCAAGACTGCAGTGAGTTATGATTGTGCTATAGCACTCCAGTCTGGGTGACATAGTGAGATCCTAGCTCTAATTAAATAAATTAAGTCAATAAACAAATAAAAACACGAAATGAAGCCACTTATTTAGATTGCACAGGAACATAACCATCTTTAATATAAATGTATTCAACATGTAAAGTATTCCGATAATTAAAAATACAACTAAAAAAGTAAGTTCAAAGTATGTCTTAATGGACAAAAAAATATCCTTTTGCTATTTCCCAGTTTACCATTTTCACCAGTGAGAGTTTGTGCTGATCAGTTTGGGCTCCTATAACAAATTGTCATAGACTGGGCAGCTTAAACAACCAACGTTTACTTCTCAAGGTTCTGAAGTCTAGAAGTCGGGTTCCAGCGTGGTCAGATTCTTGATGATGGCCCTCTTCCTGGTTATGTCCTCACCTTCCTTTGGTGCATACAAGCAGAGAGAGAAATCACTTCTCTTTCTCTTTTATAAGGGGATTAACCCTGTCCCCAATTATCTCTCAAAGGACTCACTTCCACCTACCATCACATTGAGGATTAGGACTTTATCTTATGTATTTTGGAGGGACACAAACATTCAGTCTGTAGCAGAATTCTTTATTTATACATGGTTATTGAATACCTAGTCTGGCCATGAAATTTCTGAATCCTGAGTATACAGCAGTGAACACACCTGAAAATACTCCTGTCCTTACAAATCTTATACTGTAATGGGAAAAAGATGGCTATTAAGAGCTTAAGCAAAATATATGCCATGTTTGATGGTAATGAGCTCTACGGAGGAAAGTCAAGGAGTAAGAGGGCATAGGGAGTGCAGTGGGATAGAGACAGAGAGGTCCCAGTTTAGAAGAGTCAGGGCAGGCCTCGCTGAGAGAGTGACATTTGAGTACAATTTGACAGAATTGAGGGAGCCAGGGAGATGGAAGAGCAACGGCGAGTATTGTCTTAGTATCATTAATTTGGAAAGTTGTATTTTTATCAAAAATTTATTTCTTCCAGTCTAGTGTCTTTTGGATCCTGTATTATAATTGTTAATTTTTAAGTTTCACGTACTTCTAAATATATCCTTTTTTACTGACTGACTTTCCCCACTCGTTTTTTTTTTTTTTTTTCTTGGAGTTATTTTCTATATTCCTTCCACCCAAATGAGGCTTGTGCTGTTAGGAACACATAGTTCACAAGCAGGAATCAAAACCCCATATTGTCAAGCTGCCCAACTGGCAATACACATGGCAGTCTCTGTTTCCACCAAATTGCTGACTTCTAGCATTTCTGCCTAACTAGGAAGAAACATCATGTGTGCATCAATCACTGTAAGACTGTGTCTATGCTAATGAAAATCACGTTTCTATGAGTGTACCCTTACGCACATGTGTGCTTTCTTCCTACTTACGGCTCTCTAAAAAAGTCAAGTTGGTGGATTTAGTTTAATTTTAGGATTCTGTGTACAGTAAACTTGCAAATGTAATTTAATTTGAAAAGAAGGAATGTTTGTAGCCTCTAGGGTTCCCCTGACATGTTCCTCTGGCATATGTGAGAAACTGTGCTGTCCTGGCTCATCCTTCATTTTTTAAACATGTATGAACATATATTGGGGAAAATTGCTTAATATAACTATAGAACAAGGAAACAACAACAATATTTTACCAAAGCATCAACACATTTTATTTTCATATTGAATTCATTTATGATCACTTCTTAATGTGTCCTAATAGTTTCACTCTTGAAATTGCAGCATCTATGAAGGTAAGATCATGTTCTTTGAAACCTGCTCTCTGTATTGCCTTTAAGAGAGTGTATCTTTCTACAGAAGGCATCATCTTGTCTAAAAGAGAACTGTAGTATTGTACTTTTTAGAGGACCCATTGTTTACATTCTGTTTATATTCAGTATGACATACAAAAACATCCAACCAAAGGTGAACAGTTAGTTTTTCAAATGACTCATATATCTTAAATCAATCTTAATGTAATAGCTAGCTATTTTACAGCTACTAGAGGGAATTTTTATAAGACTTACACAGTTTTTAGTATTTTTGGAGGTTGGATCACCATGACCTGAAACAGAGCCAGGACTCATTTCTCATCATGCAGTATACCACTGCAAACTTGATCTAAGCTTATATATCTCTTTGAAGTCAAGACAAAAAAGCAACCCAGAGGGTTTTATGAAATGTAAAGAACTACTGTTTTAAGGTAGAGAAAGGACTTCTATAATCGTTTGTTTGCTGACGATATTCATTTTAAGGTTGAAATGGTTACTTAATTTTAACTAAGTTTCTAAAAATAGTGTGTATATGTGTGTCTGTGTGTATTTCGAGCAAGAAAATGAATTTCTGAAATCTGGCTTGTTTTAAGAATACAAACATTAGATATTTTAAGTCTCTAACCACAGAAGACTAGCAGTAGCTTTGTTGTAGTAGCTCAATAGTTTAAACTCCACCTTCCCGTGATCAGCCTAAATATTGAAAACACTCATACCTATAACAATTCCAACTTTGTAAATCAATGGCTAACCAGTAGTAAATGGTTTACATTAGAACTCCTTTTACTTTAATATCAGGATTGGGATATTGTGATTAATCAAATACAAGGTTATCTAGAGAAATACTTTTTCAGTAGTTGACTTTGTCGGAAACTTTTAATTGATCAAAACTGCATTCTCGAAAGGATGAACTGATAACAGGAATGAATTCCTCTGTCCTCAAATTCCCTTGGATGTGAGGCAGTGTTCTAAGAAATACAATGTCTGTTGTTTAATTGGAAGTTGTATGCATTTGTGCAATGCAGTTTCCTTATGATCTTTTCACTCGTGAGACAAGAGGATTAAGAGCATTAAACTCACAAATGCTTTCTGGAAAGGTTTTTTTTCTTTTTTTTTGAGGGTGTGTTCTTGTGAAAACCTGGGGAGATGCTGAGTATCATACTTGGTGATGCAATATGAAACAGAAACCACAACTGCTGAAGCAGGATTCAGTGATATGGCTTAAAACTTTATTTAGGATTTGACTTAGAAGGGAGGTTTGAGCTGATTTTATTCAGATCTCAAGCAACCAGGTTAGCCTAACATATCTATGTTACACCACTTAACTGTGGGATAGAAGCAAGCCAAGCAAAACACCCCTTCGTTAGTAGATGAGGCTGGTCACCATGTGGTTTAAACATACCTGCTAGGCTTCCCCTTTTGCAACTCTTCACTCCTCTCCTCCAGGGATACTTACAGATGCTACTAAGTATCCTTGGACTTAAATATCTCTATAACTCTGTCTGTGATCTTTTGTTTTTCTGAAATATGTGATGCCCCCTGAAATCATCTTGATGAAATTTAGCTCATGCTTTAAGTATCGGCTCAGCTGTCATTTCTGGGAAATCTTCTTAAATTTCATAACTGTTCTACATCTTTATAGCTTATGTTAAGCTTTCATTTACATGTGCATGCAACTTTATAGAGCATTGGAGGGGCAAGAGAATTATTGTAGACTCAAGGCTAGTAATGGATTTCATCCAGTCCTCTCAACAGCCCTTTTTAACAGATGAGTCCCAAACTAAGAAGTGATGGTGCAAATTTTTCATGCAAGGCCTGTGTGACTCACAGCATTCCTAAGCCAACCTGCTGCCGTCATGCCACATTGTATGTTTCTCATGTCTTTCCTCTCTCCTTTACTCTCCAAGTTCTGATTTTAATTTTATTGTATCCATATTAATTTCTTTCTTCAATACTAAGAACAGTATTATTGACATAATAAGGTGGTCAAAATATTTGCTAAGTTAATTATTGATGGATGTCTTATATAATACAAATTTAACTGAAATATGCATACAGAAAATTACATAACTAAAGGTGTATAGCTAAACAGTTATTAACAATTAGGCACATTTATGTAACTAGTATGCAGAATAATAAGCAGGATATTACCAGCAACTCAGAATCTCCTTGGAGCTCTTTTTAATCATTATCCATTCGTGTCTCTCCCAAAGTCATACTACCTGGAATTCTAACACCATATATTAGTTATATTAGTTTTAATGGTTTTTTATCTTTGTATAAGTATAATCATATAATATGTATTATTTCAATGGGGCTTCATATATTCCACATTATGTTTTGGAGATTCATAAATATGGGTATATGTAATAATAATTTATTGACTGAACGCTTTTTGAAAGGCATCTTCTTTCTTTACTCTGGTAACATAATTTACAAGTGCAGAGTACAATTTTTTTTTTCTTTGAGATGGAGTCTCACTCTGTCACCCAGGCTGGAGTGCAATGGTGTGATCTCAGCTCACTGCAACCTCTGCCTCCCGGGTTCAAGTGATTCTCCTGCCTCAGCCACCTGAGTAGCTGGGATTACAGGCATGCGCCAACACACCTGGGTAGTTTTTGTATTTTTAGTAGAGATGGGTTTCACCACGTTGGTCAGGTTGGTCTCAAACTCCTGACCTCGGGATCCACCCGCCTCGGCCTCCCAAAGTGCTGGGATTACAGATGTGAGCCACTGCGCCTGGCCACAGTACAATTTTTTAATGAACAAAACTGATAAAATATGTTGGCGATATATGAAATTGAGTTAAGAAGCCTCGAAGTATAAGTATTATTCTTTTAATCAGCTTATTTTCGTATTGTTTCTTCCTCCTAAAAGATATATATTCTAAAATACTATAATTTTGATTACTCATGTTTAACTCTTTATTGTAGGAAAAGCATAACTGGTTAAATATTTGACATAACTATTTGATGTTGTTTTTTTATAAACAAAGCTAAAAGATAAAGTCATATATCAAATGTTAGAAGACGTTTTACAAAAATATAAACTTGTTCATGTATAGGTAATATTATTCTTCAAATGAATCTTTAATTACTTAAAAAAATATATATGTATGTATATATATATATATATATATATATATATATAAAATTTTGCTATCAGTAGTAGGGTCTTGAAAATGCCATTTTACTTCATTTCTTCATCTGTAAAATGGGCAGGGTTGTATGAACATAATTTTTCTAAAATTAAATAGTCCATGTAGGATTTACAGTCAGGCTGATGAAGTTCAAATCTAGTCTTTGAATCTTTGTAGGTGTCTGCTATTACACATGTGAGTAAACCTCTCTGTGTCACATTTACTAATATACAGTGAGGGTAATAATAGTATCTACCTCATATAGTTGTGAGGATTAAATGAGTTAATACATGAAAACAATGTAGAATATTCCCTGGCACATAAATATATATATTTCTGTGTCAAGTGTTCTTGCTATTGTTATTGTTATTACTTTACCAATATAACTACTTTGGCTTGCATAGATGGAAATTTCTTATTTGGCAAATGGAATTTGGGGAACTTTTATTTCAAGAGAAATATTTTTGAGAACTCTCAGTTTTTTTTTTTTTTTTTTTTTTTTTTTTTTAGTTTTAAATTCAGGGTTACAAGTGCAGGTTTGTTACATAGGTAAACTTATGTCATGGGGGTTTGTTGTACAGATTATTTCTTTATCTAGGTATTAAGCCTAGTACCCATTAGTTATTTTTCCTGATCCTCTTCCTCCTTCCACCCTCCACCCCACAAGAGACCCCACTGTGTGTTTTTTACCTCTATGTGTCCATGTATTCTCATCATTTAGTTTCCACCTATAAGTGAGAACATGTGGTATTTGGTTTTCTGTTCCTGTGTTAGTTTGCTAAGGATAATGGCCTCTAGCCCTCTATCCATGTCCCTGCAAAGGACGTGATCTCCTTCTTTTTTATGGCTGCATAGTGAGAATGCTCAGAATTCTTAATGATATTATTTGATCTTTGTGAAGATTATTTCATAAGACATCTTACAGATGAGGTCAGGTTAGAGTGGTATAAGGGAGGGACTTAAACATGCAGCCTTCGTACAAAGCAATGCAATTGAGTTTCATGATGAGAACATACAGAAGAGAAATACACACACACACACACACACACACACAGAAAGAGAGAGAGAGAGAGAGAGAGTCTATTTCTTCTTTTTCCTTATGTTATTATCTCAATCCAGGAATAATTTATCATATCTTATCTGGACTATTAAATTTTCTTTCTTTCTTTCTTTCCTTTCTTTCCTTCCTTCCTTCCTTTCCTTTCCTTCTTTCTTTCCTTCCTTCCTTCCTTCCTTCCTTCCTTCCTTCCTTCCTTCCTTCCTTCCTTCCTTTCTTTCTTTCTTTCTCTTTCTTTCTCTCTTTCTTTCTCTCTTTCTCTCTTTCTTTCTTTCTCCCTTTCTCTCTTTCTTTCTCTCTTTCTCTCTTTCTTTCTTTCTTTTTTGAGGGGCAATCCTCCCATCTCAGTCCCTGAGTAGCTGGGATGACAGATGTGTGCCACCATGCCTCGCTGATTTTTAAAGAATTTTTTTTGCAGAGGACAAGTTCTCACTATGTTGCTCTGTCTGGTCTTGAACTCTTGAGCTCAAACAATCCTCCCACCTTGGCCTCCCAAAGTGCTGGGATTACAGACGTGAGCCACCACACCCAGCCTGGACTATTGCTATTTGATAACTGGCTTTCTTGCTTTTAGTAACATCTCACAGAAATCCATTTTCCACTGCATTGCTTCTGTAACTAATTTCTAAGATGCAGGTCTGTTATTGTCATTCTCTTCATTATAATCCTATAGTGATTCTTCATTAGCTGTATAATAACATTCATGTTCCTTTGCTTGGCATCTAACTGTTCATTTTTTAAAAAATGTATTGAGTGGCTACCATGTGTCAGCAATACACAGGAAAAGTCCCTTATGAGCTCACCTTTGCCTTTCCTTTTATCTGCATTCTCCCCACTGTTCACTTGCAGTCCAAAACTACCTGGCACACTCTGGCCACACATGAGGGCTGCATCAGGCTCTCTGATTTTGCACATGCAGCATAATCCCCCATCCTAGCTTTGCAGTGAAACATTGGGCTGGCCCTTTTATTCTCTGAATTTCAGGCCTCTCATTCTCAAAAGTGTTACACTCTGAAATCTCTTCTAGATCTAAACTCTACAAATCTCAAAAACTTTAGATGTCAGATAGGAGAGAAAGTAGGTCTTTAGATGGATATTGGACTCTTGAGCAAACCCACAAAAACTATACTATATTTAAAATATACTATATAGTAAATTATTAACAGTATAGTAGAATAGTACATAATTTAAATATCATATGTTTAGCAGGGCACTGTAGCTCATGCCTATAATCTCAGCACTTTGGGAGGCTAAAGTGGGAGGATCACTTGAGGCCAGGAGTTTGAGACCCTGTCACCACAGAAAATTAAGAAAATTAGCCAGGCATGGTGATATGCACCTGTAGTCCCAGCTACTCAGGAGGCTGAGGTGGGAGGATTGCCTGAGGCCAGGAGTTTGAGGCTTCAGTGAGTTTTGATCATGCCACTGCACTCCAGCCTGGGCAACAGAGTGAGAGCCTGTTTATAATACATATCTGCGTCTCATGTGGTTGAAGACAAACAGGTGTAGTCAGGTCAGTGATTATTGATGTAAAGAAGCATTTGGAAGTCATGGGGAAATATCAGTACATTTTACAAGTATACTAAATTCTGTGCCACCTACATAACTTTTTTTTTTTTACCAACAGAAATTAGAAAATTAAAACCTTGAGCACCAATGCCCAATAAAACAAAAATCTGTTGAAACTAAACACAACGACTTGTCTCAGTGCTTCTGCCGTAGAGAAGAAGATGAGAGAAAAGATTGGGAATGGCCCAGCACAGTGGCTTATGCTTGTAATCTCGGCACTTTGGGAGTCTGAGGCAGGAGGATCATTTGAGGTCAGGAGTTCAAGACCGGCCTGGCCAACATGGTGAAACCCCATCTCTACTAAAAATACAAAAATTAGCCTGGTGTGGTGGCGTATGCCTGTAATCCCAGCTACTTGGGAGGCTGAGGCAGGATCATTGCTTGAACCTGGGAGGCGGAGATTGCAGTGAGCCAAGATCACACCACTGCACTCCAGCCTGGGCAATAGAGTGAGACTCAGGCTCAGAAAAAAAAAAAAAAAAGATTAGGAAGAACAGAGGTGTTATCCCGAAGGTAAAGGAGCTAAGAAATATTTTCCCCAAGTAGTTGGTAAAAATAAGTAAACGAATTAAATATATAAATGACAGGGACACATTAGAGGGATACCTGGAGGCAAAGGAGAAAGATGGAGAGATAGGAATTGAGGATGGATATACTGACATTGAGTAGCAGAAATTGGAAAATGTGGAAAGAGGATAACATGTATGATCCCCGAGGTGACAGAAAGATGCAGTGGAGAAGAAATACTTAGCAGATATTTCATTCAGCATGATGGCCTTATGCTCAAAATGTCAGCTCAAAACAGCTTGTTGTATTTTGAAGTAGGAAAGGGTGTGATCTCGAAGATGAGAACGGAAACATAAGGGATGGCAGTACACAGTGGCGTTGTGAAAGTGCAGGAGGTTCACATGGTCTTTGTAAGGCAGATGAATACATAATCCAACTTCTATCGTTTTAGAAAAAAATTACTTACTACTTTCTAGTTTTGTAGTGGCCTCATTTCACTATCAATTTCTTGACGCCTTTTACAATTACAATCCAGGAAATTGAACAGAAAATTTAGCATTCATACTAGACTCTATTGGCCATTCTTGTTCCACCTTCTCCAAATGTAGCCCTGTATCTCTACTATTTTTAAATATATAAAACTGTTCCTAAATTTGTAATATTTAGAATTTTGGAACTTTAAAATAAAAAATAAGAAAAGGTATCCAAAATCTACTTTTTTTTACATACTATTAGCTTTTTAAAAAAATGGAGAAACAAGGCTCCAAGGTACATAAACATCACATCTAATGACATAAAATTTACCCTCAAATCCATGTGTTACTTATTACTATTCATCTAACAGTAATTGCAGAGTTAAAATTCATAACCTCTATGTATTTTTTTCCATTTGATCTATTAAGGCCATGTCCATTAAAAGTATAATATTAAATTAGTAATTCTTATACAAAATTGAATAACTCTGATCTTATTGGATGCACATAAGCTAATTTAAAAGGAATTTCTAGTGAAACAACTGGAAAGTATTTCTCTTTCCATCCTTGCCTCTCCCTTTCCTTTGAGTGTTGCTGTATCAGGCCACGGGCCTGATGCAGTCGATAATAAAATCTGCCAGTTTTTATTTCTGTGGAGGAAGAATTATCAATAGGAAGTAAGAGAAGAATATGAAAAATAGTGGCTCTTGTTGGGAAATTAGCTCATCATAGTTAAATTCAATAAAACAAAGTACTTATATAAGATGCTGAGTGTCTAAAAATAACCATACTCTTCAAAATTAGCCAATGAAAGAAAAATGCTTTTAATTGTTGCTGTTTGCAATTTTTGTGGCATTTTTATTGTTTTCTTCAAATTTTTTAGTGCCAGATATAAATATCTCCATACATGAGACTAACCATTTTCACTGTAAACAGAGAACAAAGAACTGAATGTTTGTTGTGAAAAGCGCAGTCTATGAGGTGAATGCCCTAAGGGGAATGCGGACTTAAGAGGGGCTCCGTAACACACTTTCCCACCAACTTGGAGATGCTAAAATGAGTTGGTGAAATTTCCAGCAGTCTCTTCTCCTTCGTACAGCTCAGAATCCTCTCATCAATATTTCTTCCCACTATTAGAGAAACAAATAAAACTCATCTCTGCTGGGATTAATTTGCTGCAGCCTGAAGCATTGAGCCTCTACTGGCAACCACTACTGAGCTGAATAAGCAGCATCCCCGCATCTGTTGACAATATGAAATTGTTGCGGCAGCCAATATTCATAAGAAATGGCCTCCAGAATCCAAAGAGAATACGCTAGTCCATAACTATCAGGGTCTGACCACTGAAAGAATAGCATGTAATTCCAGATTTTCTAAGCTATATTTAAATGAGGGCTTCTTTTCTCTTTGGATCAGAATGTGGAGAAATTGTGTAGACCCAATTTTACTTGAACAGACCTAGATACAGAGCTGGTTTGGGCTGAAAATGCCTGAAGTTATTTCCAGCTGGACATAGACCTGTCTTATGAAACTGTGACATAAATAGCTGCTCTTTAGCAGACTGGTCACTCCTATTATGGAGCACTATTGGAACTGAAATAGAAAAAAAAGCAGATAAAGGGTTAGATCTCCAACTGCCTAATGGTTCAAAGAGCAGCGGCCTGGTTGTGGCACCATTTAAATTTGCAATTTTCTTGACATTTTGCATTTTATTTTAAATGTAAAACAATTTTCTTTGTGTATGTTTGTAACAATTTGGGTGGCTTAACTGATTTACTCCTTTCTTTCAATTAGTGAGTCTGTGATTATTATTATTACCATGTTAATTTTTTTTTAACTTTGTGCCTTGTGGGGAGGACAAAAAGTTACCCTATTCAGTAAGTGACGATGGGTTCCTGCTTATTCATTAGCCTCATTTTCTAAGTTGAAAACCTTTTAATCTACAAAGTATATATTTCTTTCTGGTTATGAAATACAGCAACATTTCACTGCTCTTGTTTTGTGGACATATTTAATTGTTAACATCTTAAATAACTGTGTAGGAGTCAATCTTCTGATCCTAACTGGTAGGACTGGTAGGATTTACCACATATTAAATTACATGGTCTTTAAAGTTTAAAGTTTTAGCATGCTAATTTTATTGGAATTTAAGGTAAGAAAAGCAATCCTAATAAATGAGATGTGTTTTGACTTTTCTATATGAACTCAGTTTCATTAATTGAGCTTCTAGAATAAATAGACCCAAAATTACCATGGTGCTTTAATAGGTATTACAGGTTCTATTTTACATATTATGTAGGGTCATGTATACATTATATATCACTGTGGAGTAATGATTGTCTTTCATTTATTTTCTTTCAGACCAATTTAGAATTATTAATTTTTCTATTATTGGTATCAAATCTAGGAAACAATGGTCCCTACAGTGTTGCAGACTTTAGATACAAGTCTTCTGTAAAATGCTGTTTGAACTTATTTAAACCTAATTCATGTGATGCCAAGTTTATCCTAAGGCTTGTGCTGGGGCAGGCATGCACATCAAGGAAAAACAAGAGCCAGTTCCCAAAGGGAGTGCAGACAGCTAAATTCTGTGGGGTTAGTTAACGCTAGGAGTCAATGCGGAATCCAGAGGGATGCTTCCGACTACGTTTTTATTGTTCTTTTTTTTTTTCCCTGAAATGGTCAAAGGGGCATGTGCTTGAACATGTGAGCCAGCAAAGCGTCTGCGGTTCTAATCCCCTAATTAGGCTATCATACACAGATGGTATTTAGTTCTTTTTTTTTTTTAAATGAATGAAAGCATGTGGTAATGATGTTCATGAATTTTTATAAGATAAAAAATGCTACTTCAGTTTTGCTTATATTTGCCTAACCTCGTATATAGGTCAAGCCATGAGTGGAAATATGTGAAATTTAATATAAATAGATGATGTCATTATGTGCAGTCAGCTTGTAGGCATGATATATGTGTAGACATACACATGCTCCCTGTCACACATATATCAACTCAGATCCAGTATACACGATTTAAAATTTGAGTTATTTTGGTAGAGAAATGAGACTTTCTCATGTCTTCAACCCTGCGTGTAATATCATTGTGTTATAAATATCTGCATCCAGTTTTTAGTTATATGCTTTATTAATATTTATTAAGTCCAACTTAGCATAAATCAAAAAATTTGTTACACATACCATTTAGTTTAGTTTAAAATGTTTTAGGCAGAAGTATAGTAGAACACAGTGAATTAAGGAAAGAGCAGACAACTGCAGGAGCAAGACAGTGAACAAGTTCAAAGAGCAGCAACAACAAATACAGTGACTAATTTTTCCCCACGTTGAAAGGATAATATTGACACAAAATATCCAAGTATGCACTTTAAAATTTTGGTTTTTGTAATTGCACTATTTTATTTATTTATTTGTTTATTGTCATCTGCTAACTATATAGGGAAGTAGGTACTTTTTACCTAGACTGTAAAAGGTGATATTCAACTTTTGGTCTACAGAATCTCCTATGAGTTTCCTATTGCATTGTTTGTGGTTTTTGAAAATAAATGAGAGTTTTAGATAGATAAGTTGCTTCACATACTCTATTTAGCTTAAGTATGATACTGTTAACTTTTTTATGATTGAGACAGTAACTTGTCTATTTTATTTTGGCTGGTTATTTCCAAGGTAGTTAAAAATACAGGTGCCCATTATGCAGTTTTTTTTTTTTTTTTTTTTTTTTTGAGATGGGGTTTCACTCTTTTGCCCAGGCTGGAGTGAAGTGGTGTGATCTCGGCTCACTGCAATCTCTGTCCCCCAGTTCAAGCGATTCTCCTGCCTCAGCCTCACAAGTAGCTGGAATTACAGGCACCCACCACCATGCCCGACTAATTTTTGTATTTCTAGTAGAGACGGGGTTTGCCATGTTGGCCAGGCTGGTCTCAAACTCCTGACCTCAGGAGATCCACCCGTCTCAGCCTCCTAAAGTGCTAGGATTACAGGCGTGAGCCACTGCGCCTGGCTGCAGTATTTTAAAATTACACATCTCACAGCTTTTTAGTATCTTGCAAGGTCTGTGGCATTTAGACATTGGAGTTTTGCTGAGGTTTGGGTTTGAACTGGAAGGTGGGTTTGGGAGTAAATTGTTTTCATTGTGACAGCCTGGATTACTCAGCATTAGAGTATTGTTGGGTTCTTGGTATTTTAAACAAGAGCATTCCTAAAGTACTATCATTTTTAATTGAGAACGATGGCCCTCAAGCAAAAGAAATCCTTAGTGAAAATTGATAAGGTGATGGGAGGATATGCATAGGAAACGTCATCCAGCAGGTTCAAGAGGCTGTCGGAAGCCAGATGCCTGCACAAATATATGCTATAGTCCCAATTTGGAAATCCTAAATAAAATGCATTTTTAGTTGAAGTAGGTGTAAAACTTTCAATGTGGCACAAAATTCAAGAAGTGTGAGACAATTTTATACTAATGTTACCTTTTCTCAGCTCTTATTTTTCTCAGCTCCAATAGCACATATTGGAGGCTCCTCCATGAATATGTTACTTTTAATTGTTGAATAATATTTCATTGTATGAATGAAAAGCAGGAAGGCTTACCTTGTATTCAAAGACACTTTTTAACTCTGTTTACAGGGATACTTTAGGAATGGTCTGAGAGATACTAAAATTAAAAATCTAGTTAGAAGTGTGCAATAATGCTCACATTACTTTAAACTATTTTAAAAGTTAGACCTGTGCTATTTTTTAAAATATACCAGACTTATTTTTCTTAAGTATTTCTTAAGATATCTGAATATCTGTTTGATTTTTTTTCTTTTTGAAATTCAGCCTAAGCCAATGTACTATTTTTTTTTCATTCAATTAGATTTATTTTAGGGATGTTTTTATTCTTGTTGTTATTTCATATCAGAGAATTGTTCTAATGAATAGAACAGTGTTCACTGACTTTCTTTTGTTATTCCATTGTCCTTCCATTCTCTTTCACATGGAAATGTTAGTTTTACATCAGAATTTCTTGTTCTCAATAGATGTATTCTTGGAGGTCTTAAAATGCTCCACAATAATTTCTTTTCTATGTTCTTTTTCATTTATTATACTTTAAAATGTGGATATTATATGTATGTCCCAAATTACCAAGTCTAGTATTACAAAATGTCAGTAACATTGATTGCTTTTGTGTTTATCATTTTAATTTTCATTTATCTATTTAATAAATTGTATTCACTGGCTACTACATGTCAGGCCCTGTTGTAGGTCGCTGGATCTAGCAGCGATAATACTTCTTGCTTATGTCCTATTGAATGTGCAGAGATTGTCGTAGACACCAAGCCACATAATAATTGGCCTTAAACAAACTCATGCAGTCACACCTAGTTAATCCCAAATGATGTTATTACACTTTGAATAAAGGGTCTTAATAGTTCAAATAGAAAAAAAAAAATCTAGTGGAATTTTAAAGATACACCTTTGGTTTAGAGTCTTCACGTATCTATTCTTGTATTTATCTGGTTTGACCAAATGTATTTTTGTATTTTAAATGTAACACAGCAGAGTTTTCCCAGGATGTATTCCTATAGACTATTCCACAGTACGTTCTTTACCATGTTTCCCGTGTTGACGTTGAGTGGTTGTCATCGGACAGCTGTATTAGTGACTGGCTTATTTAAGAGTATCTTGACTTTCTATTTGGTTTAAATGTGGAATTTTCATGTATTCTTATGTGGTTTTACTTTATCTCACATTGGATCAATTGAATTTATTATTCTAACAATCATCAGTTGTATCAATTGCAGTGCATTACGTGTGTAGCAAAATATTTGAAAGCCAAATGCTAATTTTTTACTAAATTTTTTACTACCTTAAGATGAACTTCTCTGAACTTATTAATAGACTATACGACAATCTCAATAAGCACAACACATAATCAAGTTAATTGGTCTTCATAAAAACAAGATATAATTATGGCTAAGTTGATACAGTTTTTTAAAGATTTTCTTTCTTCAAGTATAGTTGTCTCTAAATCCATGCACTAGTTTATGTTTGGTTACACTCTGTAGAACTATTTTGAATGCTATAAAATTTATCTTTCTTTTGAAAATTTTGCATATGTTACTATGCAACTTGATACTTTTCAAAACATGGAAATAGTTTTGAGTTCTGAAAATACAACATCATTCATCCTTGAAGATTATTATTTTTTCTTGACTACATAACTGTGAGTAACCTTTCCTTTCTATTCCTGGCACTTTGTGTTCTCTAGTCATTTTACTGTTCTTATAATGTGAATAAGTCTTGCACACTAATTCTGCATTCTTTATTGGTGAATCTTCATTAAGTAAGCCCTGATTTATATTTACTATGCTGATATAGTTCTTTTGGCAAATGATGATTGATTTCAGGTAACAAAATCTGACACTAAAGTAGATTTTAAATTGTACAGATTATACATGTGAAGGACTTACTAATAACTCCTTTTTCTTTTAGTTGTTAGTTCCTAACATGTGTCAGGTAAGGGCTTGATATTTTTCACTTTGATTCTGCTTTTAATCTCCAGGTGGGACAGATTTTCATGCTTCTCTCTGTAACGTTTTGCTTCCTAAAACCAAATTGAATGAATGTTCTGATGTTTGGAGACTGCCAGGATACTTGGCCAGAATTCTGATAGTTTTCAGTTGGCAACATACCCTCTCTTCAGTCTTTTTTGGACTGGTGGACGTTTTGTAAATATTTCCATAAGCTATTCCGAGTGCATGCAATTGATTTTTTTTTCTATTCTAGCTTTATAAGTTAGTAATCAGTGAAACCAGGTTACCCTAACTATAAGGCTTCATTGTTTTTCAATTTACATTTTATCTATATCATTTATATAATGTCACGATCCCAGACTTTATGGTTTATTTCTTCATTTTATTTTAATTGTGTTGAGTTTGCTTTTGCTCTCAAGCTTACTAATTGTCTCTCTCAGTCTTTCTCCATGTCATTTGATTTTTATCACAATTGCTGATCTACTATCCAGAAAACCTAATGGGTGTCATGATTTATGTTAGTGATTATTCCTTTCCTTTTCTAATCATTTATAATCTATTTTAAAAATGAATCACTTCATAAGAAGTCCGAAATTAGTGCCAAGATCATTTGTGTACAGACTGAAGACTCATCTGATTTTGTTTTTCAGAACTTTAAAATAAAAAATTTCATTTCCAAGTTTTGGAATTCTCTAATTTTCCCATGACTTTTCAGTAGATTTATGATAGTTTGGTTTAACATTGCAGTACAGTTCTACACACCTCATCTATGTTCAGATTTCTATCTTTAAATGTATGTTGAAGCTCTCATTTGTTACTGGATTCATTTATTTGTGCATTCTCAAAGTGAAACAGATGGGTGTTGAATTTGAATATAAGATTATTTATTTGAATCTAATAAATAAATAGAATAGAGGTATTTGTTTTGAGGTAACTATTATTGAGGTAACAATAGTCTTATTGTTATTTTGACAACATAAATAATTTGAGACAACTATTGTGGTTTATGAATTTTCACTGAGATTTTGATCTGTTATAGAAAAGAATTACTTATAATGGTTGATGCTAATAGTAAAACTGACTAACTTGTTAGTTTAAATTTTTTATATTTTAAAATTCTAGTTCAATTTTTTAAATAAATGTTTTTGAGCTAATAATTAGTATAAAGCAAAAGTAAACCATAATATAATGAATACTTGAAAGTGTATGACATAAAGTTTTCAAAGATTTATTTGCCCCTGCATTTTTAGCCTCTCTAGTACTGGTTGTTAAGACCTCATATTGTAACTATAATATATGTATTATTACGGTGTATTAGTATTATATACATTAGCATTTGCATTATAAGTTATAATGCAAATTTTGAGGTAACATTTTATATAATTTAAAATTAGTTTTAAGTTGGCTTTTAAAAAGTTATTAAAAGGCTATGAATTTTGAGAAAAAATTATCTTACCTCACCATTTTTCACAACATGGAGTTTTATGTGTGTAAAATAATACAGCATATTAATGAAATAAAGGTGTATTTTAATAAGCAGTTGCCTAGTAAACATTTATTTAGTACCTACTATGTGCTTGCTAAGTATATTTGCACTGGCTAAAATTCGTTTTCTTAGAAGTGCTGCAATTTGATACAGTGATTGAGTATATTTTAATACCTAATCTGATTCAATATATTGTTTTGAAAATGCAAGATGGAAAAATCTTTGCTTATGCCCGTTGCTCATACTTTAAGGTTAGTAATTGAAGTCACATATCATTAAAAAAAAAATCCTCTCTTTAAATTTCCAAGGGGGTATGTGATAAATGGAGTATGGGTTACAGAAACAAATTGAGTTTGAATCCAAATTTAGACAAGTTGCTTGATTTCCAAAGTCCTTGTTTCCTCAGCTGTAAAACTGAAATGAAAGTAACTATATTAGTCATAGTATTGCTGTATATATTCAGTGAGACAATTGAAGTGTAAACTTTCCAGCATAAAGTTATGGCCCAAATAAAAGTCACGTGAAAAGAAACAGATGAACACAGAAAATGAATATTCATTAACTCTTCAACTTTTCTTCCCAGGAAAGCATTTTTTAAAAATTTCCTAACCTCGCTCAGGAATATACATGATAGTAAGTATTAGTTGTTGAAGAAGTATTCCTTTATCATTTAATTTTATATTGAGCCCTTTATATGATTCAAATATTAGAAATTTTTGTAGGAATATTTTCCAAAATTGGCTTCGTATTTTTTATTTACTCATAGGTAAGAAGAGGTTTACTTGGTCGCAAGCACATGACAAGTAATTAAACACGTTCATACACTATCACTCTGGAAAAAAAAATTGGAATTCATGTTTTTGATGTTGTTTCAGCTGGGGTTTCAATTCATAGACAGAATTCTGTGGAGAATCCAGAAGTGAGATCTAACAGTTTAGCCAGCTCATCTATTTTCTTTTCGAAGGAAGAGATAGGACAAAATTGGATATCTCCAGAGGGAGGTCCAAGTACAGTGGCACAATGCATCCCCTTTTGACTGACGGAACTACCTGAGTTCCCTTGGAGAGACAAAGGAGGAAAGAAAAGTAGGAAGTAGAGAGAGGCTGACTGATTTAGAGACTTAAACATAACCCTTTAATATATAGAGGTGAGTTTTCAATATTCCCCCAAGACTGTTTTTGGGAGGGAAAAGAATTTAAAGTAAATAAAATAGAATATGGGATTCTTAATATTTATTCCACAAAGGGAAAGAAAGGAAAGAACATTATCAGGTAAGTCTTGTTTAATCCAGGCATTTTTTCCTTTTCTTAACTGTAAATGATGTACTATTTTTCCTGAGGTAAGAAATATAAACAGATTACAATTTGTAAATCTTACAAAGACCTATTCTTTTGAAACACCCTTACTACTTCATATTATAAGTATTTCTTCACTTAAGATTTCTGAAGTGAGAAACATTGTTTTGGGAATTACCAGTATCATGGGAATTTCTGTAACTCTTATACTCAAGCTATTGAATTAAATAAAACCTTGGAAGGACAAATGCCTTGATTTGTCCAGGGAGCTTACTGATAACGTGAGTGTTACAACCTGAAAACTCATCTGCTTTTAAATACCTAGGCACTGCCCCACTTCCTCCCTGACACTTTGTATTTAATTTTGAATTTTTAACTAAACAGAATTTCTTCTTCATTGTGCTTGTTTGATACAATGTTAGGGTTGCAAAGGCAGTTAATGATTGTTAGGAAAAGAAACTAATCCTTCTCACTGTCAAACATCAAACAGAAGGTCATCAACCTTGTAACAATAAAAAAAATTCTTTTGTTCTTTCCCAGTCCGTTAGGATTCCAGAATAGATTCAGATTGCAGCAGGGGAAGTTGAAACAAGAGCAGAGCTGGAAAGTCCAGACAAGATTATCAAACCAGACAATTGTGCCTTCCCCCAAACTCAGCGTAGCTGGGAGTCACTTCCCTATCAAAGCACGCAGGCAGTTCTGGGAAGGTTGTCTGTGTTCCCCCAGGAGTGGCCCTACTTACTGTAACATCAGTCAGGTTTGGTGGAGGATGGGTTGAGGAGAAATGGAGGGGGATGGTCAGAACAAGTAGTCACAGAAAAGAGTATTTGTTAGAAGTCAGAAAATTCCCCAGGCTAGAGTATATGTAATCACAAGTCTCAGAAAACAGTGATATGCTAGGCAACTTATGCTCACATCTTATAAAATAGTTGCAATAAAATAAGGCCCAGAGAGACCTAGACTCAACCTAAAGTCTCATATTGTCGATAACATAGCAAGTGACAGAAAAGCTCTTGTGTTTAAAATAGATGGGTCATGAATTTAAAGCAAAGACAGATGGTTTTCTTTCATTTTTATTGTGTGTTTTAATATAGTTGAGCATCAGCAGCATGATATTACAGCAATAGGTGGGGTAATTCCACTTTTAGGTAATAGATATAGAAATTCTTAAATAGGTCTGTGTCAGACCAAAATTTTTCATTAGTTGGTTACTTTTTTATAAAACCAGAAACCTAGCTTTACAAATTCTTTTTTTTTTTTTTTTTTTGCTGTGAAAGCTTATAAATGCAAATAATGTCTTTTTCTAGTACTGAGCGCTATGAAAGGACAGTAGATTCAAAAATTTAACTTGCATTCTTTTCACACATTGTAAAAACAGAATTAGAAAAATATAAGTATAATACAAAGAAAATTGTGCAAAAGTAGCAACCTAATTTTTATCAGATCCATAGTAAAATGTATGTCATCTTATTTAAATTAAGTAGCACTGTGAATGAAAACACACACACACAACATCATCTTGTAGCAAAATCAACTGATGCCGTAGGAAATTAGAGCTAAGATCAGAAAGCTCCGTTTTTCATCCCTTAAAAGGAATTTAATAAACCAATAGAAAGGATGAAAACCTAAAGCATAAGATGAAAATCTAAAGCTCAGTGTATTCTAAATTACATAATAAAAATGAAACTGACTCACATGAAAAACCACAGACCTTCCTAATGACTGGCTCTGAGAAATGTGGGCTCATATGTAGGGTTACAAAGGTAAACCAGGCTTTATGACACTTCCCTGTGCCGCTCTCCATCCCTCTCCAAACATTCACACTCGCATGGGCATCAGTGTCTTCACATGGCTTTGGGTTTGCTTTCTTTCAGAAGGTGACTCTTGGAATCAAACAAGCAAGTGCAGGTTTTCTTAACAGAGGTGATGCAGCATCTCGTATTTTTGATAGCACCCTAACAGCTAACGAGAAATGTAATTTACTGGGTGCTTTCTATATTCCAGGAATAGACCTAGTACTTTACATATAATATATTACTTGCCCTTTAAAATAATTTTATGAAGCATGTGTGGTTATTTTTATTCCTATTTTGCATATCTGGAAACAGGTTAACAAAGGAAAGAAAATTTCATCGAGGCCATGTAGCTAAGTTAAGTAGAGGGCCAGGTCCAAAGATTCAGGTACTGTTGGCTTGTGACACTTCTCGGTCTCTGCTCAATGGTTTTTCTTGCTAACAGTATTTTGAAATTACCTCAAAAGCCTTGTGTTCACTCCCAGAGGATAAGTCCTGATTGGCTCAGCAATTTTCGCAATCCTTTTAAAATCCTTGCCATTGATGATGGGCTCAGCCATGATTCCTGTTTACAGAGGAAGTTTGTTCTAGTGCTTCTGGGAAACATTTCCTTTTGGTAAGGCAGTGCAAGGGAAAGCCTTTTATTCCTACCAATTTCTGTCCTTTTGAGGACATTCTTGTGTAAGAATCATTTCTTCCCTGTAAGGCAATGCAAGAGAATGCTTTTTTACTCTTAACCTCTTCTGTCCTTCTGAGAATACTGTGTGAGAATGAGATGCTTCAATCTGCAGGATTCATCTTTTGCTTACAAGAGGAAACATGGAAAACACACTTGCATGTAGAAGTCGTAAGTGAGAGTCTGGGAGCTTGAAGATAGTATTGAGTATCAGAACAAACCCTAATATCAGCAACCTCTGGAATTATTACTAACTTAACTTCATTACGGTATTCTGTCACTTTTAGGCAAATGGACGGGGTTGGGTCAGGACCTCTAAGGCAAATCAAGTGAACAAACCATGAGAGAGACAAAGGTGGTATACAGATTTGGTGCAGATGAAAAATAACAGTGAATACAAATGAAAGACAAAAATGCTCCTTAAAAATAAGATTGTTCTTTGCTTTAAGTTTGTGACCTATATTTTCCATAAGATTTTGTTTTCTGTTGCCATGGTATCAACTTATTTCCAAAAGCTATAGAAAGGCCAGGTGTGGTGGTTCTTTGAAAACCATATTATAAAATGCAATCCAAGTTTTTTAAAGTTAAGGAAGAATTTGAGGTGAAAGTTAATCTTAATTGTAACAATCACCAATAATTTCTAGTGCTTACTATGTGTCAGGCACTGGTTTACATTTATTAATTTACTAAATCCACAGAACAATTCAGTGAAGAAGGTATTACTAATATTCTCTCTTTGAGATTATGAAACTGGGGCTGAGGTAGTTTAAATAAATATGCCAGGCCAGGGGTGGCGGCCCATGTATGTAACCCCAGCACTTAAGGAGGCTGAGGCAGGAGTATCACTGGAGCCTAGGAGTTTGACACCAGCCCTGACAACATAGTGAGACGGCCTCTACCAAAAATTAAAAAAAAAAATTTACCTGGTGTGGAGGCGCACTTGTGGTCCCAGCTACTCAGGAGGCTAAGGAGAAGGATTGTTTGAGACCAAAGAGGTTGGGGCTGCAGTGAGCCATGTCATGCCACTGTAACTCCAGCCTGGCAACAGGGTAAAATAAGCCATAGAAAGCATCTGAATCCTTGAAAGAATGACCAAATGTTGATGAGCTATACACTAAAGTTACTCCTCATTACATTGTTTCACTGTAGCATACATAAAGAAAGATCAACGTTTGTTTAAAATGTATTGTTTGTGGGTAGAAAGCAAATATAAAATTTTAAAACCCTTATCACAAAAAAATGTTGGTTTAAATGGAGTCAACCCATATGATATTACACATAGGTTTAATTACTGGGTAAGTTGATCAGTTAAAGAGGCAGATGAATTCAAATTTTTTACCCCTAAAAATATTGGGGTTATAACGGTGATAAAAATTTGAATAAGGTAAATAGTTAAACTTCAATTTCATTGAATTGTTTGTTGCAATAAAAAAGTTTCTTAAAAAAAACTATAATGCTTATTTGTCCCAAGTTAAAATTTTATTTAATTTTTTTATTCTTACTCTAAAGCAGAAGTAACTACATAACTTATTGTCTGATAGCAAAAATTCCTTATTGATCAATATGTTTAACATCACTTTTTGCAAACTTGAGAAAATAAAAAAGTTTATAATACAGACATAAGTTGTTCTTGTTCTATCTACACTTCTTTAAAAAATAACAGGTTACATATTTAAAGGGGAATATTGCCTTTTTGACATCTACATACCCATTGTTCTTTCTAAGCTTTTGTTCACTAGCTCAGGCTGAGAATGGATAATTATATGTAATGGAAGACAGCTGTGATGTACCAAGTGTGTTTTTTTCCCCTTTTATGCTGTGCTTGAGTGCATAATTCCCTTCCTGCTTCAGTGTTATATAAGGCTCAATTTTCCTGTGTTTATTTTATCCTGAAATTTTAGCATGCGGATTTTAACAATCAAAATCAATTATAGTTTTGTCTCTACCTTTGGCTAGTGCCTTAAGTTATGGATTAAAGTGTGTGATCTCTAATACCAGACTATGTTGTTAAAGAAGGTGATAATTCTTCTGTGTATATTAAAAGCGATGCCACTATTTAAAGAAAAGACAATAACATTTTAAACACATATTAAATTTATTTCTGTTATTATTTAAGTAGGGTATTGGGTAATGTCAACTTTTTTGGTAGTCTTTTTTTTTCTTTTTCAATTCCAAATTAGAACTTGAATTTATTTTTTCATTAAGACCTCCAAGGTTTGCACTGACATCATTCATAGTATTTAAAGTAATCTTGTTACTGAGTATGTTGCAATGTTTACCATATTCATTTTCTTCTGTGCTCTGATCTTTTCAGTACATTACTGAAATAGGAATATGGTATTATCACATCTTGGCAGCTCCATGTGCTCCCTTTCCTCATGCCCTTAATTCTCTCCATATACCTTACGTCAGTAGTAATTGGGTAATTAGGCAGAAATGCTGTCGCCTGAGTAAGGGTGTAAGAAATGTCTCATTGAACAGAATAATCTTTCTTTGTACTCATGATTCATTTTTGATATGCTACAACTCTATCAGCAGGGAAACTTTCCTCCCTGTCGAGATTCTAACAGGCCTTTAAGACAAGAATAGACGGAGAGGTTCTGTTATTAGTCTCAATTCTGAGGCAAATTGTGTTATTCTTCTATAGTCACATTTTCTGCCCCACAGTATGAGATTTTCGGAGATGGCAGAAAAGTCTTCTGTTGAGGGTTTTATGAATCACAAGATAAGGGTTCTATTGTGGGCCACTTGAAGAAAATTTGTAGCTGATTTGGCTTTTAAAAAAGCTGGAAGGCATTTCTGGAAGTCTGAAGAGCTCACTGGGTTATTTGGTTTCAACTCCATTTTGATGCAGTGTATAGATATCCGGAGCAAAATGCCCTTCCGTGGAGAAAATTCTGTTTCTGGCTATCAGTTGCATCATGATTCCCAAGCAAATAGCTGAGTAAAAGAAAACATCCCTTAAAGACTCTACTGCATTCTTGTAATAAATCACAAAAACATTGGTATCAGCTTTCTTAGTCATTCTGTGAGACTATAGTTAAGAATATTTCCAGATGTGTCTTACTGAAAAGAAGGTAATTTTCTTTCATGCACAAGAGATCCTTTCTTAACATAGAAGGGGAAAAAAAATCAAACACTTTTTAGTCCTCTGCAGGTGACAAAATTTCAATTTCCTGTATTCTTAGACTGCTAGCATTTTGCTCTTATCCCATGAGAATGAAAGGAGATATAATCATAAGTCAACAAATACTTCTAAGGTAATAGAAATGAAGGAGGCAGTTTTCCAGTTTCCTGACAAGGTAGCTTCATGGAACAATAATCTGAAGAAAAGAATGCACAGGAATGGAACTGATTGCTTGGGCTTGCGGTAAAGAAACGATCCCTTCAAATATTCAAGTTAAGGGCAACGAATTTCCTTAATGAAATACTGAGTTGTTATCCAGGATAAACAGAAACTTCAATGGAAATAATGTCCCAATTTGTCAAAATTAATGATAGACCAAGTCTTTCAAATACAAATGGCAAACGTAGTGGAAATTTTTGTCTTCTTGTAATCGCATTCTTGGTTAGTGGTAACTGAAGCACAAATGGATCTATTACAGTCTAAAACTCTCCTGCGTAAATTGATGCTACGTGTAGTATCACAGTGTGACACCAGTAGAGATCTTTCGTGGTCTAGAATTACAGACTATATTTATTTTTCTCTCCCATTATCCTACTCCTGCCCCTCTATTCTCAAGAGATAAATGCAATATAGACAGAGCCTTATATGAACTATCACTATACATCTCCATTTTAAAACCATGTAAGTTAAGGTGTGTCTGTATTCCCCAAGGATTATGTGAATACTTACTAAACAATATAAGAGTTCAGAGATTCCCAAATGTATTTCATTTTAGTCACCTGGACTACTA
Source organism: Homo sapiens (assembly GCF_000001405.40). Classification (NCBI taxonomy): domain Eukaryota; kingdom Metazoa; phylum Chordata; class Mammalia; order Primates; family Hominidae; genus Homo; species Homo sapiens. The sequence continues at coordinate 78,866,623 of NC_000003.12, read as the reverse complement.
TGCAAATTTACCCTACAACAATGCATTATTACAAAATATATCTCTGGTTCTAGCTCTATATAATATTAGCTTCTTTATTTTATTATTTTTTAAACCATGTACATTCAAGGAAATGGCATGGGAGGGTGCGAATGGAAAGAAGGGTTCTATAGTCTATAAATTTGGCAAATAGAGGCAAAACAGATTTCTTAATGGTGGCATTTAGCAGTCCTATCTTCTCTACCTTATTTTGGGCAAGGCATCCCTTTTTAGGCACTGGTGATCCGAGGGACACCCATGGGAAATGCTGTCCTGTATGAATTTTTTCACTCACACAAATATTAGTATTTATAAACAATGAAATAGTTTTCTAAATGCTCTATTGCTTTTGATTGACAAATGATTGTTATTCATCTATAATAATTTTGTAATATTGTTGTCTTTTATTCCCTTTTCCTGTTTTAAATTTAATTATAAGCAGACTGACAATTACAAGTATACAAATATTCATATAAAATACAAAGAAAATAAGTATGTTTATTTTCCATCATGCACAATATTTTGAGTTTGCTTGATGAACATGAGACAGATTTTCCAAGAAATATCTTTGTTACAGTTGAATTTGGCTGAATCCATCTGTTACATATAGATATTGATACAGATATTAGGAGATCTATATGTATATCCTCTATTCGAGAGCTATGTCCAGTGTTTGAATGTAAGGCTAAATATACTTTATATTGGAATGTTGGTTTGTCAACTAAGGAGTCTTGTCCTTTTGAGTTAGCAAAGTGTAACTCTAATGAGCTGTAAATGTATAACTGTATTATACAAGACAATATGTTATATGTATAGTAAAAAAGAGTTCATCCATGGCCAGGCACGGTGGCTCATGCCTGTAATCTCAGCCCTTTGGGAGGCCAAGGCAGGAGGATCACGAGGTCAGGAGATCAAGACCATCCTGGCTAACACGGTGAAACCCCGTCTCTACTAAAAATGCAAAAAATTAGCTGGGTGTGGTGGCAGGCACCTGTAATCCCAGCTACTCGGGAGGCTGAGGCAGGAGAATCGCTTGAACCTGGGAGGCGGAGCTTGCAGTGAGCCAAGATTGTGCCACTGCACTCCAGCCTGGGCGACACAACGAGACTCCATCTCAAAAAAAAAAAAAAAAAGCGTTCATCAAGCCATGAAGTTTTTGTGAGACATTCTTAGGTTAAAACTAGAACAACAGATTTATGTAACCCCAAATGAGTAAAGCATATGGTGGTGAGAAAATATTTTATCATTTTGATATTAAAGTATACTCACTAGTTGTGATAAAAATCAAAACAATGTAGCATTTTCACCACAGAAGTATTGCTGTGACATTTATGGCAATTTTCACAGCAATTTATTGTTATTTATTTGGCATTGATTATACATTTTGTTCCAGTTATTTGTTTTTCCCCTAAGTACTGCTCAAAGGGATCTGTGGTTGAGTACTCCAGTTCAAATTAATAAGTCAAATATGAAGACATACATCCTGATCTAAACAGTTTCCCACAAGCCAGGCAAAATAGTTGTGTAGTATCACCAGTCCAATTCAAATAATGTATCACATTTGAAAATGAGTGAATGGTAATGCAAAAATAGAAGTCTGTTTTAGTAAAGATATTGCCACCAAATACAAAAAAGTAGCGATCAAACGTGAAAATTTATCAGGTGAAAGAAAATTATAGCCATTTTTTCAAACCATTTATAATCACGAAGATCTTATAATTAAACATTGGGTAGTAGTAACCCTTTTTCTTTATACTTCTTTTTTTCTTGCTCTCCTCTGAAAGAAAAATCTTTTTTTTTTCTTGTGTACAAACAGGGTTAAACTAGAGAGGTGACTTAAAAAAAAGTTCTACAAAAGAACATAGTGTATGTATGTATATATACACACATGTGTATATATGTATATATACATACATGCATTACAGTTAAGATGAGAGGTATAAATTCTCATGATATTACCATTAGATACTAAAATGGTTACATTTAATTCAAAATACATGTATTTACTTCATCCAATTTTGAAAATGAATTTCAAGGTTAATTTAACTTCAATTTAGTAATTAGGAAATTAATCAATGTTCAAATATTATGCATTGCTTTGTAAAAAGTAATGCCTTCTTTATTCCCTTTTTTGTGTCTGAAAAATATATTTGCATGTATGCCATCTTATAAATTAAATGTTATTAAAATTACTAAGGTATAGGACCCTCATGTATATGCTTCCTTGGGGATATGCTATATCAATTTATATAGAAATTCCATCAAATTAAATTGCTTCCACTAGGCAATTAATTTGTCTTCACTTTAATAAACATTGTGGATGCCAGAATTATTTCTTTTGGCTAAGAGCTACCATCATTCAAGGCAAAGGAAAGAGTTCAAGAAAAGGTAAATGGCATTCCCTTATAAGCCATGAAGCCAACTGTTTGTTTTGTTTGCTTGTTTTTAGGAGGAGAGGGATGAATAGGATTGATTAGTGTGGTTTGGAAAGTAATAAGTTAACATATTCCTCCTGATGAAGAAGGAGTAAATGTAATTGTGAACTACGTAAATAGCATAGAAAGCAGCAAGCAAGCTATCTGAAGGCCCTTATATTGCTATGATGGCAGTAATCCCTTAGCACTTTACAGGCAACAGGTTGCTGTAACAATAAATTTTAATTGCAGAACATAAAAAGTTATGTTATTCTCAGCTGAATCAGTGTGCCATGAATTCTTCCATACTATCCCAGATGAGACATATGTCAATCTAGCACTCACCAAAAATGATTTTGACGGTGGAGGGACTCTCCCATCCCTAACTCTTTCAACTCCTGGTAGTTGGACCAGAAATAGCTTGCAGTGCAATGCCGACTGCATTTGTTGGGTATATTTTGGCATATTTCCCTAGCCTTCTAACTAAAAGCAGCTGAAATTTAACTGAAAGAACATGGTGGACTGAAACCAAGTATATGAAATTTCAGATTCAAAGAATCCCCTGAAATGAAGAAACTATAAAACAAGTGTAATTTTTGGCTTTAGTCCTGCAGTTTCTGAGAGGAGCTGTTGGCTCAGTGGTAGGGAGATTACCTTCCCCAACCCCATGCATGCAGTTGACAGTCCCTCGGCAGAACCTCCTTTGCTGGCTTACCCCTGGCTAGGTTTCTGCATTCACACGGTTTCTTCACACATAGTTTGCACATTTCCCCCCTGGCTGCTCCTTCCTGCACTTAGTTGTAAAAATCTGAAAGTTGGTAGGGAAAAATACAAGTATGGGCTATATAAAATAGGAGAGAGTTTCAGTGGATGTCATAGGCTCATAGAGTTCTAAATGGATCAGATATTGATAATATTTGTCTCTAAATTGCCTGTGGCCTGTACCACTCACTAGGTGTGAGACACAGGGCACGTTAGTGAACTCATTTTTCCTGTTTCCTCATCAGAACAATAGAGACTTAGAGAGACCATTCTATGGGTTTACTGAAAGAATTAAATGAGATATGCCATACAGAACATTGCCTGGTTCAGAGTAAGTACTCAATAATGACTTTCCGTAATCACTGTTGTTGTTTTTCTAGATATTAAACTGCTATAGAAGTAGTCAGTTATTTCTTCTGAAAACTGGATCTTATTAGGGCAGCATTAGCTTAAGCTTCATTAAATAATGTCTTCAGAATTCAGAGCTGGTCCTTGATATTTCTAAGCTGCTATTTCTCAACTAATTGGAGTAGAGAAAGTATGGAGGGGAATTTAGGGAAATGGTGTATCAGAGTTACCAAAATGACATGATGCTCTGGAAATTCTGATATAAACATTCCTCACCCAAGTACTACCCTCTGCTAATTGCTGAGAGGTTTATATCATATCTCTGAAGTATCTTCAGGGTAGAAAAAAACTAAGGACCATATTTATAAATGATTAACTTTTAACATATTTAAATTTACCAAGGCTTTCCTTGTTGTTGACTTTTCATGGATTAATCAATCCTATGGTACTCTAATACACTCAGATCCTCACATCCTTGACAGTACTTCTGCTTTTAATTTGTTGTAGTATTTTTCTATTGCTGCCTTCACAAATTGCCACAAATTTAGCAGTTTGAAACAACACAAACTTAATATCTTACAATTTATGTAGGTCAGAAGTCTGAGCGGGTTCAGCTGGGTGTTTTGCTTAGGGTCTGATAAGACTGGAAAGAAGGTGTTGATAGGGCTGCGTTCCTTATTCAAGGCTATAGAAAAGAATTCACTTCCAAATTCATTCAACTTGTTGGCAGTTCAATTCCTAGTGGTTATCAGAATGAGTTTCCTATTTTTTTTCTCTCTCCTGTCATTCAGAGGCTGGTCTTTTCTCCCTAAAGATTGCCTTTATGCCTTCTCTTGCTTTCCAGGTGGCTTCACTCCAGCCAAGGTGGTTGAGTCTGTCACACTTAGAGCCTCTCTGACTTCTCCTTTTCCTCCATCTTGGGGTCTAATGCAAGCAGAGAAAATTCTCTGCTTTTAAGAGCTCCTGTGATTAGATGGGGCCCATCTAGATAATCTAGCCCACTCTTCCTATCTTAAGTTCGGTAACCTTAACTACATCTACAAAGTTCCTTTTTTTCATGCAAGCTAGCATATTCACGTGTTCTAGGGATTAAGGCATAGACATCTTTGGAGAGCTGGTCTGTCCATTACCCTTAGGTTGTTGTAAATCTAAATATTCTAAATATAAGCCATAGGCAGGCAGCCTTTCCCTGTTCCCTTTTCTCACTTGTTTGAGCAGCTTGTATTAAATATCATAGGATGCTTAAGAAACTTACAGTCTATTTGGGGAATAAAATCTATATATTTCTAGATATAAGGGATTTCAGAGCTATAAACAAGGTGGCTGAGGACACAAAGGAAATTGCAGTTATTTCTAATGGGAAGAAAAGAAGATCAAAGAAAGAAATCTCTCTTGAATAGGTAGCTTTTGAAGTATGTCCTGAAGGATGTGTAAGGGAAAGGTATTTGTTGTCTTATGAACAACATAACATGAGAGCAAAGACATACACTGTGTTCAGGAAGTGGCATTTTCCGAAGATTCATGGCAATATGTAATGAAAATGGGAATTTGTATAACCTTGTTAGGAGGTTAGAATTCTATAGTAGGAGGCAGTGAAGCTTTTAAACCCCAGGAAATAATGATAAAAGTCATGTCCTAGAAAATTAAAGTCTAGTGTCAATGTGGGAGATGACTGGCAGGCAGGACTGGTTGGAAGGCTGTTGTGCAGAAGGCGTATTAGAAGCTAGGATTGTGCCGGTAGACATGGAAAGAGGCAATTATGTTATAAAACACGTTCAGGATGTTGAATTGAATGTGCAGAAAGGTAAATGTAGAGTCAAGATATGACGCTTTCTAGCCTCAGCAACTGGGAAAGGTGAGGCCATTATTCCAAGATTATGGAGATGTGATGAATAGATTTTCTGAGTGAGAAGATAAGGAGTTTGGATCTGTGCATTTAATACAGATGTTCATGGAATGTCCAAAAGTAAAAATTTGAGAAGGAAATTGAAAGAGTTTCAGGCCAGATATATCTATAGGAAATTCATTAGCATAAATATGATAGTTGAGACAAAAGAATGGGTAAGGTCATTTAATGAAAAAGTTAAGAACAAGAAGCCTGAAAACTCATATTGAGACTAAGTAAGGCTAAACCACATATGAAAATGAGGTAGAAGAAATTTAGTGGGTAAGAGCAATCCAGATGAAACCATCTGGGATACCTGAGAAAAACTCCCACAGTGAGACTTCATAACTGAAGATAGAATTTCGGGTGAAGGTGGGAAAGTTTCCTCTCTAGGAAAAGGTAGCATTTGCTGGAGTGAGTGCAGCTGCAAGTAGTAGTGGACAGCTAAAGATTATACCTCAAGGGTTCTGGAAGGTTCTCGCATGGGCTAAAAATGTACCTCTGGTGGAGCCGAAGCCCACATGGGATGCCACATGGGATCTGGGCAAGGAAAATGAATCAGGGCTGACGGCCCAGTACTGGTTTCAGCCATGTCAATCTGTGGTTAGACTAGTTACTTACATTGAGGAATCTTTCCTCTTTAAGCTCATTTACTTCTATCCTTGTATTATTATGATGATTTTGTTTTGGTCATCTCTCTTAGTCTCCTGGTAAAAATTCTTTGAGGGAAAAATCCATGTTTCCTCTGAACCAAGGAGAAAGTCTTTACTCACAGGTAGACTAGAATAATTAGGGACATCATTTGATTCTTGAAGCAGTGGTTCTCCACCATTTTCCACTAGAAACACCTTATGAGTAAAAAAAAAAAAATATATATATATATATATATATATAGTATATTTCAATTTTCCTCTCAAATTTTTACTTTTGCACATTCCATGAACATCTGTATTAAATGCACAAATCCAAACTCCTTATCTTCTCACTCAGAAAACCTATTCAGCAATCTATCATCTATCTATCTATCTATCTATCTATCTATCTATCTATCTATCTACCTATCTACCTACCTATGTTCCCTTCTTTCCTAAAACCCCTTGTGTCTTTTTTTTTTTTTTGAGACGAAGTCTCGCTCTGTCACCCAGGCTGGAGTGCAGTGGCACAATCTCAGCTCACTGCAAGCTCCGCCTCCTGGGTTCATGCCATTCTCCTGCCTCAGCCTCTCGAGTAGCTGGGACCACAGGCGTCCGCCACCACGCCCGGCTAATTTTTTGTATTTTTAGTAGAGACGGGTTTCACCGTGTTAGCCAGGATGGTCCTGATCTCCTGACCTCGTGATCCACCCGCCTTGGCCTCCCAAAGTGCTGGGATTATAGGCGCGAGCCCCTGCACCGGCTCCCCCTGTTTCTTTGAAATGCACTTAAGCTGACTTTATTTCCCAATGCCCCTTCTTATTGCTATCACATACTGAGGCCCAGCCCACCCAGTTCCTCTCCCTCATGCAGTAATAACTTTAATAGCTTGTTTATTGTTTTTATTTCTAATTCAGTGTCTGTCACCATCTTGGAGATTTAAACACCCAGTGACACCTTCAACACTTTGGCCTTTCAGTTGGCTGACCCCCTTAGCTACAAAAATCTCTTCCTCTATATTCCCTTGGTCCTATTCTAGATATTATCACTATAGGTTGAACAACCAACATTCAAAAATCTGAACTTCACAATATGAAAGTTCATATTTTGAACTTCACCCTTCAAAATATGAAACTTTTTGAGTGCCTACGTGCAGCCTAAATCAGATTTGGGATTTTCAGATTTGGGATGCTCAGCCAGTAAGGTTAATGCAAATATTCCATAATTTCTTTTAAAAATTCAAACTCTGAAACACTTCTAGTTCCATGAATAAGGGATACTCAACCTGTACCAACAACTATACTTTCTTCAAAACCTAAGCTTCAAACTGTCTTTTCTTACATTTATTCTATTGGCAGAACTTTACTTCTAAACACACTCCAGCTCTATCGGTAATATTTCTCTCCACCTCCACTACTGTCACCCTGGCATGACTCACTTCCTCCTGCGGTACTTCAGGGGTCTCTTTCCAGTCTCCCTGCTGTAGTCCACTTGGAAACCCTGCATGGCATAGGACAAGAGTTCAACAGAGAGTTGTGGAATTAATGAGTGATTTACGCACGTTGAGAAAAAAGGAGGTTTGAGATCAAAGCAGTTCACAGAATATGTGCTGAGGTAATAACAGTCACTCTTAGACACTGCCTTCATTACTTTTTAAGTCCTAGAACACCTGACATCTAGATTTGGCTATTCATATTTATTTCATTAGATGAAGTGTTTTGGATACTCACCTACTCTCATTTCAGGCTCCCGCTTTCTATTTTCCTTTTTCTTCTTTTTTATGTTTTCTGGCGGGGGGTGGGGTGGGGGAGGTGGACGGAGTGGGGGTCAGGGTCTCACTCTGTTGCCCAGGATGAAGTGCAGTGGTGAGATCTGCAATATCCACCTCCCGTTCTCAAGCAATCCTCCCACCTCAGCCTCCTGAGTAGCTGGGATTACAAGCCTGCGCTACCATGCCCAGATAATTTTTCTTCTTCTCCTTTTTTTTTTTTTTTTTTTTTGGTAGACAGGGTTTTGCCATGTTGCCCAGGCTGGTCTCAAACTCCTGGGTTCAAGTGATACATCCACCTAGGCCTCCCAAAGTCCTGAGATTACAAGTGTGAGCCACTGCATCTCACCCAGTTTTCCACTTTCTAAGGATCTGCAGCTGCTGAGACTGGCCAACACTGATTCATGACATTGTTTGGGCTAGTGACAGCAGTTTAGGTGACAGCATAGTTCATCATCAACAGTCTGCCTTTGGTCCTGGTGAAGGAGGGGTCTGAGATGACTGAAGAGATGAATGAGAACAGTTTTAGGGGTTTGGGAATTAATCTCTTGCTCCTGATTTCCTGTGGTGTGTCCTGTAAGGGAATGACTGTCCCCGGTTGTTCCTGCTTTCTAACTTTATTTAAATAAGTCTCCTTATGAGCTAGCCACACTTAAAGCCCTGTCCCCCTACTCCTCGCTGTTTAATGATGAAGACCTGTTTGTGGGCTGACAAAGGTGGGGTGGTGAGTTAGCTGGGAGCTGGAGGCATCCGATATTTCAGTCTCAAATCTTGACAATATATCAGGAATTTCCTGTGTTCTACATGACAGTTGAACATTTGTCAGAGTGATGACCTTGAGGCATTGTAAGATTTGGTAACATCAAAGTTTCCATTATGTTCAGTACACTCTCTCTACTGAAAGTAATCCTTCTAGAAAGTAATACTGATTTCAGAGAAAAAGGGTCGCCCTTAACCAAAGGCCTTATGAGTTAACGCCTGGATTTCAAAAGAGGGAGACCAACCTGGGTTCCCATCTAGTTTCACCAATTCCTAGATGTGTATCCTTAGGCAAATTTCCTTAATGCTGTGAGTATACATTTCACTGTGCACCAGCGTCACCTGGAGGGCTTGATAAAACACAGATTTCTGGCCACGTCCAGAGTTTCTGAGTCAGCAGGTCTGGGGTGGGGTCTGAGAGTTTGCCTTTCGAAAATGTTCCCATATGATGCTGATGCTGATGCTGCTGGTCTGGGAAAAACACTTGGAGAACCACTGCCTTAACTTCTTTAAGTCTGTTTTCTCATATCTAAAACAGGAATATTTAGAGTTGACATCTTTGGGGCTATTGAGAATAGGGGACACTTCAAAATACCACACTCAGAATAAGGACTCAATGGATGCTAACTCTTAAATTAATCCTTATGATTAATTGTCTAAAGCATAAAACATTTAAAATTTTAAAATGTTAAGTTTTTAAGACAGCTGATTAACCTACTGTGATTGTAAGACATATTTCTCATATAATGTGTACCCATGTCTAATAGATAAAAATGAAACTTGCCTATGAGGCTACAACCTTTTTTATGTAGACATTTTCAGTACTTTACCACATTCATTTGTTTTCACAAATTTGTTGTCTAATGATTATGCCACCCATTTGAGGCCTAAAAAAGCAATTTTTAAAAGGATGAATATTGTGTGAATAAATGTCATAAATAATATTTATCATCAGAGCTCTAATTGTTGATTTTTGAATGAGTATAGATACAAATGCAATTGTTTTAAAGACTGACTTGTCCAATAAAATTAGCCTTTAGTTAATGCTGTAAACATTGTTAGAAAAAATCAAAGCTTAGTTTGAAATGAGAATTTTAAAAGATTAAAAATAGGCCTAGGAGGTGCTTGTTAGTATTAGAGAAAATAATGGTGAGACTTTCCAAATGTCTTTCTTTTATAGGATATTTTGGCTATCTAGAATGCGCAAATGTATTTTAATAAAATGCAGATTATTCATTAAACTGTATATATAAAATATATAAAACATTGAACAGTGTTATATGAAATATAATTTTTAAAAAGAAAACACTTTTTTCTTTCATTATGTACTAAACATAAAATATATCAAAGGAGATTGGGTAATTTTTATTTTTATTTTTATTTATTTTTATTATTTTCTTATTTTTATTAAGTTGGACTCCACCTAAAGGTCAGGGCACATAAGTAGATATAGACTTCATTTGATATAGCTTGGACTCTTGCAATTATTGGTTATACGCTAAATGTTGAGAGAATTAATTGCATGTCCTTACAATGTTTGGGTTACCTTGAAAAATTCAATGACCTTCAAATTTATGATACTATATTTTATCTCTCAGGATGACATCCTTGTAATAAGCATAGGAAAGTTATTTGGCTTCAGATAGCGTCTATAGTCTTCTGGTGACATGTTTATTCACTTTGTTTATGTGGTTGTTCTTGGCCTTTTCCCCTGGATTTTCTCATACTGTTTTTTTTTTTTTTTCTTTTTTTTGCTAGGTTATTTGTTGTAGGTTAAATGTACCTCTCAAGTTTAGCTCCAGTTTTTGTGTTCCATGTAAAAATGTATAATGAGGCCTAGAAACAGTAATACAGATTTTGTGTTTAAAACTGATTTCTTATGCTGAAAACCGTAGAGGAATTACAACCATCATGTAGATTACTTAGGAAATAGATCTTCCTTTTAGAATGTAATTTGTTACTCTGAAGCTTGAAAAAAAAGAAAAAGGAAAGTTCTGGTAGTGTGTCATTTCTGAATATTCCCTTGGAATTGACTATATTTTGAGTTTTAAATTTTTCTCTTCTTAGTATAATAAAAACAGCATGTAAAAGTAATTTTTGATCCTGATAACGTTTCCTGGTTTCATTTCCGTTAGTATTTAAAAAGGAAAAAAAAATATTCTCCAAAGTTTTCATAATTTTATGTTGACTGAGTGAGGTGTTTGTGATACTTTTTCTTTTGCAATTCTTTGTTCATATTAGGATTTTTTAAAGCAATTTTTTTTTCTGTTTAATGATCTTTAAAACAGACGTTTCTTCCTTGTTATTCTTGTCTGTGACCTAGTCTTAAAGTTAAGCTTCAAGTAATGCTAGTTTATCAGCTGTAACAGGATACAGCATGAAGTCTGAGCAGAAAAGTTTAAAGACACATAATAATAAGTAAAGCATAGCTTAGTGAGGTTATCTAAGAAATTTTAACTCTTAAGGACCATCTAATTTGAATACTTATGATATAAAATGTTAATGAAAAAATCCACATATCCTAGCAGTGCGGAGGTGTTTCATTTGTTTAAAGCAAATAATCTATCCAGGTATTGTGGCACTGGTGAACTTGCCTTGGTGAATTTACAGTTGCCCAGGCTCTGCCTGACTTTGCAGGCTTGGAAAACTGGTTTGTTAGCACTCCAAGAGCAGATCTAATTCTCAGAGTAGACTTACGTTAATCAAGCTCAGAGAGACGTATTAGTATGTGAACCAGAATGCTAACTTGGGCACTTAGGTTCTCCAGACACCAAATCTGTTTTGAATAGTCGAACTACAAATGCAGACTCCATTTGGGATACTGCTGGGTGAACATGAAATCAGCGTAAGTGATCAAGGTACCATTCAAGTGTTTAGTGGCTTCAGGCTTATGGTCCTTATGGCTTTTTTTTTTCAAATCAGACACTCTGTGTGTCCCCAGGAAGGGATAAATCATGTGCTTATATATTGGCATACTCTTCAGTGGATCATAGTTGGATGTTTAATCCCAATAAAACTTCTGTTCTATGACCTTCCTTTTGTTTGTTCTTTTGCTGACCAACTCACATCCTTTTCAAGATAAAACCATGTTTTTTAAGATAGGTTATATCATTCTATCGAAGTACAAATAAATTTTGGTTCCCTGGAAAACTCTTGTTTGTCCTATGTTTTCTAAAACCTTTAATATTTTGGCAAACTATAAAAGTTAGTTGAAATATGTGAAAGGAACCTATAATCTTCATCGCATTTTTTTAGACAAATTTCTATATTAAAATTGTATGCAATTGCCAACGTGTATCACCTTGGAAAAATTTTAATATTTGCAATAAAATGATTTATTCATGAGTTGTACTATGAATTTCTAAGTCTTGTAGTTAAAACAGTTTATTGCTTGTTTCTAATTATAAAACTAATACATGCTTTTTCAAGAAAATCATAGAATAGAGACATGAATAAAGAAGAAGTTAAAATGTATTAATAATCCTGCCACACAAAGAAAGCCCTTCTTAATATTTTTGCATATATATTTTTGACACATAAAAATATTACTTGACTGTTAAGTGATTATATTAGTCAGGGTTCTCCAGACAAATAGAACCAGTAAGATATATGTCTCTCTCTATGTGTACACACACTCCCACACACACATATATATTATATGTATGTATTTATATTTTTATATACAACATATTATATATAATAGTAATAAATATATACTAATAAAAATTATATTTATAGTTTTATATATAATACATCATATTGATTATGTATATAATATATATATTATATATATGTATGTATTCAGGGGAACCATAGAGAAATGGCTCACATAATTGTGTGACTGTGGGGGCAGGCAAACTGAAATTTACAGGGCATGCCCACAGATTAAGGACTCAGGGAAGAGTGGATATTGCCGTCTTGAATCCAAAGGCAGTCTGGGGGCAGAATTATTTCTTCCTTAGAGAACCTCAACATTTTTTCTTAAGGTGTTTGATATGGATTGGCTGTGTCCCCACCCAAATCTCATCTTGAATTGTAGCTCCCATAATTCCCATGTGTTGTGGGAAGGATCTGGTGGGAGATAATTCAATCATGGGAGTGGTGTCTTCCATACTGTTGACCTGGTAGTGAATAAGTCTCATGAGATCTGATGGTTTTATATGGGGAAACCCTTTTCTCTTGGTTCTCATTCTCTCTTACCTGCCACCACATAAGATGTCCTTTTTGCCTTCCGCTATCATTGTGAGGCCTCTCCAGTCACGTGGAACTGTGAGTCCATTAAACCTCTTTTTCTTTATAAATTACCCAGTCTCAGGTATGTCTTTATCAGCAGCGTGAAAATGGACTAATACAGCGTTCAACTGGTTGGATGAGGTTCAGCCACATTATGGAGGGTAATTTGCCTTACTCAAAGTCTACTGATTTAAATTTTAATCACATCTAAAAAATACCTTTATAGCAACATCTAGACTGCTGTTTGAACAAATGACTGGGTACCATAGCCCAGCCAAGATCATACAAAATTAACCATCACAATATATAAATAAATACATACATACATACACACACACACACCCCACACATACATACTATATATGAAATACAATATATATTATATATGTATATATACTGTATATATATGCACATATCCTATACTTAATATTTGTATGTATATATACAAAAATTACATATTTTCTCTCTCTAAATATAGAGAGTGTGTATGTGTATTTGCTGCTCCTCAGTTTTCTGTCTCCTTTATGTGCTACTTTTGCTTAACTTACCTCCTCCTTTCTTCCTCCCTCCCATCACCTCTCCCGTACTCCTTTTCTTCCATCCTCCTTCCTTCTTCTCCCCTGCTCTTCAAACCACTTATATAACTGATGACTCCCAGAACTGTCTTCTAAGCTACAGACTGATAAGTGCCAAATGTTTACTATCATTTCCACTTGAACATCCTGTAGTCACCTCAAAAAGCAAATGTCTGAAATGGAATGTCTAATTTCCTCCAATCTGTTCCTTCTTTTTTTCTTGTCTCCATGAATGAAATTGGCCCAGACAGTTTTTAATGCCACCTTCTTTTTTATATGCATAAACCTATGAACCATTCTATTCCCATTCAGTGGCTACCGTGAATAGTATCTGTTGGCCAAATAGCTCACAATACATCACTACCATTTGTCTTTTCTTAGCTGGTGCCTTTGCCTATATACTTCATCCCTTTGAAACTGTGTTTGTCACACAGTTATTATGAAAACCTATTTGATATGTGAATTCAAAGTTATCATTTCCTTCCTTAAGATCTCTCAAAGGGTCCTATTGCCTTCATGGTAAAATCCATATTCCTTAGCCTGTTACCCAAAGTCTTTCATGATTTGATCCCTGCCTAAATCCTTTGTCTCATTCACAGGAGCCTTCCTTCTCATTGCTAAAATAACAGGGCATAAAATATTGAGGACAAAGGATTAAACACTGGGCAAGCATTAAATGATTCTAATGAAAAATTACAACAAAAATGAATTAAATCATGATGCTGACCACAGTTTTTTAAATAATTTTTGGTTGGTGATTTCTTAATAATAACTGAATTGCCAGTCTCCTGTTAAAGAGTTTTGTCACTGGAAGTATATTTAATAAGAGTTGTTATAACACACTACACTACAGAAAGTAGAACTGACATTCTCTTCCATGCCGAAGAGAGAAATCTCTTATAATGATAAAGATTCTCATTTAATTGGAGTCTCTAGATATGTTACAGAGGTTTAAAGTACTTCTTCCACAAATCATCTTTGCACTTCTACTTAACATGTATTAAATTGCTTTGCTTAATTATAAATATCCTATAATCCTAAATGAGATCCCTAAATGGCTTTAGGGATTGATAGAAACCATTAAAAATGAACACATAATAGAAGTTATGTTTCATTTCCTAGGAACTGATTCTAAATTAAAACATGGATTAAATTTCTGGGAATAACTATACACATTATTTAATGTGTTTCTTAAATTTAAAATATATGAAGAAATTATTATTCATAACCTTATTGATAACTGGCCATAAATGGCCCATAAATGTTTGCTTATACTGTTTAATATATTATCCTAAAAAAAATCACTCAATTTTTAATAGTTTTTTTAATGTGTTGGCTGACAGTCTATACATTATTTTGGATTAAATGAAGAGAATTAACCTAAAGAAATCAAAATCTCAACAGCAATGACTGATTTACCTATTATAAAAGTTATCCATGCTTTTTGTTGTTTTATTCTTAAATATTCTATTAACTTGCTCATTGTATTATTTGTACTTTATATTGATGAGGATCAATAAATGTTACTTGACAGTACTGATGTACAATTTAATAAAATTGATTTATATATTTTCATCTGCTTTCAGGTGCCCTTTCTGAATAAATTTTTATAGTTTATCTGTGAGAATTATTAACCATATTTAATAGATAACCATATGGTAATAAAACAGCTAACAGTTATTGAATGTATTCTGTATGCCAGGAAATGTGCCAAGTGCTCTCCATGGAGTATAATATCCACAGCTACTCTGTGATGAGGAAAGTGGGACCTGGTTAGTTAGAGTCCCGACTTACCCAAATGCCATAAGGACTGGTAACTCTAATCATTGTCTTTTTAATGACAGTATTCATACGTAAACTAAGAAGCATGTGCTTTTAAAATGTAATCTTATATGTTTAGAATTATTTAAAAGAGGTCTAGTTAAGAGCAAAAGGTAATAAAACATGTTATCCTTTCAGTTGAGGTGTTTTCCAGACCAGAAAAGGACTTTCCAGAGACAGAATCATCCTGTTTATCTTCTAGAATCTTCTGCAATTGTGTTTTCTACCTTATAGTTTAAATAGACCAATAAGAAGGACCAAAAACAACAACAAAAAATGACACAAAGAAAATGATAGGTGTGACCGGGCGTGGTGGCTCACACCTGTAATCCCAGCTTTGGGAGGCCGAGGTGGTGGGTGGATCACCTGAGGTCAGGAGTTCGAGACCAGCCTGGCCAACATAGTGAAACTCCGTCTCTACTAAAAATGCAAAAAATAGCCAGGCTTGGTGGCAGGCACCTGTAATCCCAGCTACTCAGGAGGCTGAGGCAGGAGAATCGCTTGAACCCAGGAGGCGGAGGTTGCAGTGAGCCAAGATAGCTTCATTGCACTCCAGCCTGGGCAACAAGAGTGAAACACCATCTCAAAAAGAAAAAAAAAAGAAAAGAAAAGAAACAAAGAAAAGAAAGAAAATAACAGGTGTAATTTACTGCATTGAGTGGTACCCCAATCCAAGAAGCAGCATTTCTGTTTGACGTCCTTGTACTCCACTATCATCAGTGCTCGTGCCTTCCTATCTTGAGGTTATCTCATCACATGGCCTGTTCTTATTCTCATAACCCTCCTCCATGTAACAGTTTCTATGGGATTTTTGTTCCCTAAAACCCACAGATATTTTTGTTATAATCTGTATTACATATTTGCTCCAGTATTCTACCTATGACATTTATTACTGAGCAGCAGAAGAGGATAACATAAAATAAGTTATTATTTTGTTATGTTTTTCTTGTTTATAACCATTATTTTCTGTGTGACTGCTTTATCCCTTTGTTATTAAACTTGTTATCTGGTTTTAAAGTTAATATTAAAATTGCTGAGAAATTTTAAAATATAGACTAGTATTACTTCCTTTCTTTTATTCAAAAAATTATTGTCCTTATTTAGCTACTCTGAAATAAAGCTTATTAACACACATTTGAAATTCTGTAGCCAAAAACAATGCTCAATGCCATCCCAGAGGGGTAATTTATAGTCATGTATCACTTAGTGACAGGGATACATTCTGACAAAGGTGTCATCCAGTGATGTTGTGGTTTTCTGAATATTCTAGAATGTGCTTATACAAACCTAGGTGATATAGCCTGGAACACATCAAGGCTTTATGATATGACCTGTTGCTCTAGGCCACAGACCTGTACAGCATGTTACTGTATGGAACACCGTAGGTAATTGTAACACAATGGTAAGTATATGTTTATCTGAACATATCTAAACACAGAAAAGGTATAGTAAACTACGTTATAATATTTTGAGACCACAGTTGTATATGTGGTCTGTCATTGACTAAAACATTGTTATGCAGTGCATGACTATAAGAGTGTGTGTGTGTGTGTGTGTGTGTGTGTGTGTGTGTGTGTAATGGGAGAGAGAGACTGACTGTAAACAAAAACATGAAAGGCCTATTCTAGTCTTATCTGTCTGAAAGATATTTGAAAATCATGAATTAAACAGTAAAGGTTAGATGTTACTCCGAGAACATGCTTTGAACCTCCTGTCAAATCTCTTTACTCTTACATCTTATGTACCATAGCTACAAAAGGAAAATGATATGATGTGATTTTATATATATATATAAAACTTATTTTTAAATGACACAAAGACAACATTCTGTGATATTTATTTTCAACTTTTCTTAGTTGTTATTGTTATAATAACTCCAGACTATCAAAAAGAGACTAACTGTTGCTTTGTGCGCTCCCAAAGGGGTGATAAGTAAAATCACTTTCACTCAGCCAGACATGTGAAAGTGCTGTCCTAAAAGGTCCTATAAAAATTTGACCATTTTTTCATATGTAGTTATAACATGATATAATGAAATGAGAGATAAATTGGGGTCCAAAATACCGAGGTTTCTGCCAAAAGCTCTCTAATAAACATGTGTTTATGAGAACATTTGCTATGTTTCCCTACAAGTAAGTGAAGGGAGTTGGTTAAGATCCCTTAAACTTTTATAATTTCAAAGCATTGCTCCACGGAATTGCCCACCCATCATGCCCACTAGAAGATCTAAAACACACCTCAAGCTTACTGTGTCCAAAACAAATATTTAAAGACTACTCCACTCACGGAATTCCCCAGATCAGTAAATAGAAATTCCATCTTGTATTTGCTCAACTTCAATCCCATGATGTCACCCTTGACTCTTCTCTTTCCTTTCATGCCCCCCATCCAATCCATCAGAACATTCTGCCATCTCTACTTTAAACATATGTCCAGCCTCTCATCCTGATTTTCCACCACCATTACTATGGTAGACCGAGCCACCATCATCTTTACCTGAAAATTAGTGCGATAACCACTTAAGTTAGCTCCTGGCTGGCTTTCTCTGCCCAGCCCCCACACCCTCTTTCTTCTCAAGGCAGCTAGAGTGATGCTTCTACAATGTAGGTCAGGTCATGTGCTACTTTAAACTTGGAGATTAGACAGACTTTAAGATAAAGTCTCACTTTATGTCAAAGCCAAGATCTGTGGAAGGATTACAAACCTGATAATGATCGCTGTCCTTCTTCACCCAACCTAATCCTTTCTGACCTCATTTTTCCCACAGTGGCTCACTTCTCTCTAGACTTGCAGGACACCTTCTGCGTGGACCATTCTATCCCCAGATGCCCACTTGGCCCCTCCCTTCTCTAAGGTCTGTGCTGTACAAGAGTTGCTAAGACAATTCCCTGACCTCCTATATAACAGCAACCTGCACCTCATTGTATACTTTCTTACCCCTTTACTGTGCTTTAATTTTTCTACTTAGTACTTATCACCATGACAGCAGAGACGCCTTTGTTCACTACCTTATCCTCAGAATCTAGAACAAATTTAGTTGAATGAATGATTGACTGAATGAAAATATTAGGTTGGTGCAACAGTAATTGTGGTTTTGCCTTTAAAAGTAATGCAATTACTGTTGCGCCAATTTAATATTTCTTAGGGAAGTTGTGATGTAGCTTTTTTAAAATTTCTACTTTTAAAAGTAGATAAATAAGTTAAATAAATAAACATCTATTTTGCCCTTTAAGATAGCTAATAGGCCAGTTTGAACTAACATATTTCCTTGGTTGTTGAGAAACTATAAAAACAGAATATTTCCTGTGTTCTCAGTGTTACTGCAGTTTGTTTTCAAAAAAGTAACAGTGTTCTTAGCATCAAAGCACACAGTTTGGTTTTATGTTACCTTTTGACAGGAAAAAATGGGAAAAAAAGTCAGAAGGATTATTAGTTACTTGATCAATTTTATAGCCTATTGTCATATTTCTCTTTTTCTAAATGCACTGTTGCTACACATACTAAAACCATTTTATGTATATGAAGTATCATACATTCCGTTATCTTAACTTTTCACTTTACCTGAAAGCCTGACTCATTGCAAATGAATGGTGAAGAATTTCTAGACCAAGATGAGCTGCTCTGGTTTATTTCCACCTTAACTTGCTGTGTGGCCTTGAAGAAGTTATGTGGCTTTAGCAAATTAGGGCCCTTATCTTTAAAATAATCGTAATAATAGGTATAATAATACCACTCTCTCACCTACCTAACTGAGTTGTTAAGGTTAATAAGATAATGGCTGTTTAGAATTTTTTGAAGTCCTTCGAAGGAAGGTGTTATTATTTGAAAAGGGAAGTCTTACATTTTTCTGATATTTATAATTATTTTGGAGAAGTGCTCCACCCAGATATTTTGGCATAGCTTCCCTTACAGGTTCCTGGAGGCATGTTTGCCTTCCTTAGACAACTATTTTGAGGTACAACTTCAGGTACTCTACATTCTGGCGGAACTAATCTCCACGAGCTACCAGCTTTGCACATGCGTTCTGCAGTATAGCTGTTAAAAAGTAACACACGGTGGCCTGACACATTTCTGGTCCCTATTATGTAAGATACACATTTGCCAAACTTCCATTTTCTATTACAGTAAGTTGAAACTTTAGAAGTACCTGTCCAAGGTAAACTTAGTTTCTTAAGAAGTTATATTCCATCCTCCATATGATTTCATTTAGTCAAGATAATGTCTCAGAAGTGGATATCTTTAAGAATCTAAGAGGATTTCCCCTTCCCTTGCCTTTAAAAAAAATCATTTCATTTTGCAGCCTGGAGCCTAGATTTGATTAATCGATTTCCCTGTTCTATTTAAGGATTGTTTTTATTAATGCACTTTTCAAGCTGAGACACAGCATTATCGCCTTCTCCATCATTGTACTAAGTGTTGAGATCTGAGCAGGCCAGCTGTAGCAGCTGTGTTTCCCCTTGGATCTGAAAGCTAAAAACTTTCATCTCCTTTGCTGTCTCAGCTGCTAGTCTGAGGCTATGGCCTTCCCATAACTCAAACCAGTTTCAAAGCAACGTAAGTAACCTCTTTGGAATGCTTTTGGAAAACCACAGAAAGGTTCTTTAAAAGTACACCACTTATATACTTTAAATGAATGTTTCCATTTTAAGGTAATAACAGCATAATGTCAGGAGTCAACAGATGATATTTAACTACACTTGGACATAGTGTAGACATGTCTATATAGACCAATTATAAAAAAGAAAAGAAACACCAGAATCTTGTGTTGGTATCCTCAAAATGATCTGATAGTGGTGGAATGTCTGAATCAAATATTATATTTTCAAATATTCTATTTATAAAGTGATATTTTCAATAGGCTTAAATGCTTTTTTCTGATACAAAATAAAATGTGAAAAGATGCCATCGTGAAAAATAAAGATGATATTGATTATCTTTACTGGTGAGAAGGCTTGAACTCACAGGGAAATGTCTAAGAGTGGACTTTGGTTTACTTGGGGTTTGGGGAGGATTTGCATCCATTTTAATTGCAATTAAATTATCAGTAAAATAAAAACATGGCTGCTGATTTATAAGACTGTAAGTCATTTGAGTAAAATTTGACATTTACCTCCAAGAATACCTCTGGACAAGAAGAACAGCCTTTGTTTTTTATATTTGTCTTGGCTTCATGAAGGAAATTACCACTGGAACTTCACTTGTACTGACTATGTGGTGACTTAACTAAAACTCCATGTTGCAGTTTTGTTTGTAATTACAAAAAAGATTACACATTAGATTTTACATTTATATCTTTCTTACCATCTCCCTAGTGTTTAGTGGCGAGAAGCCTCATCCTAGGGCAATTGGCAGAGGAAAAAAAAAATCTTTGGGGCTAATTTCTATGTGTACTTGAAATGTTATATAAAAATAAACCAGGTTTCAATGTTTCAGAGTCTCCAAGGGCCACCTTTACAAACCAGCGAAGTAGGGAACACTACCAGAGTACAGGAAGAATAATTTATTAGTCTGAAGAATTCTGAACACATTGTTTTTAAAAATGATTTACTGCATGGATTTCAAAGCTTTTCTTCATAATCACGTGTATTACCTTATCTGAAAAGGCAGTTTATTGCACTTTTCCAGAGCAACTGCTTGTGCTACTGGGGGATTAAAACAGGTAGACATGCTACCACTTTCCCCTCCGGGGGTTCCCCAGACATGATGGGCATTAGGCTTAGCTTCTAGTGACCTATTCTTGAACCTGTGCCATTCAAAGACAGCATTTGCTTGTGTATTATTTAGAGGGGCCTTTTAAAAAATTCTGTATGCTTTATGAAAATATTTTCTATAATTTATTCAATTTCTTTCCAGTAAATATTTTTCTTTTCATTAGGAAATATATGTGTGTCTGTATAAACACACACGTAGATATCACACACTAAAGTGTATACATATAAAATACAAGAGAAATATACTGTAAGCTACAAATATGAGCCACATGTGTAATTTTAAATCATAGCAACAATAAAAGGAAAAGGAAAAAGGTACAATCACTTTAAAGAATATCATTTAACCCAGTATAATGTGAGCACTTTAAGGTGTAAACAATTTAAAAATGTTAATGAGATCTACACTTTTTTCATATTAAATCTCTAAAATCTGTGCACATTTTATACTTACACACATCTGAATTCATGAGAGATCTACACTTTTTTCATATTAAATCTCTAAAACCTGTGCACATTTTATACTTACACACATCTGAATTCATGATATTCACAGTAGTTAGTGGCTACTTATTAGGCAGCAAAAGGATAGGATACATGCACACTCAAAGACTTATTTTGTAATAAGTCTTAAGGTAGAACTTGAGGAATTCTAACCAAATCAAATTGTGAACATTTTTTTCTTCAATCTACAAGACTAAAGTTGATATCAGAGTGATCTTTAATTTAACATAATTACCTTAGTTATAGACATATGTCTTCAAATCCACAAATGTTAGGCACATGCTTATTTGGTGGTGCACTTAATCCTACACCCTCATTTTCTAGAGACTGCTTTGGAGGAATTTCAAGGTTTTACCTACACTCAAATGGAAGCAGGATTCACTAATTATTGAACCATGAGGCCATCCTAACGTCCATATTATTCACAGAATGTATACTTTCTTGAAAATATATGTAAAAATTTGCATTTAAAATATTTTCAGTGTTAGATTTTGACTTTAAACTTGTATTTTGTTATATTTATGTTTATATTGAGGATCAAGTGTATTTTCAGGTGAGGTAAAAGAGCAGGGAGAACAATGTTACCCAAGCACACGGTATCCCTGAACCCTCTAAATGATTTGCCCTTTGCTCATAAATCTTTTGCCATGGTCAACACAAAGCCTAGTATTGATTTACCAGCGAACCATCTTGTCATCTCTGGGCTCAGGTCCTTTGACCTTTTGTTTGTTCCTGTAAAATTACGGCATATCACAAACTTCTTTTCTAATAGGTCCTTTAAACTTTGAAAGGCCAAGAGACTCTGCGGGAATATATTAAACAGTTGGATAATCCAGAAAAAGGAGGTTAAAAAAATAATTGCAGACAGGTAAAGGTCAGAAAAATCTTTATTGAGTCCAAAAACACAAACAATTCTCTTAGAAGCAAATGACAGAGAAGGAGAAGGCCTCCGTTTAGTTTAGTTCTAACTAAATTCACTTTGAGTTTCTTAGAAAGGCAAATATGTATTTCCTTCATAGTAGCTTAGTAGGGTACAAAGCAAATTTTAAAATGTGGCTGCTTCTAAGCAATGTAAAGGGAACACAAAAATAGCAATTTAAACAACTGTAATCCATATAAATGGAATGATCACAATTTATTTCTCAAAATACCTGTATTGGCATAAAGTGATTTAGTGGAGTTAATACAGTCTTCTTGGTGCTATTTGTCACACACATATAGGCAGGTAAACCCTACAATTGCTGATTTACAGATAAGGCAAAGATAAGTTCAGTAGCCTGCACCTTAATGAAATAAATGTGGGGAATTAGGATTTCCACTTTTGTTCAGCTTATTTCATATTCTTTGACTTAATTGATTGAGAGCTTAATTTATTATATAGGTCCACCACGTGATAATTCCTCTGCTACATATATATTTTATTGCCTGCAAAGAGATTCTTCTCGAACTTTGATTTCTAGGATTATTTTTGCTACAGTTCTATGAAAAAGAATGAAAGTTAGCTTTGCATTGTATATTGTATCATTTGTTTTCAGATTATTACATATCTCTTGTTAAAACTTTTGGAGAAGTATATTATTATTGAAGGAAACTTTCTCCGAGACATACTCCGAAACCTTCAGCTGAGACAAACAGGTTCATCTGATACCTGTTTGTCTCAGGTGATGCTAAAATGCTGTTTTTTCTGCAAGTATAACCAAGTGATGGAACATCAGAGGGCTTTTGGAGAATTGAAGTATATTTAAACAAGAAAGTTGGGCCAAGTATATACCTAAAAAATGTTTCACTCCTCCTTAACAGTCTTTTGCTGAGATCTGTAACACTGTTAGAAAAGGGAATTATGACTTTAAATTCTGCCTTATTAAAGGCGAGTCTCAGTCCCCAATCAGTGAATGAAGGAGGTATTGATTTTGAGTCTGAAAACCAGATTATTTATTTAAATTTTTAAATAGTTAAAACATTCACATAGTTTAATATTCAGAAATTTTAAAAAGGATATTCAGTAAAAGTCCTTTTGCTACCTAGCTCTCCTCCACAGGAAACCCCCAAATTACTAGTTTTAAAAAAATTCTTCCAGATAAATTTTAAGCACATAAAACAAATACATGCTTATCATATAAATAGTAGCATGTTATACATTCTGATATCAGTGCATAATAAACTTCAATCGTATTGAGCTGTATAGTATTCAATATGTGAATTAAATACTTTATCCATTTCCTTCTTAATAAACATTTATATGGTTTCCAATCCCTCTAATGTAGCAAATAGCTCTGTAGTGAATAATCTGGTATAAATGTCCTTTTGAAAGTATGTAAAATTATCAGTAAAATAAATTCCTAGAGTTAACTCACTGCATCAGAAAGTATATGCACCTGTAATTATTTTTAGGTATTGCCAAAGTTTTCTTCCTAGTAGTTGTAGAAATTATTGCTCCAATAGCAAGGCAAGATAGTTCTCATTTTTTAAAAAAAAACTAACCAAAAGTTATTTTTTTTGCCTACCTGATATATCAATATACTTTTAATGTACATTCCCTTTATTATGGGCAATGTAGAGTATTATTTCGTGTGCTTAGGTGCCATATATAAAAATATATATATGGCTCATATATAAATATATAAATGGCTCATATATATAAATATATATGGCTCATATATATAAAAATATATATGGCTCATATATATAAAAATATATATGGCTCATATATATAAAAATATATATGGCTCATATATATAAAAATATATATGGCTCATATATATAAAAATATATATGGCTCATATATATAAAAATATATATGGCTCATATATATAAAAATATATATGGCTCATATATATAAAAATATATATGGCTCATATATATAAAAATATATATGGCTCATATATATAAATATATATATGGCTCATATATATAAATATATATATGGCTCATATATATAAATATATATATGGCTCATATATATAAATATATATATGGCTCATATATATAAATATATATATGGCTCATATAAATATATATATATAGTACGTGTGTGTGTGCGCAAAAAAAAAAAAAAAACAAATTGGCGATTCATTCTGAACCATTTTATCTGCAGATGGCCTGACAGGCAGCAGAGGAGATGGCATTTTGTGCTTTTGTTGCTGATGTTTGTGATCTAAGGCAGGAAGATAGTTCAAAGGAGAGCAAACTGAAGTGGTTCAGGAAAAGAAATGGTTTTCATATCCTTACATAGTGACAAATCTGAGATTTTCAGTCTATAAAGATTGAGTTTGAATTGGATATGATTAAAATTGATAAATCATGCTGTTGCTAGGATGAACATGGATTTGTTACTAATGAAAGGGCTTTATTAAAATTTTAAAATAGTTTGTTTTAGAAAATCTGTTTTTCCATGTTTCTCTCATTCGTCTTTTTCTTATTGATTGGTATGAGTTCTTCATATATTAGGGAAATTGGCTATGTCATAGGAATTGCAAATATTTTCTGTTTCTCATTTATCTTTTGTTTATGGTGTTTTGTGCAGTACAGAAAATTGGGGTTTGAGTAATTAAGTTTATTGATTACTTCTGTTTTTTTATGGATCTAGCTTTTGTTAGAAAGGCCTTCCCTATGCCCAGGGCTTAAATTATTTCCCCCATTATTATTCCACTCCACTTATGGTCAAAATCAGGTAACTGGGTCGAGTCAATTGTCAATAATTCTGGGCACTGTAACTGCTCTGCTGATTAATCATGGCCAACACACTGCAGAGACCTTGTACTTGTTCTGATTGAGGAAGGGAGGAGTTCTTTATGTTTCACAAGGGACTCAGCCCCAACATTTGACTGAACCTCCTTTAAGCCCAAATGGTCCAGCAGTAAGAAGCTGTTTAATTTTAAGGTCTGCTGGGGAAATAAGTGAAAACCAGATTTCCCCTCTGGCTTATTCATAGTTTGTGTATGGTCTGATAATTGAGAGTTGACAGTAATTTAGTTTTACCTGGGATTTTGGTTTATCCATGATTCTTATTCCTCATTATCCTATTTTGAAGTTGACTCTGTGTTATTAGTGTATATTATTTTATTAACATACAACATTGCCTTATTGACATTAAAAATAATGAAATATACTATATAACTTACTTTTTTTTTTTTTTGAGACACAGTCTTGCTCTGTCACCCAGGCTGGAGTGCAGTGGCGTGATCTTGGCTCACTGCAAGCTCTACCTCCCAGGTTTACGCCACTCTCCTGCCTCAGCCTCCCAAGTAGCTGGGACTACAGGCGCCCACCACCACGCCCAGCTAATTTTTTGTATTTTTTCAGTAGAGATGGGGTTTCACCATGTTAGCCAGGATGGTCTCGATCTTCTGACCTCATGATCCTCCTGCCTCAGCCTCCCAAAGTGCTGGGATTACAGGTGTGAGCCACCGCACTCGGCCTATAACTTACTTTTGATAATTTCATTAGTAGAATTAGAAAGCTTGCTCTTGTTCTGTTTGCAACAGCATAAATAGAAATTGACTTTCTATGTTAACTGTAGTTTAATATTCACTTGAACTAAGTGTTTCAATCTTATTACTGAAAGGATTGAGGTTTGATAGTAGAGTGAGTCAGTTATTAGCCGTGTAACCTTGCACGATTATTAGGTACATGGCTTGCAAATGCGACCTCTTGCCTTGGCTTTCTCATCTTTAAAATGTGAATATGAGTACTCTTCTCAGAAGATTGTTGTAAGAAATGAATGAATTAACAACTATAGAGCATTTATACTCATGCATGGCACTTTATTGAGGGCTCAGTAAATTTTAATTATTTTAAAAATATTATTACTCTTGTCCCTATTATGAAATCCAGATTCAGATAATTTGATAGAGGGTGAGTATAAGTGGTAGACTGGCTATAATCTATGGACTGTTTGTTTCATATGAAGGTGCAGTTTTATTCACTTTCAGATATTACCAAATCGCAGCATTTTGTTTTTAAACCTCTGAGACCATATCTATTTCCTTTGGATGATCAGGACAGCTGAACATCTAATCCATTCATTTTGGCCCTCATTGTGATTGAAACAGCTGAATTCATCATACAATGATGTGCTTTGATCATTAAGACAGCCAAAATGAAAGCATTGGCCATGCTGCCTAAGGTCCATTTATTTTGGAAATAACTTTTGACAGGTAAGACACAGTCCCGTATTGCCTTCCTGACATTTCATTGATGTCTTCTGCAGCTTCTGGTAGCATATTCATCATTTAGTTAATACGCTTTTTGTTATCATTTGTTCACTGTTATCTTAATAAAAGTAAACAGATGATTCATGAATTCATAGGGCTGATTCATTCAGAACCATTTTATCTGCAGATGGCCTGAGAGGCAGCAGAGGAGATGGCATTTTGTGCTTTTGTCGCTGATGTTTGTGATCTAAGGCAGGAAGATAGTTCAAAGGAGAGAAACTGAAGTGGTTCAGGAAAAGAAGTGGTTTTCATATCCTTACATAGTGACAAGGCTGGGATTTTCAGTCTGTAAAGATTTAGTTTGAATTGGATATGATTAAAGTTGATAAATCATGCTGTTGCTAGGATGAACATGGATTTGTTACTAATGAAAGGGCTTTATCACAATTCTAAACGATTTTGTTTTAGAAAATTATTTAATGAATATTACTATTTGTCTTTTTTATCCTAATATTTGTTTAATTAATTTACTATGATGCTCCATTAATGTTATCAATGGAGCATCATAGTAAATTAATGAAAAAAATTTCATAGTAATGAAAAAAAATATTCTTTTTTCATAGTAATGAAAAAAAGAATATTCAGTACAAACCCAAAAAAGTTTCTGGACTAGGGAAGGCCACCTATCATCACTATACATCATTACATCATACATTATTATACATCATTACATTATACATCATTATACGGATACATCATTATATGTAATGATACATATGATGGTAGTAGTAATAATTTTTAAAAAAATAACTTAGGATCAGGTGATCAAATATTCTAGCGATCAAACTTTTGTCTTGAATGTTGGACAACTGTGATGCAATGCAATGAATCTTAGCTTTTTACTCTTTGGTATCATCTGGAGAATTCAGCATCTCAGATCAATATGCCTTGGGCAAGAATTCTCAACTAAGGGTGAGAAAATGATAGACCTAAAAAATGATCTCTCTGGACATCTGGAATGAAGGTTTATTGTTTGCTTATCAAACAAGGTAATAGTTAAAAATAGTTGAAAACATGACACTAGCCCAGAGTAAACAATGTTTAACATCTAGATTTAGTCAAGGAGTGCCAGGTTTAATCTAAGAGTGCCAGAAATGTCCATGTTGGGGAGTGTGGGATGAGGAATAAGGTTGAGAGTCCCCTTCTCTTTTTGGCCATATCTTTTTGAGCAAAGACATGTCTAAGTGGAAGAACTGAAAATAGTGATAGGCTGCAAAAGTTTGAATGATTGTCCCCCAAGGCTAATGTTGGACTTTGATCCCATTGTTGGAGGTAGGGCGGGGGTGCTTCCCTCATGAGTAAATTGATGAACTTTCTCAGGGGTAAGTGAGTTCTCGCTCAGCTGGGTCCTTTGAGAACTGGTTGTTAAAAAGAACCTGGCACGTCCCCAATCTCTCTCTTGCTTCCCCTCCTACCATGTGATCTCTTGCACATGACACTCCACTTTGCTTTTCACCATGAGTGGGAGCAGCCTGAGGCCGTCACCAGATGCCCAGTCTTCAACTTTTCCAGACATGAGTATTGTGAGCCAAATAAACCCTTTTTTCCTTTGTAAGTTATTACCCAGTCTTAGATATTCCTTTATAGCAACACAAAACAAAGACAGGCTTTGAAAGTCATTCAATCAAATAATCCACAGGAGGAGAGCCAGACAAGATTGTTGGTCATGTATTCATCCTGAAGTACACGTAGATTGTGATCAGTGCCAACCTGGCCTTTAATTATGATGGACAGCTTTTTTCATTTCTGCAGTTTCTTTTATAATGACCATTTATGGAATCACTGAAAAAGAGGCATAGAAAGGTTAACTTGTAAGTTCTTATCAATCTGAATTAAACTTTAAAAAACAGGAACTAAACCCAAGATGTTAGTGTATTAGCTGTATTTATGATCAGCTTCCTTATGTGTGTAAATATTCAGTACTATTACTAATATGGAAGTCACCTGAAATTGTGATGTAGTTTTTAAAGATAAAAGTGAAATGCTGAAAATGTTCAGGCATATTTACAAATGTTGGCATTTAATTGGATATTAACATTAAGTTAGTAGGTTGACGATATTTGCCATATTTATAATCAGAATTAAGCATTATGCAACATGGCATGTATTTTCCCATCTATTCATCTTGTATTTGATATTTCTGTTTAATCATGTGTATATGTGTTGCTTTATATTGGCCCTGCGTATTTTTTTGTTAATTCAATTTTCGTATACTTTATATTTTTCATGGCTTCAATGACTGGATTTTTTTTGGTATTACTTAACTGGTACATATAGGAAAGGAAACATTTTCATTATTTAGTTTGAATGCTTTCTTATATATTCCCATGGATTTTCAGCTGATAAGTTGTCACATAAGTGCTCATATCATCAAAAAATGATAGTTTTGCCATTTATTCTTTTCCTACTTAATTGCATGGGTATCTCATTTAGAATAACAAAAAATAATTTTGACAGCATTTTTTCTCTTAGAATTTAATAATTCTACCCACTGTTAAACATTGTTAGCTATTGATTTACTAGATAGAAATACCTATTTTAAATCATTTTAAGCAACTATTTTTGCTACTATCAGTAATGCTGTACTAAGCAGAATATATATTAAACAAAAGTCCCCATTGTTTGGTAGTATCATAGGAGAGGTTTCTTAGGCAGATTCATGACTGTTGAGAAATTTTAAATCATGCATTTGTCTATTAACTCAATAAAACCACCAATACCTTTTCTTTATTTAAATTTTGTGCTTACGTTAGGAATGGTTATATCCAACATTGAAAACAATATGTAGCAACTTAGAATGATTAAATGATTTTTAATTGTGAAGAAATTTGATGAACCAACACTTAATGTTTTAATTATCGTATGTCATTTATTAATTGATTTAAAAGTCAATTCATCCGTAATTATGATTTTATATCCATTTTATATTGTTTTTATTTCACACTTTTTACAATATAATTACAATGTGTTTAGGTTTAGGCCTGAAGATGTGATGAGCAGATGAATATTTTCTTTAATAAATGGACAGAAAGTTGTATGGATGTGATAATGACCTCTTTTTGTGTTGCTCTGTGTCTTACAGCAGGTGTTTTCTGTGCTTCCCCTTTCTTTTAGTATGAAAAATGATTTTAGAAGTTATGAGATTTGAGCACTGTAAATTAAAATTGCTGTAATGTTTCTGTTTTCATTCTTACACCAAAAAGAAACATTGTTTACAACCCAATTTTAAGGAAGTAGGAATGAAAATTTTAGAAGACTATGATGTTTTTCTTTATTATCATACAGGTCAGTTGACCACCTTATACAAATTAATACAAAGTAAATGGTTGTTGTTCTGTGTCTTTTTGGTTTAGCCCTAGCAAAAAAGTTATTCTTCTTATTATTATAATCAATGAATTGTCTGCATTATACCTTCTAATGGAAACTATTCAATAGGAGGGATTTTATGTTTTTTGAATAATTTTTTTTTTTGGAGACAGAGTCTCGCTCTGTGTCTCAGGCTGGAGTGCAGTGGCATGATCCTGGCTCACTGCAAGCTCCACCTCCCAGGTTAACGCCATTCTCCTGCCTCAGCCTCCCGAGTAGCTGGGACTACAGGCACCCGCCACCACACCCCGCTAATGTTTTGTATTTTTAGTGGAGACGGGGTTTCACCGTGTTAGCCAGGATGGTCTCTATCTCCTGACCTCGTGATCCGCCCGCCTCGGCCTCCCAAAGTGCTGGGATTACAGGCATGAGCCACTGCCCCCGGCCTGAAGAAATTTTTAAATGGTAAGATTCATAAAAAGATTTGTAGAAAGCTTTGAAAAAAAGCTAAGTTTCTTTCTTATAACTGGAATATGAAAATTAAGGCATTTCTAAGTATTGATTTACAAATTTTACCATTAGGCATATTCTGTCAATCTTTGACAGAGTAAGAGACATCAATTGATTTAGGCAGCATTGTCCAATCATGTATTTTATCATTTGATTTTACTAAAATCCCACATCACTAATTTGTGTACTATACATTTGGTGTAACCCAGTTGGAATAATTCAATTCCATGACAAAATAAGTGAAGTAATTTAAATTTTTCATTTAAGTGCTTAAGGAAAGTATTAAGATGATATGGACAATGTCAGCCCTAACAGTACCATTAATTAGACTTTTGCTTTTCTAAGATAGGAATAATTTTAGTTGAAACCCTAAATATATGACTATGGCTGTAAAATGTTCAATTTGGCGGTCTTACTACATTGAGATGTAGAAGATGAATATAGCAGTTAGAAAATACAGTGAGTTATGCATTTTTCAGTCAATTAAATGTAAGAATTTATAATTCATAGATTGATCATTTTTTAGACAAATTGTCTGCTTAAAACTATGGATATATGCTTTCCCAGTAGGATTTTTACCTAGAAATTACTATTTTGTAATGCAATCTTAAGCACTCCCTATAGGAAATTTAGCAGACAACATTGTAATGTGAAGAATATAGGCTACTGTGTCATAGCAATGTCTTACTTATTTTCATTTGGAGACATTAATAATGTTGCTTATAAACCTGTGGCACTGAATCACTGTCTTTTAAAAATGTAATGTTCAGGTGTCTTGTCTGCCAAGTTATAAATTTCATCTCTGAGTGCTTTTCTGTGTCTTTACTAGCAAATGCTTATCTTGGTGTTTTCTTGGGATAATTTACTTTTCTACTGATTGCCCTTTGTTCCATCTAGAAAGCAAAATAAGACAACATTTGGAGAATATTATTAAATACATAATTTGTAATGACATTACTCACAGAAGAAAAAATATTTTAGTTTCTTGACGTGTGGGGCTTGAGGGAGTGATTGTGATGGAGCCTCCTGTTCTGTGAGTAATGAAAAAACTAGATGACAAAAACATCTGTTTAATATAGAATGGACATTGATTCATCTCTTGGCTTCCCTCTGTTATGAAAGTCCGTCGAAAATGGAAAAATCCCACTAGTAAAACAAATTTAAATGTATTGTTATTAAAGGTGTAGTTGTGGACTCAAGTTGGACTCTACACTTTTTAATTTCATGTCATTATATAAGCAAAAGTTTACATTGTAGAAAAATACTTATGTCTATAATCAGTATGGAAGAAAGAAATTTCTGTACCAACTGTTTAGTGCAACACGATTGTAGTATTATGGAAATATAATCCTTTAAGTAAAAATTTTTAGACCTGCTTTAAAAAAATGAAGTCAAGAATTTGGCTACTTCAGTTGAAAACCAGGTCAACCCCTCAGGTCAGCTTGGTTAGACAGTGCCTAGTAACTCAAGGCCGGATAAAGAAGATTGTCAGTAGATTTAGCAATATTTGTCTTTTAAACTTGGTTTATATTTTTCAAAGAAATTAGCTTGTCTCCATGTTAATAATAGTTCTGATCATTATATAGCATATGCACCCTGATGATGAAATGAATACATATTTGTGGTTTTGATGTTAATATGGAAGTGCTGGAGATGTATTTCTAATAATCAAATATGAAAAGCTCACTTTATTGCTGTCTTTTCCTACATCTAGTTGCCTGCTCTAATATTTGTATTTACTTCCTCTGACCCCCGCACCATCAAGTTATTCTTTCCTTCTGTCCATTCAAACTCTCACTTCCTGTTAACTTTCTTCTAGTAAATACACCTAAGCCGTTCCCACCAAAATAACTTCCTCAAGAACAAAATTTATTCCCAGATTCTCTTTCTCCCTGTGCCCCTTCTTTCTCTCCTCTTTATTAGGACTTTTTGAAAGTTTAGTATATCCTACTTATTTTAGATATTAGCCTTCCATTATCTATAAAAACTGCTTTAATCTTGTTTCGGTCAACACCACTTCATTGTATCTCTTCCTAATTCATTCACTGTTGTCCTTCTCTTTGTAGTACATAAGCGATAATTTTCCATTTCCTACCTTACTGGATCTCCGTACTTTATTTTGAACTTTCATAATATTACTTTGTCAGATTCTGTGAGATTTTATTCTCTTAAATAAGCTTCCCATCCCCTTCTCTCTGCTTATCCCAGAACTGGTGTTTGCCAAAAGTCTGAATGTAGCCCATTGTTTTGTTATTGTTTTATTATTTCTTGTTGGTGCTTTTACTCTGAATATTCCTCCTGGTTTGACTTGTTCAGGATCAGAATGCCAAATATCATGCTGAGTTCTCTTCCCTCACCCCTCAGTTCTTTCTGTGTAGTCTCAGAATTTTTGTACCTAACTGCCTACTGCTTATTGGTCATTTCCACCTTTATTTACCATAAGCACCTAAATCATAGGTAAATGTATGGAACATTAATTGAAGGCCAGGCTCAGAACTAAGTACTTTATGTGTTACTTCATTGATTCCACACAACAATCCTAAGAAAATATCCTGGATTCTCTTTTTCCCTGTCCCCCTTCTTTCTCTCTGCCCCCATTTCTCTCCTCTTTATTGGGACTTTTTGAAAGTTTGATATATCCTAATTATTTTAGTACAATTAAATATATTTTCATTGTTTTGTATAATTAAATATCTTTCATTGTTATTTGTTTTATACAATTAAGATTGGTTTCATACAATTAATTTTAAAAAGATTAAATCTCTTTTTCTTCAGTATTTTTTATATCTGTTGTGAGTGCAACCACGTATCTGGCCCACTAAGCTAAAAACGAAATAATCCTTGACTTTTCCCTGACTGCACTTCTGTCCTATTCCCCACCTCTAATTAACTGTGAAACACGGCTTACTTTATGAACTAGTTTTATGAATGATTTCTAACCTTTTTTTTCATCCTTATTTTTCATTGCCGTGCATTGAGCCCTTATGATCTCTCATGTGGACTATTCTAACAGTGCCTTCACTGATATCCCTTTGAAATCAATCCTGCAGAGAGTGGCCACCGTGATCTATCTAGAATGGAAATCTGACCACATCATTTACTTGTTTAAACATTTGGCTTCTAATTACCTACAGGATAAAGTCCAAGATCCTTAGCATGCGATGTGAGGCCCTCCGTTATCGTGCTCCTGCCAGATCAATGGCCTCCTCTCTAGTCATCCTATACTTTCTAGCTTATTGTATATTAAAACTAAACTGTTAATGGTTTGCTGAATACAGCACCTTGTTTCTCTGCTCTGTGCTTCTACTTGGGTTGTGCTCTATACCAAGAGTGCCTCCTCTCACCTTTGTATTTCCTTTTGGACTTTTCACTGTTATCCTCAAGAAGTACCTCTAAGGTGTTCTTCCTACCTAGCCTAGTTTTTTCTACCAACCTAGTTCACCTAGTTTCCTGCCTAACCTCGTTAGATATCACTCTTCGCTGCTTCAAGAATACTAAAGCAACACTCCTGATATTAACCTACTACTCAGTTTTGTGTGGCAAAACAGAGATCACATCCTATTTGTCTTTGTGTCTCTGGCTGTTAGCACAAAGTTAGCACTTAATTCATGCTCTACAATGTTAGTTGAATAGGTGAGTGACAGAGTTTGTTATCCTCAAGCATCACTGTTTGTTAGTGAGAGGCAGATGTCAAGTAGCTCATGACGTTACCCCTCTTCTGAGTAAAGGAAAAGGAGTAAGATACACCAAGGTCTCTGTGGCCCAGTAATTTAGGCTGAGATCTGCTTTAAAGGCGGAGGCATATACACCTGCATAAATATCTATGTTTACACAAAGAGCAAAAGATGAATCAAGGAAAATATTTTGAGTTTAGAAAGGAAAGAGACTGTGGAGAAAGGTTGAGAAAAGAACCAGCAATTTAAGATGTGTGTAACATTGAATTATCATCTATGAGTTACTGAATGGAGAAAATGAATCTCTTTCAAATGAATAGAAAGATGGATGAGGATCTTTGGGTGACTCTTTTTTGTTTTGAAAATTTAAAACAGCTTCACAGGTAGAAAAAAATAATAAAATTAACCCCCATGTGTGCATTACTAAGTGTTAACAGTTACAATATTTACCAAAGTTGTTTCATTTATCATTTCCTCATACCTGATATGGTTTGGCTGTGTCCTAACCTGAATCTCATATTGAATTGTAGCTCCCATAATTCCCATGTTTTGTGGGAGGGACCCAGTGGGAGATAATTGAATCATGGGGACGGGTCTTTCCTGTGCTGTTCTTGTGATAGTGAATACATTTCACAAAATCTGATGGTTTTATAAAGGGGAGTTCCCTGTACACCCTCTCTTGCCTGTCACCACATAAGATGTGACTTTGCTCATCCTTTGCTTTCCACCATGATTGTGAGGCCTCCCCAGCCTTGTGAAACTGTGAGTCAATTAAAACTCTTTCCTTTATAAATTACACAGTCTTGGGTACATCTTTATGAGCAGTGAGATAACAGACAAATACAATACCACACACTTTTAGTGAATGGTTTTGAGTGGTGAATTAGTCACATATAAACTATCTCATGTCATTTTCTGATAGGTAGGATAATCTGCTATCTCCTCTGTACTGTGCACAACTGAACATCTGTGCTGTGTATTTTATTAGTTAACAAATGCAGTAGGAGACACAGAGAGTATAATGGAGATGAATTCATTTAATATCTCTGACATGCAGTTTACAATCAAAATAAGTACCAAATAAAAACATAAACTACTATTTGCAGGATTTTTTTCCACTTATATATTTATGTATTTATGGAAGAACTTGTAATTTCATTTTTTAGGCAGGTCAACTTTGGTATTTGTGTCACCAAACCTTTACAAGTAATTATTATTGTTTATATCAGAGTTTCCCATTTGTCTGGGAAACACTGAATATGGCTTTAAAACCCAGGGTTACCGGCCGGGCATGGTGGCTCATCCCTGTAATCCCAGCACTTTGGGAGGCTGAGGCGGGTGGATCACGAGGTCAGGAGTTCGAGACCAGCCTGGCCAACATGGTGAAACCCCGTCTCTACTAAAAATAGAAAAATTAGCCAGGCGTGGTGGTGGGAGCATATAATCCCAGCTACTCAGGAGGCTAAGGCAGGAGAATCACTTGAACACGGGAGGCAGAGGTTGCAGTGAGCCGGGACCCTGCCATTGCACTCCAGCCTGGGTGACAGAGCGAGACTCCATCTCAAAAACAAAAACAAAAACAAAACAAACAAACAAACAAAAAACACAAAAAACAACAAAACAGAGTTACCAAAGTAGAAGCTGTGGAGTGGTAGTTCATCAGTAATTATCCAAGCCGTGTTCTAAATCTATTTCTAGATTTATATGCTGGAAACTTTCTGCTAGAAATTCATGAGAATTTCTTTTCCTGTTGCCTCTACTAATTCACAGATTAACATAATGAGTCATAATAATCCCCACATGTCGTGGGAGGGAGCCAGTGGAAGGTCATTTAATTATGGAAACGGTTTCCCCAATCCTGCTCTCATGATAGTGAGTTAGTTCTCACAAGATCTGGTGGTTTTATAAGGGCTTCCCCTTCACTGGGTTTTCATTCTTCTCCTTCCTGTCGCCATGTGAAGAAGGATGTGTCTGCTTCCCTTTCTGTCGTGATTGTAAGGTTCCTGAGGCCTCCCCAGCCATGCTGAACTCTGAGTCAATTAAACCTCTTTTCCTTACAAATTACCAGTCTTGGGTTTGTCCCTATTAGCAGCGTGAGAACAGATTAATACAGTGGATTATAATCTCCAGGGATTCTTCCATCACAGGAGTATGCAACATACATCTGTGTTCAAGTCATGAAGTAATATGGTCAGTGATGAAAGAAACATCAGGAGAGAATATTCTGTTTATGGTAGTGGGCCTTTGTTCTGTTATAATTTGATGCTGAGAAATGTAGGGGTGAACCTTTTAACAATTTAACAGAGACCAAGAGGCAGAAGAGACACATAGAAAGAAAAACGAGACTGGCTGCATGACTGAGCTTTTGTCTCTAGCCATCATGGGCGGATTTGTTTTTCTGACTTTTAATAGAAATTGGATGATGATTATACAAATCCACACTTGGATTTGTGTCACCTTTATATTTACAGCCACACCACACCTATTACGGCTATATAAATTGGGTAGTAAAACCCTGTAAAATTCACCCATAAGTTTGTGTTTATTCATCCTGCCCAATTTCTCTGTTTTTATGTTTTTAAAGCCCTAAGAAAAGGACAGTTTTAAACATGCCAATAATGATAACAAATATTTCTAGATTTCCATCATGAAATATGTTCATACAGCCTGGTCCTTATTTACCCATAGAAACAAGTCACACAACCAACTTCTAACCAGTATTTCTCTTTGTAAGGGAGAATTAGAACTCTTATCTACAACGCTTTTCTTATCTCAAGAGGGAGCATTATGGTTTTCTTCAGGAGTGGAAACAGGCACAAATCTCAGGGCCCATTCAAGAGAAAACAGTAGAGGGGGAAATCATTAGTTCCTGTCGACATAGCCATATTCACGCTATCACAGATCTCCCCTCATGTTGCATGGTGGAGGGGGATGCAAACACACTGACTAGCTCTTATTAGCTACTACACAGATGTCTTGAGGGCAGAAAAATGGACTAGAAGCAAAAAAGGTACAAGACCAAGGCCAGACCAAGCCTACAGAGCTAATCTTGAGCTATCCCCTTAGATTGTGAATGATGCCACTAGTAAAGACAGAAAAAAGAATCAATGAAATTTAACAAGTGTATCTGTAATATATTTTGTTTTCCAAATATATTAAAAATTACACTTGCTTTTTAAAAATGACAGTGTTATAATAACTGTAATTCTTCCGAGATAAAAGGGGAAAAAGCCCTTTTCACTTCATCAAGTATTTATCGAGGACTCACTCTGTTTCAGACACTGCTAGTTTTTTAAAGGGAATTAAATTAGACAATGTAATTACAAATTTATTATCCTACATACTTGAGATGGAAGCTTAATATTATGTTTTTATTACATGACTAAAATCACTAGAATATTCAGATCTTTCTTAGTGTCTTTCCTTACCCGGCTGCAAACCACTGTGCTCTTATGTCATTGAACTTTGCCTAACGGTGCTCTGTAATCTACTAAATGATTCCCTGAGAAACATTCCACACCGCTTCTAACATTAAATAGTTTATTATGAGAATATATGAAAGTTTTTTTTCTATAGTTAGCTAGTTGGTAAACTGCCAGGTTGCACGATTTATATTAGGTAATATTTATATACTTGATTTGATGTATTCTTAGGTCAGGAGCTTTCCCAAATGGGGAGCCACCTATAATCATGGAAAGAACAGGAGACACCAAGATTTCTGACATCCTTCTATGCCTAACAAGCTGTTTGACCTTTGTCAAGGGCAACAGTTTGCTTGTCTTGAAAAATGAGGAGAAGAGATCAGAAATATTCTGAGATCCAATAATGGTTACAATATTCCATGATTCTGACATACCCAAATGATCAAAATTATGAGATTGTGTACTTTGGGATTGAATAGAAAATTTTCATTTCTTTGTAATTAAATTCACACACCTTTCATTATCCCATTTCTATGATGGAAACATTTGTTTTAGGGTTAGTATGGTAGCGTGAAACTTGCCTACCAGTAAATTATTGTTCTTATGCTTGGATACATGCAAGATTTTCCTAGGTCATTAAGCACACACATTTTCAAATGAAGACTACAGCAATAAATTAATGTATTCTAGCAGTGCAATCTGTTCCACTGACCACCTTTTGCCCTATTGGAAATTCTCTGGAGCTTGTTAGAAAATTGGCCTTTAGACAAGATAAAACTACATTCTGGAAGATTAAATATGTGTAACATGGAACTAAAAAATGCAACATCAGTGAAAATCAACTTGCAGAAAATGAAGTTTATGCTGAGAAGAAGAGGAAGTAAAATTAATATTTCAGTCAGATTTCTTAGATACTGGATAAGCTAATCTACCTTCCCACTTTCCACACTGAAACTTCTCTGATTATACAAAGCAAACGAATCTAGCAACAGAGTTTGGATTTACTTTAAACATTTGGGTGGTATACATTAAAATGTTAATAGTATCTGTTTTTATTTTTTCTTAAATTGAGTCTTTCAGCATCATTTGATGGTTAATATTATGTGTCTACTCGGCTATGCCATGGGAACCAAATATTTGATCAAACATCAAAGTAGATGTTACAATGAAAGTATTTTTCAGATTAGATTAACATTTAAATTAGTAGACTTTGGTAAAGAAGATCAACCTCCAAATTGTGGGTGGGCCTCATCCAATCAGTTGAAGGCCTGAAGAGAAAAGGACTGAAGTTCCCTTAGGAAGAGAACATTCTGCCTCCAGACTGTCTTCAGATATGAGCCGCCACATTAGCACATTAGCTCTTCTCTGCGTCTCCAGCCCACTGGCCTATCCTGCAGATTTCAGAGCTTCGAACCCCCACAACAGCATGATCCATTTGTTTAAAATGAATCTCTCTACAGATAGACAGATAGATACACACACATGAACACAAGCACACACACACAACACATTCTTTTTCTCTGGAAAACCCTGAGCAGTATACACTAGAAAAACATGATTCCACAAATAAAGATTGTGGAATATTAGAAAGACCACTGGCATGCACCTGCTATATGAACTTGGATTAGCCTCTTTAACTTTAGAAGCTCAGATTTATTATTTATTAATTTCAGAGATTGAACTACATTTGTAAGTTTTTAGCTTTTTTATTCTTAGAAACAAAGTATTATGGTGTAGTGAAGTAGACTATCCCTTATGTTTTCAAATGAAAAACAGATTTACATATAACAAGACAAGAACTTCCATTCCAAGAAGGCTAAAATATATAGTTTAATCATACTTTGCTGTTTAAACATAGTATTTAGCAGTATTTCCCCACAATTTCACATAAGTTCTTTTATTCTTTTCCTACCCAATTGAAACACATGGATTGAGTATTCTATATTCAATTGAAATTAAAATTAACTTTCTACATGTCTATTTTAGATTTATAATTATATTTGAGGACTATGTTTATAACTACTAGTCAGCATTTAGTTTCCTATTTCCTCTTTGTTTTATATAATATAAATAAAATTTAAGTACGTATAAGTATGTATATGCAAAATCATATGTTAAAACAACTATAGAAACATTGTTGTCCAGTAAAGATGGCAGCTACCAAATTTGAAACATCAACTGTCAGGTTGTGTTACCAGAAAGTTACTTCAGCTGAGGTCCCAATGTTTCAATTCACAATACAAAAACAACTGGAGGGTGTCAATACCTAATGTATAAATGTGTAGGTTGTATAAGAAACAAATATATCGAAGTGATAACTATAATAAACTGCTGTGGTTGAAGCCAGGATTGGAGAACTAGATCCTGCCCTATGCATATCTATCCCTTTACTTTCTTCTTCATAGCAACACTTGAAACAATTCAATGGAACATTTTGCTGTCCAAGAAGCATAGATTCTAAATAGCCTCCATGGTCAATTTCAACTCTTACATTGATTTCAGTAGGGTTGTTGGTGAAGGCAGTATTTTATGCAACCATCTCTCGCCTTGTACACTAAGCAAATGCTTATGCCTCTCTGACTGATCTCTAACATCAGGTTTTTCCACCGAAGTTGAACTGTCCTGAAAAGAATCTCCTTTCCTCAAAAACTATTAATTTTAGTCCCAAATCATGGCATATTATGGCCTCAAAATGAAGCAAATTACAGAGCTAAAACCATTTTTGAGAAAGACGATTCTGTAATGGTTCAATAAACAAAAAGTTCATTTAAGCAATAATGTGCCAGTACACACTAATTATTCTGTAGAATATAATGTGCGTTCTATATTTATTGCAGGATTACATGAGACTAAAGGAGTAATGCTTACAAACTAGCTAGTCTTTTCTGAATCTATTACTGAAGCAGAGTTCCTTTATGTCAGATGATGTGCTTCTGGAAAATTTAATTTGGCTCAAACAACTTCCTTAATGAATTACAGCTGACTTAAGATTTATCAGGGAAAGTAAAATATGCTATAGCTCTGTGGCCATACTACAAACAGGGATATGAGTATGCTGATTCAGAGATTTTTGGATATCTGAGATGGTAGGCATTATGTTTTGAATGTAGAATGTTTTCTTCCAGTAGTAACCACAGCAAAGTAATCTTTGTGAATACTTCAAGTCTTTCAAAATCTTAGCAGGAGTCATCATTCCTTTTATTTAATGAAAATCCTTGGGATATGACAGATTTAATTAAGGCATTGAGATTGAACAGTATCAGCACATTTTATATGACATGATTGTCCCAGAGAGAATATCACTTTTGCACTTGATAACCAAATCAGATTTACATGAAGCTGCAGTTTCTTGAATTTGAAACAGAGCTGACATATAGGTAATGTATGTTGTCAGGTAGGGATTCTGTTAAACGTCTTATGCCAAGAGTGACACCTACTATGGGTGCATGTACCCAGTCTTTCTCTTCATAATGATAGGATTTAAGGGACAGATCAAACATCAACAGTAGAAAATGTATTTTGCTACCATCTTGCTTTCTAGAGAACTGATGGCCTGTCTTTATGAGCACCATCTCTTTGAAGACACACTTGGCTGTCTTCGAATAGAGTTCTGTTGGGACTGGGACATTTCTAACTCCTCTCCTTAGAAAGACTGGTTAAGGTCATCAGCTACCTGTTTTGCATGTTTTGTTTCAGGACTCTTTCTTTCATTTTTGGGTTCTCCTAGGTGAAATCCAGGCTCATTTGGTGAGTAATATCATCTGGCCAGAGACCGTTTTGTTATGACATACTTTCTGCTGACACCAAACTGATTTGGCTTCCTTGGCATATTATGTTCCTTACTATCGGGGTAACTTTTTCAAGTTTTAGAAATGCCTGTGTAAGTGTGAATGGGAACTATATAGGGTATTTTTAAACTATAATGTTTACCCGTATTCAAAGACAAATTATTTGTACCTAATTCACTCAGCATGTATTTGAAGTAACTCATGTTTTGTTAGAGTGATAGTGTTAAAAGGGATTTAAATTGAGTTTTATAGAAAAAGAGGTTATTTAGAAAAGAAATTTTAACAGAGGGTTAAAAAAAGTGAAACAGAATTTAGGTGAAAGGAATACCTTTGTGAAGGAAGACTTATTTTCAAGATGGAAAGAAAGTAACGGACAGTAGGCGCAGAAGCAGAACAAAAAGGAGAGAAAATGGCAGGTTAG
Source organism: Homo sapiens (assembly GCF_000001405.40). Classification (NCBI taxonomy): domain Eukaryota; kingdom Metazoa; phylum Chordata; class Mammalia; order Primates; family Hominidae; genus Homo; species Homo sapiens. Next base: position 78,824,862 of record NC_000003.12, on the reverse strand, counting down.
GGAATTCAAACATTGCCTAATAAAACAATAATAACCAGCATTACTATATCTGTGCTTTATTACTATGTGCATGCAACCATTATGTTATTTGCCTAATTTAGGATCTTCCAATCCTTACAAAAATATGAGGGTTATTATTATCCCTATTAAGTGGATAAAGAATAGGAATCTTCTTTTATAGATTCTAAATAATTTGCCCAAAGTTATTTTTTACACAGTTAAATCAGGACTTGATTCTAAGTTTATTTCATTCCAAAACTTATTTTCTTAAGTTTCATAACTGCTATCATGACTTCTATTACATCCTGATGTACATCATTATAAACTGCAGCTCCGAATAGTGTCTTGAGCCAATATTTGCCATTTAGCATGACAAATATATTTTGTTCAAAAAGAGGAAAAGTTTTACAATCAGCCTTGAATAATGCAAAAATCACAAACAATGAATCTTTTCTAACTAGATTGTTTAATGATTATTTATCAAATAGGGTCAAGAATAAAAATATGTGTTTTTAGAGAGTAGATGAAGAGCATTTATAATATTAGCTTGGTGCAAAAGTAGTCGTGGTTTTTGCCATTACTTTCAATTGCAAAAACCTCAATTACTTCTGCACTAACCTAATATATCTCTTGTCACAGACTAAGGTTCTCCTTGCCACTGACTAATGTAAGAATTGGAAACTCACATGTCGTGCTCATAGATTTACTTAATTCAACAAACTTCTTTTTGTTTTACTACAGTATGGCACTGCTATAGGAATAAGGAAATAAAAACAAATAATTCCTAGTTCAAGCTCTTGAGAAACTAGTGTGATGCAACCTCAAGGAATGCAGCAAGTCATACCTGTCATTAATGTCAGTGAATAATATGTGTATAGATCTCTATCTCAAAGTTCTAAATAAAAATTAAGTGCTACTCATTTATTCATAAGGTACACACACATGCATGCTCATGTGCCACATACATACATACACACACACACACACAGTGACAAAATTTGAGAAAAAAAGAAATTCATACTCTGATAAAGGGTGTTCATAGGGACCTATTTTAAATTTGGTAATCAGGGAAAAGAAATCCCTAATGAGGTGACACATATCTGAAACAAAAAGGGTAAGTATGGATTAGGCAAGTGAAAAGCTGGAGATAAGAGTATGCTAGGTAATGTTTAAAAGCTTAGAGACAGAAAAGGGCAATGTATGTTCAAAGACCACGAGGTAAAAGTGATGTGAGCTGAGGCTGGAAATGAAGGCAGGGTCAGACCTCAGAGGGCATGTCCTCTTCTTGCAGGTTTGCATTGCCTGGACACATGCTTTCCGCCACACGTATATATGGACGATCCTTAAAATTTGTTAACAAATGACTGGAGTTAGCCTGTTTGCTTTGAGTTATTTGATGAGCATGTTTGATATTGTTCCCTGTCTTCCTTATTTCCCTCTTAGATCTGAGACTTGTTATTAGAGAAATAGGATAGTAAATTAAGTTTCGAGTACTCTATTATGTTACAGATATTTGCTTGTCCAATGAGAAATCCTTAAAATATGGCCTTTTCTGTATTTATAGATTGTCTTTCATTAACAATAAGGCACAAAGGCATCGCAGAAACGATGGGAAAATGTGATGAAGAGCATCCCAAGAGCTGAAAATGCATTGGCAAAAAAAAAAAAAAAAATCATTTTAAATCATTATAATTATGTTTTAAAAGTTTTCCTTTAACACAAAAGGCTGAATCTTCACTATTGAAGACATGTCAAAAGTAGCTTGATTAAAGACAGCAGCATTTCAGTTTTGCCATTAGAATAAAAAGACTGAATTGTTAGTGAAAAGCAATGAAGTACAGAACTCTGGAATTTGTGGTGAAAGGAAATTGAAAAAGAACAGAACATTTGGATTCATGTTTCATGAAATAATTTGTGTGACAGAATAGGAAGGCAGTCTGAGGGAAAATTGACATAATTTTTTCCTAGGACTGGGAAAGGCCAGATAAATATGTCACTGTTAACAAATGCACTATTGTGCATGAATAAAGTATATTCTACTCAATTTGTAAATGTTAATTTTCAATCATTGGAAAATATTTGCATGCTTTTCAAAGTATAAACAAAACTCTCCTCCTTTTGTTCCTTTTCCATTTTCTGTGGCTAGACATTAAGTTGGACCAGAATGAGGAAGGCAGAAATAATTTTTAACTCATAGAAATGTTGCTTTTTCAGAGGAAACCATGTATTCTTATATGTACTGTGAAATATATAATATGTGGTATACCTATGGTACTTTCAAAGTATCTATAATCTGCTTTTTTCAGTTTAGAGAGTGTGTGTAGAATTCATCCACCAGATTGTAGGATCAGAAAAGCTCATTCTCTAGTCCCTTGGATGTGCCGGGACTGTGTCTTTGTATCTTCAATATTTGTCTTTCTCAGAGTGCCTAATATAGATTTTGTGTTCAGCAGGTGCTTATAGAATATTGGCTTGATTCAAGGCAGCTGGCACAAGCAACAGGACCAGGCACAGAGAAACAGAATCTCTAGATTTTTTCCTTGTACAGTTTAAGGATGTTGTAGTGGATGATACTAGTCCACCCCACACATCCCCTTTGTTTTCACCGCTTCTCTACATTCCAAGAGCTTCATTTTACAAATATCTTTGACTTTTTTGTGTGTGTCCCCATGCTTGTACTGTGCATATAGGTTCCTGTGAATTAGCATTTCCAGAATTAGCCCTGAACCAACACCGTACATTTGTGTGTGTGTGTGTGTGTGTGTGTGTATGTATATGTGTGTTTCCCAGAGACTGATGTATAATTATACATCAGCTTTTTCTCCTTTCAGATGGGACAACTCTGAAGGCTATACCAAATAGTGTCCTGGAGGGCTTGGGTGGCATTGGCCCGTTGTCTACAATGATAATCTATCTGCTCATGAATGCTACCACTACTGCTTCTTCTTCTCTGTCTGAATTTTCCACTTCTCTACAGGTGATGGCCCTCAAAGCCTGTCTCAGGATCTGCTTCTGGAGCAAAGAATAAGGACCCAGGTTTTGGGATTATGAGATTAGGCACAGATGTCTGTAAAAGTTTGTTGAAAGGAATTGAATTATGTGAAATTTAATTGAATTAAATTAAATTATCCTGCAACCTCAATCTCTTTGGGCCAAATCCAAATACTCATGTGCTGTTATGAGAGCTGGGAAAGAAGGGGTGGGGCATGTTATTATTATCAATCTGTTGACAATTAATTTATAAACAATCTTAACTAGTTTGTAAACTGGTATCTAAAATCTTTTACATGTGAAAAGCGAGCAATTTAGAGGGGAAAAATGAATCGCTAAGGATAGGCACATCTGAACAGGTAAAAGTGACTACACAGATGGGATGTCATAAGATAAAACATCAGTATCGGCTGGGCACAGTGGCTCATGCCTGTAATCCTAGCACTTTGGGAGGCTGAGGCAGGCGGATCAAGAAGTCAGGAGTTTGCGACCAGCCTGGCCAACATGGTGAAACCCCATCTCTACTAAAAATACAAAAATTAGCCGGGCGTGGTGGTACACACCTGTAATCCCAGTTACTCGGGAGGCTGAGGCAGGAGAATTGCTTGAGCCCAGGAGGCAGAGGCTGCAGTGAGACGAGATCGCACCACTGTACTCCAGCCTGGGTGACAGAGTAAGACTCTGTCTCAAAAAAAAAAAAAAAAAAAAAATCAGTATCATAAAATGCACATATAAGCACTTATCTCTACAGTAATAGAATTTGAAGTTTCACCATGTATATTTTTTCCACTTTCAGATTAAAAGATTGAATTTTGCTTTATATAATTTGTACACAAAAGGAGAAATGAACTAACTGGCTTGAATTATTTTCTTAGTAGGCCAGGTAGATGAAGTTTCTTGGTAATTAGAAACATTTTAAATCAAGAAAGATCACAACACAGTTTAGATTATATGTTTGTGTATGTGTGTCAGAGAGGGAATTTTTTTTTTTAACATTCTTGAAAGGGTGCTAGAACAAATCTCATAGCTTCCAAATCAGAAAGAAATTGTGATGGCACATTGCCACTGAACTTCTGGTGTGAATGATATAAGAGTCAGTCTGCCCAGCAGTTATTTGTAGCAGTTTTAATATAGTTACAGACTAGTATGTGAGGCTTCTCGGACTAGCTGAGGTTATTGGCATGAGAAACCAAGCATAGATCTAGCCACAGCTGAATGGAATAATTCCAGAGTGGAGAACACAGAGTCTGGTGTAGACTGGAGCTATCAACAATGAATGATTTGATTAAATAAAATCTCAATTAATACCATACATCTTTAATCATTTAAACAGTAGCTACTTTGGTCTCTTACTAATCTGAGTTTGATTACCATTTTTTATACATTTAACAAGCATTTGTTCTACCTACGTTAACATTAGTACAAATTTGGCTTTGAATCCAGGCCTTGACATTTCCTAGCTGTCTTTGGGTAAGTTACTTAATGTCTCCAAGAGTCAGTTTCTGTGGCTGTAAATGTAGATAATAGTATCCATCTGATAGGATTATTTGGAACCATAAAATGACTAAATATAAAATAATTAATTGCTAGTCATGTCCTACATAGATACATACAAAAAATTAAAACCATCAAAAACAACAGTGCAAAATATAAGTATGAAGAGTTTTCTTAGAGTGAGCAAATTGTTCTCTGTCTTAAAGAAATTTGCGTATAATCAAACAGATAACACGTTTATAGACCCAACCTGAAAGACGTAGAGAAATTGCCAAGTGTAGGCAGAATGTGAAAGCCCTTTGTTTTCAAATTGGATCCCTTTTTCGATTGTACTCTTTTAAGTTTCAGCAATCTGGGTGCATTATAAAGACCTATTTATAGACACGGAAAACTGAATCAAAAAGTTTTAAAAGTTCTATCCCATTGGGGATAATGGATCTTAGCTTAGGAAAAATGGAGTCATTTTTCCCTCATGAATTGAGAATAAGGATTTTATTTCTTTTCTTTCAATTCTAATAAAATTCTCAACAGGTTTGTGTGTGTCTATGTGTGTTGTGTGTATCGGGTTGGTGGCAGAGCTGAAAAACTGACATAAAATTTTTACATGATGACAAGAAACCAAAATAATCAAGACGGGCCTAAGAATATGAATTTGGTAGAAGGCCTTGCCTTATCACTATAAGGCTGTAGTAATGAAGATAGTTGATATTGGAGTAGGGATAGACAAACAGATCATGGGAGAGAGTTCTGAGTCCAGAGTCAGACACACAGACATAAAACTTGATTTCAGACACACAGACATGAAACTTGATTTATCAGACAGCTGATATTACAGGTTTAGAAAAAAAGATGATCTTTTCACTAAAAAGTATTAGGACCATAGATTATCTGTATGGAGAAAAGAAAAAAAAAGGTTTTGTTTTTTTTTTTTTGTAGAATATGGACACGTATTCCATATTCCATATTCTACAAAGAAATTAGTGTCAGATAAAGCCCTACATGTGAAAAGAAAAACTACAAAAACATTTAGGACACAAGTTAGAAATGAAGTTTTATGACTTTGGGGTAATTAAAGATAAACAAGAGTCAGAAAGCACTAATCATAAAGAAAAAGCACTAAATTTGACATTAAAATTAGAATCGTATGTGCATCAAATACACTATGGAGTGAAAACACAAGATAAGAATCAAGAGATGTTCACAACATCTGTGACAAAGGATTAGCATCCAGAATATATTACAATGCCTTACCAGAACAACAAAAACCAAACACTGTAGTCCCCTGTTGTCCACGGGGCGATATGTTCCAAGACCCCCAATGGTCGCCAGAAACGGCAGATAGTACCAAACCCTTTGTACACTATGTTTTTTCCTGTATATACACCTTCATGATGAAATTTAATTTATAAATTAGGCACAGTAAGAAGAGATTAACAATAACTAATAATAAGGTAGAACAATTATAACAATATACTACAATAAAATTTATGCAAATGTAGTGTCACTCACCTATTTTCACACCGGGGTTGACTGCAAGTAACTGAAACCTCCGAAAGCGAAACTGTGATAGAGGGGGACTGCTGGAAGCTCAATAGAAAAGTGAAAAAGAGAGTTGAACAGGACGACCATCCCGGAAGCCAAGGCCGAGGAACTTGCAAACAAATGCTCCAGCTCATTCGCCGTCAGTGCCGGCCACCACATTCCCAGAAGCACTTTTGGCTTGAGGCAAGAATGCTTCAAGATGGCTGCTGGCACCCAGGGCCTTGCCCCACCAGTTCAGCCTCCAAGGCGCTGACTGCGTGTACTTCCGTTGGCCAGGAAGACATTATCATGGCCTCCTGCTGCTCAGTGCATTAGTCCCCTGCTGGGTCCAAGCCCAAGTGTGCATCATGCCATGGTGGCAGCAGGACCCCGGCTTCCACAAATCGTCATGGGCACTTGTGGTCTAGTAGAGGATTGACGGAGGTCACTGTGGGCAACCTCCCAGAGGCACAGGGGATGAATAATGCTGCTCCAGGGCGTCTGGCGTGGGACTTTAGGAACCTGGGTCAGCCCAGCTATACATGCTGCAGAGCACTGGCCTCACAATCCCCACAGTACCAGCGGCAACCTAAATGCCAGCTGAGATGCTGGACAGGCTGGGCCAGGCTTCAGTCAAGGAACTGGATCCACCGTCTCCCCACAGACCATCATCCCTGCCTAAGGCCCTCTACTGCTGGTTAACTAGATCCCTCCTTATAAAAGATTGAGGGAGGAGAGGTAGGAGAAAGTACTGCAACTGATGCAGTTGAATTCCATCTTTTACTCAGTCACCTCTTTCTGGCTGCAAACGGTAGCTGTTCAAGTGGTTTTGGTTGGAAGATTCCTGCACAGGTTTTAACTGTATTTTGATATAACCAGTGGGGACTAATGTCCTCCACTGCTGAATTACTCTCAACTCTGGGATATAATATGGAAAAATAAAAGCCTCAATAAAGAACACCTCCACCTAAGTCTGAGATATTCACCCTGGACTCCCATCTTTTTACTTAATTTACCAGATTCCAGTTAGGAACCACGGTAGTTGGAACTATGACCATTGAAACTCTGACTAATGGTTGAAATTCTTGGCAACTTTAACTAGCTCTATTTTTTAGGACCTCCAGAACAATGTGATGCTGAACTTCCCTGTCTTATTTTTTATTCAAAAAAATCTTTGAGTATTTCCATGTAAATCTTCTTGCTTTAAATTTTCTCTTCTTAATTTTCTGATTTTTTTCTTCTCATAAGTGAGTTTTGAATTATATGAAATGACTTTTCTGGATCTATTGAGCATGCCATTTGTGTTTTTTCTACCTCATCTTTTGATGTAGTGAATTCACATAGAGGTATACCTCAGAGACACTGTGAGTTCATTTCCAGACCATCACAATAAAGCTAGTATCACAAGAAAGTGAGTCAGATGAATTTTTTTTTGTATTCCAGTGCATGTAAAATTTATGATTATACTATACTGTCATCATGTGTTCCGAACTGTTATCTTAAAAAAAAGTATATACCTTAATTTTAACATATTGCTAAAAAATGCAAACAATCATCTTAATCTCAAATGAGTCACAATCTTTTTGCTGGTAGACAGTCTTGTCTTGATGTTGATGGCTGCTGACTGATCAGGGTGGTGATTGCAGAAGGCTTGGGTGGCTGTGGTAATTTCTTAAAATAAGACAACAATGAAGTTTGCCATACTGATTGACTCTTCCTTCCCCTAAAGATTTTTCTGTAGCATGTGCCACTGTTTGATCACATTTTACTCAGAGAACTTCTTTCAAAATGGTAGTTAACCCTCTCAAACCTTGCCACTGCTTTATAACTAATTCAATCTAATGTTTTATTTTATTTTATTTTATTTTTTTTATTATACTTTAAGCTCTAGGGTACATGTGCACACTGCGCAGGTCAGTCACACATGTATACATGTGCCAATTAATCCTTTGTGGCCATTTCAACAATGTTCACAGTATCCTCACTAGGAGCAGATATAATTTCAAGGAACTACTTCCTTTGCTTATCCATAAGAAGTGACTCTTCATCTGTTCAAGTTTTCTCATGAGAGTGCAGCAATTCAGTCGCATCATCAGGCTCCACTTGTAATTCTACTTCTCTTGCTGTTTCCATCACATTTGCAATTACTTTATCCACTGAAGTCTTAAGCCCCTCAGTGTCATTCATGAGGGTTGAAATAAACTTCTTCTATACTCCTCATAATGTTGATATGTTGGCCTCCTCCCATGAGTCACAAAATGTCACCTAAAATGGTGAATCCTTTCCAGAACGTTTTCTATTTACTTTGCCTAGCTCCATTGGAGGAATCATTATGGCAGCTATATAGCCTTACAAAATATTAATGTATTTCTTAAATAATAAGGCTTGAAATCCAAAATTACTCCTTGATCCAAGGATTATAGAATGGGTGTTGTGTTAGCAAATCATGAAAACAACATTACTCTTTTCGTACTTCTCCATCAGAGTTCTCAGGTGACTGGGTACATTGTCAATAAGCAGTAATATTTTGAAAGGAATATTTTTTTGCATAGTAGGTCTCAACAATGGGCCCATAATAGTAAACCATTCTATAAACAGATGTACTGTCATCCATGTTTTGTTTCATTTATGGAACACAGAATAGCTTTATCATAATTCATAATGTCCCTAGGATTTTTATTAATGGTAAATGAACATTGGCTTCAACTTAAAATCACCAGCTGCATTATCTCCTGCCAAGAAAATCAGCCTGTCCTTTGAAGCTTTTAAGCCAGGCACTGTCATCTCTACAACAATGAAAGTCTTGGATGGCAACTTTTTAAAATAGAATGCTGTTTTGTCAACACTGAAAATTTGTTGCTTACTGTAGCCACCTTCATCGGTTATCTTAGCTAGGTCTTCTGGATAACTGGAAACATATATAGTAACTGTGTATCTCTATATGCATTATCAACATTACCAGGAGTTTGGAAGAAATTTATTTCAACCCTCATGAATGACACTGACGGGTTTAAAACTTCATTGGAGGAAGTAATTGCAGATGTGGTGGAAATAACAAGAGAAGTAGAATTACAAGTGGAGGCTGATGATGTGACTGAATTGCTGCAATCTCATTAAAAAAATTAAACAGATGAGGAGTTGCTTCTTATGGATGAGCAAAGAAAGTGGTTCCTCGAGATGAAATCTACTCCTAGTGAAGGTGCTGTGAACATGCTTGCTGTCTCACCTTGCTCTCAAGTTCTAGAGACTGCTTATTTTCTTAAATGCCATGAACCAACCTCTGCTAGCTTCCCACTTTTCTTCTGAAGCTTTCCTCATCTCCCTCAACCTTCATAGAATGGGAGACAATTGGGCCTTTGCCCTAGATTAGGTTTTGGCTTAAAGGCGTATTGCAGTTGGTTTGACTTTCTATGTAGATCACTAGAACTTTTTCCATATCAGTAAAAAGGCTGCTTCATTTTCTTATCATTTGTGTGTTTACTAGAATAGCACTCCTAATCTCTTTCAAGTACTTTTCCTTTGTATTCACAGCTTGGCAAACTGTTTGGCATAAGAAGCCTAGATTTTGGTCTAGCTCAGCTTTCAACATGCCTTCCTCAGTGATCTTAATCATTTCTAGCTTTTGATTTAAAGTTAGAGACTTGCCACTCTTCCTTTCACTTGAACACTTAGAGGCCATTGTAGTATATTTAGTAGGCTGAATTTCAGTATTTTTGTGTCTCAGGGAATAGGAAGGCCCAAGGAGAGGAAAGAGATAAGGGCAAATGGTCAGCTGGTAGAACAGTCTGAACCTGAACAAACATTTATTAAGTTTGCCATCTTACATGGTTGTGATTCGTCACATCCCAAAACAATTACAATAGTTACATCAAAGAACACTGATCACAGATCACCGTAACAATATAATACTGATGAAAATGTAGAAATATTGCAAAAATTACCAAAATGTGGCACAGAGACATGAAGTAAAGCCATGCTCTTGGGAAAATGGCCCTGACAGACTTGCTGCTGTATGATTGCCATAAATGTTCAATTAGTAAAAAGTGCAATATCTGCAAAGTGAAGCACTATAAAATGAGGTATGACTGTATGTATATATTTTCTAATGTTAAACCAACCGTGAATTGGTAGAATATAGCAATTCGACATGATTCCTTATATTTTTATGAATACGGCTTGAATTCAGTTTGCCAAAATATTGCTTAGGAATTTTTTACATCATCGTTTATGAGCGGGCTGGCCTGCAATTTACTTTTATCTTACAGGTCTTGTCTAGCTTTGATTTCAAAGCTATATTTTTTTTAACACAAGATGAGGTAGAAATTATTTCATCCTTTTTTATTATCTAGAACTATGTCATCAATAAGGTAGACTCTGGCCACATGAGGCTCTTGGGCCCTTGAAATGGGGCTAGTGTGGATTGACATGTGCTATAAAATGCACTAGATTTCAAAGACTTCATTTTTTAAAAGTATAAAATATCTGATTAACAATTTTTATTATTGATTACATATTGAATATTTTGATACATTGAGTTAAATAAAATATATAAAATTAATTTCAACTTTTTAGTTTTATGTGATTACTAGAAAAATTTTAAATTGCATATGTGGCTCACATTATATCAATATTGGGCAATGTGGACATAGATAATAAATAATTTCTTTCCTCAGAATCAAAGAAAGAACATTGTTATTAAAGGTACCTTTTGTTCAAGCTGTTGAAGAGTAAAAAAGGTCCATCAGTAGTAGAGTAGGTATACCTAAGACACCCTGGACCCTATTTTAAATATTAGCCTCAGAAACTCACACTTGCAATCAACTAAGAAGAAAACTGGCATATACCGAAGTGAATAGCATGGTAAGCTAATGAGACTAGGATTTGGGAGAAGCAGAACATTTACCTGAGTGAATGAATGAAGAAATATTATTACTCTGGATCCACTCTCACAGGACAAGATCCCTGTAATTAATATGTTGTTAAGGCTACCTCTAAGCCTTAACAACATATTAGTTAACTTATCAAGCAAGCTTTGCCTGTAGTGGACTTCAATAAATGATAACTATTATTATGAAAAGAGTTGAGAGCTAAAATGAATGTCACTAGACTTAGGCCAATACTATAAACAGGCAGTATAAAGCAGTCATTGAGAATTGACTCTAGAGTCAGAATGCCTGCGTTGAGGTCTCTGATCCACCAACTATGTAAGCTAGAGAATGAAAGCACAGATGTGCATGACATATTTTTTTTCTGTAATGTGAATGACAAAAATATATTTTGGTTAAACAGAACGATTCTGAGAATTCTAAGTGATTGCTGATTAACTGGAAGTAAGGATATTAATGTTTCAATATAAAATAAACTAATTTAAGTTAAGAAAATGTAAAAATTCTTTTTTGGTCCAGTTGAATAAAGACACGACAGTTTTTAGATCTTTATACATGTATTTATCCCTTGTAAAATCCAACAAAACCAAGAAATGATTTTCAAATTGACTAATATTTTACAAACATGAGCTTTAAGTTCAGACAAGATGTGAATTTCAAGCTTTATGACTTTGACAACTTTCTGTATTCATTTTGTTATCAAAGTGGTGTGTGTGTGTGTGTGTGTGCATGTAAAACTTCTATAATAAATGAGTAATATGTGGAATACAAATTATTTTCTTCCTTATTATTTGAATATTGGCTAAATTGTGTTTGTTTTTCCAAAGATTAGATCATATGGCAATTGACAGATCTGTATGTGTTTTTTAGTTTTGTTAATGAATCACTTAAAATGTCGATATCTGGAATAGTTCATAGTTTATATTTTTTCTAAGATCTAAAGAAAATTTTATATGGAAACTCTTCTGTAAATTTTTATAATTCTACAAAGATGGTAAAAATGCTTTTAGAAGTTCAAGTACAAGATAGTTAATATTTCATTCTTGTCAGTTTTTAAATTCTACCATGTAAATAATTGCAGTCATGTGATTATGTGATTAAATAATAGTTAAGTTCAGGATTTTAGCTTATTTTAGCATAGTTAGATATCATGCTTAGAACTAAAATTATAGTTCAATTGTATTATATTTATCATACACTATTCAAGTGAATATTAATTTAGTATCGTTTTAGTGGCAGTCACTATTCTAGGTGCTGGGGTGACAAAAGAACAAAGCAGATTCAAATCCCTGCTCTTACTGTTTATAGTAAAGAGGAGGAGCATACATTAAATAATATAAATAAGTAAAATGGATGGCATGTTAGATGCTGAAGAAGCAAAATAGAGCAGGAAGAGGGGATAAGGAATTCCAAGTACCAGGATATTTATTCCGTTTTAAATAAGGGGATCAGGATAATCATCATTGAGTATGTGACATTTGAGTGAAGATCTGAAGGAGGTGAAAGAGGGAGCCTTGTAGGTATCCATTATCCAAAAAGAAAGAATTGTAACTGCAACAGCCCTGAAGGAAGAAAAATGTGCCCGAGGCATTAAAGTAAATGGCAGGACTCCAGCATGGCTGGGACTGAGTGAATTAGGTGGAAGTTTATTAAAAGAAGTGAGAGAGGCAGTGGGGTGAACAATGACATAGACCGAGTCTTGAAGGCCACAGTTTGTCTTTTACTCTGCAGTAGGAGATTTAGAGAGTTTCTGAGTAAAGGAACAGTGTGAGAGAAACATGATTTGGTAGGAGGATTCAGGCCAGAGACGTAGTTTAGGGTGAGTTCACTTTAGAAAATTCACTCTTGATTTAGATGCATGGCCTCCACATAACAAAACGTGTGCTGGTATTGTAGGTGCAAAAGAATGTTCACTTCCAAGCATATTATCAAAGGACTCCTAAAATTCAGGCACCTTGCTAGGAAACGATTCCACCGTAACATTAAATAGTTCCTACTGTGAATGAGCTTGGGCGTGACTGACAGGTGCAATGTATTATGCTCTAGCAGAAGTTAGGACTATAATGCGAACACATACAAATGAGATTTGCCTCACCTTATATTGATGAGGCAGTGATAAGGAAGTAAATGCCTTGGGAAGAAACGAGATAGAGAGAACTTATAGATGAAAAAAGGATTGAATTTGAGACACATATAACAAATAGGAGTTAGCTACTTAAGATTCTGGCATGTCGGACACAGTATACTAGTTCCAAATTAGTGGCTAGAGGAATAGCGACTAGTTTAGGGAACTGAGATTGATTCAGTGGGCCTGGAATATAGAGTGTTATGGGAGGTCAAGAGATGGAGAGGAGAGGTGAGTAGGAGAGGGGCCAGATCATAAAGGTGCTCATCAAACGAAAACATGGATTCTATTTTCAGGGCAATTGAGAGATATTGTAGGATTTAGCTGTTTCCACAGGCCTGGGAGAGCAGTTACAATGTCAAAAGATCACAGTAGATATGTATAGTGAAAGAGTCTTACAAGGTTACTATGCTTTGTTAGTTGGCTCCTATAACATGGAAATACTTCCAAGTAGCAAACGTTTTTCAATTAAAGAGTGAATTACAGAAAATTCCATTAGGGCTTTAAAACTTTCTTGCCTCTAATTACACTAGAATGTGCAGACTTTTTGAACTTGAACCAACTTTAGTTGAATTTGTTAATGATACTTTTTTACATTTGTTTTAGAAACAAAATTGAAATCCAAATCATTTTGGCACTTTAGCCAGCAGACTCACAGGGTAATAGGCTTTAGGGTTTCCATTTGAATCCCATTAAGGATTTCTGGGTAATCTTGAAAGATACTAATAAGCTGTATAGACCGAGAACAGTCCTTAAAAATGAATACTTAGTATTTCCAGTGAGAGAGCATAATTTCATGTAAAGCAAACTGCCCAGTTACAGAGGGTAACTGGTTAGGAGTGAACACATTTGGCCTCACTGGAAACAATCAACTGGCACTTTGATTTCTTCCCAGTTTTGTCCTTTTTCTTGAGCAGGTTGATTGAAAGTAGGAAAATTACTAAGGTAAGGAAAGGCTTTATTTTATTTTTTAAGATCTTTTTTGTTTTCTTTCTGAAGGTGAAACATTCAGTGTTTAAATAAACATTAACAAGAGGTGTTTATCTCCAGGCAAAGGTGATCTTTTAAGAACTTTAGGGCAGCAAGAATGGATTACAAGGGTAGGGGAGGAGGAATGGAAGTGAATTGACTAGGATAGTGTGAAAATTTTACAGGGTGATTACTTTTTTTTTTTCCCATTGTAAATCAGAACCAGAATAGATTTACCAACAATGTACATCAATATAAGCAGGGTTAGAAGTCAGATAAATAAAGGTTTTGTCAAGTCATTAATCCTTAAAATAAAATGCATACTGTGTTACTCAATATATGTTTACCTACCAATAATATACTTCATTTTTTGCTTCAGCAATTTGGCTGGATGATTTTTTTTCCTTCAATAATGAAAACCACCCTCCATCAGTTTCTAAGAGAATTTTTTTTCAAAAATATACAAATGCTGGCATTCACTTTCCCATGCATACAGCAAATTGGTGCAGTATCTATTCCAAAGGAAAAGCTTCCTTTCTCTTTCTCCCTGTGTAAAAAAAGAAATGAATGCTGCAGTTGTTGGACAAGGGATAACAGTTGATTTGGAGTGAACCAGCCAAAAATGTCCCAAACAAATTAATAGCATAGAAACATCTGCTGCTGTTTTATTAGAGTTTCACATAAAAACCTAGTTTGCAAGCTGGCGCTTGGAATGCTTTTCTTTACACTGAACTCTTAACGTAGCTGCGAAAGGCAATCAAGACCATATGTCTTACATTTTTGCGTCCAAATTTTCTTGCATCTCACTCCAACCTGGGACAGTTGCTTGTAACATGAACACTGAATTATGAAACCCATTTTAAAAATCAGGATTTTTTTTTTTTTTTTTACTATACTTTAAGTTCTGGGATACATGTGCAGAACGTGCAGGTTTGTTACATAGGTATACACATGCCATGGTGGTTTGCTGCACCCATCAACCCGTCATCTACATTAGGTATTTCTCCTAATGCTATCCCTCCCCTAGCTCCCACCCTCAAGAGGCTTCGGTGTGTGATGTTCCCCTCCCTGTGTCCATGTGTTCTCATTGTTCAACTCCCACTTATGAGTGAGAACATGCAGTGTTTGGTTTTCTGTTTCTGTGTTAGTTTGCTGAGAATGATGGTTTCCAGCTTCATCCATGTCCTTGCAAAGGACGTGAACTCATCCTTTTTTGTGGCTGCATAGTATTCCATGGTGTATATGTGCCACAATTTCTGTATCCAGTCTATCATTGATGGGCATTTGTGTTGGTTCCAAGTCTTTGCTATTGTGAACAGTGCTTCAATAAACATATTTGTGCATGTGTCTTTATAGTAGAATGATTTATAATCCTTTGTGTATATACCCAGTAATGGGATTGCTGGGTCAAATGGTATTTCTGGTTCTAGATCCTTGAGGAATCGCCACACCGTCTTCCACAATGGTTGAACTAATTGACACTCCCACCAACAGTGTAAAAGCGTTCCTATTTCTCCACATCCTCTCCAGCATCTGTTGTTTCCTGACATTTTAATGATCATCATTCTAACTGATGTGATGGCATCTCATAGTGGTTTTGATTTGCGTTTCTCTAATGACCAGTGATGATGAGCTTTTTTTCATATGTTTGTTGGTCACATAAATATCTTCTTTTGAAAAGTGTCTGTTTATATCCTTTGCCCACTTTTTGATGTTTTTTTTTTCTTGTAAATTTGTTTAAGTTCTTTATAGATTCTGGATATTAAGCCCTTTGTGAGATGGATAGATTGCAAAAATTTTCTCCCATTCTGTAGGTTGCCTGTTCACTCTGATGGTAGTTTCTTTTACTGTGCAGAAGCTCTTTAGTTTAATTAGATCCCATTTGTCAATTTTGGCTTTTGTTGCCATTGCTTTTGGTGTTTTAGTCATGAAGTCCTTGCCCATGCCTATGTCCTGAATGGTATTGCCTCGGTTTTCTTCTAGTGTTTTTATGGTTTTAGCTCTTACTTTTAAGTCTTTAATCCATCTTGAGTTCATTTTTGTATAAGGTGTAAGGAAGGGATCCAGTTTCAGTTTTCTGCATATGGCTTGCCAGTTTTCCCAACACCATTTATTATATAGGGAATCGTTTCCCCATTGCTTGTTTTTGTCAGGTTTTTCAAAGATTAGATGGTTGTAGATGCGTGGTGTTATTTCTGAGGTCTCTGAGGATTGCTTTTAACAGTATAATTTAAGCCATTGAAGCTATGACATTTGCATCTCTTTGCTTTGGTTATTTCCATATAATTTGAAAATCTTTGTACTTTATTTTTATCCGTCATTTTTTCAGTGATTTGGGCTTCAACTTGATATAACATTTAAAATCCACATTTCAGGCAGGGCATGGTGGCTCATGCCTGTAATCCCAGCACTTTGCAAGGCCAAGGTGGGTGGATCACGAGTTCAGGAGTTTGAGACCAGCCTGATCAACATGGTGAAACCCTGTCTCTACTAAAAATACAAAAATTAGCTGGGCGTGGTGGCTTGCACCTGTAATCCCAGCTACTCAGGAGGCTGAGGCAGGAGAATTGCTTGAATCTGGGAGGCAGAGGTTGCAGTGAGCCGAGATTGCACCACCACACTCCAGCCTGGGCAATCGAGCGAGAGTCTGTCTCAAAAAAATAAAATAAAATAAAATAATTCTCATTTCAGCATTAATTTTGGATGTGTTGAACCCAGTTGTTGGTTAGGAAAAGGAGTTCTGATTTTTGTGGAGATAATAGCCTATGAAATAAGTTATTTTTTATAACAAATTTCCTTATTGTATTTTAACCTAATTTTACTTAACTCTCATAAAAGTCTCATGAAAAATGGACAAGTTTCAGTTTTTACATCATGAGGGCTTCATTATTTATTGCTTTTCTATCACTGTTATGTGACAGAGAACTCTAATGACAAATCTTGTTGATGTGTTTAGCAAATGTTTGTTCAATATTAATGCTAATAAGAATGCTACTGCTTATTTTTGTTTGGTAGTATTAGACACCATCTCAGTTCCCTATGCTTTTCCCTCTCTTCATTCCCTCATCTTCCCTTGAGAGCTTCAGTCTTTATGCACACATAACACAAACACACACATGCATGTGCTGTGTGTATGCATACAAATGTTTAAATTAAAGTTAAAAGGATGCAACCATATGTTCTCATAAGCTTTTGTTTTTATACAACACTCTTCACTATTGCTTTGGTTCTGACAGAAATGTAAGAAAGTTGCCTAGTAACTTCACCTTTTCTGTAGTTTTAGTGTTTGTATTACTTGTAATACTGTTACTTTTATTCACATTTAACCATTCTGAAACCAAGGTAAGTTTTGCAGTTAATGGCATTTTAGATTCAATGAAACACAGCAACATTTTTCACCAAAAGAAGAAAAGAATGACAGACTCCTTTTGCCTATGGAATTTTTTTTTCTCTGAAATCCAGTTTCCTATGTTATTCCTCATCATCTATAACTTTTTAGTTTTTTTGAGAAATACATTAAGTTACAAAAAGGATCAAATGTCCAAAGATAGGGAAAATGTTTCTTGACTTCTCTGTGACATTGTTTAAACTTTAAAATCTTTGTTAAAGAGAAAAATAGTAATAAAAATGAATGAATACAATTTCCTTCTGTTCTTTTGCATTACAGAATTCTTGATCCTACCACTCCTTGTACATTCCTCCTTTATAGATTGCTCTGATAGCAACTCAGAAAAGAAATGCAATGTCCTTTATTGAAAAATGATTTTTAGGCCGGGCACGGTGGCTCACTCCTGTAATACCAGCACCTTGGGAGGCCGAGGTGGGTGGATCACTTGTGGTCAGGGGTTCAAGACCAGCCTGGCCAAAATGGTGAAACCCCATCTCTACTAAAAATACAAAAATTAGCCAGGTGTGGTGGTGTACGCCTGTAATCCTAGCCACTTGGGAGGCTGAGGCATGAGAATTCCTTGAACCTGGGAGGCGGAGGTTGCAGTGAGCTGAGATCATGCTACTGCATTCTAGCCTGGGCAACAGAGTGAGACTCTGTATCGGGAAAAAAAAAAGATATTTAAAAAAGCAAGGTCTTTATATATAGACTAAGACACAGTAGAATATTACATTGTCCTACTTTAGAAGATCTAAATCATTAAATGATTTTCCATATTTATGCAAACATGGTTTTGTAACTTACCCGCTTAACTTACCTGCTTAAAACAAAACATAATAGAATACTTCAGGGTCTTCTCAATTCCTAAAATATAGAGTTCAAACTTCTTAACATGACTTATAAGTGTTACTTCATCTGGCCCTATGCATATCTACAGTCTCTTCTCTTGAAACCTGCTGCCCACGTCCACACTCATTACTTTTCCAAACATACTATTAAGTAGGCTCTGTCTTCTTTTTCACAAGTGCTGCTTTCCCGTCACAAAACACTTTTAGCACTTTTTATCCCAACTCTTTCCCCTCACCCTCAGTTCTCCATTTAGATACCGCTTCCTCCCAAGAACCTTCACTGACACTGGTACCTCAAACCTGAATCAGGTGCTGCGTTGGTTAGCATTAGGGTCAGCTACAAATAATTTCAAAATTAGAGAGAGCAGACCAGGCAAGGTGGTGCATGCCTATAATCCCAGCACTGTGGGAGGCTCAAGGGGGAGAATCACTGAAGGCCAGGAATTTAAGGCTAGCCTGGTTAACATAGTGAGACCCTGTCTCTTAAAAAAAAAATAAAACTTAAAACTAAAAATTAGCTGGATGTGGTAGTGCACACCTGCAGTCCTAGCTACTTCGGAGGCCTAGGTGAGAGGATCGCTTGAGCCCAGGAGTTCAAGTTTACAGTGAGGTATGATTGTGCCACTGTACTCCAGCATGGGTGACAAAGCCAAGACTCTGTCTCAAAAAAAAGAAAAATTAGAGATACCAAATTAAAAGTTTTTTGAAGTCTATTGAGAATTTTTATAAGTGTAATATTATCAATCTGTATAATAATTTTATAATTTTAGCACAAATGTATCACTGGCTAAAATAATGTATGTTTACACTATACTATGTATTATGAACTTTATTCTTTAGTTTGTATTATATACTAACTAATAGATCTAAATATGCTATATCTAGAGTATATTTTAACATACAGAGAGCCTAAACTTTAGCTAAAAATAGTGTGAGTTTAAAACAATATGATAATATTGAAAGATATCATGGAAGTTTCCTCATTATCAGCTGATATATTTTTCCCCAATAGACTTAATCAGTAACTCTTAAAATAAAGATGCTATAATGAATGTTATTCAAATTATTTTATTTTCAAACTCTAAACCCTATTTATATTTGGATACTATTGTGAGTATAAATAACTAGAGTTAGAACAAAAGATACATTTGTTTAGTAAAAGTCATCACAGAATTATCTAAGTAGTTGTAAATATGGTTTACTGACGTTTATGTATAAGTAATTAAATGTAAGCTTTAAGGAGAGATTTATAATTCTACATTTTTTAGTGACTTTCTCATGTGGTTTGTATCATTAAGAAACAAAAGAAGGAGGGAAATTAAATTAGTCACAAGAAACCTCAGGGAAATATATTTCACAATATTTTAAAGTGTAAATACTTGGAAAGAAAAAAGTTCATAAATTCTAAATATCTCTTAATTTCATAGAAACTTTCCCACAGAAAACCCTAGTAGTGCACTAGTGAGAAAGTATTAATTGGGCAGACAGACCTTCAAGTGATAGAGAAAGGATAGGACCAACACCGATTCTTTCCAAGCATTTGAAGATCAAATGAATCATAATGAATCCTGTAAAAGTTCCAACAGTCAATAGTTACTTGGAAAGGGGCATTTAATAAACAGGCACAAACAGGAAGCCATATAAAGGAACAAGCAGAAGGAACTCTTGTGACCAAGGGAGATTCTTTAAACTGAACCTTCAAGGAGCTTTTACAAGCCCAAGAAGTGCTGAGCTTAAAAGAGAAATGCCTGAAGCAGATGAACCCAACCAATAGACACTGGAACTCTTAATAGATGTACAGCAGTTGTGCTGCAAGCCAATGGAACTTGTCCAGAGGAAAAGTTGTTTGCCAAGCCCTAAGTGGATTTTTTTTTTCTTTCCTTTTGCTTTTTTTTTTTTTTTTTTTTTGCCTTTGCTCCAGTGAGTTGACTCAAGGAACAGAAACCCAATTTCCCACCCAGTTGCCAAATTCCTGACCATTCATTAATGAAAATAAGAAGTCTGCCCAATAACTTTATTTTTTTCCCTCTACACTATTTTTTCAGAGTAAAAAGAAGTGGGGGATGATGGATGATTGAGAGGTGCAGTGAGTTTAATAAAAGACTCTTTTGCCAGAAAGGGGAATAAAAGGAAGCCACTTTGAAATAATAGTATTTGAAACATCCCCACTGGCCAAAAGCAACTGTTGTGGTTTTCCCTAATTATGTTGTATACACAGAAGATGTTTTAGTGGAACAAAGAAGAAACCTAACCTAAAACGCTTGAGAAATGAGGGTAGCTTAACTCCATTTTAATATAGAAAGAAAATCTCTTATATCTTTCTGGAGAAAAAAAAATCAGAGCATTTCATAATATTCCATTGCTATTAGTTCTTAAATTTGGAACGGAGTTAATAGTAAAAGTCATCAAAGATAAACAGACACAAGTCTCCAAACAGTAGTTCAACATGTTTACCAAATCTGAATGCAATTATTTGTGTGGAAAGATATATTAATGCTATTATTTTTTAAAGAGTATTTCATAGTTCATAGTGCTGATGAGCGGAGATTTGTTAGCTTCAGTTAAATCTGAAAAATACAAACTTTGCAGGAAAATGATTTGTTGTGCTCTTAAAGACACCACACTCTATGGCACAAGAGACACATGGTCTAGGTGCATATGATTTTTATACAGAGGAGAAATCTTTTAAGTATACCTTACAGTACACAGTGTCACTTTGTACAATTTCAAATCTTTTATAATATACACATACATTTAAGAATTAATCATTCTGAAGATATGGTGCCAATAGTTTTGTTGTTTAAACAGACCCAATAACCTCCTTCTTCCTTATCCCCTTTGCTTTTTTTTTCAAAAGAAGCTATACTTTGTTCTGCTAGTTTTGTAAGCAGTGTTAAGCCCATTGGCTGACTTATTCCTGTGTTGTCATTCTTTATCCTGTCAATTGCCCTCCTTTCTTAGCTTACAGGAAAAAAGTGAAGAACAAGTTATCATGAATTTGTTGTTTCATGGAACTGTCTCAGAAAGAAGACCAGATACAATGGTCTTTAAAAATGTTGTTTAGAAGATTAAAAGACGACTTACTCGCAGGAACTAGTAGAAAGTGACTAAACTAGGCCACTTTATTTTCTGTCTAAGCTAACATCTCATAATAAGAGTTATTCATGCCTCGAATTTTTAAAAAAATCTATCATATTTTCATGATATTGTTCTCTATTATAACTTGTTTCCCCATTGATGAGCAAGGTCAATATGACTTTTCCCCTCAGGTATGGGGTATGTGGTGCAGAATGTCATGATGTTAGGAGGAAAAGGAAGAAAGTTTTAAAATGTACATGCACACAGGATTTTCTAGACATTGCATTGAACCCTTGTCATATAGTCTTCACAGCAACCCTATGAGGAAGAGAAAGAGAGACATTGTTTCCTGTTTGCAGATGGAGAAGCTTAAGATCAGGCAGGTTGATTAGTTTGCCAAAAATACACAGCCAGTAAGTGAAGTGGGAATTTCAACCCAAGTAAGTCTGATGCACGAGCCCATGTTTTATCTACAATGGCAAATTTTCTCCCATTGGAGTTAGATGATTGCACAGATCGGAGAGTACTCGTTTCTTTTCAATAAAGTTACAATATAAATACTTCCTAATATGGAGTGAAACTAGCCCTTATTGAAGGCAGTATCATTCAGAATACTTACTGGCTATGTCTCTTTGGTCAAGTCATCATGACAAATGTGTATACCTTTTCTGTAGTTCAGTTTTTATATTTACAAAGTAAGAACATATATATGATCTCTCTACTTATAGAGACATTATAACTTAAAAGGGATGATTTTGAAACAACTTTGTAAATTCTTTAAAATGTAAAGTCTTATTGTTGATAATGTTATTGATGATGATGATGATGATGATGATGATGATGATGATGATGATGCTAGACCGCAGGCTCCTTCTATAGCATTCTCTCCAGAAAAGTCTTATGTGGGATTGAAATCACATACTTATGGAAGAAAAATTAACTAAGTAGTCTCAGCAAAGAGAATTCAGGTATATCTCAGAATTATCATGTGTTTTTGTTTTGTTTTGTTTTTGTACTAGTTTAATGGCCCTGACCAACCTTTTAGATGTATCTTGGTTACATATTTGGAGTATTCTTGCTTCAACTTAGTACAGAGATATTTCAGTTTTGCATTGTCTTCTAATGATTAAGAATGAAACATGCTCCTTCATGTGCTAAAGATTTTCATGTCTAGTTTGTGTTTATTTTAAAATGTGAATAGTTAAATCTGGAAAGCCCCTTTGTGTTTATGTTCTTGCAACTAGTTTCCCAAGGATCAATGTGTTGTATCACTGTGGGAATGTTCTTCAGAAAGAGATTGTAAAATTAGTTTGATATAGAAAGCATGCTTTTGTAGAAAATTAGCTAGAGGAGTTATCTAATGAAGAAAGTCTTTTAAATTCAGCTGACACCCTTCAATGTCTGTGTAACTTTTCTGCTTCTCATGCAAAATCTCTTCTTAGTATAACTTCCTAGCCTGTTGAATCATCTGATGTTAATTGCATAGTAATGGAAATAAAGACCAGAAAAGCTGCTTTCTCTTTGGAAGGACTTAACATTCATAAGACCTCTTTAAGGGAAAAGATCAGTATGGGAAAAATCTCTTTTAAATGTATTTTAATATAATCACACTAAAAAGCAAATACATTGATTACTACAGGGACAACAAGCCCTACAAAATTGTCACAAATCCACAGGAAGTGTTTCCTGTTCTTGTTTTTGTCATGCCTTATATATCACATTTGTAAATGTCCCACAAAATGTTTTCAGAATATCCCTGTTTGTAAATTATTTAGAGGCATTCCATGTTCAAATGAGTTGTATTACTATTTGTTATAATCGTATGAAAATATAAATTAGTTAAAAACACTTATTTGTTAAACAAATAACTTATAGAAAGTACCCCATGTTATATTTACAACTCTGAATGAGTTTTATATTTGCTACCTAATTATCTACAATTAGCTACTTGTTTTGCATTTATATTTTCTATAACCCATTTACAGCAATTATATTTTTTCTATTTAAAAATTTGTAGCCCAAATATGACATTTTCATTTTATGTCTGTGTATTTTTTAGTGGCAGAATTAGGATAGAAGTGTAAGGAGAATTAATAGAGAAGATAATATTGGAATTTTAGACTTTGATATTAATATTTTTATATAAGCTTTTGTATATTGAAGCATTAAATGTCTAGAAATTATGTCTAAAAAGATGTAATAGGTTCCGGATTAAAAAGATGAACAAAGTATCCTATATTTTTAATCTTTCAAAATTATTTCATAATCGAATATGCCTTGAACAGAGTTTTAGCAAAAAGAACAGAAATGTTAAGGACTAATTCATCCGATCCAGAATCCTTTCTATGGCAATACATCAATGACCTTTTATGACAAATAGACTGGAAAATTCTTAACTTTCTTTAATAATATGTTCTGGATCTATATTTTATGAGCCCTAAGCCCGAGGTGGATTGTCTATTATTAGATATTGTCTATATCCTGTCACACAATAATAAGTGCTCTAACTTTGTGTTCAAGTGAATAAAATAATGAACTCTATGTTTGCCACCTGAAGTGGTGTGGAATTCAGCCTGTGAAAGAGCATAGATTATTAAGATTATCCGTATTTATCCTATTGGTGAACTATTTTATATTTCCTTGATTAGAGCCCCTCAACTTTTATCTGAATTGAAATCATTTTTTAAAAATTTCATTTAGGCCAGGTGTGGTGGCTCACGACTGTAATCCCAGCACTTTGGGAGGCAGAGGTGGGCGGATTACAAGGTCAGGAGTTCAAGACCAGCCTGGCTAACATAGTGAAACCCCGTCTCTATTAAAAATACAAAAAACAAAAAAATTAGCTGGGCATGGTGGTGGGCGCCTGTAGTCCCAGCTACTTGGGAGGCTGAGGCAGGAGAATCGCTTGAACCCAGGTGGCGGAGGTTGCAGTGAGCCGAGATTGTGCCACTGCACTCCATCCTGGGCGACACGGTGAGACTCTGTCTTCTAAAACAAACAAACAAACAAACAAACAAAAAACAGCTTCATTTGGCCATCTTCACAACTGTGGATAGTATTATTTTTAGTATTACGGGTGAGGGTAAGTCATCCTATTCTGACAGTGAGGGCAGGGAGATTTGGGGAGTCCCTTTTCATTGCAGCTTAACTTTCCTGAGCATACACATTAAAATTGTTCATTACTCGTCTTCTATTTTATAATTAGGCCAATTCTTTTATGAATTTAATAAGGGATCAGAAATTCATCACTATTTTCTTGATTACCAGTGATCAGATCTTGGTAAATACCTTAGTTATCTTGTTGTTATTTTTTCGTTTCTGGGCTGCTTTCTAAATCTACTTTTATCCCCCAAATATGCAGAATTTTAAAATACATTTTAATAGAAAAAGAAGCAAAATATACCCCACCTTGAAGATAAATGAGAACTATCAATGACAGTCATTAGAATGCCATGATAAAATCCTCTAGGAACGTGAGCAGCACATTTTTACTGTGAGCAAAACATCTGTCCAGAATGTCTACTTTAAAACCAATTATACAATGTGTCATGAGGCCCTGTAAGGAGGTACTGGACTGAATTGTTGCCCCAAGCTTTCAGGCTGGGGTGACCATGACTTGAATCCTAGACAAGCTCAACAGGGCATAATAATATGATAAGGGTGAATCCTTGAGCAGAAAATAAAACTGAGTCTGGATAAGTGACTCAGAGTAGTTCCTGAGGCAAGTGATTCATGGCATTAGGAGAGTCCCACTGGGGAGCCAAGGAGGTAGAAGTAGCACAAGAAAATCTTGAGTGAAGGAAATGATAATCCAATCATAGACGCAGTAGGTGGAGGAAATCCAGTAGATTAGAAAAAGGAAGACCAGGACCCAGATAGAGGCAGAAAAAAACAAGCAAAGTATTCAAAAATGGTAGAGTAGGGCCGGGCGCGGTGGCTCACGCCTGTAATCCCAGCACTTTGGGAGGCCAAGGTGGGTGGATCACGAGGTCAGGAGATCGAGACCATCCTGGCTAACACGGTGAAACCCCGTCTCTACTAAAAATACAAAAAATTAGCCGGGCATGGTGGTGGGCGCCTGTAGTCCCAGCTACTCAGGAGGCTGAGGCAGGAGAATGGCGTGAACCCGGGAGGCAGAGCTTGCAGTGAGCCGAGATTGTGCCACTGCACTCCAGCCTGGGCGACAGAGCGAGACTCCGTTTCAAAAAAAAACAAAAAACAAAAAAACAAAAATGGTAGAGTAGGTGAACTCACTTTCTAAAACTAGAGTAGGACATAAGCTTGAATATAAAAGCAGGCCAAAACTCAGTTATGGTACTGAGTGTTTAAAGTCAAAATGGAACACACAGTAAAATTGATTGGTTTTATCCACCAAAGAATGGATTCCATACATGCTTTATGTTTCTCCCACCTACAAAAGGGGTTTAAGAAAAGCTGTGCGAATTTGTAGCAATCAAAGAGAAGAATTCCAGGACCATCATTGGAACCCACTATATGATAATAATCTATCATATCATCACTCTCAACTCCAGTATAAAATCATCCAAGCTGATTCTTCTCATGGCCCCAAATATAACATGTTTCTTTCCACCTGCATGCTTTGTTTTGTAATTTTTCTATCTTTCTGGAAAGCTAAATGTCTCT
Organism: Homo sapiens; assembly: GCF_000001405.40. NCBI lineage: Eukaryota > Metazoa > Chordata > Mammalia > Primates > Hominidae > Homo > Homo sapiens. The sequence goes on along the minus strand of NC_000003.12, from coordinate 78,798,918 downwards.
TCCCAGCTTATTGATGGTCTATCCTTCATCTTAGTCGCCATTCACATCTTACCTCCAAGTAACTACTAAATAAATTCCCATGAATAGCTTCACCTGTACATTGTCAGATAGGAAAGTATGAAAGTACACTAAACTACTCTTCATGGAAGTTTCCTTGAACTGAAAATTTCCAAATTGTTGTACCTTTGGATTACTTGATGTTTTGACATGTCTGTGTTCCTATATGTTTGCCTAGTCAGAGATCTAAAAATATATGATGAAATCTCTTTTGATCTCTTTTGTTGAACATCTGAAAAAGTTTACTTAGCATGTGGTAACAATTTTAATTTGGGAGCATGCTGATAATAAAAAGATGTGTGTGCATGCATGCATCCACAAGTTAAAAATGAGTTCACATATATTTGTTCTTCACATTCAGCTTGCCTGACATTGTTTTTATAAACAGAACTATTAAGCTTGTGGCTTTGGTAAGTAAATGCAGAGTAAATAAAGTATGAATCACTCAAAAATTCTGATAGCATCAAATTTTATCCATACTACTTAGTAATTTTAGGTATTTGATGCATCTGCTCTACCATGCTTATTTGACACTTCAGTGAAAATATTATATGCAGGGCTTATTAATTAGCCATTCAGAAAAGTAGCTTTTTGCTACAGTAGTATGTTTTCCTCAAGAAAAGCCATTTTATTTAAGTGTAACAGTTACTGAAATGATAATACACTATATTCTGTACTTGAAAAGTCCCCATCACGTCTTACCTCCAAATAACTACTAAATAAATTCCCATGAATAGTTTCACCTGTACCCATATGAACTTTATAGTGTGTTTTCTAAATAAAATATCTTCTTTATACTGAATTTTGTGTGCAAAATGTGAGGAAAATAGCATGCATTTCTCAACAGTTGTGGTGGATTTAGATTACTTCATACCTTTATGGAGGGAAAAAGTAAAATATCTAATACCTGATAGCATATTACATTGCTGTTCCCTGTTTCCTCATATCATAAAGAACAGTCATTATATATACAAACAGGTCACCTTTTGTTTTATTTTGTAATATCATCCCAGATATTCCATGATTTGAAAATAAATATCTGATTTTCAGGGTTATTTTATTACCATATTTCTAAGCTATGGTTATAATTTGTCATAATAGTGGTCTTTAGAAAAAACTGAAAACTGTTCCATTTTGGTGTAGAATCAAGCATTTCATTATACCAAAAATTACTTAATTACTGTTGTCATCAGTACCACACCCATCCCCGACACATACAAGAAAAAAACCCTCTGCTTATTGAAAAGTGGCTAAAGAATGTTCTCTCATTATTTTTGATTAATTAAATATCCTCTTGGGACATACTTGGTCTTGCATTTGGGTAATCATGTCTCAGAAGCAGGCTGGAAGATGGCTAGCTAAGGTACAGCTATAAAGGGTGCTGCTCCTCTGTTACACCTGTGATGGGTACCTGAGCCTTAAGTGCAGTTGACAGTAGAGCCTTCCCATTTCATACGTTCGTTCATAACAATACTGTGTATTAACATGAAGATAAAGGAGGACTAATTCAAAATAACTGAGCCAATACCAAGTAATGTAAACAAGTGCAATCTGATAGTTGTTCTACATTTTACAGTGTGACTGGCATTAGACTAGGAGTTAGGAATATACCAATGAACAATGACAATGTCCCTAACTTATGAAAACTTTTAGTGTCATGGTACACTCATTTAAACATGCAGGTACGATGGCTAGTTATAGTTTAGGAAGGGAAATATAGGTTGTTACCAGAGCACAACAGAAGGGGCACCTGTCTGAAAGTTTTAGAAAGTTAGAAAATCTTCAAGAGGAAGAGATATAGAAGCTGTAGCCAAAGACTAAGTAGGAGCTAGCTAAGCAAAAGAAATACATGAGGTGAAAAGTAGGTCAGATGTTGGAGAGATTCGAGTACAAGAGATAGAAAGATGAGAGACGAGGTTGGAAGACAAAGGGTCAAATTACAAATCATAACTATGCTAAAGATAACTTTTTTCTGAAGGAGATGAAAAGCCATTTGGATTTTGACCAAGGTAGTGACAGTTTTCAAAGATTCATTAGACAGAACACTCATGTTGCAGAGAGAAGGAGAAATTAAAGAGGTGAAAGTTTAGAGACACAGGGAGTTAGTTGCTATAACCCAGTCAGGAGAAAGGAAGGAAGAGCTTTAGCAAAGTGAACAAATTGAGAACTAGATTAAAATTAAGATTGTCAGGACTTGATGGTAGATTGAAGAGACTTGAAAGTAAATTGGTAGAGAACAGGATGTGGCACCACGGAATTAGGGGAAGTTAGGGGAAGTAGTAGTAGAGGAGGGTGAAAATGATCAGTTCAGTTTTGGGTATAATGAGTTTAAGATACTTGTGGAACATTGAAATGAGGATTTCCAGCTGGCTCTTACATCAAATGGCTTGGAAATATCTAAGTTCTATGTTTGGTTGTAGTATGTTGCACTGTAGACCCAAGCAAAGAATGTGTGTGCATGTGGATATGAACCAACAGTACTGCATGCGGTTCTGGTATTGAATTTCAGGCTTTCATTAGTCTTTTTTATTTAATTTTTTTTTTAGCCAGAGGTGACTAAAGGAAATGTCTCTTTAACTGTAGGCAGATATTTCTTATTATTTGTTATTCTTTTCTCTAATGATTAGAGAAATAATAATAATGGCCAACACATATTGAATATCTGCTGGAAGGCAAGCCTTATCTCACTGTACCTAAATTACTTTATTTAATCTTTATGAGTACCATGTGAGGTAGCTACTATTATTATTATCCACATTTCATACCAAATGTGGATAATAATAATCATAAGATGGAGGGAGGTAGTGTAACCTGCTCCAGATCACTTTGCTAAAAAGTGGCAGAACTGGGATTCAAACCTAGACAGTCTGTTGTGTTAAAGTCTATCTCAAGAATTTGAAATTCAGGTTAAACTTGGCTCCATTAAAGCATTAAAGGAGGTTGCTCGTCAGGAATGCCTTTTCCTTCCTTTTCAGTAGGGTCAAAGTTCTGCTCTGGGACCATGTATCTCCTTCCCAGTTCCTTAGGGTATTTCCTGGTGCCTGTCCCACTATTCCCTTTGGCAATGAAGTGTATCTTCCACATGAGCTGACTTGAAAATCCTCTCCCATTTGCAAAAACATAGACTCAAAGAAATTTTCTGTGTAGCACTTTTAAACATGCCTCCGTAGCTATAAATTGGCTTTTCTTCTTTTTTGGTTCAGGATTGTACTTCTGTGTTATAACTCCCTTTTATATGTCTTAAAAGAAGTTATCAATCATCTTCATGTTTACCGTTGTGCCTCTCACAAGAAAGTGTTGCATTACCTGAAGGAAGCGACCTTGGCATTTTCTTCTGTCTTCCCATAGGATGCTGTTCTTTGAGATCTCAATAAAGATGGCATCTGGTTCCCTTTCTTAGTGTTGTTCCTGTATGCAAAGCTGTCCCTTAAGGGTATGAAGTTTTAAAAAGTTTTTTATCAAGAAATATAAACCAGGGTGTTACACATTTTCTGTTATGGGAGGGGGAGGCCGTAATTTTGTTTCTTGAGATTGTATTAAGCAAGAATCCATTATCTCCTTTGAGAAATAGCTTCATATTTACTAATGGAGATAATTAAATGGATGCCTGGGGTATGAGTTGGTGCTCTGACTTTTATTATGTTTCATTGTTTTCTTGTGTAATTGATCAACTTTGTAGTTGGAGAATAAGGTTAGATCAGTACAGTATTATCTAGGGTAGGTATTGGAAGGGAATGCTATCTTTTTACAGGCCAAATTTTTTTTTCTGCAAGGAAAATATCAGTGATATATCAATAACTTGAACACATGACATAATTTCAGTTAAATCATTTTTAGTATGAATTATTTTCTGTTAAATGTAATTACAAGTACTAGGCTGCTTATAAGATACATTTCTGAAATTATTTGAAATGAATCATTTGGAGTTACTTTGTTTTAAAACTCCCAGAATGCAATTACTGGTAAAGACTGTCAATTGCGGCTAGGTACGGTGGTTCACACATGTAATCCCAGCATTTTGGGAGGCTGAGGCAGGCAGATTGCTTGAGCCCAGGAGCTTGAGACCAGCCTGGGCAATATGGCAAAACTCTGTCTTTATTAAAATACAAAAATTAGCCAGGCATGATGGTACATGCCTGCAGTCCTAGCTACTCGGTAGCACATGGCTGAGGTGGGAGAATCCAGGAAGTTGAGGCTGCAGGGCTGCAGTGAGCTGAGATCACACCAATGCACTCCAGTCTGGGTGACAAAGTGAGGTCCTGCCTCAAAATAAATAAATAAATAAAGACTGTCATAGCCACAGAACAGCTGTTGTGCTCCATTCAACACTCTACATCCTGGTTGTTAGTATGCCTTGTAACTTGCCTTAGAAAGTCACCTAGGCTTTTCTTTTCTTGCTTGTAAAATAAGGGCCCCCTTCCAACTCCAAGGTCCCATACACCACTATTAGAAATTGAAGTTTTAAAAATTTAAAATAAGACAACAGTAGTTATAGTAAACATTTATATAGTGTTACTATGCATTGAGCTCTGTTCTATTTTACATATTTTAATTTTATGTGATTCTCATAGTAATCCAATGAAGTAAGCATTATGATTATTGTGTCCATTATATTGATAGGGATATTGAGATAAAGAGAGGCTAAGTGACCTACCCAGGGTAACACAGCTAGCTCAGATAAGAGCCAGGATCCAGCCCAGACAGTAGGATTTCAAAATCCATGCTCTTAGCCAGTGTACCATATGACCTCCCATTGTATTTTTATTTGCTGTGTTTTTGTGAATTTACGATTAAAAATAAAGTGTAGGTCTTTGATGATATGAAATGATTTGACCAAATCTTAACTTTTTAAAAGTCACAAAGTTAATTAACATGATTCTCATTTTTTTAGATGAGGATCTAGTTAAAAACAATTCTACAGTCAATATACTTTAAATTTAAATATTTTAAAATAATTCAGTGCTTCTTTGAAGAAAAATACATTTCAATGATTTAGTCTTTTCGGTCATAGAAAATTGCCTGTGTTTAGGAAAAATAATATTTTATATCTGAATATCAGTTGACACATTCATATGGCCAAAACTATCTCAAAATTAAAAAAAAAAACTAAATATCTTATTATTTTCAGTTTCTACTTCTCCTCTACCTCCCAATCTAAAATTTAGCATATCTTTAGCATTTGTGTGTTAGACTCTATTTGATGTCCGTACCCTAGGGTTCAGTCATTAACACAATTGCTATTGATGGCTTATTTGTCACTCAGGGCAGAGGGAAGAACCTTGATCTGCCATATTTTAACAGGAAAGCAAAATTGTTGGATCATGTACCTGCAATTAGACCCACATTTAGCACATTTATTTTCTCCTACTTGTCATCACTTAGGTGGCATTTTATGATTATTCTTGTAAGGCTAAGTATAATCAGAAGGTTCCAATTAAAAGTGTTTATCAGAATTACTCAGAGAATAATTTTAAAATGAAGGAACCAAATTCTAAGGCCAAATTAGTGAATTTGACAGATATCGCTATCTTTTAATTCTGCAGGAGATTCTGCTATGCATTCTTTGTTAAAAACAAGGAATTAAAATGAAGTTTTTGAGATTTAATGAACTCGTATTTGTATTACAACTCCATGAATTATTAGTTCTAATTGATGTTAACTTAGCAAATTTAAGACTCTGTTCCTTTCCTTTCCCTTTCTCTTTCTTTCTTTCTTTTTTTTTTTTTGGTTTTGTTTTGTTGTTGTTGTTGTCTCACTCTGTCACCCAGGCTGGAGTACAGTGGCAAGATCACTGCTCACTGCTACCTCCCTCTCTCAGCTCAAGTGACCCTCCTGCCTCAGCCTGCCAAGTAGCTGGGACTACTTGGGACCACTGGGACTACAGGCACTTGCCACAATGCCTGGATTTATTTGATTTTATTTTTAGTAGAGAGGAGGTTCTACTCTGTTGCCCAGGCTGGTCTCAAACTCCTGAGCACAAGTGATCCTCCCACCTTCGCCTTCCAAAGTGCTGTGATTACAGGCATGAGCCACTGTGTCTAGGTAAAGACTGTTTCCAATATAGAAAGTTGATTTATTACTTATTTTATAATGTGATTATAAGGATTAAATATGAAAATATACAAGAGGATATTATAAATGCTCAATAGATAGCAGTCATTATAACTATTAATTTAAATTTGTTTTAATTGATATAAAATGTTGAGAGAAGGAAAGTGAGGCGACTGTGGGATTTGTCCTGGATGGAGTACGTGATTTTCATCAATGCTGTGGCAATGGTCAAGACAGATATAATCCTTTTTATTGAAACACAGGCTGCTCATTCCTGTACCCCTTGATAGCTTTCTACTTGCTATTGTCCATCCAATTCTTGCAGCACTCAACCCCTGACTGCATAATTACTTGTGAAATTGCTTGTTACCCAATTCTGCTACTTCAGCAGCTCACTATCTAATAATGGCACATTAGTAGGTAAAGTAATAAATCATGTTTTAAAACTCATAACAGTTGCAAGAATGACAGGATGATGAAAACAAAGAAGCACATTCCAGATCAAAATTAAAGTCTACAAAGCTATTGTGCTGTCTGGTCTTGTTTATAGAAATGACACCTACCATCACCACATTCAATTATAAGACAAATTCTATCAGCATCTTTTAGTACCACGCTTCACACCAGATGGTAGGGCATAGTTCCCCACAATGAGGTCCCAGGACTCATGCCATCCTGAGAAGTTGAAACCATCCTACATGAAAGTCAACTCCCCAGGGTTAGAAAGGAGTGGAGCACATGCCAGGCAGATGAAACCCTATGAGGGTCCCCTGTAGCACAGCCTGAAGCAATGTAACATCACAGTGGATGGCTGGAAAACACCTGCAGCTGAATGAGTATTCTGGACAGCAATCAGGGATGGCTCAGCTCATTTTGAGCTTAGCTCTTGTCATATCCTGGAGACAAACTGGCAGGAGCAGATGCAACAGCAGCCTCTCACTGGAAAATAGCAGCCACAAGAGAACACTGGATATCGATGATTATCATAATTACACGGAACATTGCTACGTAGCACTTTTATGCATGCATTTCTGATCCTTATCACAGTTGTGCAAGAAAGGTAGGGCTCCTTCTATTAAACCAATTTTTAGGATAAAGAAATGGATGTATAGAGAGGTAAGTGACAAGCTCAATAGCACACAGACAGTAAAGGTTGATGTATCAGCAGACGCAGATACGAATTTTTAGGAGTCTGAAGCTCATAAAAATTTCAGTCTCTTTTTAAGAAATAATGTAATACCAGAATGCATAATCAGAGGGTATCGACGAAGCCTGTCTCAGCGAAGGTTTTTAAAGCTTGAACTTTATTAGATTCAGGATATATCCATTCTCTGCATATTGGTTTTTAAACTTGGTGGCTTTCCCAAGGGCAGAAGTGTCAGTATCACAGCTTAAATTATGAGAGAGAAGATTTTGTTGTTTTATTTGAAGCAAAGGACATTTTTTGCCGTGCCTTACTGCTCTTTTTATTAGACAATTTAGCAAATTGGCATGAATTCCTATTTTAATCTATAGGAGAGAGGAGGATCTTAGAAACCATGAAAATTATAATACTTCTGATTCTCTCCTAACCCTATAGTGTACCTATGACAACAACACGTAGGAAGCAAGCATGGCAATAGGAAAATGAATATTGCCAAAAAAGTAGAGAAGTAGACACTTCTGGTTGTCTGTCTGCCAGGAATTCTCTTTGTTCTCACTGGCAGGGCCTCAGGTTTGATCTGGTCTTTCTGTGTCTCCTCCACGAGACTGAGGGAAGATCCATCCTCTCGCTAGCTCTAGGGTAAATCCCTATTTGTGTTATCCTATTTCCTTAACAATAACTGGTTTCAAAAGTGATGCTTGACCCCTTCCTTGCAATGAAATATGAAGACAAGTCTGATGGGGGGACTACTTTATAAGGTTAAATGGCATTTTCCTTCCCTGCCCCATCCCTTGGAATTAGGTCTACATATGTGACCTAGAATTACAGCAGCTGTCTGTCAACCATAAAAGGGAATCAAATGCAAAATGTGAATATTGGACAGTGGAAATATGAAGGAACTTGGGTCCTAAAGGACATGGCTGACTTGGAGAATGGACAAGTCTTGGAGCTTCCTTACCTTGGGACTTTCTGTTTTATGAGATAATACCTTTTTCTTAGTAGGGAGTGTTGGCAATCTGGAGCTGAATGTCTTTACTGATACAAATATTAAAAGCAATGAACCAGGGAGATGGTTAATGGTACAAAAAATTGTTAGTAAGCATGAGTAAGACCTAGTATTTGATAGCACCACAGGGTGATGGTATTGAATAATAATTCAATTGTACGTTCAAAAATAACTAAGAGAGTATAACTGGATTGTTTGTAACACAAAGGATAAATGCTTGAAGTGATGAATATCTCATGTACTCTAATGTAATTATTATACATTGTATGCCTGTATCAAAATATATAATATACTCCATAAATATATATATATGTACCTACTATGTATCCACAAAAATTAAAAAATAAAAAATAATGAAAGCAATGGACCAAAAGTTCTAAGCTGCACAGGAAAAGCTGTAAGTCTAGGAGATAAATGATAAAAGCAAAGGTGGGGTGGAGTGAGGTCTAAGACCTGGATGTGTTGGTAACTTTTGGTGTCCTGACACCAGGTATAAGAAGAACAAGAAAGTTAGAAAACAAAGCTGTCAGACATCTGAGAGAGACCTGAGAGATTATGTTTTAGGACTCCAACAGTCCCCAGTATTGGTCAAGGTTCATGGTATGTGGACAATAGAAGACAAAGCTGCAATAGAGGAGATTAAATTTATTATAAAAGATCTTTTAAAAAAGCTGTAAGTTTGCATGCCTCGTCTGTATAGATGTTAAGCTAGCCCAAGATGTTGGTCCAATTTGGGAGGTCATGCGGAGGATGTTTGAGACTGAATTATCCAAATTCTGATTCAACAAAGGTGGTGGCTGAAAATGATGAAATGGCATAGCCAGTTGTATATATGAATGGCTTGAGCTCTAAAGAGGGGACAGTTTTTTCTCAAAAGTATAGATTAATGAACTAAAAGTCCCTGTGAGATCAAGAAGAAAATGTTAGCACTCCTTCTAGCACTGGAAAACTGAAGCAGTGAGAGTCGCCCCGTGTTCTCTCAAGTTAACCAGATTTTACATAAGACAAAAGGTATGAAGAGTGTGAAAGAGATTGAAGGTAAAGAGTAGATCATTCATAATTTCCCCCTAACATGTAGGGAAAACAGAACATACAGGATTTCTGAGACCATAAAATGACACTTATCATTTATATTTTAAAGGCATTATTTATTTTCATTATGTGTGAAATATAATTTATGCTACTCAAAATGTCAGTCGCAAATCATTACTGAGAGTGAATCTATTCTTTATTCCAAAGTGCTGAGAGATTATGGAAAAGTCCTCATTCTTAGTCGTTAAAAAATTGTTCATACTTGAACCCTAATTTCATTTGTAAATTTGAGCGAAAAGTTGAAGTCGGGTCCACATTAATGCTTTTGAAATGAGAATGCTATTATCAATATCAATATCTTAGCTTTAATCTTTCTCTTATTTTTCACCATTAAAAGTGATAATCTTACTTTTATTCATTCTGTTCCCCCGAGGCACAAAACCAGTGATGACTTGTTGAATTTTAGTTATGGGTAGTCTATTTCTCTAGATTTGCCAAGATCAGTCTACACTTATGAGAAATAGATTTTAGCGCTGTATTCAGACTTACTAAGAAGGCTTATTATTTTGCATAACAATACTGATCTTTCATATCTTAGTGTTTGGCCCAGCCTATGTGAGATTAGTGAAATGAGTCAATTCATAATTCTTTTACTCTTAGTTCTGGGGGTAATTTTCTACACTCCTGACTCCAACTAGTTATGGTATCATCCAACTTGTTTAGTGTGCAATCTAACTCTAATTAAGATGTATTTTAAAAATTATGAATTTACACTACATTAGAGATATCATTTTTCTAATTTATTGATTAATTTTGATATTTTATAAATTTTGGATTTAATTTTAGCTGTGTCAGTTTTGCCAATTTGAATAAAAAGCTCTAATATTTTGTAATTGTAGACCTAAATGTGCTAGGGATTTCAAATGCTTTTTTAAAAAACAAAACAAATCAAAACTAAATACCACTAAGATATGGTAAACTATTAGATAATTTGGAATTATTTCAAACTGTAAAAGTGATAGAGTTGTTTTCAGAGGAAGTTAATATATAAAAGCCCTTTGGAAAATAAGCAATATAATTGATTTCAAAGTGGAGAGCTAAATTCTTATATCAGACTTTATTATTTTATTTGGCAATACTGAATATTCTAGGTCCTAAGTGGAATCTTTTTTTTTTTTTTTTTTTTTTAAAAAAAAAAAAAAGAAAAGAGAGGCTGGGAGCGGTGGCTCATACCTGTAATCCCAGCACTTTGGGAGGCCGAGGCGGGTGGATCACGAGGTCAGGAGATCGAGACCATCCTGGCTAACACGGTGAAACCCCGTCTCTACTAAAAATACAAAAAAAAATTATCTGGGCGTGGTGGCGGGCGCCTTTAGCCCCAGCTACTCGGGAGGCTGAGGCAGGAGAATGGCGTGAACCCAGGAGGCGGAGCTTGCAGTGAGCTAAGATTGCCCCACTGCACTCCAGCCTGGGCGACAGAGCCAGACTCCGTCTCAAAAGAAAAAAAAATACAAAAACAAAATCAGTCGGGCGCGGTGGCAGGCGCCTGTAGTCCCAGCTACTCGGGAGGCTGAGGCAGGAGAATGGCGTCAACCCGGGAGGTGGAGCTTGCAGTGAGCCGAGATCGTGCCCCTGCACTCCAGCCTGGGAGACAGCGGGAGACTCCGTATCAAAAAAAAAAAAAAAAAAAAAAAAAAAAAAAGAGAAGGGGTCTAACTCTGTGGCCAGGCTCAAATGCAATGGTGTGATCATAGCTCACTGCAGCTCACTGCTCAAGTGATCCTCTCACTTGTGTAGCTGGGTTTACAGGCTCACAACACTGTATCAGATTTTTTGTTTTTTGGAGAGACGGGGTCTCATTTTGTTGCCTGTGCTCGTCTCGAAATCCTGGCTTCTGGCTTCAAGTGATCCCCCTGCCTTGGTCTCCCAAAGTGCTGGATTATAGGCATTAGCCACCGCACCTGACCAGAGTGATCTTTTCCACTGTAATTTTTAAACTAGCTGTGGTATTATATGTAAGTCTAATAGGTAAAACCCGCACATAGGTGATAGCTTGTTTTACTGAAATTTTTACTTACAACGTGGATCACAAGACCCAAGATAAAACACATTAAAGTGAAAGTACTTATGGTTATTATGTACCCTGGATGAACTCATTCTCTTTAATAAATCATCGACATCTTGCTTCCAACAGTTAGTATGGGATAATAAAAAAAAATTCTGATTTGCTTCAAAAACATAAACAGTATTTGAATTTCACTATGTAAAATACTGCTTTTTATGTCCTAAATCACATAAATACTATAACATCATGAATAGTTATATTATTAATACAACAATTTTGAAATACTGGTATATGCCTATATAATTACTGATTAGTGTTATTATAGATTACTGAATTAAACAGTCAAAACAGTATGTTTAATAATTTAGGCCAGTGATCCTCAAAGTATGGTTCCTTGGCTATGCATCATCAATATCACCTGGGAACTTATTCTCAGAAATCAAATTCTCAGGTCCTACACTAGCGTAACTGAATCAAAAACTTGGGGTTGGGGCCCAGCAATCTGTGTTTTATCAAAGCCATCTAGGTGATCCTGCTATGAACTGAAGGTGGAGAACCACTAGTTTAGGAGGTCCAGCCCTGGAGTTGCATACAACTAAGTTTGAATGCTGGCTCGTTGACTCATTAACTGTCATTTTGAGTGAGCTGCTTACCTTCTCTAAGACATGGAGTTCACATTTGTAAAATGGTAAAATGATGTATTAGTCCATTTTCATACTGCTATGAAGAAATACCTGAGACTGGGTAATTTATAAAGAAAAAGAGGCTTAATGGACTCAACAATTCCATATGGCTAGGGAGGCCTCACAACCCTGGTGGAAGGCAAAGGAGGGGCAAAGGCACATCTTCCATGGCAGCAGGCAAGAGAACATGTGCAAGGGAACTGCCTTTATAAAACCATCAGATCTCGTGAGACTTATTCACTATCATTAGTGAAGGAGAACAGCATGGGAAAAACCCACCCCCATGATGTAATTACCTCCTACCGGGTCCCTCCCACGACATGTGGAGATTATGGGAGCTACAGTTCAAGATGAGATTGGGGTGGGGACACAGCAAAACCATATCAAATGATAATACTTGAATCATGAGGGAGGGTCATGAGGATTAAATAAAATAATAATCTGAAATATGTATATAATAGCATCATCCAGACTCATACTAAGCACTCAATTAATGATTTTAAAAGAGTGTCAAGAAATATTTCTTGAAATTTACTGAAACTTGTTTTATAAAGCACTTTTCCATAAATGTATTTTCTGATATTTATTGCTCATATTAAACTTGGTTATATAATATAAGTAGCCATGGTAATAAGAAGTCACTTTTTTAAGACACATGCAAATCAAACTCAGGTGACAGAAACTTTTATTAATCTTACTTTCAAAAGGATAAAAGTGTAGCAGAGAAAGTAGGTGGAAGTCATGGAATCAATTTCAAACCCAGAAGTCTGGTTAAAGGACTTCTGATCTTATGTATTTCTCTTTACTAATTTTATGTTTTTCAAAATAAAGGTAGTTCACATTAATTTAATTTATAGACTCTTGATGGATTGAGAGTTTTATAATAACAACTAGCTGTTTTTATTGGTACCTTAGAAATATTGGTTCTGATTTTGATTTAGCAAATTCACCTGTTAAAATACAACAGCCCTCTTTGGACTGCTGCTTGTTGTGAACTGTAGTGAGCTAAGAAGAAAGCTAAATAAAATATCCATGATTTGAAGAGGGTGTTTAAATACTAATAATAACTTGCAAAACAAAACTAAATGAATGCAAGTACACAAAGGATAATTATGCACCATTATATTACTCTACTACAATGAAAACGTACGGTGGACAGATGTAGGAATTACTAGGAAGAAAAAATTGTAGGAATAATTGGAATCATGTGAATCTTGAACCAGCATGTAAGAGGGAAGGTACTAATAAGTGAGGAAGGATTTTATTTATCTTCAGTTAAGAAGGAATTGAATCATAGCCAGAATTTGTAAGGAGATTTGTCTGCTTGGCAAGTATACAAGACAGGTATGTATGAGTAGTAGTAGGAATAAGAAGACAAAAACAGTAAAAAAGAAAAATCCATCAAATAAGCAGCCTACAGTTTAGTGTTTTGAAAGCAGTGAAGCAGTAAAATAATAAATGATAGCGATTTTGTATGGGTAGGTAGTAAGTTGAGAGCTAGGAGCCTGACAAAGAGAGACTGTCCACTTTACAGAGGGTTAAGATCCCCACTGCACTGAAGTTTTCAAAATGAAAGGGAATAAGTACAGAAACTAAAGAAAAAGACTCAGAAGAGTGTTCTAATTGTTTTACAGATTAAAAGAATGAGTCATATACCTTAAGAGTGAGTTCACTGCAATGTGTTCATCATGCATCTCTCTTTAACACAGGATTATAATCTTAGACTTTATATCGTTGCAGTTGATGCAAAAGCACTCCTTTTTCTAGGCAGTCATGTATCTGAGCACAGCTTGGCAAGTGGAGGTCCAGTTACATTTTAGACCCACTTGCCTTTGAACAATGAATAAGCTGTGCAAATTGACATGGTACACAATATGCTGGATGTACTTGTGCAGTGAATAACCTGTGCAGCTGTACTTGGCAGTCTGCTTTAGTAATGCTTTTTGTGTTATAGAATGGGAAGAGAAGTTAGTAGTCATCTAGATGAACATGTTCACATTAAAGGTGAGAAAATGAAGCTCAGGGACAAGAGAAAACTTTTCTAAGTTATTGAATTAGTAACCCTGATAGTTGCAAATGGCTAACCATATTTAATATTACTCTATTAAAGAATGAAGACATAACAATAATTTAATATCCAGGACCAATGTTGACCTATGCAAAATAAGTTTTTTTAAGATTTTTGTTGCTACTATTCTTTGGACAAATAAAATATACATTTATTTTATTCCATGTACCATAAGAACTCTAACATTCCTTAAAGAACGTGTCCTTTTTTTCAATTTACTTTTAAGTTCATTGTTAAAATTTCCTAGATTAATTATATACATTGTCATTATCATTTAGCAATTTACAGGCATGTAGTAACCATGCATTCTATACCTAGACAGTATTGTGGACTTTTTAAAGCTGTACAGCTAAACATCCCGAAACAGAAGTTGAACTGATACCCAATGGAACTCAATGCCTGTGCTCTTGAACATTTGTCTGTATTAATTTCTTATTCATTAGATAATCAAAGCCCTCATGACTAACTTTCTATTAAGTGTTTTAGAATATGCCGGGCATGATATTTAGAGTTTTTATGGGTAATATCATTTAATTATAACAGTTAATAATTATTATTCCTATTCTACAGATTAAGTGATTGAGTATTTAGAAGGTAGTTTGTGAATACAATCTCAGCCTCAAATAACCTACATTAAAACTATTATTGTTATATGACTAGTTATTAATGTTTTGTTATAATTGTGATATATGGATATGCTTACCTCTATAAGGTAGCATATTTAGGGAATTATAAATCTATTATTTAAAAATGTCTTTTTTTTCTGCGTAGTTACTTATGTACTCTTTCCTAACAATCACTTTTACCTTAGATGCTTAAAAACCTGCTAGTTCAAAGCCACTTAATATTTCATAGAGCCACAATAATGTTTTATATTTCTCAAGTTTCACTACATTTAAACATTGAGAAGCAATGTATTATTCATAATAACATCCTGTTCCTTGGATAGTGAAGTGTAATTCAGCATGATTTAGTCTGCAATCAGATATCCTGGTTCACCAAGAGAAGCCACTTTGGCATAGTCTAAGGAGTGCTAAAAAGCAACCTTGGGAGATGTGATTTATACCATTGTTTTGGTTATTAACTAGTTGTGTGACGTAAGGTGAAACCCTTGACTTCTATGAATTTGTTTTCCCATAGGTAGAGAGAGGAATTTATCTCCTCCAGCACTGTTATTCCACAAGTCTAAAATTTTCCTGAAATCAGAATCTTACAAAATGCCATAGAACCTATGTATAGTAAATGTACTTTAATCTTTGATTAAAATAGCGTTTTAGAATCTTGAATGTCCTTAGCATCACTATTGTGATAATAATTTATCATTATGTAGTAGATATGTATACTTGCTATTAATAGTGAATTCATCTTATTAGAAAGAAAATTAAATTGATTGTAGGTATAGATGAAATCCTTGGTCTGTGGTAAATGTTGAGGTGCTTTTGTTTGTTTTAGTAATGGCTAGTTTTGCTTTGGTTTTCTTTGTAACAAGCAACACTGATTGACTTTTTAAAAAAATATATTGTTCCAATGTGTACACATGGACATAGAGTGTGAAATGATAGATAATAGAGACTCAGAGGAGGTGGATGATGGGAAATTACTGAATAGGTACAATGTATGTTAATGGGGGAGGATTACACTAAAAGCCCAGACTTCACCACTTGCAATATATCCACATAACAAAATTACACTTGTACCCCTTAACATTTACACAAATAAAAACCAAAAATAATGTTTAAAAAGGGAAATAAATAAATAAACAAAAATCTATTATTCCTTTGTTCTTTAGTCACGAATTCATGTTTTCATTGTTACTTTCACAGTGCCTATATGATTGCCCAGCACATAGAAATCAATAACTATTTATGGAAAACCTGAATGAGTTTATTCAACAGGCATACGTTAAACCACTCTTTTATACTTAGTTCAGTGCCAAATATTGGAAAAATATAAAGATGAAACAGTCAAATTTAGTCCTTGAGCATCTCAATATTTAATGAAGACAAACCAACATGTATGATAATTGCAGTATAAGGTGATGAATGTTCTAGTAGACATTTAATTAATAATCCTAGAATATGTGAGAAAATATCTGTTTTGTCGTTTGCAAATTTAATGAAGGTTTAAAAAGTAGAAAATAAAAACAGTGGTGTTTATAGATTCAGGAAAGCCAGTGTGAACAGGGAACTAGTGAATTTTGATACACAGGAAAATATTTCAGCCTAGGATATGGAATGGACTGGGGAGAACTAAGGTTGCAGAGTTTGAAGAGAAACTAAAGGTGCTTGGAAGCGACATTAAGAATTTCAATTTATGGGCCAGGCACAGTAGCTCATGCCTGTAATCCCAGCACTTCGGGAGGCCAAGGTGGGAGGATCACTTGAGGCCAGGAGTTCAAGACCAGCCTGGCCAACATAGTGAAACTCCATCTCTACTAAAAATACAAAAATTAGCTGGGTGTGGTGGTGGGTGCCTATAATCCCAGCTACTTGGGAGGCTGAGTCAAGAGAATCGCTTAAACCTAGGAGGCACAGGTTACAGAGAGCTGAGACTGTACTGCTACACTCCAGTCTGGACAACAGTGCAAGACTCTGTCTCAAAAAAGAAGAAAAAAAAAAGAATTTCAACTTAATTTTAATAGGTTATTTAAACAATAAACTTGAAATTGAGCTAGATAACTTGGAGTTAATAGACATTTAAAGCAAGAAAATGACAGGTTCATATTTAGTTTCCAGAAGATAACTACAGTAGAATAATTACTTGGCCTAGCAAAATGAGCAGGCTAGATGAAAAAAGACCAGTATGAAAACAGTTGCAGTGAAAGATAATGAGCTGCTTTTTACAGCAAATAATTTTAGACTTTTTGGATGTTTCATACCTACTTATTTGCATGTACACTTTTGTACATTTACAACTTTTGTAAATGTTTTTATTTACTATATACTACTCTATACCAATGACAAACTATTATGTATATTTTAAACATCATATGTGATTTTATTAAAATTTTAAGCACTAAGATTAAAAATACATATTGTTAAATTTTCTATTATTATCTTACACCAATGGATTGTTTTCTATAGCCCTGGAATGTTGTTCACTCACTCTAGATAGTATGAATCAAGAAGAGTTGTTCTCAACCTTATCTGTATATTGGAATCACCAGGCTGCCTTTCAAAACAATTATTTCTGAATCTAGGTGTGAGACCTGGACATTGAAATTTTTCTGTCTCCCCAGGGGATTTCAGTGTGCAGTCAAGGATAAGAACCACTTAAAGGGATTAGAGGAATGATTTTAACCCCTGAGCACAGAGAAAATAAAGGAGAGGAGTGGTATGTTATGTTAGAATCACATGGGAAACTGTCAAACTACACCCACTGCTTCACTTTTCTGAAGCTTTTATATACCCACTTGGGGTTAGAGTTTGTGCTTTGAGGCTACCTAGATAGAATTAAATGTTAGAGTTAATCTAGATGAAGAAGTTGGCTAGCATCTAATTTAACATGTGAAATTGGAGTCGGAGAGAAGGTGACTAATTTGAGAGAAAATTGTGTGATAAATCTGACTATTTGGATATGGGACTGATAGAGCAGGAGAATTACAGATTGACTCTAGGGTGTTCTGGCTTACTTATATATACTAATAGAGGAAATGGATAAGGGCAAAAAGTGGTTACTGTGCTGTTTTGTTGTCATTGTTGTTTTAGAGTAGTGATATTGCTGAAATCCGTTTGTATTTAGGGTTCAACTATATGAGGTATCCAAGTGTTTATGTACCAAGGAAGTGAGAACTATTTGTTTAGGTTTTGGTAGAAATAAATCTGAGCTGTGATTATAGATTATGGAGACTCCCACATAAAGACAGTGCCTAACATCATGGGGTTGAATAGTATCATTAAGTCAGGAACAATATTCCACATAAAAAGAAGCAGGGGTGAGTTAGAGAACCTAAAAAATCATAATAAAAAAGAAAACACGGAGAAAAATCCAGTCAAGAAGACAGAGAAGGAACAGCTGGAGATAAGGGAGGAGAAGCAGCAGAAATGAATGTGGTAGGCACCAAAAGAGACTAGAGTTGCCAAGAAGAAGCAGGTCAATAGTAATGAATTCTGCACAACAATCAACTCATACAAAGCCTGAAAATAGGCTTCCTGATCAGACAAATTAGGAGATTTGTAAAAGCTGATGTGAAAAGAGTTTCCACAGGGTGAGCAAACAAATTGAGGCAATCTGTCTCAACGTTAAAATTATTTTGGCAGTAGAGGAAGGCGTACAATAAGAAAGTACCATCAGGGAAAGTTTGGGGACATGACAGGAGAGATAAGGGCATGCATGTATATGGAATGAAAAAAAAAATCTAGAAATACAAAAATGGCGCCATGCAAAATCAAACTTGTACCTTGCTCTAACTGAGCCCAGATTACTTATTGTTAGTATTTTCTTTATTGGCTAAGGTATTTTGAATTTTGGAAATTGCGTCTTATTGTAATATGCTGCTTTAACACGTAGCTGTGGCATGCAGTCTCAGTTAATAAGACTAACATATGTGAATTTTTTTTTATACTTTAAATTCTGGGATGCATGTCCAGAACATGTAGCTTTGTTATACAGGTATACACGTGCTATGGTGGTGTGCTGTACCCATCAACCTGTCATCTACATTAGGTATTTCTCCTAATGCTATCCCTCTTCTAAGCCCCCAACCCACTAACAGGCCCTGGTGTGTGATGTTCCTCTCCCTGTGTCCATGTGTTCTCATTGTAAAACTCCCCCTTGTGAGTGAGATCACGTGGTGTTCAGTTTTCCGTTCCTGTGTTAGTTTGCTGAGAATGATGGTTTCCAGCTTCATCCATGTCCTTGCAAAGGACATGAACTCATTCTTTTTTACGGCTGCATAGTATTCCATGGTGTATATGTGCCATATTTTCTTTATCCAGTATATCATTGATGGGCATCTGGGTTGGTTCCAAGTCTTTGCTATTGTGAACAGTGTTGCAATAAACATATGTGTGCATATGTCTTTATAGTAGAATGATTTATAATCCTTTGTGTATATACCCAGTAATGGGATTGCTAGGTCAAATGGTATTTCTGGTTCTAGATCCTTGAGGAATCGCCACAGTCTTCCACAATGGTTGAACTAATTGACACTCCCACCAACAGTGTAAAAGCGTTCCCATTTCTTCACATCCTCTTCAGCATCTGTTGTTTCCTGACTTTTGAATGAACAACATTCTAACTGACGTGAGATGGCATCTCATTATGGTTTTGATTTGCATTTCTCTAATGGCCAGTGATGGTGAGCTTTTTTTCATATGTTTGTTGGCTGCATAAATGCCTTCTTTTGAGAAGTGTCTGTTTATATCCTTTGCCCACTTTTTGATGGGGTTGTTTGCTTTTTTCTTGTAAGTTTGTGTAAGTTCTTTGTAGATTCTGGATATTAGCCCTTTGTCAGATGGGTAGATTGCAAAAATTTTCTCCCATTCTGTAGGTTGCCTGTTCATTCTGATGATAGTTTCTTTTGCTGTGCAGAAGCTCTTTCATTTAATTAGATCCTATTTGTCAATTTTGGCTTTTGTTGCCATTGCTTTTGTTGTTTTAGTCATGAAGTCTTTGCTCATGCCTATGTCCTGAATGGTATTGCCTGCATTTTCTTCTAGGGTTTTTATGGTTTTAGGTTTTACATTTAAGTCTTTAATCCATCTTTAATGAATTTTTGTATAAGGTGTAAGGAAGGGGTCCAGTTTCAGTTTTCTGCATATGGCTTGCCCGTTTTCCCAGCACCATTTATTAAATAGGGAATCCTTTCCCCATTGCTTGTTTTTGTCAGGTTTGTCAAAGATCAGATGGTCGTAGATGCGTGGCGTTATTTCTGAGGCCTCTGTTCTGTGGTCTAGGTATTTGTTTTGGTACTAGTACCATGCTGTTTTGGTTACTGTAGCCTTGTACTATATTTTGAAGTTAGATAGCATGATGCCTCCAGCTTTGTTCTTTTTGCTTAGGATTGTCTTGGCTATGTGGGCTCTTTTTTGATTCTATATGAAATTTAGTTTTTTCTAATTCTGTGAAGGAAGTCAGTGGTAGCTTGATGGGAATACCGTTGAATCTATAAATTACTTTAGGCATTATGGTCATGTTCACAATACTGATTCTTCCCATCCATGAGCATGGAATGTTTTTCCATTTGTGTCCTCTTTTATTTCCTTGAGCAGTAGTTTGTAGTTCTCCTTGAAGAGGTCCTTCATGTCCCTTGTAAGTTGTATTCTTAGGTATCTTATTCTCTTTGTAGCAATTGTGAATGAGAGATCACTCATGATTTGGCTCTCTGTTTGTCTATTACTGGTGTATAGGAATGCTTGTGATTTTTGTTGAATTCTACCAGAGGTACAAAGAGGAGCTGGTACCATTCCCACTGAAACTATTCCAAACAATAGAAAAAGAGGGACTCCTCCCTAACTCATTTTATGAGGCTAGCATCATCCTGATACCAAACCCTGGCACAGACACAACAAAAAAAGAAAATTTCAGGCCAACGTCCTTGAGGAACATCGATGCGAAAATCCTCTATAAAATACTGGCAAACCCAATCCAGCATCACATCAAAAAGCTTATCCACCACGATCAAGTCAGCTTCATCCCTGGGATGCAAGGCCGGTTCAACATACACAAATCAATAAATATAATCCATCACATAAACGGAACCAATTACAAAAACCAAATGATTATCTCAATAGATGCAGAAAAGGCCTTCGATAAAATTCAACACCCTTCATGCTAAAAACTCTCAATAAAATAGGTATTGATGGAACATATCTCAAAATAATAAGAGCTATTTATGACAAACTCACAGCCAATATCATAGTGAATGGACAAAAGCTGGAAGCATTACCTTTGAAAACCGGCACAAGGCAAGGATGCCCTCTCTCACCACTCCTATTCAATATAGAATTGGAAGTTCTGGCTAGGGCAATCAGGCAAGAGAAAGAAATAAAGGGTATTCAAATAGTAAGAGAGGAAGTCAAATCGTCTCTGTTTGCAGATGGCATGATTGTATATTTATATATTTCCTTAACCCAATAAGCAACTTCAGCAAAGTCTCAGGATACAAAATCAATGTGAAAAAATTTATAATACAAAGTAAGCCAAACTTTTTGTTTTGGCTCCTCCTTTAAATTAAATGCTGTTACATAAAAATACTCACTTAAAAGGATAAGGTATGTGCTCAAACAGTGGGTGTGATTTTGATTTGTTTACAACCATTTCCCATGACTTTCAACTACAAACAAATATGAAGAATGCTGGTTTACATTATATCTATCAGTTTCAATAGCAATAGTGATAAGAAAAATGATGGGGTACCAGATGGCATTGGTTGTATATATATCATAAGGAAATTGTGAAACAGACAAAGTACATCTTCATGAGCCCATACTTCTGTCTCAGCATGTCTTTTGTCTCTTGTTTCAAAATCGTCTTTAAATTGACATCACTAGCTGTATACTGTCTTTGAACCTTCCTCTGGTCATCAGAAGTTAATGTTTGTGAGTGGAATCAAATAAGTTAGCTTATTTACATTCAGATATTATTGGTACTGTTTTAATTAGTAACCAAAGATGTCTGTTCCTGTAATTTATCTGTATTCTAATTAAGTTAGCATATTTCAGAAGTTTGCTATTCAGTTTGGCATAAACTTTCCATCCACTTAAGGATAGTCAATCTCTTGGGGGTCCAGTTCAATCTAACCAAATACCCAATGGAGTTAATAATAGTAGTAATTATTATAGAGATGACATCCACAAATATTTCTTATGCAGATCATGCAACTATATTGTTAACCATAAAAGCTAATAGTCCTAGGTGTTACTCAGTGTACTGGGCACCTTTTTAAGTGTGTCTTGTATAATTTATTTAATCCTCACAATAATTCTCTCATAAAGTTTTAATTATTTGTCGCTATTTTATTATCCTCCCTTTCTATATGATTAAATTCAAGCACAAAACAGTTCAGAAACTTGTCCAAAGCCAGATACTAAGTAAATGACAGAGCTAAGTTTTTACCCAGGCAGTCTGACCATAGTGTCTCTACTGTTAAACATGGTACCATTCATATTTCTACATTCTAACGTACATTAATTTGCATAGGAATTTTACTTAGTGAATGTAGTTCTTGCCAATAATAATGAAAGATTTATTTGTTATTTATGGAATCATATCGAAGGCCACTAAAGGCAAATTCCTCATTGAAACTCCATTAAAGCATTTTGGCTGGGTGCGGTGGCTCACGCCTCTGATCCCAGCACTTTGGGAGGCCAAGGTGGGTGGATCACGTGAGGTCAGGAGTTCAAGACCAGCTGGCCAACATGGCGAAACCCCGTCTCTACTAAAACTACACAATTAGCTGGGTGTGGTGGCGCTTGCCTGTAATTCTAGCTACTTGGGAGGCTAAGGCAGGAGAATCACTTGAACCCGGGAGGTGGAGGTTGCAGTGGGCCGAGATCGTGCCATTGCACTCCAGCCTGGGTGAAAGAGCAAAACTCTGTCCTAAATAAATAAATAAATAAATAAATAAATAAGAATTTCTTCACAAGTGTCTGATGGGGGATTTGAGGTTCATTCAGTTAGTCATTCTTTGAACAGTACTTATTGAGTGTCTACTATTCCCTTAAAACTAGTCTTTGTGCTATGGATAAAAATCTTTTTTGGAACCCATAGAAGGGTGGGGAAAAGAAACAATAAAAAATAAGCAAATATAGCATGGTATATATTACATGTAACCATAAAGATGTAATTCTGAACCCATAGGCATGCTTTATATTTAGAAGGACAGAACTATGCATACATGGAAAGCTTATGTAAGTACTGAGCTCTGCACTTGCCTCCTTCCTCAATTCTGTGAAATAAAATGCTGAGGTCAGCTACTGAGAGCACTGGTCAGTCAGAGTCTGTCCATAGACCTTAGCAGAAACTGGCTAAATCAACAGCTAAGGCAACTGGGAGAAAAGCAGTTTTCAATCAAAGGCCAAAAATGGTTCCCAGACAGTAAGCCTGCTATACACAATAGACCAGAACTTGGGGTAGAAGACTAATGTTTAGTGAAGTATCCTGAACATGCACTGAAGAAAATAAGGCAAGCTTGTTAGAGAGAAAAGCTCTGAATGCTTTAAAGCATGTATTTTTTCGCTCAACAAATTGAAGAAAGATCTTTGCACATATTTAAAGACAGGTGTCATTGCTTCTTCTTCTGTAAATTTGCCTTTGTATAGCATAGTGACTAAATTACTGGATGTTGAGTGAATTGTTATTGCAAAGTCAATAACTGCAATCCTTTAGTGCATGCTTTGAAAGTCTTACTAATCTCATTTTATTTCAATTATTTGACTTATTTTTAAATTAAATACACTAGAAATATATTTAATAGAATAAAATGTATTATATAAATAGGAATGAGTGTAGAAAAGCACATTTTCCTATTTTGTTTGGTTAACTGGAAATGAACGTCTGTACCTTCAGCCTTGCTGCAATTTTCTACCCTAACAATTACACACATGAGCTAGTGGGATATAACTGGTCAAGGTTTGTGTTCATCTAGGTAATTTAGTGGAAAAAACTCCTATTACATTGAGCTGGCCAGAAGATAGCATTTCACTGGATGGTTTACCAGTTGATCATCTTTGTTTTGTCATGGGTACAAACTGACATCTTATACAAGGGAATATGTGCACATATGCATTTCTTCAAAGTGTATGATATGCAAAAATCAGACATGTCAAATCTACTAAATGTAAGAGTTTTTAGGAAAACTGGAAAAAGTCTATTTTTTCAAGTAATGGAAATTATAGGTAAAGTTAAAGTTTTATGATATGGTATGAAGAGTATTACGAATTTACCAGTGGATATTGACTTAATATATATTTGGTAGAAGTCTATTAAAGGAAAAATACTGAATATGTTTTCAAGTCTTTTATCCTTAGCAAAGTGACTAAAAGATCATTTCTGAATGTTTTTATTTACATAGTAAATAGAGTCACATTAGAGATCATTGGTATCAATAATTGTTGCTTTTAAGAGTTTGTTCAAGAAGGGACACAATTTGAACAGCTTATTCCTATTGTTGTTTGCTTTGTAACATATAAAATATTGTTGCACAATATGAAAGTTAAAGTGAGTTTCCTCTGATATTTTCAAGTGGTAGATTTTTTTTTTTTTATTAAAAACATTTTAGCACCTGTAATCCCAGCACTTTGGGAGACCAAGGCTGTCGGATCACAAGGTCAGGAGATCGAGACCATCCTGGCTAACACAGTGAAACTCTGTCTCTACTAAAAATACAAAAAATTAGCTGGGCGTGGTGGCAGGCGCCTGTAGTCCCAGCTACTTGGGAGGCTGAGGCAGGAGAATGGCGTGAACCCAGGAGGCGTAGCTTGCGGTGAGCCGAGATCCGGCCACTGCCCTCAAGCCTGGGCGATAGAGCGAGACTCCGTCTCAAAAAAAAAAAAACTTTTAGCAAATATCTTTAAAGAATAAAACATTTAAAGGAGTTTTCAATGTAAGCCTAGCTTAAAGGATCATGACTCTTGAAAACATTAAAGATGGTGGGAAAATTTAAATTGTACAATTATTTTAGATTATTGCAGTTTAATAGCTGAACTAAATGACTAATAAAAGAATAAATGAAAAGGACTTGGAGGAATTTCACATATCCTGCTTAGGTTCTCATCTGCCACATACTATCAACTATTCTTTGGGCAAAATTCTTAAATTAGAAAATGAGTAAGAAAAGGAGTGCATCTCCCAAGATTGTTTCATGGATTAAATTAGATGATTTTCTTTATTTAAAAAGTATCTATTAAGCTCCTTACTGTGAGGGAAACAGTGACAGAGCCAAGATATCCAGAGATAAACAAGACATTGGCACTTAGTAGAGCTACTTGAATGCAAATGAGTCATAATATTAAAGCAATTCAGTCTTAAAACTAATATGATGGGTAATAAAGATATTTGGCAACCAACATTTTTGTGCACCCACTGTGTACCAGATACAGTTTGCTATATATGAGACTAGAGGGAGGAAGGTGGATGGAATCAATGAAAAAGGATGAGTTTTGGGGATTGTCTAGCACATGACAGAGTGTAGACTAAGTCATCACAAAGTGTCTTTTTTTCTTTTTTCTTTCCTGTCCAAATACATCAATAAAAAATTATGGAATATTAATGTATGATACTTTTTAATCATTTTATTCTGAAGATATATGTTTCTTTAAGGAGATGTTTTAAAAATTATCAAAATCTTAGATGACTTATGGTATGGATTTTTAAATCTCTTTTAGGCAACAGTTTAATCATTTTAAAATACAAATGAGTAGAATGAATGCAGTTCTGTATGTTGATGTAAGAAATTTCAACTAATGTCTTCTAAGTCTTTTTTCTTTTAAAGAACTCAATTTGAAAATGGCATATTAGGATAACAATGCATTCCTTATGTGGTTTTATATTGATTTAATGGGTACTGATTTTAAAATTAAACTAATTGATACTGATTTTAGGATTAAACCAATATGGTTTGTATCTTGATTTTTTTGTACCTGTATATCTCTTTGTTTTCTCTCCAATAAAATGGGATAATAATAGTATTAAACTCATGGTTCTGGTGAGAATTAATGAGGTGAATATATAACAAATCCTTAACCCACTTCCTAACACAGCATACAATAATAATTTTTAACGTTAGTATTCAAAACATGTGCACCTTATAGTCAGTGAGTAAGTGTTAAGTATTACTTTTTCTTGAATATTATTATGTGGTACTATAATGATGTACTTTCAAAATATCTAATATAAAACATAATTCTTGCCCTCAGGGTTTCAACACAGCTCAGTGGTTAAAACTGTGGATTTTGACATCAGACAAACCTAGGATGGAATCCTGGTTCACCCATATAATAAGCAACTGACTTAACCTCTCAAAATTTCAATTTCTTTATTTGTAAAATAGTGAAAACTCTTCACCAATTCTTGTGAGGATTAAATGAGATTCAATTCTTAATACAAACCTTCTCCATACTAAATGTCAGGTTTTTACCTATCTGAGTAGAGGCCTGAGAAGTAGACTCATAATTCATAACTCACATGTATAGTTATATATGAAAATAGGGTCTACTGTCTCATTGGAGATTAAGAAAAAAATAGGATGATATTTAGTACAATATATTATTTTCTGTTTTGTAAAAAGAACATAGATTTACCTGTAAAAAAATCAGAATCTTAGAATTATTTCAAAGGAGAAAACTGAAATCATTGATAATCTCACTACTCAGAAATAACTATGCCTAACATTATATCTTTTCTTTTTGCCTGTTTTCTAGAGATATATATTTTTAGTTACGTCCTTTTACAAAATTAGAAACATATTTTATGATGACGTTTTCCAAAGTATATTACTATGGATTTTATTTCAGGAAGATGTCAATGATGTTCCTCAAATAATTTAGAAAAATAACAAAATGCAGTTAGCATGGTCAAATGTGTTTGTTAAATATTAGAGCAATAAAGTCAAATGGGGTTTGTATACTGCAGAACTTCAAATTATCTTTAAAATGGTAATGACTATTGTAATCTCCAAAGGTAGACTATAGTAGGTAGAAATTTCCAGACATAAATGACATTTTTTAAGCAAATACGTATTAGGTCATATTAGGCACTGGTATTTTATGGAACATAGATTTGGAAAATTTATTACATCTGTTTGTATATGGTTTTTGTCAACATTTTATCTTGAGTATTTTATTAATTTATTTTTAAAAGAACATTATATTTAATGCCTATGTAATATTCCCTTGCAATGTAGTCCTTGTTTTAATAGCAATGTGAAATTCTCACTTTAGAATGAGTAATATGGCTATTGAAATTTAAAAGGATTGAGCCTAAATAGAAAGGAATAAAAGGCATCCAAATAGGAAAATAAAACATCAAACTATCTCTCTTCACGGATGATATGATTTCATACCTAGAAAACCCTAAAGACTCTACCAAAAGACTCCTGGAACTGATAAATGAGTAGTAAAGTTTCAGGATATAAAATCATTTTACAAAAATTTGTATACACCAATAACATTCAAGCTGAGTGCCAAATGAATAATGCAGTCTCATTTACAATAGCCACACACACACAAATAAAATACCTAGGAATACAGCTAACCAAGGAGATGAAAGAGTTCAACAAGGAGATCCAAAAAACACTACTGAAAGAAATTAGAGATGATACAAACAAATGGAAAAACATTCCATGCTCATTGATTGAAGACTCAGTATTATTAAAGTGGCCATACTGCCCCAAAGCAATGTACAGATTCAACACTATTGCTGTTAAACTACCAATGTCATTCTTCACAGAACTAGAAAAAACTATTCTAAAATTCATATGGAACCAAAAATTAGCCTGAATTCCAAAGCAATGCTAAGCAAAAGGAGCAAAGCTGGAGGCATCATATTACCTGACTTCAAACTATACAATAAGGCTGTGGTAACCAAAGCAGCATGGTACTGGTACAAAAATGGACACATAGACCAGTGCAATGGAATAGAGAACCCAGAAATAAAGCCGTGCACCTACAGCCATCTAATCTTTGACAAAGTTGACAAAAATAAGCAATGGGAATAAACTCCCTATTCAATCAATGTGAAACTGAACCCCTACCTTTCACCATATTCAAAAACTAACTCAAGGTGGATTACAGATTTTTTTTTTTTGATATGGGGTCTTATTCTGTCACCCAGGCCAGACTGCAGTGGTGTGATCATAGCTCACTAAAGCCTCAACCAGCTGTGTTCAAGTGACTCTCTCACCTCAGCATCCCGAGTAGCTGGGACCACAGGTGGAAGCAACATTCCCAGCTATTTTTTTTATTATTATTTATAGAGACAAGGTCTTACTCTGTTGCCCAGGTTGGTCTTGAATCACTGGGCTCAAGTGATCCTCCAGCCTTGGCCTCATAAGTGGTGGAATCACAGGTATCAGCCATCACACCCATCTGGATTAAAGGTTTAAATGTAAAATCTCAAAGTATAAGAATACTAGAGGAAAACCTAGGATACACTATTCTGGATATTGGCTTTGCAAAAGAACTTAGGACTATGTCCTCAAAAGCAAGTGCAACAGAAACAAAAATTGACAAGTGGAGCCTCATTAAACTAAAGAGCTTCTGTACAGCAAAAGAAACTATCAACCCAGTAAACAGATAGCCTACAGAATGGAAGAATATATTTGCAATTTGTGTATCTGACAAGAGTCTTGTATTCAGAATCTATAAGGAGCTTAACCAAGTGAACAAGCAAAAAGCAAATAGTCTTATTACAAAATGGGCAAAGGACATGAACAGATGCTGCTCAAGAGAAAACATATAAGCAGCCAACAAACATATGAAAAATGCTCCACATCATTAATCCTCAGAGAAACACCAATCAAAACCACAATGAGATACCATCTCACACCATTCTGAATGGCTGTTATCAAAAAGTCAAAAACAATAGATGCTGGTGAGATTGCAGAGAATAGGAAATACTAGAAGTCTGGGATTAGGTTAAATGACCAAACCTAAGAATAATTGGTGTACCTGAGGAAGAAGAGAAATCTAAAAGCCTGGAAAACATATTTGGGGGAATAATCGAGGAAAACTTGCCTGGCCCTGCAAAAGAGCTAAACATCCAAATTCAAGAAGCAAGAAGAACACCTGGGAAATTAATCACAAAATGATCTTCACCTAGGCACACTGTCATCAGGTTATCCAAAGTTAAGATGAAGGAAAGAATCTCAAGAGCTGTGAGACAGAAGCACCAGGAAAACTATAAAGGAAAACCTATCAGATTAATAGCAGATTTCTCAGGAGAAGCCCTACAAGCTAGGAGGGATTGGGGACCTATTTTCAGCCTCCTCAAACAAAACAATTATTAGCCAAGAATTTTGTATCCAGCGAAACCAAGCATCATGTATGAAGGAAAGATACAGTTATTTTCAGACAAACAAAGGCTGAGAGAATTCGCCATTACCAAACCACCACTATGAAAACTGCTTAAAGGAGCTCTAAATCTTGAAACAAATCCTGGAAACACATAAAAACAGAACCTCTTTAAAGCATAAATCACACAGGAACTATAGAACAAAAATACAATTTAAAAAGCAAAAAAAAAAAAAAAAAAAACCAAAGTACACTGGCAACAAAAAGCACAATGAAAGCAATGGCACCTCACATCTCAATACTAACATTGAATGTAAATGGCCTAAATGTTCCACTTAAAAGATACAGACCCACAGAATGGATAAGAACTCACCAACCATCTACTGCCTTCAGGAGACTCACCTAACACAAAAGGACTCACACAAACTTAAAGGGTGGAAAAAGGCATTTCATGCAAATGGACACCAAAAGCGAGCAGGAGTAGCTATTCTTATATCAGACAAAACAAACTTTAAAGCAACAGTGGTTAAAAGAGACAAAGAGGGACATTATATAATGGTAAAAGGCCTTGTCCAACAGGAAAATATCACAATCCTAAACATGTATGCACCTAACACTGGAGCTCCCAAATTTATAAAACAATTACTAATAGACCTAAGAAATGAGATGGAGAGCAACACAATAATAGTGGTGGACTTCAATACTCCACTGACAGCACTAGACAGGCTATCAAGACAGAAAGTCAACAAAGAAACAATGGATGTAAACTATACCCTGGAACAAATGTACTTGACAGATATGTACAGAACATCTCATCCAACAACTGCAGAATACGCATTCAACAGCCCATGGAACATTCTCCAAGACAGACCATATGATAGGCTATAAAACGAGCCTCAATAAATTGGAAATCATCATTCTCAGTAAACTATCGCAAGAACAAAAAACCAAACACCGCATATTCTCACTCATAGGTGGGAATTGAACAATGAGATCACATGGACACAGGAAGGGGAATATCACACTCTGGGGACTGTGGTGGGGTGGGGGGAGGGGGGAGGGATAGCATTGGGAGATATACCTAATGCTAGATGACGAGTTAGTGGGTGCAGCGCACCAGCGCACCAGCATGGCACATGTATACATATGTAACTAACCTGCACAATGTGCACATGTACCCTAAAACTTAAAGTATAATAATAAAAAAAAAAAAGAACATACTGCCACATTGCCTTCAACAATATATATGTACATGTCTATGTATATTGATTTTAACATACCAGACACACAATCACAAGCAGGCAAGTACATATAGAAATAGAAAAACATCAAACCATGCTAATAATGATTATATATTATAGGAGGGAAAATTGTCATGAATGTATTTTTTTTCTTTTTCTGTCTCTACTATTCATGATTTTACAACCCATCTATAATGAGCAGGAACATATATTTTTTTAAAGTTTATAATTCCTCACTTTATTTTCTTATTGTAAGTACATAAAGTATTAAAATTTTTCAAAGTAAAAAAAAAAATTTAAGAAAATTGAAATTATATCAAGCAGTCTCTCAGACCACAGTGGAATAAAACTGAAAATCGACTCCACCCCACCCCCCAAAAAAAATTCACAACCAGGCAAATGCATGGAAATTAAATAACCTGCTCCTGAATGAGCATTTGGTCAAAAACGAAATCAAGATGGAAATTTTAAAACTCTTCAAACTGAATGATGATAATGATACAACCTATCAAAACCTCTGGGATACAGCAAAGGCAGTGCTAAGAGGAAAGTTCATAGCCCTAAATGCCTACATCAAAAAGTCTGAAAGAGCACCAACA
Source organism: Homo sapiens (assembly GCF_000001405.40). Taxonomy (NCBI): domain Eukaryota; kingdom Metazoa; phylum Chordata; class Mammalia; order Primates; family Hominidae; genus Homo; species Homo sapiens. The sequence continues at coordinate 78,768,021 of NC_000003.12, read as the reverse complement.
CACAATCTAAGGTCACACCTCAAGGAACTAGAGAAACAAGAACAAACCAAACCCAAACCCAGCAGAAGAAAGGAAATAACCAAGATTATAGCAGAACTAAATAAAATTGAAACAAAAAAATACAAAAGATAAATGAAACCAAAAGCTAGTTCTTTTAAAACATCAATAAAATCGATAGACCATTAGCAATATTAACCAAGAAAAAAAAGAAAGAAAATCCAAATAACCTCACTAAGAAACAAAACAGGAGATACTATAACTGACACCACTGAAATACAAAAGATCATTTGAGGTTACTATGAACACCTTTCCACACATAAACTAGAAAACCTAGAAGAGATGGATAAATTCTTGGGAAAATACAACCCTTCTAGCTTAAATCAGGAAAAATTAGATACCCTGAACAGACCAACAACAAGGAGTGAGATTGAAATGGTAATTAAAAAATTACCAACAGGCTGGGCACAGTGGCTCATGCCTGTAATCCCAGCATTTTGGGAGGCCAAAGCAGGTGAGTCGCTTGAGGCCAGGAGTTCGAGACCAGCCTGGTCAACATGGTGAAACCTCGTCTCTACCAAAAGTACAAAAATTATCCAGGTGTGGTAGTGAGTGCCTGTAATCCCAGCTACTCAGGAGGTTGAGGCAGGAGAATCGCTTGACCCCAGGAGGTGGAGGTTGCAGTGAGCCAAAATCATGCCACTGCACTCCAGCCTGGGTGAGACCCTGCCTCAAAAAATAAAATAAAATAAATTACCGACAAAAAAAAAAAGTCCAGGACCAGACGGATTCACAGCAGAATTCTACCAGACATTTAAAGAAGAATTGGTACCAATCCTTTTGACACTATTCCACAAGACAGAAAAAGAAGGAACCCTCCCTAATTCATTCTATGAAGCCAGCATCACGCTAATACCAAAACCAGGAAAGGATATTACCAAAAAAGGAAACTATAGACCTATATCATTGATGAACACAGATGCTAAAATCCTTAACAAAATTGTAGCTAACTGAATCCAACAACATGTCCGACAGATAATCCACCATGATCAAGTGGGTTTCATACCAGGGAAGCAGGGATGGCTTAACATATGCAAGCCAGTCAATGCGATACACCATATAAACAGAATTAACAATAAAAATCAAATGATCATCTCAATAGATGCAGAAAAAGCATCTGACAAAATCCAGCTTTCCTTTATGATTAAAACTCTCAGCAAGATTGGCATACAAGGGACATACCTTAATGTAATAAAAGCCATCTATGACGAACCCACAGCCAACATAATACTGAATGAAGAGAAGCTGAAAGTATTCGCTATGAGAACGGGAACAAGACAAGGATGCCCACTCTCACCATTCCTCTTCAACATAGTACTGGAAGTCCTAGCCAGAGCAATCAGTCAAGAGAAAGAAATAAAGGGCATCCAAATCAGTAAAGAGAAAGTCAAATTGTCACTGTTTGCTGAGGATATGATTGTTTACCTAAAAAAACCGTAAAGTCTCCTCCAGAAAGCTCCTAGAACTGATAAAAGAATTCAGCAAAATTTCCGGATACAAGATTAATGTACACAAATCAGTAGGTCTTCTATACACCAACAGCGACCAAGCTTTATGTGAGTACAAATGTACTGGGGGTTGGGGTTGGGGTACTAAAGCAAAGCAGTATTTTTAAAATGTCAGGGGAAGCCATTTTTATATTCTTCTAGGAAGAATTGCTTCTGTTAATTTCATGGCTGCCTGTCAATCTGAGGCAGATGCTCTGTTCCCTGCTATATAAATAATAGACCTACTGCTACCTGCCTTTTTCCTTTGTTCAAGATCATTTTGAAAGGATCATTTTTAAACAAAATTATTTCAACTGGGAAGTTGCAAGGAGGAGGTTAGGAAAATTTATTCAGGCCGGCATTTTAATCAAAGAGGTATTTGTTGGAAATGTGGTCAAAAGTATACTTGGCCAAGTCATACAAATAGTAACTTTTTTCCCTTTGAGCTCTAGCCCAAGGCTGCAGAAATGAGTTATGAATGTAAATAAATACAAATCAATAGGAGTTCTGTTTTTATTATTTCACTGGGAATTTCTGTACAATTTGAGAGCAACTTGCTGAAAGTTCAGCAGATGATTAAGTTTAACCTTGATCCTGAGCCAGCAAGATTGGCTTACTATCTATCAGCAAGGGATGTAAATTTACTCGGACACATTTTAATTGGCATTTATGCAACATGTACACACAGATGCTGAATTCATTGAGAAATCCTGAGTGCCATCTGTTTAACTAGCTTTGTCCTCTATTAAAGTGCACGATAAAATGAGACTGGATCCCTTTGCCTTGCTCATATATTTATCTTACAGTACACAGCATTTTGAATGACCACTTTATTAGTATGCTAGCCTGTTAGATATTAGTGCTCACCATAATAATCTAAAAATATACTTTATTTTGTTTCCCTCTTTGTGGGCAGTGTATCTCCTACTCTTTCGCTTAGTAAAAGCACTATCTTCATGAAGTGTCTTTTTTTCAAGTTTTAAAGATAATATTGTTTTACTTTAATGTAATTTCTTAATCAACTGAGGTTGCTATATATGTTGAATTAAAATATTTTATTGAAGGCAAGTTTATATTTAATAATAAATTTTATGTTTCTATATTTTTTTAAAAAATATTTAAAATAATCATTTCATCCTTTTATGAAGCTTGACTTACAAATGAATGAATCTTTGAAGATTAGGATGTTCTGTCTTGTAAATATAATCAAAACTTTAGGGTGGACCCAGTTCCAAATAAAAGAGTCACCTGCCTTCCCTGCAAGACTTAGATTAAACAACAATATTCAGTCATGATCTGCATATAGAAACTTCGAGAGAAGGCCTAAAATTATCATATGAAAATTGATGGTGACGTGCTCCTCTTAACTTTGCAATACCTTACTTTTTAAAAATTCAGCAACAACAATAAAACCAAAGGTCTAAAATATACATTTGAAAAAAAAGTCTAAAATGTGTATTGATTCATTGATGAGTTGCTACGATTTGAATCAAAATCACGACTATAACTTCCTCATGTATGAAATCTTTTACTTAAAAAAATCACACAAACCATTATATTATTTTTGTACCATTTTCTTCTTAAGAGAGCTGTCAATTTTTAAAGCTGTCATGATGACAGAATGAACCATCTATTTTATCGGTAGAGGCCTTATGTCTCTGTGACAGGTAGCAATTATGATGACATTGTCTTCAACCTAAATTCATGAGCCTGAGAATAAAATTCCTGAGCTTGAAATTTTCAAAACTGAAAGTAAACTAACAGATATAGTATCAAATTTAAATGGTTGTAACAGGAATGGGCTTAATTTTCTCATGTGGTTAATGCTTGATACAAGGATATTACTTACTATATTAAGATAGTTCTCTTCTAAGTGTTGGGTTTCTGGGGCTGGTCTAATGGGAAAACTATAAGATAAGCAGCCGCTCCACAGTGAAGCATCTTGGTCAAATCTTGTGGCTGCCAAAGACTTTCCATTAATATTTTACCTAGAACTGCTTCAGAAATAGTCTCAATTCAATCTCAAAATATTTTTTAATTGTTTTAATAAAATGCTGTTTGTTTTCTTTGGAATCTGTTCAAGTAGTCAGTGGGTAATGATCATGAAATTGGGAATAAATGGGCTTTCATAAGCTATTTGGGTTATTACAGTATTAAACCAATTATTTAACCTAACTGGACTCAGTTTTTCCCTCTGTACAATGAAGAAGAGTTGGACTAAAAAGATCTCTAAATTCCTTCTAACTAAAACATGCTATGATTCAAAATAATAAACAAAAAGATGATAGAATATAGACTAAGTTGCTTATCTTTTCTCTCTCTCATGTCTCCACAGTACAAAACAGTAGAATACATGAATATTTTTTTCTGTTTAATGAAACTGGAAGTCTAATTAAAATTTTCGTTTGCTTTTTAAGATAAAGCAGAGTTATCTACTGAAAATCCATATCCAAACCCGTCAGCTTCTATTTGCAGCCCTCCATCTAACTAAAATAAAATCGTTTGACACGTAATCACATCTCTTACACTTCCACACTATAAAACTTTTACTTCATACACTAACCTTAAGCAATTAAAATGTTCACACTTTCTATGTAGGCTTTAAATTCCGGTATGTACAGACAGCCAGTCTTTGAGGTATACGGTAAGAGGTGGCAAATCGCTTTGCCGGTTAAAACTCGGGAATGGATTGGGTAGAGGAAGGTTGGCCAAGGAGTTCTTGTGGAGTAAAGGCTTACAGGTGGTTTCAAGATTGGCAGAACCAAAGATGGACACTTGGTTTTTCAAAGACTAACATAAGAGTAAGAACTCAATTTTTTTAATGACTTAAATTATAAATTAAATGAAAGGCAAGAGATTAAATGGTGTGGAGTTTGGGAATGGAGAGAAAATCATGTGTTTCTTTTTGTAAAGTCTGCTTATAGGCATGTATTACCAAACTTCATAATGAACACATGTGAATGTAGTTAGCTAAAAGTTACAGTTGCTTCAAAATACATTTCAAATTTGATTATAATATGGAAGATTAAGGTATGAATTTTTAAATGGTAAAAATGATAAAGTACCACATACATTAAACAAGTTGGAGGCAGCATTCATGGATTAAAATATTAAAAACAACTTCCAACTACAGAGGCCATATGTACTTACTATAAATGTGTTCAGTAGTTCATTTTCTAGCCATTAGGATACCAAAAAAGAAAAAAACCTACTAGAAATGCATTATTAATTTAGTTGTTCTTTTGTCTTCTCTTTTGCTTAATTGTTGCTTTGATACCAACACTTAATTTATGTGACCATAAAATGCTGGATATTTTAATTGCCGGTCTTTACTTCGAGCTGTATCTTATCCCTGTTAGATATGTGGTAGTGTTTCTTTCAAGCATTACTTAGATCAATTAATTATGGTTGTACGAGCTGTCAATTATTTATAGAGTTTAGGAATAAAATAAGTGCTTGTCTCTTGTGTCACATCATGTGGTATGGTGCTTATTTCATCTTCCTCTTCTTCCATACTTAATTACCTTTTTCAACATGTCTATGATCCCCTCCAATCCTGGAACATTTTATAATTAGTGGTTGTGGTTTTTTGTTCACTGGTCATGATGTTTTGAAATGCCTTTTTTTTGTTTCTTTTGTTTCTAAGCAAAGAGAAATAATATCATTTTAAATATTGAAATGATTAAACAGCATAGTTTGATTAGTAAAGACAATAAATTAAGTAATCCTTAATATGTTATTTCAATTATAAAAATTAAATGTAACTGATTTTTCCTTATATCTTGCTCATCGTCTTTTATTTTGGGGGAAGTTAAAGAGGAAATTGCTATGCATGAATCAAGTAAAGTTTCTCTATAGTTCTGACCTGGAGAACAAAAGAAAAAACTAACTTAAGAAATGCATGATTAAGAAGTGCCTCTACATCGTCTGTTTAGTGAAATTATTATATTAAATTATATGTATCCTCGGTTATTATATGTTCACATACATTTCCCTTTTGTAACACTGAATGTAAAACAAACAAAAAACAGATAAAATAACAACTGGAAATATAAATGAAATTAGGAGCAACAATGTGTTTTTAATTTTATTATTTCCTAACTTTTAGTATTTAGGTCAAGGGGGAAATCTATGTTTTGTCATTTTTAAAAGCTAATAAAAAATCCTTTTTATGACTCAACTTTTTGCTCATTAAGACCATGGGATTACTCCATGATGTCTGTAAGCACAGATCTTCATCTCTATTAAATCATAGGTCATTGTCAATTAAAAATACTTATGCATTTAAAGTGTGCCTTTTATTTACTTACCTAAAGATATCTGTCTTTAGGTAAATTTAGTCATGAATACCTATTTAGACCTAGAACATTTTATCATTTTTTCCAGAAAAATGTAATCTTGCATTATTATTGTTAAATTCCCATTTAAAAACAACTGTGAATTTCATTTGCATAGATTGTTAATGAAACTGGACTTTTTTGAGATCAAATGCACATTATTAAAGCTAAAAACACCTAATTAACTTACTATCATATTTAATTTTACAAACCTAACATTTACAATGTGAGAAAGAATTATTTGGCTGATAGGAAGCTAGTTACAACATTGATTTTAGAAGTCAAAACTTAATGAATATTTTAAATTATAATGTGAGTGTGTGACTTCTTTTGCCAAAATGAATGATCGGTAATTGCAGCAAAGAAGGTTATGCACTATCAATAACCAGTTATTTTGCATTTCTCTTTAATAGTTGATAAAATATGCATGATTAAAATTGATAGCTAAAATGATCATTTTTAAATGTAATTTTTATTGCAATGCTTAAAGAGATGCTGATGTTAAGAGGAAACTTGTAGTACATGTAAGTCAAAAGAGGCTAGCAACTGTTTATTTAGAAAACAAATTTATCACCTATTTGAATATATACAAAAGTTTTATGATAATCAGAGATTATATTAATGACTTATAACTAAGTTCAGTAGAAGTACTTGGTTCAACTTTCAGAACATAGAATATAAAAAGATTGTTAAAAATAGTCAAAAAGCCAGAAGTTGCAACTGTTTTTTGTGGAGAAGTAAAACCTTATACATTAGTTTATTTTTTTTAATGTTTATAAAAAGCGTTGCTGTTCCAAGTGGGGCCTGTTAAAGGAGAAAAGTAATCCAAAGCCTGCCAGCATTGCAGAGAAACTGAAACATCTTTGTATTTTTTTTTTTAAGTTTCTTGAAGTTGCTAATGGTTTTATAGTTTTTTAAACAAGTTGCAGGGCATTTTCAAAAGCTGGTCAGGTAACCTAGTGCTAAGAACCGTTTATTCCTCATTATAAGCATAGGTCTTAACATCTCCAGAGAAAGCATTTGGCCCTCTTCCACCTAGGAGACTGAGTTTCTGCCTTTTTGATTCCTGTTAGACTATTGATTATATAAGATTGTACTTTAATCTACTGGGCCTTAGATAATTTAATAACTCAATAATAATTAAATTTGATTTGGATTGTTTTTCTTTAAACGTTACAATTTAAAAAAGAACATATCAAAGATCTATGTTGGGTGAAGAAAAAAAAAGAAAACACATATGGGAGGCTGAGGCAGGAGGATTGCTTGAGGCTAGGAGTTCAAGACTAACCCACGCAACAAAGTTAGACCCCCCTCTCTACAAAAAATAAAAATTTGGCTGGGCACAGTAGCACACACCTCCAGTCCCAGCTACTTGGGAGGCTGAGGTTGGAGGATGGCTTGAGCCCAGGAGTTTGATGTTGCCGTGAGCCATGATAACACCACTCCACTACAGCATGGGTGACAGAGCAAGACCCTGACTCAAAACAGCAACAACAAAAGCATATAACACATAAACATGTCACCTCAAATTTATGAAATGTACCCAAAATTCTGTTCAAATAGGTTAATTCATGTTTATTGATGAGGTTCTATACAGGCTGTGAGCCTGTATGTTGTAGCTCCCATTATAATAGAGCTGAGCTGCCAAATTTTTGGAGGCTGATGACTAAATTAGTTAGAGTACTGGGCTCAGGCAGTCCTCCTGCCTCGGCCTCCCAAATGCAGGGATTACAGGTATGAGCCACTGCACCCAGTGAGGAATGAATTTTATAATTACCTAAAATTATACATAAATTTTCAGTGTAGTGTGTTTTTACCAGGGTACCTTTAGATTTTAGAGGTATATAGGCATGTGTATTCGTCTGGTTTTATGCTGCTGACAAAGACATAGCTGAGAATGGGTAATTTACAAAATAAATAGGTTTAATGGACTCACAGTTCCACATGGCTGGGGAGGCCTCACAATCATGGCGGAAGGTGAAAGTCACGTCTCACATAGCGGCGGAAAAGAGGAGTGAGAGCCAAGCGCAAGAGGTTTCCCCATATAAAACCGTCAGATCTCGTGAGACTTTCACTACCATGAGAACAGCATGGGGGAAACCACTCCCATAATTCAATTATCTCCCACTGGGTTCCTCCC